>NC_000005.10:65734807-66359807 GCF_000001405.40 Homo sapiens | reverse complement strand
TCACGAGCAGCTGCCAGGATCATGCATCCTTTAGGCTGACGTGCAAGCGTCAAACCCAAGATGGCCATGGCTCTCAGGGGACCCAACATGGAGGTGTCAGCCATGGCTGCTCTCACCTCCTCCTTTCCAGAGTCTGCAAGAGCTCAGCTTGATCAACCCAACTCAACTACTAGCCAAGCGTGGATTTAAGGCAAAGCAACATTGGTCTCTCATTGGAGCTCACAGTAACCATTTTATCTGTAAGCTCTGAGGAGTTCCCAGAAGCTAAAGAAAACACCGTCATGTAATAATAA
The DNA here is from genome assembly GCF_000001405.40 of Homo sapiens. Taxonomy (NCBI): domain Eukaryota; kingdom Metazoa; phylum Chordata; class Mammalia; order Primates; family Hominidae; genus Homo; species Homo sapiens. The sequence goes on along the minus strand of NC_000005.10, from coordinate 66,359,514 downwards.
AAGCTTCCTTTTACAGTGTGCTTACTTAAGCACCAGAAGGCATGCTAAGTACTTTATATACATTATCTAATTTACACCCAATCCCAACCTATGAAGTCGTTTCCCACCTATGAGAAAGCTAAGGCTTAGAGAGCTCAAGTCACTTGCCCAAGGTGGTGCAGCTAGCAGACGGCAGGGCTGGCATCTGAATGAGGATCCACTCTGCTTCCAGGGCCCATGATTTATCCACTGCACTGTAATGTCTAAGACATAGCATACACCGCAGATGTCACATATTCTCTCCAGAAGGTAGCTTTCCAGCATCGTTCATTCAACATATTTTTACTAAACATTTTCAATGTGTCAGACACTGTGCTGGGTACAGGGGACACAGAGGTGAACAGGAGGCTTACAGCTCACTAAAGGCAGACTAAGAAATAATAGTCCATAAACAATGAATCCTGTGAAAACAGATGGCTGAACCCTCAAGTATGTTTCCGGAAATCCAGGAATAAAAGAGGCAGATGGTGACTTTCTACCTGGAGCTCTGGGACATTGGAAAGCCCTGCAGATAAACCCACAGAGGATCAATTGCCATTTGAAGGGTCCAGAACACTGGGCCAGAGAGCAGCTTTCCAGGATCCTGTATATCCGGGCAGTTGTGGGGACAGCAATCAAATCCTCCCATGCTCCAGGGAAAGAGCTTGGTGGAGTCTTACGGACATAAGAGTGAGATGCAGCTATGGATGGCAGTGTGGTCCCAAGATGTGGGCCCAACCTGCTTCAGCAAATGCTGGTGGGGGGTCTTCACGAGAAGCCGATGATCAAGACCAGACAGCACACAGAACATGAATGTCAGGTCAAATGACCATAAACCCAAGCACTTCCTCAGTGCCACTGCATTGCAACATCCCCACAAAGGGAAGAACAGTCTTGTCCCACCAAGGAGTCGGGGGGAGTGAGAAATACCTGAATGTGACTGAGCTTAACAAATAGACTGAGAAATTACTGAATTGGACTGAGTTGACCTGGGCATGACTAGATTGGGCTTCCTGTACCAGTTACCATAGTGACTAGCGGTAGAAATCTAGTAAAGCTAAAGGAAAACTTAAAAAGCTACATTTCTCCACATGAGAAGTGTGAAACTAACTCCATACATGATATCAGTAGTTCAAATGATGATGCTCAGACCATATAGCAGAAGAGGAGCTGGAGACAAGTGTCACAGGTTAAATTGTGTCCCCGCAAAAACTCAGGTGCTGAAGTCCTCACCCACACTTTCTCAGAATATGACCCATCAGACAGGGTCATGGCAGATGTAATTTGTTAAGACGAGGTCTCACAGGAGCAGGATGGGCTCCTAATCCAATATGGTGGGAGACCTTTTAAGGAGACCTTGTGAAGATGGAGACACAGAGAGAATGCACTGAACAGAAAGGCAGAGGGCGGAGTGATGTGCCTACAAGCCAACAAACACAAAGGGACAGCCACCTAGCAGAAGCTAAGCAGCGAGGCAGGGAACAGTGTCTCCCTTACAGCCCTCAGAAGGAACCAACCCTCCAACACCTTGACCCCAGATGTCCAGCCTCCAGAAATGTGAGACAATAACTTTCTATTGTTCAGGCCACCCAGTTTGGGGTACTTTGTTATGGCAGCCCTAGCAAACTAATTCAATGGGAAGCCACATTTTTGTTCACTCATTATCCATTTCCTGCGTACCTTGTAGGGACCAGGCAAAGCACAAGGCGCTCTGAAGGATGTGGAAGTACTCATTGCCCATGACTGCTATTCTCATCTTAGAGCCCATAAGCTCGTTCGTGCCCCCTCAGTCACAGGAGGCTGCTGGTAGGAGTCACCAGGCTCCTCTGGAGACCCAGGTCCTTCCCAGGTGACTGGAGGTGGAACCCTTGGGGTCACATAAGCCCAGGAAGCCTCCCAGTCCTGTTCCCTGGTTCCTGGCCAAGACCTAAGTCCTTCTGATTATCTGTATTCTCTACCAACCATGCACTTCGTTTCTCCTGACCCGATCTTCATACAACACTGACACCCAGGCTTTCCTGAAACTCACATTCCAGGAAAAGCAAAGTCCCCAGCCCTCACCCTTTTAACTAAATGCCTCCCTGTCTCCCAGCTGTAACTGAAACCTAACTCTGACCTGAGGACCTCCGTTCTTCATCTGGGTTCTGTCTTTCCCCACCCCCTAGTACTTCAAGGTGTGAGGGGTGCACACGGGGGAATACTATTTCCCCTGACAGAAAACCAGGCCTCACTCTTTGATCCTTCCCTCGCTCTTTTCTGGAAGCAACAACTCTCCACTTTCTGCGATGGGGGCCTGGGCACCACTCATCCCTTCGCCTCTGCCCTTGTAGCCTGGGAAATCCTTACCTGCTCTCTAGGGGTGGAGAAAGCTTATGCTGACCCATCTTCTTTGCCTACTGTTTAGTCCAGGGCCTTAGCTCGTAGAGGTTCAGAGCATCTTTTTCTCTCAAGACGTTGCTATTGTTTTGATATTTAAGATCTTATTTGAATACTTCAAAGCAGAACAAAGAAGCTCCTTTCTCTTTGCATTCCCTGCTATGATGTCCTAATCTTCCCTGATGCAATGGATGCCTCACGAACATGTCCGTGAAAAGAACGGATCCACAAAAAGAATAGATTTGCTATTTTTCTGCCCCAGCTCCCTGCTGCCAGACAATGAGGTGGGAAGTGAGCAGTTGACTGGGAGATAGCATAAGAAAATATTCAAAGCTTCACCAGGAAAAAAAAATGTAGAGATAACACTTGGAATCATTTGCAATGTTTTTTTCTTGTTGCGGTTTGTCCCATAGTGACCTCCATTTGTACCTACCTCAGTGCAGAGAAAAGACAAAATTCAATTGAGTTTCTTAGCAGACGGTTTTAAATTCATAACAGAGTTGGTAGTCTCAATAATCTAGGGTCTATTGATTTGCAAGAACCTGGCAAGAGGAAGAAAATATGATAAAAATCCAACAGACACCTCATCTCAGGGAAGCTGCTGGGCTTCCTGACGCTGTCCATGGAGCAGAATCCAGCTCCCCAGGGCCCTGAGGGTATGTAAATAAACCCCAAAACTAGCCCTCGGGAATAGAGGAGAAGGAGGAACAGTGAAGCCCTAAAATGATAAACACTGAAGTGACTGCATTTGTCTTCAATTGTCTAGAATCTATACAAGCTGAACTCTAGATAAAGTTTCTACTACCCAGAAGAATGGGGAAGCTAAATTTTTAGAGAAAAGATTCTGAGTTACATTTCTGCTGCATACTTGCAGTGTGATTCACATGCATTATACCAACTAAACCGCCCATCCCAATTCCAGGCTTGCAACCCATTATTCATAGCATTTTCCCTAAACAGTGTCCTTCCCTGCATTTTAATGATCTCTTATTGTACTTAAAAATCACAATTCCTTACCATGACTTAACAAGGTAAACCATGATAAGATCTCTACCTTCCTGCATGAATGGTCTCTACCTTCCTACATGGACAATCTCTGCCTTCCTGCCTGGATGGTCTCTGCTTTTGTGCCTCGATGGTCTCTGCCTTCCTGCATCATATAGTCTTTGGCTTCCTGCATGGATGGTCTCTGCCATCCTGCATGGATGATCTATGCTTTTGTGCCTGGATGGTCTCTGCCTTCCTGCATGAATGGTCTCTACCTCCTGCCTGGATGGTCTCTACCTTCCTGAATGGATGGTGTCTGCCTTCCTGCGTGGATTGTCTGCCTTCCTGCATCATATGGTCTCTGCCTTCTTGCCTGGATGGCCTCTACCTTCCTGCATAGATGATCTCTAACTTCCTGCACAGATAATCTCTACCTTCCTGCCTGGATGATCTCTACTTTCCTGCCTGGATGGTCTCTGCCTTCCTGCATGGATGGTCCCTGCCTTCCTGCATGGATGATCTCTGCCTTCCTGCAAGGATGGTCTCTATCTTCCTCTTCAACTGTGCATTGTGCCCCTCTCCCTTTAGCTTACCACTCTCCAATCTTTCCCTTTCCCACCTCATGCTTTCCAACACTCTGTCCCAGGGCCTGATTACATACTCCTCATAAGGCTTCCCATCCTTCAGATCGGGCTGAAATGTCACCTCTTCAGAGAAGCTTTCCTTGACCATCAGGCAATTCCATGCCTACCCCCACAGTTCACTATCTCAGCACTGAGAGTGTTTCCTTCATAGACTAACCCTATCTGTAATTGTCTCATTTGTATGTTGTTGTCTTTCACCTCAGTATGTAAAGTCCGTGAAGGTGTTAAATTAAGTTTAACCTAAAGCTTCCTCCTTATATATTTTAATTTCAGACTAAAGGTTTCTCCCTACATAGTGAAGTGCAACCCAGCTGGATGTGTAAACAGGCTGTAACCTACTCTTGTACCAATCACCTAGTTTTGGCTAATCAAAGATGGCCAACTGTTTAAATCATGTTCAAATACGCAAACACCAAGCTGTAACTAATTTAGTGTTACTGTACCTCATTTCTGTTTTCCAGATGTCACTTTCCTTTTTCTGTTTATAACTCTTCTTCAACCACGTGGCAATGCCAGAATGTCTCTGAACCTGTTCTGGTTCGGGGATGCCTGATTCACAATCACTCTTTGCTCAATTAAACTCTGTTAAATTTATCTGAAGATTTTTCTTTTAACAAGGGTAAAGACCATATCGCTCCTGTTTAATCTCTTATTTCCAGGGACTATCCCAGTGCCTTGCACTCATAAGTATTTTTTAAGTGAAGGAATAAATGAACCCCAGCTTATCGCCAATGTGACTTCTTTGATGGAGCAAGAAGAGGGAAGTTTTCTCTGCTGATGTGGGTAATGCCTCCACAACATCTGTTTATAGTACCCTAAGGAGAATTTTGCTTTAATAAGTGCAAGAATTTACATTTCCAGGAAACACATGTGGCTACTAGTGACATTAAACTGGTGGTGAGCCACCCTTTCTGGCTGAGAGCCAACTCAGGAAAAACATAAACGTTTATGATCAGCATTTTAAAATTGAATATGAAAGTAACTTTACTGAATCCTATGGGGTGGAGGGAGTGGTGTATATTTTTACCATTGATACAATGTACTTTATTGATCAGACAAATATCAGTGAGCAATACTTTAGTGGCATTACATTTTTGCCACTAAAATGCTAATATGAGCAGCAATCCATAGACATCTGTGATACAATAAGAAATGTATATTTGGTCTTTGTCCCAGGTTCCTGACACAGAGGTTCTGAAACCCTGAATTTCCTAGTGATGGGGTAATAGGAACATCTTTTGTTATTCATAACAAGCCCCTCTCAACCGTACCTGAGTTTATGCTAATGAGGTGACTCTTGGTGGGCTCCTAAATAGCTTCAGGATGAAGGCTGGTTGCCAGAGCAATCAACCATGGGATTAGACAGTTGAAACTATCAGTCCTACCTGGGGACCTTAGGAGAAGGGACAGGGCTGGAGATTGGTGATATGGTTTGGCTCTCTCCCCCACCCAATCTCATCTTGAATTGTAGTTCCCATAATCGCCATGTCTCGTGGCAGTGACCCGGTGGGAACTAATTGAATCATGAGGGCAGTTACCCCCATACTGCTCTTTTCATGATAATGAGTGAGTTCTCATGAGATCTGATGGTTTTATAAGGTGCTTCTCCCCGTTTTGGTCTGCACTTCTTCCTACCATCATATGAAGAAAGACATGTTTGCTTCCCCTTCCACCATGATTGTATGTTTCCTGAGGCCTACCAGCCATGCAGAACTGTGAGTCAATTAAAACTCTTTCCTTTATAAATTATCCAGTCTGGGACAGTCCTTTATGGCTGCATGAGAATGGACTAACAGAGTTGGATTCAATCATCAATGGCCAATGATTTAATCAATCATGCCTCCATTTAAAAAAAAAAACAAACCCTCTAAACAAATGGGTTTGGAGATCTTTGGATTTGGTGAACACAAGGAGGTGCTGGGAGGGTGGCACACCTGGAGAAGGCATGGAAGGCCCGCGCCCTCCCCCATACCTTGGCCTATGCCTCTCTTCCATTTGGCTGTTCATGCATCCTATCCTTTATAATAAGCCATTAATACTAAGTGAAGTGCTTTCCTGAGTTCTGTGAGTCATTCTAGCAAATTATTGAACCTGCAGAGTGTATTGTGGGAACCCTCTGAATTTACAGCCAATTGGTCAGAAGTGCCAGTGACAACCTGAGACTTGTGACTGGCATCTGAAAGTGGGGACAGTCTTGTGGGACTAAATCCTTAATTTGTGGGATCTGATGATGACTCTAGGTAGACAATGCCAAAACTGAATTGAGTTTTAGGACACCCAGCTTGTGTCTGAGAGTTGAAGTGGCATTGGAAAAGACCATGCATTCAGAGTCAGAAGTGCTGTGAGTAAAAACAGTTTCATATTTTGTCTTCCCACTTCTGTGTATATCAGACTTTAAAGTCATCATCTCCAGAGTAAGATAAATGCAACCCCGGGGTGCACAAGATTATTCACTGGGTTATAAGAAGAATACATTAGAACTTCTATTTATTTTTGCCTAATCCTTTAAAAATATGTGTTATGTAAATATATAATAGAATGAATAGGTAATTTTAAAATATATAAACATACTTACATTGGAGTACATATATTTAAAACCACCTACTGATAGGACAACATGCTGAAAAAATATTGGAGGCTATCGATATCACATTCCCAAGTGCATTAAATTATTTCACCCTTGAAATGACATGAGAGTCATGACGATCCATAGTTAACAGATGGGAGAATTGAGGCTCAGGGTGAATTGATTAGTCCAAAGTCACATAGGGTGTTAGGGATACAGCCTGCACTGAATATGTTCCTGCCATTCCACTAACATCTGCTGACTACCTGTTTATGTCAGGCTCTGTGGTAGGTATTAGAAATAGAACACAAATAACATATGCTTCCTCCTCAGCTTGGGCCACCCACTCCCACTGTGATAGAGTCTCTTCCTCAGACAGGGTGTGGGACCTACAGCAAGACTGTGACCACTACCAGTTTCCTGGGGCTCTCCTGCCTTCTCCTCTGCCTTCCTGTCCCATTCCTCCCACTCCCCATAAAACCTTCCCATCCTTCATGGACAGCAAGAATCTGGGGCTCAGTGGTTCTGCCTGAAATGATCCTAAGGACCTCCTGGATGGTGGCTGGATTCTTCTGGGGCTCAGCAATATGTTACAATGGGCACTTGCATGAAGAAAAGTGAGCAGATGGCTTGGGGAGGTGTATAAGATATGGCAGCTCTCTGGAAGTCCCCTGCAAGAGGCACAAAGCAGAATGAAGTTGGTCTGTTGGGGAGAAGTACATGGGTTGCAGGCTGGAGGAAAAACTGTGTTGGGGCATGTAGTGAGGGTGTCAGGGACTCAGTCAAGAAGACTAAGGCTCATTGCAGGACCATGTCTTTGGGCTGCCAGAGGTACTGAGCAGGGATCTATTTACTGGCACTGAACTAAGAGGTAGAAGTTTATTAACCAGGAATGAAGCAAGAACCTGGTTACTGGAACTGGAAGATGTGGTAGCAGTGTGCCAGACCACAATGCTGGCTTACTAAATCATCAGTTCCTCATCTAGAACAATTTCACATTCCCTCACCCCAGAACAGGACTCTTTCGAGAGTCTAGGATGAGGCAAAACTAGAAATAGGGGATTTGAAACATGTAAATATACCACCTGTATTCATTAATTAGACAAATATTTATTAAAAGCCTATTACAGGCCAGTCCTATGTTAGGTAGTACGTACAACAGTGAACAAGAAAGCTGACCCTGCACTGCAGGGCTTCTGTGTAACAGGGGGATAAGCAAGTGAAACTGTGACAAGATATACCAAGTGCTGAGAGGGGAGGGGGAAGCAGTCAAAGGAGGGTTTGTTCTTCTTTCTTCAAGACGCAACTATATGCAAAGATGCAAGTATATGCAAGCATAATCAAGAATTCAAGCATGTCCATTAGTGGAAAGGAGCCTAGAAGAGATGAGGGTGGGAGACACAGGGGAGAGAGGAGATAGCTAATGGATCGAGGACCTCAGGGATCCAAGAGGGAGGCACCTTCTAGAGCCTTCTAACTCTGCATGGTATTCTGTTTATCAGTAGGAAATATAGATGTTACCTCTTCAAGGAAGGTTATAAAATGGACTGTGCTGCACTGTCGGATGGAAAACCTTGGCGTTTGGACTCAGATGAACTGGTTTTACAGTTTTGAAGTTCTACCGCTTTCCCGGCCAAGTGAGCCTGGGCAAATCATTTAACTTGTTTTAACCTCGGGTTGTGTTTTCTCCCCTAGGACCTCAGATGGACAGAATTCAACTCATCACATTTCTTGGTTCTTGACACGCTCTCCTCGTTAGTCCATCACATATTGCACGGATTCATTCATATCGCTGCATGTAGGCTGCTTTGACCTGCTGTAGAATATCTCATTGTGTGGATGCACATGTGGATCACTGAGTATGTCAGAGCTGGCAAGATACGTCAGAAGAGAAAGGAGAAACTCTTAACTAAATAGAGTTGGAAATAAAATAATTGTCTGTATGGAATAAGATCAAAGGTCCCACATGTTAAAGTCAACCCCAGATGAATTAAAGTCTTACATGTCAAAAAAAATTGAAACTTTTAGAAGAAAATTAAGGTGGATATATTTTAGACCTTAAGGTAGAGAAAGATTTCTTAAAGAAGACACTTACAGGATTGATTACAAACAAAAAGACTGGTACATTTGAATGTATTATGTTAAGAACTTTTCCACCAAAAGAAAGCCTCGATTTCCTCATTTTTAAGATGAGGATAATAATCCCTACCTTATAGAATTCTAATAAGATGAAATGAAGCAACATATACAAAATACTTAGCACAGATCCTAACACCTACAAAATAATAAATGGTAACGATTATTATTCTTCTCAAACAACAATCCTATTATTTATCAAATAATACTGAGTAATATGACAAGACATATTTAAACCACACAAGCCATATGCAGACAAGTGTTTAATATCATAGTGATAGTTTCAAGAGAGAGATAATAATTTATTCTACATTTATCAGAGGTCTATAGCCCAGTAGTCAATAAATACTTATCTATAGTCAATAAGTACTATCAAGCATCCATGCCAGGAACCATGCTAGGGGCTGATTAATTTACATCAATCACCATGACTTTTTTCCCACAAACTAACACACACACAATCTTCATAGATTTTTCTGTGATCACAGCAAGGAAAAGACCTACGCATGTTTGGATCATCTGTGTACAGTCCTACAGAAGAACTTTGACACTATCAGAGACAGAAATCTCAGAATAGTCCAACTCTCACTTATTTGTGCTAATGAAAGAGTAAAGTAAAAGAGACAATTAAAATGGGAAATGTGTTTTGTTTTGTTTTGGTGTTTTGTTTTACAAGTATGCAAAAACCTCAAATCAACCTGACCCAACAATAAGGAAGCAAGTCAGAAAAAGGCAGTCTTCCAGAGCTGTTTGTTCAGCAGCTCAGTAATGCCATGAAGGTTTGCTTCCTTTCTCTGCTTTGTGTTTCTGGAGAGAGTCCGCATACATTTCAATATGGCTGACAGCAGTTCTGGAATGTATAAAGCCTTGCATAAAGAAAATGACAGTTCACTATGAAAATCTGATTCGGATGATGTTGAAAATAGATTTAGTGTCTGCTCTGCCTCTCTGTTTTCTAGGACTTCACCACCTCACAGACTTTGTACACTCATGGTTCACAACTTCCTCACTGTGTTTTCTTTAACGAGTAGAAGATAAATAAGCTTTAAGAAATAGTAAATTATATCAAAATAGACTTTATCATATAATTTGCCTAATTATGTACCTTCAGTAAGTGTTTATTGAACTCTGGGGTGTCAACAATTTTTTATTCAGCTCTCATAAGTAATATTTGCTTAGAAATCTACCCATAAATAGGATAACAACTTTCATAAAACAAGAATTTATACCTAGCTAACATGAAAAAGCTAAACATCCCTTGAAGTACAATTCTCCTGAAAATCATCCCAATATGGTTTATTGAGGCTGATGGATTTGGACACCAGCTCTTAAGAAAAAAGATAAAGAGGAAAGCTACTGCCTGCCACAACATATTCTTTTTCCCAAGAGCTGGTAAGTTTCTTCCATATGTGGAATCCAATAACGTTCGGAACATTCTTTTCTCTTTCTGGTAATGTGATATACCCAACGTGGGCCTATGATACAAGGAAGGAGAGTAGATCAGGAGTCAAAAACCACAGGTCCTAGTTCTGGTTCTATCATTTCTTTGCTGTGAAAGTCTGGACCAGTGACTTCATAGCTCTGAGTTTCTGTTGTGTCATTCTTCAAGTCAGGTCATCATTTGCCTTCCCTACTTCACAGGTAGTATACAGTAATCTTTTCAAAAGCCCTTTAGAGGACATAACACAACCTTATGTTTATTTTCTGCTAGAGCATGACTCCCTTGAGGGCTTGGAGCATGTCTTAATCAAATTTGTATATTCCACCATTCCTACCCCAGACCTATTATTAGGTGCTCAATAAATGTTGATTTTAAATGACAGCTGTCATGAAATAAATGAAAACAGAAGCCAACAGTGACGGTTTGAGCTGCCTGCTGGCTGGCATGTGACACTTAACATCTAAAGAGTGATAGTGGCAGCTAAAGTGCGGAAGGAATCCACTTTATGAAACTATCTGAGCAGTGAAGCACTGGAAATCACAGAGTCTCCTTTTGGCTATTTTACATTTAGATATGAAAGCTTGTCAGGCTGGGCTGAGAATAGACAATGAGAAACTAACACATTTCAACAGGTTTTGAATAGTTTCCCAGTGAAGAATTTTCCTGGCCTCTCTCCACCCTGGTTTTTATCCCTCTTCTTGGGAGTTATTTTTCGCAAATGTACCCCATGATTGGCAAATTTCAGAAGAATAACTGGGGTTGGCTCAGTTCAGCTCCTCCCCGTCCTTCTCCTGAGTCTGCTTCCAAAGGCAATCTGCAAGGGAGGAATAAAGCAACTCAGGGAAGGGAAAAAGAGATGTGAAGAAGGAAAGAAATTGGAAGACCCAAAACAACATGATGGTTAGTAGAGCTAATGAAAATGAGGAAGCTCCAATAATATCTGGTTTTTTTTCTCTGACTTTGTGAAAACCATTTGTTATTATGATACGACAATGTAATCAATGGTACTCAGTAAAGTCAGTACCCCAAAATTCGGCCAGGTGTCATGGCTTTTTGTGTATGGTTGTCCTGGGAATTAAAGGAGAAGGAAGGGGCTGTGCCCCTGTAGGGGAGATGATGTGCAGAAACGGACGGTATACACAGGAGGAAAGACAATGAGAAAAGATAAAGAAAGAATTCACTAAAAGCAGGGACTTGGAGCTAGAGAAGCAACAAAAGACATCCATAATTCTTGGAGATATTAGGGGAATACTAGGCTTCCCAAGAAAAAGATTCAAGCCATTCTATTGCACTGTCAGCTGGAAGGTGGTCCCAAAAGGCTGGGGAAATTGGAGGCACTCAGGAAGCTGCTGTCTTGGTTACAGGCATTCATGTATGGATGAGGCTGGAGAAGGTAAAAGACAGAGGAAGAGAGTAGGGAGGCAGGTACAGAAAAGAGACTCATTATTACCTTTCTCTATTGCAGGCTTCAGAAGGTGAACCCAGAGAGCAGGCTGTTTCTGTCCATGGGAAAGCAGGATGGTACAGCCCATATCTGATTCAGAAACCAACAGTCAAACCATTCTCCCCTGAGACTAAAGCAGAGAATGAAGCCATTTCCCAGAAATTTGGGTATTTAAAAAATCACCCTGGCCTGGGTTACAGGGTAATTGTCCCATATCTATGTTTCACCTGCAGATTCATGGGACAGAATTATTTCCCAAATCTAGCTCCATGCTCCTGCCCTGACTTAAGTCAGGGAATACTTGGTATGTAGTAGCATTTATTATTTCACGTTCAAAATATCTCAAAGCCTTGAAAACTGTAACGTATTAAACGGAAATTTGGTAGGCATTGCTTCGCACAATCCCATGATGCCAGCTTGCTAGCATGGATATGCCCAGGGCACCCTACCAGATGCTGGACACAAAAGCTCAACATGGTAGTTCTTCCCTGCAAGGGTTCACAGCCCAGTGGAGGAGATCGTCAGGTGAGTAAATCATCCTACTGTACAGCCACGATGTGCAGAGGACTCAGAGGAGGGAGTGAAACTGCCACTCCCAGGCCCATGTCTCAGACCAACCCTTCCCCTCCAGCCAGTTGTGTAGACTGCACCTCTTCTCTCCCTCCTCAGTGAATACAGGCTAAGGAACGCAGGCTTCTCTTACCCAGGTTCCCTGAACTGCTTTTTTTAGCCCATCTCATCTTCTTCTGGTTTTGTTCAATTTTCTGCCAGCTTTTTTATCCGGCTCACTTATCTCCCTTTATCCCTCAGAACCATCTCCAGTAATTCCATTGACTGGCAGGACATTTTTCCATCAGAGAGTAGAGCTGAGCTGCTGCAGTGCCACGGCCACCTCCCAGCAACAACCCCTCCGACCCCAGCAGACCCACTACCTGGCTCTTTCGGTCAGTGGGGACTTTTCAGATGGTATCTCTTTTATTTTAGCTTTTTAATTTCTGGCTGCCAGGCTTTCTTTTCTTAACTACGTTTGGAGCAGCATTTTGCACATCACAGAAGCCATGCCAGTTTTAAGGTGAGTTAGGATTCTGCAGGGGAATCCCATTATTTTGATTCCCTCATCAAAGCAGGGCTAAGTTTAACCCCTTGCAAATATGAAAATGAAAAGGACAGAGGAGTGTATTGTCATGGAAAAGGCACCAAATTAGTCACCAGGGAACTGGACACAGGTCCCGGCCCCACAACTGACTCTGCCATGGGATTTTAGGCAAGACACCTCACCTTTCTGACTCCAAAATAGTATGCCTGTTAGTCTTCCTCATGATGAAGTTGGAAGAATCAAATATATTGACTGCTATAAACATACCTCATAAACTGTAAAGCACTGTTCAGTCAACTTAAAGACCCATGCCAAACCTAGGGACACTGGGCAGCATGTCCTTCTGAATAAGCACATAAGCTCCATGAGAGCAAGGATTGGGTCACCTCTTGCTCGCTATTTACTCCCAGTGCTTAGCACCTGGAAGGAAGGAAGGGAGGGAGGGACAGGGGGAGAAAATTATGCACCCAAGGGGTCTGAAATGTTAGGTCCTTCCACATGTTTGTGAAGCCCATCACCTGCTGGTAGGAGTAAAAATATCTCAAACACAATAAATATCTTTCCCGAATTAGCATCTATGAATTGAATCCCATTTGTGTGAGAAGTGAAAAGGCTGAAGTTTCCACTTTTCAATCAACGGTAAAAGTCCTGACCTAATGCAATGTCGCAGAGACTGTTCGTTTGCACAAGCCAATATAATAATAGCAATAGCTTACATTTTTATAGTTCTTTACAGTTTATCAAGCATTTTCAAGTATCTGACCTCATTCTGATCTTCAAAATCTCATATAAGTAGGTAGGGTAAATTAACCCTGTTTTACAGATGACGAAACTAGGGCTCGGAGGAGCGCAGAAACGTACACCAAATCACGAGGCCTGTAAGTGGCAGAGCTGGGATTTGGGCAGGTTCTCTTGGCACCTTGGCTTCTTCAGCTGCTAATGAAGACAGTAATGATGATGCTCCCATTGTTAAGCTGACAGCTCTGGAGCCACCCAAACCAATATGATTTCCTCTTTATTTTGCTAGAATTATGGTTATTCTGAATCCCTGGAGAGTAGAGTAGGTCCTCTCCTCATAAAATAAGGACAAAAAATTCTTTTCAGGAAAGGAAGGCTACACAGTTGGTCAATAATCACATTTTTAATGACTTCATTAGTCATCAATCAATTGAAACAGCAACAATGATGCATCATTTCCTCCTATCAAATTAGAAACAATAAAATTAATGTTGATAAGGATGTAGTAAAACCAGTGTATATGTTCAATGCTGGTGGCCTTGTATACTGCTACAAACTTTTAGAAGCTACTTGGCCACATGCCTCAAGAGCCATGAAATTGTTCACACTCTCTGAAGCAGTAATCTTACATCTGGGAATCTATCCTAAGGAAATAATGAACTAGAGAAAGAAAAAAAAATACCTTCCTAGGGCCTGGTTGTTGATTTCTCCCTTGGATAGCAATGAGATATCATGGTATCTTTTTCATAAATTTCCTATTTGTTTAAGCTCATTCCAGCTGGTTCCTGTTACCTGGCACCAGAACCATCATTACAAAAGCCCACATACAGAGAGCTAATATAAATATTAATATCTTCCCTTCCCTTGCTTCAAACTTGACCTCAATTGACATTTCCAGCTTCACAGCCTGGTATCCCATCCCTCCATACCCCCATCAATCTCAAAGCTCCGGTCAAGTCAAATGTCTCACAGTTGACCAGACGGGCCATGAATCAGCATGTTCTGAGCTTTAGTTAGGATCAGAATCACCTGGAAGGCTGGTTAAAACACACACCCTTGTGCACACACACACACACACACAAAACACACACACACACATACACACACACCACACCTTTCACTGGCTTTGAGAACCACTGGTTTAAGCAACAGTCTACCTCTGGCAAAATCATCTAGTCCTTCAAGTCCCAGCTCCTCCCTGCTTTTTGCAGCCATCTCCAATCACACCAGACTGAACTAATTACTTGTCCCCTGTGTTTCTTTGGGGCAAGAAAAGCACCTATTACACTGTATAATGAGGGTTAATTGTATAATGGATGCCAGCTCCCTGCTTATCAGGAGTATCTGGAGGGCAGGCCCCTGGCTTCATTGCCTCTGTGCCCCCAGAGCTAGCACAATGCTTGGCACAGAGTAGCCATATGTGCATGTACGACTGAATTATTCCTTGCTCCCTCCCTCTATAGGAAGTTATGGTTTATTCCTGTTTCCACAGGATCCATTAGCATATTGAATAGCTATTTTTAAAAAACAATGATTAGCCATGATAGCAAAAGAAGAAACATGAACAGAGCTTATTCGTTTGCCAGGCTAGTAAATATCATCTTGCTTTGCTTTCTAAACTCCTTAATGAAAACAGTGGCTCTCAGGCAAATAAATAAAACATTAGGTAGACAACACACAGCACATCACAAGCACAGTCCACTAATTTGCCTATTGCTGAAGGACATTAGCCACCTTTGAGATAATCTCCATAAACATACTGCCCCATCTCCCTCTCTCAAACATGAATTGTATCAAGCTAAATTTTTAATGTTTTTCAATGTCTTATATATATTTCATTTCAACAACATTTTTTAATAGTAAGATATCCATCTTAATCAAATGAAAGCTGTTTTTCTGTAATTGTCCTAAAAGCCAATTCATTTTCTGGAAAAACATCTTCTTGAATCACAAGTGGCCGGGCTAAACAGTGTTCTCAGAATATTAATGTGAAACTTAAGCTATTAACATGTCATGGTTAACCTTTCTAAAAGCTAATTAAATTAAAATAATAATATGTGGAATGCTTTTACAGAAAGGTAAGGCTCTTTTACAAAGCACCTGTTCCAAGTCTCAGAGCTAACACCTTATGAAGCCATGGTGGGAAAAAGGTTTTGCAGGCAGACAAAGAAAGCCTGGCTTTGCACCTGCTGTGATTAACTTTTAGTTGTTGGTATTAGAGTTAATTATTGCAGCATGCTGGAGGGCAGTGACAATTTACTTGCCTGATCATACCTAATAAGATGTATTTGCGGATGCCAGCATCTCCTGGACTTAATCAACAAACTATCAAGACAATCAATGCTGTTAGGCCCCATGTCCTTGTGATAGTTTTTTCCAAATAAAAAAGATAAAAATCCAAGGATGCAGTGCTAAGGATATAGGCAGGCTGCTTAGAAAGCCTCCGTTAGCTAGCGTCAGGCTTATCTCCCTCCCTGAGTGGCTAGATCTATTATGCAGGAGGGTTAGTGCACCCTAAGGCCCGATTCAATTGGGAGCAAAGTTCAAGGCAACCACACCAGGTACAAGGAAATTAAGCTCTGAGAACTCCAGCACTTCTTGGTAACTGAGCTCTGGAAGGCTTCAAATGGGCCCTTTCTACTTTATCTTCTATGGGAAAAGGTTGTTATACCCAAGGCGCTATACCCTCTTCCTGCTACACAAGGAGGGAGTTTCTGTTCCTTTATTTGATAATCTATGCTTGAATCCATGGAATACATTTTTAAAGGAAAGAAACTAGCTATGACATAAGACAGGTTGGCAAATTCCATAAAACAACATGCTTTAGTTTCAACTCTGTTCCTTTTTAGGCCCCAACAAATTAGCAAAACTCCTATGAGAGGACTGGGGTCATGTGTGGGCACACAAAATAAGGAGGGTGCTACCACCTAGAGGGATCTCATACAGGTAATGGAGAGGTGCAGGTGACAGCAATCAGCAGCCTGGGGGCACTGAAAATAGAACTAAGACTGTCTTTGACTCATAAGTCATCCATCCTGAATAATGAAAGAAGACCAACATTCAGCATGATCACCTAGATCTCTAACGTCTTTTATTCATCCATTCATTCACTCAACACATGTATTTGTTGAATTCCTCCTTCATGCCAGGGACTGTGCTGAACATGTTCCTGATTTCACTAAATGTGAGCTGTGCAATCTTGAGCTCTAGCAGTTTGCACAAGGTCTAGCTGGAAAAAACTGCTTTATGACAATGTTGGGGATCTTTGTTGACTCCCAGCCTTCCAAAAATATCAATACCCCAGATATGACAAGTATCATTTCCATTCACATTCCATTGGTGAGAACCAGTCATGTGGTCACACCAACTGCCAGGGAGACTGGAAAATGTAGTCTTCATTCTATGTTCAGCTAAAATTCAGGGGTTCTGTTACCATGTGAAAGAAGGGAAAAACCAATATTAAATGTCTCTGCTTTTGTAATATATTTTGTAATATAAGACACTACAAAAGATGTAGTGTCTTAATCACACTGATGAGTCAAGAATTCTGGGCATCTCCATAGACCAGAGAGATGGAGGAATGGCCAGGAGCCAAGAGCCATGTAGGTAGATTTCTCAAATGGGATCCAAGCCCACTTCAGGGCCAGGGCTTCAGAGTTAGAGACAGGTCTCTGGCCCTTAAAGAACTGACAGGTGATCCATGTTGGCATCACCATTCATAAAAACTTCACAAAAGACAGTTCTCTGTCCTGTTTTGAAATAAGTGGACCTTTTAAAGTATCAGGGAAGAAAAACTTTTCTTCTATCCTCTTAGGTTCAGTGATTTGGGGGTCTATGAATAAAACCAACAAAAGACAGACTGGCAAAAGAAAAGACAATGTTTATTCATGTATGTACTTGGGAGCTCACAAAGAAAGTGGCTCAAAGAAGCTGTTAGAACTTGGAGCTTATATACCATTTTAACAAGGAGAAGGGGTTAGGGTTTCAAGGGACAACAAATGGTGGGAAATGACTGAGAAATATATAAAGAAACCAACGGAAGGCAAGTGAAGTGGTAAATTTTATGCGTCAACTTGACTGGGTCAAACGGTACCCAGATAATTGGTTGCATGTTATTTCTGGGTGTGTCTGTGAGGGTGTTTCCAGATGAGATTAGCATTTGAATCAGTGGACTCAGTAAAGCAGACTGCCCTTCCCAACAGGAGTGGGCACCATGCAATCCGGTGAAGGTCTGGATCAAACAAAAAGGCAGAGGAAAGGAGAATTTACTCTCTCTACCTGGCTACTTGAACTGAATATTCATCTCCTGCCCGCAGACTAGGACTTACACCATCAGCTCCTCTAGTTCTCAGGCCTTCAAATTTAGGCTAGAGCCATCAGTTCTCCTGGTGTTCAGGCCTTTGGGCTGTATGGCAGAGGGACCTGACAGCCACAATTGAAGCATGGCCTAAGAGTGACCCTATGGTCTAAGAAGAATATGTGTTCAGAGTCTCAAGCTAAGGAATTCAGGAGTGGCCAATGTAAAGACTCACTCCTTATGTATAAAGGACATCTGAACCCCTGGCCTATCCCTTGGAATACAAGCTGTATAAGGAATTGAGGCCCTTTGTTTTGGGTTAAATGGAGGTTGCTAGGTGAAGGTTGCTGGTTGGAGGGTGCTAAGTGAAAATGCTATATAAACTGCATGCTTTTTACAAATGGTAGTGGTTCTCCTGTCCCGCCTACCACCACTGGACCATCCCTGTATGTAAATCATGCCAATAAACCCTATGTCTTGTTCTCTGTCTCTAGGTCTCTTCCTTGGCCTCTCAGACATGTTGCCATTTCTATCAGAGCCAATAAGAGTCTGGCATGCCGTGGCCTCTGACTAGAACTATACTACCAGCTATCCCAGGCTGTAGCTTGCAGACAGCAGATCATGGGACTTCTCAGCCTCCACAATCACATCAATCAATTCCTTATAGTACAATAAGGCTTATTTTAATAAGGTGTGTTTATGCATCCAGTGTCAACTTCTCATCTCTGGTGACAGGAGTCACCCCTTCTGCCTGGTACTTCCTTAAAGCAGGATTCATGATAGCAGAATTCTTTTGGAAGGTTCTGCTTTTAGGCAGATGAGGGAGTGCAGAGAAAGGCTCTTCCTGAATCTGTTGATTCTCAAATGCCTTTCACTCAAAATAATATTTATGTCATGTGGCATATTCTGATCCCTTCCTTGGTCACACCCAAATTTTATGGACTCAAATACTTTGAAAGAAAAAAGAAAGGACGGAAAAAAGGAAAGAAGAAAGGAAAAACAGAAGGAAGAAAGGAAGGCACTGGCTATGATAAAACATTTTTCAGGTGATGTATGAATTTTAGAAAAAAATACATTTACATACCCAAAACTAGGGCATTATTTTTAACCAAACAATGTAATGTATGGAAAAGACAAGTTAAATTCCACATTCAATTGGTAGGATTTCATATTCAGTGTGAGCCATTCTCTCCCTGTGCTGTGCTTGCTCCAAACATATTTCCACAGACTTGGATAATTTACCTTGATTTTTGCTTAGTATTGTAAAACGTCCCCAAAATTTGAGAAAGCATAGGAAAAAAACTTGTAGAAGCAAGTAAAACCAGAGAGGAAAGCCATGACACAGGAAGAGAAGATATTACTGCCCACAAAGCAGCTGTTTGTCAACAATCACATTAGTGGTCTGGGATCATGAAGGAATGTTTTAAGCATTTTACACCCTAATATAAGTTTTTTAGTTACATATAGGCATTTTTCTATGTTTTCAGAAATTGGCTAAGGATTTGGGGTTGATGCATACCATTTTGTAATTTTTCCCATTTCAAATAATAGGAAACAGCTCTGGTTAGCATTTTTGTGCACAACATCTGATTTTAGGAGGGGATGACTAATATTAAGTGGGAGGTGTCTGTATTTTAGGAACTGGATAGGAAATTGTATTCTCTTTACTTGCTCAACATCCATTTAACAAGCATTTACCGAGTACTACAGTGAGCCAGGCATTGTGCTGAGTGCTGAGCAGACAGCAGTGGAAAGTCTTCATCCTTGGCTAAAAGGATCTAGTCTAGTAAATGAGACAGAGTGAGAGTTGTGAAAGGGGGCATGGCAGGCACTAATCCAGCTACAGGAGCCCAGGAGAGACTGAAACTAACTTTGCAAAATCATGGCAGTAAGAGAAATCTAACATAGTTGACTCCATCCTGCTTCTAACCTCCAAGCTCTCCTTGGTCATTCCTGAGCATAGACCAACCAACTTCAGGAGCAATTTAGTTTATAGTTTAATCTTAAAGCAAGAATGATAATAGCCCTTCCCAAAACTAAACTGCCTTTGCAAAACTAATGAAAGTCCTTCATTCTGCTAAGATGTAAGCATAGTTAAATGACAACTAGCTATTGTTCTGGAGGTTACAACATTTGTAACGTTTCCCATTACTCCTGTAGATAACATAACTATTGTAGAACCTACGATTGGCTTTTTGAGATGTCTTTTTAGAGTTCTGCATTTCTGACTACTGGCTGACTCCACCTGGACCAGCAACTTGTGATTCAACCGGTCCTGTGACCCCCTCCACCCAGAGGGGGCTCAGTGCATAAGGACCATTTTCCACACTCCTATGATTTCATCCCCAACCAATCAACATTCCCCATTCCCTAGCCCCTTGCCCACCAAACTATCCTTGAAAACTATCCTTGAAAACCTCTAGCCTCAGAGCCTTCAGGGAGACTGATTTAAGTAATAACTCTATCTCCCACCTGGTTGGCCTCACGTCAATTAAACTCTTTCTTTACTGCTATACCATTGTTTCGAGGAACTGGTTTTGTCTGTCAGCAAGCCAGAAGAACTCACAGGGCAATTACAAGATGAATAAGAGTTACCGGGGTGAAAGTAGGGGACCAAGTACACTAGGCAGAGGGAGCAGCCTGTGCAAAAGCCCAGAGACAGAGAGCAAGGCAGCTGAATCTGGCATCACCAAGCCCCAGTGGATGAGCAGTGCAGATCCTCCCACTTACAACATCCCCACTGGGCCCCAAGAAAGAGGCTGAAATTTCCAGTTCCTCTCCATATCCTCTACCCACACACTCCTGACACTCATCGTCTTCATAGGCTACTTCAGGCACAAAACTGTGAATGAGCTCTAAAATGTGGTTTCCTCATCTATAAAATGGGATAATAAAGTTTTATCTTATAGAGTTATTGTAGGTATTGAATAGGTTGATATACATAAAGCGCTTTTCACCAATGTCTAGCACATTTTCAGTGTTATATATTAGCTATTCATTGTTAGCTAGAGGCCCTGAAAATGTGTCGCAGTGAAGCCAGAGGTCCCTGAGGTCAGGCTGGGGATATCAAGTCCCAGGTTTTCTGCCCACCCACCTCCTCTTCCAAATAAGGCAAATGCACTTTTTTTTTTTTTTTTGGCCCACCATTGTGCAGTAAAACTGCATCCTACATAGATTTAACTTAAGCAAATTCAAGAATGCCCAGCTGGCTGGATGAGACTGGGAGAAAAATAACTTCAATACTGCCAGTCCTACTCCATTCTCTGAGAGCAAATGCCCCAGGTGAACCTGGAGGAGAGGGAGAACAGGCACTCCCCTCCAGCCACAGTTTTCCCCACCTTTCCCCGGTCTAAGCAGCTTGACGTATACTTTGTTAAAGGATTTTCAAGCCTAATTGTGACTACCTGCAATTTTCACCCCACAAGCCGACTTTAAAACCTAACTCTTGCTAAAAAGAAGACACTCCAGCACCTCTGTCCGCTTAGCATCAAGTAAATTCCAATCAAATTAGAAATCTTGAAGGCTTTCTGAGAGCTGGTCTTTACTTTAAACAGTTTAAATCACCCCTAAGCTTAGCCTGAGGAGTAGGATTAAAGCCTCCCTGATGTGGAAAAAAACAAAAGAAGGAACTGTGATTTACTGCCTAAGCCACCACCCTTAGCTTCCCCCACCACACTCTCCAGGTAAAATCTGCTTCCGTTCTGCCTACTACCGTAGGCTAAAAAGAGATCACCGGTCCTGAGACTCTAGTCACATGGATGCGCAGCAGGACAGGCACAGAGCTCCGCAGCTTGAAACATAGATGCTTGTAGCTCACAAGCCCACAAGTCCACCAGCCCGCCACATCTCTTGAAGCTCAGGCAGGTACGTTCGCCCCGCTGGCTTTAATTTCAAAATCCAGCACAATCACTGAAAAACTAGAGCGATTTGCTCTTTCAGCTATGCACAATTTTCATCAGCAGTCTCCAGTGGCTACAATCTCAGGCAGGCTTTTACCACCTTTTCTCGTCCTCTCTATACCAACACATATTCTGGAGAAATGGTTTTTCTAATGGCCTGTGGAGGTCTGCCTGTGTTTTGAGGCTTTGTCTGGGCACCAAGTCCAGCAGATACAATTCTCTTTCCTGAGTCAAGCATTTATAAAGAGCTGTGATCTCAGATTTCAGCTTGCTTCTGTCTTCCTTCTTACTCCTGAAATCTGATCATCCCTTTTGTCTTTCTACCACAATTATATATTGAAAGAAAAACATGAAGATGCAAGAGTATGCAGGGACATGTGTAAGTGATTCTCTGCAAGTGTTAAACACAGGGTGTAATTACAGCTGGAAGGCAGTGCCTTGTGGGAGAAAAGACAAAAAAAGAGGTGGGGGGGGATATTCTTTATAAAATGTTCTTGTCTTTATTTTTAAGCTTGATGCTCACATCTCACTTTCTAACACACACGGACAAAGAATATACTCATGTACAAGCAAAAATACTCATATATGCACATGTGCACAAACACACACAGACAATGTAGTATTTTAGAGACCCTTGGTCTTTTATTCTTTTCAGCAAATGAACAATTAGCCTCAATAGTCAAATAAACATCAGAAGATGAGGGTTTTTCCCCCTTCCTCTGCTGTTACAAAATATAGCAACAAAGTGGGGCAAAGTAGCATGAAACCTGAAGCAGCTCACACAGAAGGACTCAAGAGAATAGGATCTTCCAAATGGAAGTTTCAGTTAGCTTCAGTGTTCTCAGAATTGCATCTCCTAAATTTTGATTCCAAAAGGGAAATTCCCTATGGCCCAGCAGGCCCATACAATCAATTTTCCACATTATTTGTGTAAATATCTGTCCTGTTGCATATTCTGGAAGAAGTGACAGTTTCAAAATGAGACTTGCCAACACACCCCCTTGTCCCAAACAATAAGAATCAGCAGAACATCCCTATCAGCCCTCTCAATTTATTCTTCATCAGAAGCCAGTGGAAAAGGAATTCAGCAAAGTGAGATCCCCAACTGCACAAAGCACTAACCTAATCACACCCAAAGGAAAATGAGAGAAGAGTTTGACCTAGAGAGTCTTAAATTAGTGGGCACACTCAGAGACTCAGGGGAATTTTAGCTAGGCAAGCCACCAATAATTTAGAGAGAGGTGGCTCTAATGAAGGGTCCAGGCTGCAGGGCATGGTAGACAATCTTTCAAGGCAAAGGCTCTGGGCCACGTGACCTGTCCATGGCACAGTGGGTGTGTCAAGCACAGTGAAGTGTACAGAAGGTGTCTGACTTATGCTGCTTTGATGTACAATTTTTCAGCTTTACAATGGTGGAAAAGCAGTATGTGTTCAGTAGAAACTGTACTTTGAGTACCTATAAAACCATTCTGCTTTTCACTTTCAGGAGATATTCAATAAACTACATGAGATATTCAACACTTTATTATAAAATTAGCTTTGTGTTAGATGATTTTGCCCAACTGTAGGCTAATGTAAGTGTTCCCAGCATGTATAAAGTAGGCAAGGCTAAGTTATGATATTTGGTAGGTTAGGTGTATTGATTGCACTTCGACTTACAATATTTTCAACTCATGATGGGTTTATCAGATGTAACCCCTTCATAAGCTGATATGGTTTGGCTGTGTACACCCAAATCTCATCTTGAATTCCCACGTGTTGTGGGAGGGACCCAGTGGGAGATGGTTGAATCATGGGAGCAGTTTCCCCCATACTGTTCTCATGGTAGTGAATGAGTCTCACGAGAGCTGATGGTTTGATAAGGGGAAATCTGTTTTGTTTGGCTCTCATTCTCTCTCTTTGCCTGCTGCCATCCATGTAAGATGTGACTTGTTCCTCCTTGCCTTCTGCCATGATTGTGAGGCTTCCTCAGCCATATGGAACTGTAAGTCCAATTAAATGTCTTTCTTTTGTAAATTGCCCAGTTTTGGGTATGTCTTTATCAGCAGCGTGAAAAAGGACTAACACATATAAGCCAAGAAACACCTGTACATGTGTTTCTTGCTTTAGAAAGCAGGAAGGCAATTAGGCTTTATTTTACATGAATCTACAATGTTGGTGAAACCTGCTCTTCCAACATCCTGCGGGCTCCTGGAATGGACTCTGATTAGGCATAAAATGAGGCATAGCCACACACAATGACTTTATCTGGAATACTGCTCACCTCCATGTCCCTCCTACCCTGCAAGAATGGGAAGTAGACTCATTAGCATCATTTAAAAATGGTCTCCTGGCTGGGTGCAGTGTCTCATGCCTGTAACCCCAGCACTTTGGGAGGCCGAGGCAGGTGGATCACGAGATCAGGAGATCGAGACCATCCTGGCTAACACAGTGAAACCCTGTCTCTACTAAAAATACAAGAAATTAGCCAGGCATGGTGGCGGGCACCTGTGGTCCCAGCTACTCAGGAGGCTGAGGCAGGAGAATGGCGTGAACCCGGGAGGCGGAGATTGCAGTGAGCCGAGATTGCGCCACTGCATTCCAGCCTGGGCGACAGAACGAGACTCCGTCTCAAAAGTAAAAATAAAAATAAAAATGGTCTCCTTGCTTATGTGTTCACTTGCTCTTTCCTCTCTTTCCTGGAGAGATGATAGCAATTGCACTTACCTTCTGTTTGGGAGGGGCTTTTGGAAAGCTGAGGGGGTCAGGGTGAAGCCTGGGGGAAAGGGAGCAAAGAACTAGCTGATGGGGACCTGCTGTGGCTGAGTCTTTGGGAAAAGAGGGTAGAGCAAATTGCTTAAGTTTCTGCATGATCAGCCCAGCTCCCCAGGGCAGGAGAGGAGATAGGTTTAGTCAGAGAACCCACCCAGGACAATGCGGTTGGCTGGAATTAGGTCAGTGCCTATGAGAGGCAGGAAGATGTGCAAATCGAGCCCAAGCAAGGGAACCCTCAACATCAATGGAGGTCCATAATCCAGGAAACCCCTAATATGCAGCAGTTATCTTTATTTTAGGATGCTCAGAAATAGACAGGATGGTACCACAGCCAGGTGAACAGAGTGCTACCTGGGAGTCAAGATCCCTAAATCTCTCTTTCAAGTTTCACGTCTGACTGGTTCTCTTATCATAAGAAAAAGTATTGAGAGCCTGCTACATGTGAGGCCCTGCAGATGACACAGAAATTAACAAGACACAATTGCATCCTCAAAGAAAAGGTACGGAATAGAAAGAGTATGGGTTTTTGAAGCCATCCTGATCATGGTTCTGTCATTTACAAATTATGTGGCCTTAGCCAAATTACTTTGTGTCTCTGACCATATGTTTTCTTATTTGTAAAATGGGGGTAAAAATACCACTAAGCATTTCTGAAAGGATTAGAGATAATATTATTCACCATGGAGAACCTCAGACTTACTAGCTGCTAATAGCAGAGCAAGGAGGTAATGCCGAACAAACAGTGAGTTTGCAACCAGAGCAAAGCAGGCTTAATGCTAATAGGTCAAGGAAAGAGTAAAAAGGGAATGCATCAGAGAGGAGCTGACTGAAAATACTTTCCCAAAACGTTACAACTGGTCTACCTTTAAAGTGGAAATATGCACAGGCAATGACTCCTACCCAGGGCCATGTAACCCGACTTGTTGCACTAAGCCTTGCACTTAGAAGAGTTTGTGATTAGTTTAATGATCTGCCATCACCATCTTGAAAGTCTGTAATTTTTCCACAAGGGATTCAGCATTTGCATTTTAACTGGGCCCTGAAAATTATGGAGCCAGCCCTGCTCCCACTTATTGAGACTGATGGGGCTTTGTTGGTGAGCTACCTCCCCTGAGGCAGCCCACCTCCTTCTCCGAGGTTCCTGAGCTGGTCAGACCCAGATGCCTTGCTAATATCTCTGTTTGTGGACACACTCAGCATGCTAGGCTCTCCTTCTCAACCTCCAGACTTTCTAATGCACATGATCTGCCCAGCTTCTCTGCAGGGAACTGAGTAGTAAAACTACACCAGCTCATCACTCTCAATACACACAGGAATGTTTCCCTCCATGAAAATCATTTCCAGCATTCAAGAAGTCTACCTGGCAAAAACCATTCCTGCCATCAGCCCAATACACCTTTCCTTTAACAGCCCAATATACCTTTCATTCAACGAACATTTATTGAGCACCTACTATATACACAGGAAAACCCCACCTGGAACTGACAGGTGCTTGACTAAAGCAAACAAAGCTAAAGGAACAAAGTCCCCCAGGACCTAGAGGAGATAAATCTTTGGGCGATTTGACCTGGGAAACTTTTGCCTGGAAGATAGAGCAAATTCTGGGAGCAGGGATGGGAGTGTGGAGGTAGGGCTATGTTACCTCTGGCTCCAGCAGCTGGTGCGAGGCAGCTGAATGAGATGCTGCAAACCCTGGCATATTTCCCTGCCTGCTATTAATAAGTTCCTAGCTGACTGTGAGTTTCATTACTACTGACTGTTCTGCATCCATGGGCACCATCCTCAGGGATGTCAGCACCATCCCAGTGGTATGCAGTGGGGGTAGACTATCTGCCGCCTTTGGCCTGGACTCAGTTTCACTAAAGGAAAGAGTTTGAGGTGGTCCAAGAACCCTAGGTGTTTGCAGGCACAAAAGCAGCAAGGCCTGCAGAGAAGCCAGACAGTGGGTAGAGGACACAGCAACAAAATATCAATTCCTGCTGACTAACCTCTCTTCTATTCCTCAGCTTCCCTGCTCCATGAGAAGCTAGACCTGAAGTAGAAAACGTCCCAGAAGTTGATCTATAGGGTGTGCCAAGAAAAGATTCCCCATTCTTCAGAATCAGTGAACTGTAAGCCATAAGCTGTGAGATTAAAAATAGCTACATCCATCTCAGGAGAAAGGGAGAACAGAAGCAGTGAGGGAAGGGCCCAACCCTTCCCAATAAGCTTCAAGCCAGGGATTCTCGGCGTTTTTAAAAATCCATGCCCCTTTGTCATAAATATGAACACATTCTACTCTCTTTTAGAGTTGTATACATTTTCAGGAAATTAAGTATATCAACTTCAATTAAACAAAAGGCATAATGGTGATCCAAGTATACACTTTTTGAACTAAGCTTGCTATTTCTTCCTACCTCCCCAGTTTTCCTATCCTACTGCCTGAGATTCTTACATCTCCTTTAATAAATCCTGTAATGAGGATATTCCCTTTTGCCCCCTTGTATCAGTTGATTCTCACTCTGCTATAAAGAAGTACCTGAGACTGGGTAATTTATAAAGAAAACAGGTTTAATTGACTCAGAGTTCTGCATGACAGGAGAGGCCTCAGGAAACTTATAATCATAGTGGAAGGCGTCTCTTCACAAGAAGACAGGAGAGAGAATAAGTGCCCAGTGAAGAGCGAAGCCCCTTATAAAACCATCAGATCTCATGAGAACTAACTCACTATGATAAGAACAGCAGCACAGGGGTAACTGACCCCATGATTCAATCACCTCCCACTGGGTCCCTCCCATGACACATGGGGATTATAGGAACTACAATTCAACATGACATTTGGGTGGGGACACAGCCAAACCATACCATTCCACCCCAAGCCCCTCCCAAATCTCATGTCCTCACATTTCAAAACATAATTATGCCCTTCCAGCATTCCCCCAAAATCTTCACTCATTCTAACATTAAACTGAAAGTCCAAGTCCAAAGTCTCATCTGAAACAAGGCAAGTCCCTTCCACCTAAGAGCCTGTAAAATCAAAAGCAAGTTAGTTACTTCCTAGATACAATGGAGGTACAGGCATTGGATAAATACACCCATTCCAAATGGGAGTAATTAGCCAAAATGAAGGGGCTACAGTCCCCATGCAAGTCCAAAATCCAAAGAGGCAGTAATTAAAGCTCTGAAATAATCTCCTTTGACTCCATCTCTCACATCCAGATCATGTGGATGCTCTCATATGGTGGGCTCCCACGTGGTGGGCTCCCATGGCCTTGAGCAGCTCCATCCCCCTGGCTTTGCAGGGTACATGCCCCTCCTGGCTGCTTTCACAGGCTGGCATTGAGTGTCTGCAGCTTTTCCAGGAGCATGGTGCTAGTAGTTGGTGGATCTACCATACTGGGGTCTGGAGGACGGTGGCCCTCTTCTCACAGCTCCACTAGCCAGTGGCCCAGTGGTGACTCTGTGTGGGGACTCGACCCCACATTTCCCTTCCACACTGCCATAGCCGAGGTTCTCCACGAGGGCTCTTCCCCTCCAGCAAACTGCTGCCTGGATATCCAAGAATTTCCATACATCCTCTGAAATCTAGGTGGAGGTTCCCAAAACTCAGTTGTTGACTTCTGTGTACCCACAGGCTCAACACCATGTGGAAGCTGCCACGGCTTGGGGCTTGAACCATCTGAAGCCATGGCCCAAGCTGTACCTTGGCCTGTTTTAGCCATAGCTGAAGCAGCTGGGACACAGAGCACCAAGTCCCTAGGCTGCACACAGCAGTGGGTGCCTGGGCCTGGAAACCATTTTTAGCTCCTAGGCCTCTGGGCCTGTGATGGGAGGGGCTGCAGTGAAGGTCTCTGACATTTCTTGGAGATATTTTCCACATTGTCTTGATGATTAATATTCACCTCCTTGTTACTTATGCAAATTTCTGCAGCAGGCTTGAATTTCTCCCCAGAAAATGGGTTTTTCTTTTCTATTGCATCATTAGGCAGCAAATTTTCCCAAATCTCATGCTCTGTCACCTCTTGAATGCTTTGCTGCTTAGAAATGTCTTCCAACAGCTACCCTATGTCATCTCTCTCAAGTTCAAAGTTTCACAAATCTCTAGGGCAGGGGCCAAATGCTACCAGGCTTGTTGCTAAGGCATAGCAAGAGTCGCCTTTGCTCTAGTTCCCAACAAGTTCCTCATCTCCATCTGAGACCACCTCAGCCTGGACTTCATTGTCTATCACTATCAGCATTTTAGTCAAAGCCATTCAACAAGTCTCTAGGCAGTTCCAAAGTTTCCCACATCTTCCTGTCTTCTTCTGAGCCCTCCAAGCTGGTCCAACCTCTGCCTGTTACCCAGTTCCAAAGTCATTTCCACATTTTCGGGTGTCCTTATAGCAACACATTACTTCCTCGGTACAAATTTACTGTATTAGTCCATTCTCACGCTGCTATAAAGAAATACCTGAGACTGGGTAATTTATAAAGAAAACAGGTTTAATTGACTCACAGTTCCACATGGCTGGAGAGGCCTCAGGAAACTTATAATCATGGTGGAAGGCACTTCTTCACAGGAGAGCAGGAGAGAGAATGAGTGCCCAGTGAAGGGGGCAGCCCCTTATAAAACCATCGATCTTGTGAGAACCCACTCACTATCACAAGAACAGCAGCATGGGGGCAACTGCCCCCATGATTCAATTACCTCCCACTGGGTCCCTCCCATGACATGTGGGGATTATGGGAACTACAATTCAGGATGAGATTTCAGTGAGGACACAGCCAAACCATATCACCCTTCATTGAAATGTTTCACTATAAACTACTTTAGATTGTGACCTTCTTGAGGCTCTGCCTTAATCTTCCTGGATCTTCTTAAGTCTTCTTTGAGTCTCTGACTACTTACAGAGGGGTGGGGCTCAGGAAGAGAAGAGAGATTCCTCAGCAGGAAACTGCAACTCACAGGTCCTATTTCCCTGCCTAGTTCATTGCCTACGAAAAAGTCATTGCTCAGTGCATGCTGATAAATGATTGATGTGAGGATGGATGGATGGATGGATGGATGGATGGATGGATGGATGGAGATCAGGAATGCCAGATCATTATCTACTCTTCTTTAGGACCAAAATTAATTCTATGCTGTGGCCTTGGGCCTTAGCGGGGCCATGATCTTTGAGAAAATGAGAGGTGCAGACTATTCTAAGGAGTAGACAGATCCCTGAAGAGGACAGGCAAGTCTTTTCCAACCTAGTTCCCCTATACTTCTTGGGGAAAGAAGCTTTCCAGGTCAGACTGTTCCCACCTGGGCAAAGTTCCCCAACCTTTGGGCAGCCACAAATGGTCACTAGGCACAGAGCAGGCCAGACTGTGCCAAAAAAATCATTCAAGAAGGCTCAGAAAACTCCTAACTGCCACATGCAGGAAAGCCCAGTGCTATGTTCCTCTTGGCTTACAGAGAGAAGAAAGAGGCCAGGCCATAGCACATGTTGACAAATCAGAAGACATCCAAAGGAGCTCAGAGAAATCTAGAAGTATGTTCTATGATCAACAAGGGGATGAACTGAAGAGATTTAGCCTGAAAAAGAAAACAATGGGGGAAGAGTAAGGTGGGGGCTGAATAGCTCTCTTTGGAATGACAGTATGTTGAAAGTCAATATAATTGTTTAGCTCTAGAGAGGAGAACTATGGCCAAGAGGAGGCATATTTAATTTCATGCAAGGAAGCAGCCTCTAACAATTAACGTCAGCCCACAGTGGGTTGTTGAAGCCTATCACTGTTAAGAGATTCGTTAGTTTCCTGTCAATGCACGAACTGAAACAGAAGCTACAGGATTATCTGTTTGAGCTGTTGTGTGAGGGATTCCTGCAGTGGGAGGAAGGTGGGGCTAGGTGATTCAAGGTATTTTCCATGATTCATTTGTTTAGATGAGGCACCCATGCCATCCTCACCTCACCTCACCCACACCTACTGAGACTCTGAAATCAAGCTTTAATTCAAGGGTTTGACTACCAACTCAATTCCCCACATAGACTTTATGGATCTTAAAACTCCTAAGTTTATTAATGGAAAATTCTGATATCTTCCCCAGGGATGTGTAGATCCAAATGGGAGCCAGCCCCTTTCTTCCTTAAAGGGACACACTTACCAAGGGATGGTAAAAACCTTCACTTACAAAGTCCTCTTCAAACTCTGTCTCTGAGTTTCTCAGTTTTTCTCTCCTTTCTCCACACCCACACCCAGAGTAATTCCCAGCGTGTGCTTTGGAAAGGTTAATCTTGGGTCTCCATACTCTATAGCTCCATCATTGTAGGACAATCAAGTGTCCTTTCAGTTCAGCCCTGGAAAACAACTCACAGTAGTGTCCCTGCTTATTGAATTAGTCAACCTGTCCAAGATCTGAGCTCTTTTACGGAAGTAATCCACAGCCCTTTAATCAGTAACACCAGGAATTATGCTGAGGAATACTCATACCCTTCTATCACCAACCAGGCATCACGCTTCTCATCTTCTCTCAACCTCCATTGTGCTATGCTCTGAGTAGGACACACAACCAGTGCCCACTCCGACCACCACCCAACTGAGTATTGTACCAATGAACCCTTCACCTTCTCCTCAGGAGTCTTAGTCAGTTTTGTGCTGGTTTAACAAAATACCTGGAATTAGGTAACTTATAAAGAACAAACTTATTTCTCATGGTTCTAGAGCCTGGGAAGTCCCAGTTCAAAGGGCCAGCTGGTGAGGGCCCTATCTCTCTTCTAAGATGGTGCCTTGTTGCTGTGTCCTCCTGAGGGGAAGAATGCTGCATCCTCCCATGTGGAAGGCAGAAGGGCAAGAAAGCCAAACACTGCTGCATGAGGCCTCTTTTATAAGGGCTTTAATCCCATTTATGTGGGAGGAGCCCTGCTGGCCTAATCACTTCTTCAAGACCTCATCTCTTAATTCTGTCACATTGGCCATTAAGTTTCAATACCTGAATTTTGGAGGAGACACATTCAAATTACAACTTCAGGTATGTAAGGAAATTGGCAATAACCTAAAATTTTAAAATTTCTCCTTATATACCCACTCTACCTACACTGGATAGAGGAGTACATGCAAATTAGGTGCCAGGCACTGTCCAGAAAGTCCCAAAGTTTACTTTCAAACCAAACCCTGAAATTGACTCTGGGTCACCAACATCATCAAAGCTTGGGGTGAGCACCAAACCTGGCAGGTGCACAATCAGGAATCACAGTGATGACAGTTCCCACACTGAGTGACTCTGAGCACAGACCTGGCAGGTGCAGAAGTGACTCTTCCAACCCCATTTCTTCATCCATCAGTGAGGAGGTTGGTCTTGATGATTTCTGGGACTTTACCATGCCTAAAATGGCACAATTCTGTGATTGAAAGAGGCATTTTCTCCTCAGCCCCTTCTGTTTCAGGTGAAGAAATCTAAGTCCCGGCTGGTTAACTGACTTGGCCAAGCTCATACTGGTCTTTAGAGCCTGGTCTTCTGTCTCCCAGTCCTATCTCCATCGAACCATTCCTCTCCTGAACCCTGGAAGCTGGATGGCCCTGGATTTTAGGAAAATGAACTGAAGAGGACACACAGCACACAGTAAAAGAAGCCCTGAGTCTGCTCCATGGATCCCTTTGGCATAAGGCAGGGCCCTTAGTACAAAGCCCATAAGTAGATGCCAATTCTTCTCCCTCTTTTCTTCTCCCACCATAGACCCCATTCAGAGCTCAAAGCAAAGCCCAGGGCAGAGGGAGCTCCCTAGGGGGTCTCTGCTTGGGACTGTTCAGATCTGGGGACAGAAACAGCAGAAAGCCACTTACTTCTGAATTCAATGTTGCTATGATCCCCAGCTAGCTCTGCGTGTTTGGAAGGAACACTGTGAGCTGACTTGGAGCCCAACTGGGGGTGCGGTAAGCACTTTGTAAGTATTCCCTAAGCAACACTCAGATAACCCTTTGGGAATAATTATTATCTCTCATTGATGGCAAAACTCATTCAGCCACAGGAGTGTTGAGTGCCTTGTTATGCTAACAAGGTGAAGTCAGTAGAAGAGAAAGCAGTCAGATCTTGAGTTCCACACCAAGAACTGCATGTTCAGTAGGTTCATTTAATATGGTTTCCTAAATGAAAGTCACTGATGGCTACTTGGCAATGGTCATATGAGAAAGTTCTGGCAAAGGCTGTTAACTTTTCTTTTTTTTGAGACAGGGTCTCATTCTGTCACCCAGGCTGGAGTGCAGTGGCATGATCACGGTTCACTGCAGTCTCGACCTCCCAGGCTCAGCCTCCTGAGTAGCTGGGACTAAAGGCGCATGCCACCACCCCCAACTAATTTTTTTGTATTTTTTGTTAAAATGGGGTTTCACCATGTTGCCCGGGCTGGTAAATTAAAGAAAAAAAAAGGGAGACATTGGATAGTTAGAATTAACCATCCAATAGAGGAGTTATATTATAAGAGATTTAATCTGGAAGAAGATCCTTTCTTTTGCAGGGTTGTTTGTGCCATTTTCTTTGATGATCTAATGCATCTTCAGTTTTTCCATGACCCAAGCCGAGACTGAAAATAATACAATCATGTGCAACCAACATTTTTTAGATACAAATAACTTGGAACACAGTCTGCCTATTGCTGTAAATGACTTACAAATTGTTCTATGTGAGGAACACCATGTGAGACTTCCAAATATCTGCCTAGGTGTCAACAAGTACCAAGGCAGGCTGATAGAAGTGACTGAATAGGTTCACATTCCAGGAACTCAGCACTCTGAAATGTCTGCATGGTTCAGAAAGCCAGGAACTTTGTGTGTGTATAATATAAGCACATTGATAAAAATCACACCACAGTGGTCACCCCTGCAACACTTCCAAATCCCATTGCCAGGGGTAACCGAAGAAAATGTTGAGATCTGATTAGCTAAGACACCCTTAGCTTATGTCAGTTATGTAGTAAGCTACATGGAAATGCAGCTATTCCAATACTATCACAAGTTTTCTTCTAAGCTTGGTCTATTTTGGAAATAGAAGTGAGATAATGCACAAAAAAGAACCAAGGAATATCGGAGTAGGAAGGGACCTCAGAGCTAATCAACCCAGCCTCCCACTTCACTGCACAGAGAAGTAAACTGAGTTGCTATCTTAGGTCACACATTCCCTGAAAGCAGAGCCTGAGACAGGGATTCAGGTGCCCATGATTTACTGAGGGCGTGCTCTTCAGGAAACACATCTGAGGGAGTAAGAGAAGTAGTATAAGGAAGAAGCAAGTGCTGGTTAAGGATGTGACCTCAGCAAAGTTCAGTCTTGGCCTGAAGGGCTCTGGCTATAGGCTTTCCCCCAAAAAGTGGGGAGCTGATATCAGAAGTGGATGGTTCCCAGAGAAAGGAACAGCTGTGAGCTGTTAGATCTCAGTGCCCACAGCAGCTGGGAGATGGGTCCCTGGGCCCGTGATGGGGATCGGGGCAGGGTCACAGTGTCCACTATGGCCCCAGAGAAATGACTCATGCAATGTGCCACAGACAACTCCAACCCAAGTTTTCTGGGTCTCATTCACTCCTCCTTCTACTACACAAAGCTGCCTCTTCAGAGTTTTTTGTTTTGTTTTGTTTTTTGAGTTTGTGTGTTTTCTCTTTTTCTTCAGAATTTCAGAACCCGATTTCATTAATTTTATTTCCCCAAGGATTGGATGACTTGGTGAACTCTGATAATCTGGAAAGATCTGAGGCCATTTTTTAATCCACCTGGAATAGCTCGATCCTTTTAATTATTTTTCAATTTGAACCTTATTTACTTTATAGTAAATGGTAAATGCTAGACATGTCCTGGTGCCTGCTTCACCCCAAGACCTTCCTAGAAACCGTGTCACATCCACAGTACTTTCTGTAAATGGACAACCTGTAGCCAGACTGATTAGAGTAGAAGGAGGCACCCGTCCCATGAACAAGCAATTCGTAGGAGAATTCTCTCTGTTTTTTCCTTTGTTTGCATGTTTTGAACCTCATGCAAAATAAATAAATAAAAGGTGTAAGCTGTGCAAATAAAATTTCTCAAAAATATCAGAGAGTCAGGCAATAATTAAGGGAAGCTGAAAGGTAAACCTATAACCGATAGGGAGATAGAGAGAGAGCGGGGGAAGGAAACAGAGAGACAGAGGGAAGACAAAGTGGCTAAATGGGCCACATAGAAGCTGATGTTCTAAGGGAGCATGCACTGAGTAATGAAGACTCTTGGAAGAGAAAAAACACTGGGTAGAGGATGAGGAGTCTAAGTCACCAGAGAATGGAACAGAAACAGAGAGGGGGGTCTCTGAGTCTATTGATGGCAGAGCTCAAAACTGAAGATCCATGAACTGTTCCTAAAGAAGTGGTGTTTTATAAGCCAGACAAAGGGTTTGGAAACCTGGGGAAGGTATTTGTCTACCAGAGTAGGACAGATATTAAGGTGGGAACACAGCTGCAGGCAAGAGGAGGAGACTTGGCTGGTCAGAAGATCATGTCCAGAGAAGCTAGGGGCTGATGAAAGGCAAAGAACTCGGGAATTGCAGCCAATGGTAATGAGTTGGGAGACCAGCCAGGTGGCAGAGCTCTCCCCAGGGGGATGGGAACAGACTGTGTGGTGATGTGGCACAGGCTTAGGGAAGTCAAAGGCAGGAACCATGACATGGGCACAATGCCAGTCCCAGGGAGACTTGGCAGGTGCACAGTCCAGGCCAGGTAAGAGGGGGGACCAATGAGAGGGGGGATAGAGGAAGGAAGAAGGGACCTGGTGGAAGCACCAAGTCCCAGGAGGTGGAGCAGCAGGATAGTTTCTTGAGGGTCTTTTCTTGGTTAAGGTTTCTTTTGTCCTTTCTCTAGCTTGGCAGGCACTGGAAGACTGGATGGAGTCTGAATCTCCAGGGGTTAAAGGCAGCTCCTCTTGTTATCTAAGTCTATGTTTGCTGAATATGCAAACATTCTGTGAGTATGGATCTTAAAAAGCTATCAAAAAGAGCAAAGCTCCTATAGGGAAAATGTGCTATTAATCTTAAAAGTTCTTTTCATTTT
Organism: Homo sapiens; assembly: GCF_000001405.40. Classification (NCBI taxonomy): domain Eukaryota; kingdom Metazoa; phylum Chordata; class Mammalia; order Primates; family Hominidae; genus Homo; species Homo sapiens. The sequence continues at coordinate 66,324,120 of NC_000005.10, read as the reverse complement.
TTTATGGCTGTTCTCCAATAAAACATGACATTGTGGTTTTGTTTATTTTAGAATACTATAGTTTTGATAAAGCCCCAAATCCTTACATCAAATATATTCTTCAATGTCAAAAGGGCATGCAAAGATATGGTTCCTAATGAAAGATTTATCTTTTATCTGACAGTGATGATTTAGCTAGTGCTGATCTCTTCATCCTCTTTTCCGTTAAAAAAAAAATAAGTTGAACAAAATTACCTTTCTTGGAATAACAGCGCCTCTAAAAACCTGCCTGCTTTGTCATTACCTCTGTAATCTCCCTTGGAGATCATGGGCTATTCATTTTCTCCCTAACTCCAATTTGCCTTTTGATATTTTTCTTTGGTTTGTTCAAACAGTCTCCCAATTGCCCAGCTCATCAGAGCGAGGCCTTGGTGCGAGCGGGAGCGTGTCGCCCAGCGCTCCGCCAGCTTTGGGCCCCTCCGTGCACTGTGGAGGAGCTTTGAAAATGGTCTAAGCTCTTCTCGTTAAAGCTTTCTCTAGCTCTTATCCCCGTGACGTCTTTTATCTACATATCATGTCAGAGGCTGCAGCTTCACGGTCCTAAAAAAAAAAAAAAAAAAGGTAGCTGCCAGGCCTTAAAAAAAGGAAAGAGAAAAAGAATGGCTGGAAAGATGAGAGAATTACATGCGAATGCTCAGGGGACCATGTACAGCTGGGAAGAGGGTTCCCTGCACGAGGAGGCCTGAAATTCAGCCTGTGTAGGGCTGCATGTGCCTGGACAGGTACCTCCTCCCACTTACACCAAGGGGCCATCTGGTTGGCAGCTACTCTGGGTTCTTTTCCAGATGTCGAGTTGGGCCAGTGACGGATAGATATAGTGTTGCTGCTTTTTCTGGTGTTTTGAGCTGTTGCTGTTGTCTTTGGTTATTTTCCCTTTCATTCCATCGGTGTGATTTCGTCCCTAATGGCCCCTGTGGAAAGTTCAGCAGCCCGTGGCATCACAGTGGTTCAGAGGATGCATTGCACAAATGAGAAATCTTACATACATCTCCTGCTTCTCCTCTTACACAGCCCTTTGGAAAGAAATTTCTCTCCATGTTTAATCAGTGGTGCACTCACTTCGTCCTTGCTAGATTTTGAATGCACAACCACATCCCACCTCATTAGTGACAAGAAAGCTGAGCCGTCAAGCATGGCTTACACTCCAGGAGCGGGGTCTGTATTAGAGCAAGGTCCAGGATCCACGCACAAGCTGAGTTGGCTTTTTCTTTTCTTTTAAGCTTTATCGATCTCAGGAAGAACTGAAGGTCTGTTGAAAAAGTGTGGGAATCAGCTCAACATACTAATTTATGTATTATTTATGCACTTAAAGAAGCCTAGACTCCCGGCAAGAAAGAAAAATGTGTGCAATAGAACTGCCATTGTATTCAATCCCAACATCCGGAGCACTTCACACACGCACTGTGAAGTCTCATGGGGGAGAATGGGATATGGGAAGCAAAGCAGAATTTGAAATTGGCCTGTGCTTGAGCACCACCTCCATCATGAGACCGGGGCAAATGACTGCACCTCTCTAGGCTTCAATTTTCTCATCTCTAAAATGCAGACAAATGCCTATTTGCAGGGTTATTATAAGAATTAAATGAGAAAAGTAGTGCATGAATTTCTAAGTCATTACAAATGCCTGTTGTAGGTATCCTGTGTGAGGAGGGGCACAGGTCCTGCTCCTGGGTTTCTTGTCATGGAATGGCCGCCTTTCCTGACCAAAGGCCCCAGTGAGAACAGACAACCCTAGAGCACTAAAGAATTCTCCTATCTTTACCAATAGGACACAGAACAAAGACTTGCTCCATTAATTCAGGCCACAGCTAGCATGCATCCATCACTCAATCTCTCTCTCTCTCTATACACATACATACATATATATACATATATATACATACATATATATGTATATATATGTATGTATGTGTATATATATATATATAAAATAAAATAAAACCACCTCAGTCACCCACCTACCATAAAGCAATAAGTCCAGTATTTTCCTAATAACCTCAGCCCCATATTAATGGCCAGCCTGCCTCTCATATTCGGCAAGGAGAGCACTGGTCTCTGAACAATCCACTCCTGCCTGGTTCCTTGCTGCCACCAACATGGCTGCTGAACTCTGACTGCCCACAGCCTGAGATGTTCCCTCCACACTGTGCTGGCCTTATACCTTTGGTCTTCTGAGGGAGGATGGTCAACTTTAATGTCCAGCTCAGCGAAGGCTGTGCACCCCTCTCCCCAGCAAGGGTTCTAGGACAGCAGTTCTTAGGTGATACTCCCTCCCTCCCTCCTCCAGGTGTCAGGATTCCAGGGATTGTCTGTCAGAATTGTTTTACATAGCAAGAACTCTCTGACTATTTCAATTCCCCGTAATCCACATCCCTGTGCCTCCAACCCCTAGAAAGCAAGCAGATCTTTCTTTTCAGCCTTTGAAATCCACTGGTTCTCCTCCTGTTCAATATCCCTGCTTCTAGCTAATTGAAACTATATATATGTTATTGTTAACTACAGTCATCCTACAGTGGTATAGAACACTAGAACTCACTCCTCCCATCTAGCCATAATTTTGTGTCCTTTAACAAATCTCTCCCTAGCCCCCTCTTCCCCCAACTCTTCCCGGCCTCTAGTATCCTCTATTCTACTTTTCATTTCTATAAGATCAACTTTTTCTAGCTTTCACATATAAGTGAGAATATATAGTGTTTAACTTTCTGTTCCTAGCTTATTTCACTTAACATAGTGTCCTCCAGTTCCCTCCATGGTGCCACAAATGACAGGATTTCATTCTTTTTATGGCTGATTAATAGTCCATTGTGTGTGTGTGTATATATATATATATATATATATATCACATTTTCTTTATCTGCTCATCTGTTGTTGGACACCTAGGTTGATTGCAGGTCTTGGCTATTGTGAATAGTGCTGCAATAAACACAGGGGTTCAGATGGCCCTTCAATATAATGATGTCTTTTCCTTTGAATAAATTCCTACAGCTCCCCTTTGTTCCCTTCCCCCCTCATCCTCCCCTCCCCACTCCATCCCGACGCGTACCTCATCTTCTCTCCTTCCCACCCACATCCAAAAAGGACAAAGCTTCCTCTTCAGTTTCACCACAGTGACTTAATCTCTTGTGCAAAAGACAAGGTAAATCCTCGGTAAGACCTTTTACTACAGTTGCAATATTTATCCAAATTGTCTTATGTGGGACAAACTCTGTGCTCGATAGTTCACATCCTTACCTCACTTAATTCTCACAACGACTTTGTGTAAATATTACAAAGAGAAACTGAGATTCTAAGGGGTTAAACGGCTGTTCCAAGGTCACACAGCTTGTCGACTCCACCACTTGTTAGAGCCCCTATCCCCTGGCATTCAGCTCCACACTCCTGTCCTGTATATTTCACAACACTTACTATGCCAGGACTTCTTAGCAGTTCGTAGCACTTCTCACAAAATAATCATTTCATCCTCACATACCCTGTGAGGTAAGTACTATTATTATCCCATTTCACAGATGCAGAGACTGAGACATAGGGAATTTAGATAACTTTTCCAAAGGCCTACAGCTGATGAGTAGACAGGGATGCAAACCCAGGTAGTCTGAGACCCTTCAGGTTGTATGGCTTCTACCTAGCCTAGCTCCTCCCAGAAGGGAATTCCCTCTCTCCCAGAATCCTACTCCCAGTAGAGGACTGGCAGTGTTGATGGGATAGGGTATGAGCCAGTGGGACAGGGACTATTGCATCCATGTGGCCTGGGAATGGGGTTTCCTACAGTCTCCTGTTCTGAGGAGATGGAGGCTGTGGAGCCAGGACCAGGGAGAGAAATGAGCCAGGATCTCCTGCTTGTGTGTGATGTTCCTGAGGCCCTGCCACAAATAGACTGTCAGAGTGCCCAAATCACACCTGAAACATTCCTTCTTTTGAATCCTATAGACTTCTAGACTGAGAGCCGCCTACTAAAATGAAAACACCTCTGGGAGCTGAATCTCCCTAAATACCACTTCAGCAGAGGTGACAAATGGTCAGAGCCACACAGCCTTTCTTTCACTTTTCTCCTCTCAGTTGCCACAGTGTGCTTAGCCCAGAAATGGCTCTCCCTGGCCATCAGGAGCAGAGCTGGGGGCCCTGGCCTAATGCTTAGGAAAGAGGGCGGCAGAGGAAGCTGACATCAGAGCCAAGGCTGAATTGCCACAGTCAGGTACAGTGAGACAGGGACAAACAAGTTCCCAAGGGGAGGAGAAATGTGGGCTGCCACCACAGGAGTCCCCTCCCAGGCTGCACAGAGCATTCCCTCATGGCACACATGTGTGCCACCTGCAGTGGCACCCTGAAACCTGTCCATCCTCCCGGCTCCACTTCCACACAACATGACAAACACTGCTTACTGGGAACCCCTGTGACTGTCTGACCGAGGAGGGCTCTTTTTCTGATTTTGGGAACATACTCAGCTGACACATAGGGCAAGGTGGAAGAGTCAAGGAGTTAATGACCCCAAAGGTAGCCTGAACCAGTGATGAAAGCTGCTGAATCAATATCCAGCTGCAATGACCCCGGGGGAAGTCCTATGTTGTCTCCCAACATTCTCCCACATGCCCCAGCTCCAGGTGCCTGGCTTTCACGTACCCTTTACTGGTGTCTTTTCTCGTCTCACTTCCCCACCCATCTACCAGTGGCTTCTGGAGTGAACTCTCAGTTGAGTTACATGTGCTCAAATCCTTGATTGGGGATCTGCCTTGGGGGGCATTACTCTGGGTATTTAATTTTATTCAATTTTCCCTCCATATTTTGTTTGTCTTCTTGGCTAGTTTGAAGCTGTTTTGCCACAATTCATTCTAGGATGTCATCCCCTGTTTTGCATTTTGTATGGATGCATAGACAGTCCTGTGACCCACAGGAGAACATACAGAAGTGGACTGTGAAGATAAAGGAGCAAAAAACAATGACAAGTATTGTCTTTAGTGAAGAGACACATTGACTATCATCCTTAAAATAAACTTAGCTCAATCATTTCTATCAAGCTCTATATTAGCTCATGTCAATGATTTAATAAACAATCATTGAGCACCAATATGTATAGAATATGCTGCTAGACACTGTGAGTGATACAAAGTGTAAGACACAGCTCCTCCCTCTGGAAGGTAATACATGAATTGAGGAAACAAAACCTGTGCACCTAACAACAACTCATCAAGCAAGATTGCATGCACTAAATACCAAATGGATGCCATGTGACTTTACATTTCAAGGGACAGTAGAATAAGTTTAATTTCTGGATATGCCATCAAAGAATTCAAAAAGAATTTCATTCCCTTTGCTAACTGCAAAGCAAATAGCTTTCCATCAGAGGAGCCCCTGGTCAGTTCTGCACTGCAGGGGAAGCAGCAGCATCAGAGATTTATTCACAGATGAAATTTATGATTGTCTGTAATTGATGCCTCTCAGAAGCATTAGAAAATACCTTGCTAATCTAACAAGGTATCTGACCTCAGAATCTCTACCAATAGCATTACTTCTTTGCATGAAATATTTGTTAGTTGCTTAGAGGCCCCCTATCCAAGCATGTTTTCTAGGGTTTAACCTGATTCTAGGGGTTATCACCAATGATCCCAAAATCCTTGAATCTCAGAGGTACAAGGGACCCAAGAGGTCTTCCAGTCTCACCATGTCTCCATAGGTCGCCCTCCAGCTTGGCCACTTCCAATGACCTGAAGTTCACTCCTTTGGTATCCCATTTCTTTGGAAGCATCCCAAAGTGGTAGAATATTCTTCCTCCAGTATAAAGTTTCTCTTGGAGTCGTAGAGAAAGGATGACAACAATTCTACAAAGAGAGAAGAAAGGCTGCCATAAATACCCAGTAGAGCAAGAAACTCACCCCACGTAGCGAAGGTGAAGCATGCATACTCTCATCCCAGGCATAGGCCAGCAGTGCTGAGGAATTGTTTTGAGGCATGCATACTCTCATCACAGGCATAGGCCAGCAGTGCTGAGGAATTGTTTTGAGGCATGCATACTCTCATCCCAGGCATAGGCCAGCAGTGCTGAGGAATTGCTCCCTCAAATATTCCCAGGAATTTATTCAATAGTCTTCAACAGACAGGTTTATAAGGTTCAGCGAGCCCAAATGACTTGAAAATACCTAAAGGCTAGACATTCTGAGGTTAGGCCAGGGTGCCATAATTACTTTTGTGTCTACTGGGGCTTGCCCTCAGAAGGGGTAGATCAACAACAGAGAATCCCAAGAGAGATCTTGACCCTTCAGAGAAAGATAGCTGTTTGGAGGGGTTGGGAGTCCCAGGAAGAAAGTAGATGCATGTTCAGAGTTCAACCTCTACCTGCAAGAGTTTATTGAGTATCTACTTAATATAACAACTGAAACAGTTGGTTCTTGCTTTTAAGGCACTCATTCCGTGTGCCTTTTATCCAAGCCTTTGATTTCCTCCAAGCTGCTGCACTTAAACTGATCCACAGTTGTAACATGTGGTTTCCTTAAGACTTCTTTTTTTTTTGAACAATGCAAAAAAATAGCAAAGATTAATATTTTGGAATTCCATATCACCATGATGCAGAATTAACAATTTTATTTGCTGTCTATTCATGAGCCTCATCCCTCCTTTTTCACTTTTACCCCCAAGCTTTCACTCCCAGAAAATCACTGCCCTGAGTTTAGTATGTGTCTTTCAGTCCATTTCTTCTATAATTTTACATTCATAATCCTTTATTTTCTACCCCAATTTAAAAGTTATACTTTCTACTTCAGTAAACTTTCAGGATACAAAATCAATGTACAAATATTAGTAGCATTTCTATACACCTATAATGTTCAAGCTGAGAGCCAAATAAAGAACACAATCCCCTTTACAATTGCCACACAGAAAAATAAAACACCTAGGAATACATCTAACCAAATTGGTAAAAGAGCTCTACAAGGAGAACTACAAAACACTGCTGAAAGAAATCATAGTGACACAAACAAATGGAAAAACATTCCATGTGCATGGATTGGGAGAATCAATATCACTAAAATGGCCATACTGCCCAAAGCAATCTACAGACTGAATACTATTCTTATCAAATTACCAACGTTGTTTTCACAGAACTAAAAAAAAAAAAAAAAAAAAAAAAAAAAAAAAATTCTAAAATTCATAGGGAATCAAAAAAGACCCTGAATAGTCAAAGTAATCCTAAGCAGAAAGAACAAAGCTGGAAGCATCATATTACCTGACATCAAACTATACCATAAGTAACCAAACATGGTACTGATGCAAAAACAGACACATAAATCAATGGAACGGAACAGAGAACCCAGAAATAAAGGCACACACTACAGCCATCTGATCTTTCTTTGACAAAGTTGACAAAAATAAAAAAAAATGGGGTTGGGTGCAGTGGCTCATGCCTGTAATCCTAGCACTTACTCCTGAGGTCAGGAGTTCGAGACCAGCCTGCCCAACATGGTGAAATCTTGTCTCTACTAAAAATACAAAAATTTGCCAGGCATGGTGGCGCATGCCTGTAATCCCAGCTGAGGCAGGAGAATCACTGGTACCTAGGAGGCGGAGGCTGCAGTGAACTGAGATCATGCTACTACACTCCAGCCTGGGCAACAGAGCAAGATTGGGTCAAAAAAAAAAAAAAGCAATGGGAAAGGACTTCCTATTTAATAAATGGTGCTAGTATACTTGGCTAGCCATATGCAGAAGAATGAAACTGGACCCCCACCTGTCACCATATACAAAAATTAACTCAAGATGGATTAAAGATAAAAATGTAAGACCTCAAACTATAAAGATCATAGAAGAAAACCTAGAAAACACCATTCTGAACATTGGCCTTGGGAAAGAATTTATGACTAAGCTCTAAAAAGCAATTGTGACAAGAACAAAAATTAACAAGTAGGACCTAATTAAAGTAAAGAGCATCTGCACAGCAAAAAAAAACTATCCACAAAGTAAGCAGACATACTACAGAATGGGAGAAAATATTCACCATCTATGCATCAACCAACAAAGGTCTAACATCCAGAATCTATAAAGAATGTAAAAAACTCAACAAGCAGAAAACAAATAACCCCATTTAAAAATGGGCAAAAGGTATGAACAGACACTTCTCAAAGACAACATACATGCAGGCAACAAACATATGAAAAAATGCTTCACCTCACTAATCATCAAAGAAATGTAAATCAAAACCACAATGAGATACCATCTCACACCAGTGAGAATAACTTTTGTCAAAAAGTCAAAAAATAACAGATGCCAGCAAGGCTGTGGAGAAAAGGGAATGCTTATTCACTGCTAGTGGGAATGTAAATTAGTACAGACACTGTGGAAAGCAGTTTGGAGATTTCTCAAAGAATTTAAAACAGAACTACCATTCAACTCAGCAAATACCATTACTGGGTATATATCCAAAAGGAAACAAACAAATCACTCTACCAAAAAGACATATGCACTTGTATGTTTATCACAGCACTATTCACAATAGCAAGGACATGAAATCAATGTAGGTGCCCATCAATGGTGAATTAGATAAATAAAATGCAGTACATATACACTAGGAATACTATGCAGCCAAAAAAAGAATAAAATCATGTCCTTTGCAGTAACATGGATGCATGTGGAGGTCATTATCCTAAGCAAATTGACACAGAAACAGAAAACCAAATACTACATATTCTCACTTTTAAGTGGGAGCTAAACATTGGGTGCTCAGGGACATAAAGATGACAACAATAGAAACTAAGGATTACTGGGGGAGGAGGAAGGATCAAAAAACTAACTGTTGGGTAACAAGCTCAGTACCTGGGTGACAGGATCATTCATACCCCAAACCTCAGCATCATGCAATATATCCAGGTAACAAACCTGCATATACAGTCCCTGAGTCTAAAATAAAAGTTTATTATGGCATAATAAATAGGTGGGTGAATTGTTCCTTAGTAAAATTAAATCTATTTTGTTAAATCTATTTGTTGTTATTGAAGTAATAAAACTTGCAATTTAATTTTTTTAATTTAAATTATAAATAAAAGTTTCACTTTCTATGTACATTCTTTTAGTGGTTACTCTTTAGATTTTAAAATACATACTTAACTATATTTTTGTAACTGAGTCTAAAGTTATTTGGTATCTGTATGTATCTCCTAAACTTTAGCTTGCTTTAACTCCCTTCCCAAATGAACCTTTGTTATTTTTATGTCAGAATTTTAGTTATATTTTGCTTTTAAACATATAAATAAGTTATTGTTTGCTTCTTGCATCCCATACCTTTCTTTTGGTCCATTTTTATTCCAGCTTTACAACATCCTTTATTATTTCTATCTGTGAGTGGTAAACTCTTCAAGTTCTTTCATATCTAAAATATCTTCATTTTTCCCTCACTTTTAAAATATCATCCAGCTGGTGTTATATAGTCTACAGTTTGTTTTAAAATATTTCAGAAGAAGTAGCATGACATATATTTCTGAATATATGCTAGTTGTGGTTGGTAAAGATTGGAAGTACCTAATCAATGATAAACACTCCAAGGTTGGTTAATTAGAATTGAAAGATCCCATTCAAGATTAGACTCCTCAGAGGCAACTTCTTCAAGCCTAGTAAATACTGCTGTCTAAAACCACAGGAGAGCATTAATTGGCATGATGATTTAGAAATATTTTTTAATTGTTGAAATAATTGGTGGTCAAGCTATGCAGATTGGTTAGGAATATTGTACAGGTACCTCCTTCACTTCTGCATGAACAGGGTGTAATATTAGGTCCACCCAGCAGCTCAACTCCCTGCAAGCAATGGACTTGCTTTCTACCTGTGTTCTACCATTTCACAGAGGACTCTGTTAATTTCCAACAGGAAAGTGAGCTGATTCTGCTTCTAGAATATTATCACATCTGCCTCTAGAGAGTCTTTTATGCAAGGCATTAGTAGAAATGCCTAAAGAATGAAGAAATATAATTTAATTGACCTTATAAGAACAAGCATGACTATTACTTGTGCCTGCTTACCAAAAAATGCTTGTGACCATGGTAGAATTCACCCTGATACTTGCTTTCATTATAAATATCCTACCTGGTGGCAAGATTGTGCAGAAGGAAATCTCACTTACTACTAATCACTGGAGGCCACCAAAATTTACCCAAAAAATAAGGCAGTGATTGACTAGGCTTAGGTTGGTTCCTAACAACTGAATATGAAATTCTAGGATTAGAGTGTTTCAGAGTGGTATCTATTGTCTTCTGACAATTACCAGTGAAAACTCTGCTGTCAGTCTGATTGCTGTTGGCTCACAGCTAACTCTGGTGGATTTTAGGATTTTATATTCTGCTGTTCTACCACAATGGAACTCACCAAAAGATTTTTTTTTCTCTTTCAATCCTTCTTGACATTCTGAATTTTTCTTTCTAGAAACCCATGTCTCCATATTTAGACAATACTCAGCCACTGTGTCTTTGAATCTTGGCTTTTTATCATTATCGCTATTCTTTCCTTACAGAGCTCTGCTCTTTGCTCCTAGAGTTTCTATTAGATATACATTGGAGTTTCTCATTCTATCCTCCATGACTCCTGATTTCTGCCATATTTCTATCTCTTGATCTCTCTATACTACATATGAAAAACTGTGTCAGTTCCATCTTTCAAATCATTAATTCTCTCTTTATCTGTGTCTAACCTATACTGTAACCCATCTACTGAGCTTTTTATTTCAATGACTATTTCTCATTTTTAAGATTTCAACTTGGTTCTTTTTAATTTGACTTTGAATAATTTATTAATATTTCTGGCATTTCTATGTGTTTGGCATGGAAACATGGTCTCTTAGCATATGCTCAATCTGGTCTTTTCACTCAAAAGTCATCACATTGATCCTTCAGTGTGGCTGGGAGTTGGATTTAAGGCAACTTGATTTTAAGAAGATATAATAGTAGAATTATGAGGAAGGCACCCAGAATCTTTTTACTGTTAGGCCAGAACCAGGAGAGGGACAATAGTAAAGCAGGAATCTGAAATATTTCATATGCATGGAGAAACCATTTTACAGCTACTTCACAATTACATCATGCTCTCTAATGATAGGTTTTCATCATCATGGATAGAGCTTGGCTTGGTAACTCCAAACTCTTGAGAGAAAACTGTGCCAAAAGCAGAGGTGTTTGATCCTGGGAGAGACAGTTATTAAGGGAAAATTTTATGCAAATAAATCAGCAAACACTAAGCAGCTGGATACCTGCTACCAGGGCAAGCTTGGAGAGACTTAGAGGCCAGCTGGCAGGGAAACTGCTAATTGAAAATAGACAATCATGGGGTTCTTAAGCAGATCAGTGATATCATGCTGCTACTTCATTTTTCTTTTTTTTTCTGCTTTGTGACAGAATTGAGAGAAGATACAAGGGACATTTTAGTTGGTTAAGGATGCCAGAAAGGTTAAAATCAGGCCACCCTCTCGGTAGTCAACAGTCTATACGGAAAAAAAAAAAGGATATGGTTCTGATGGAGAAATGGTGGAGACCACAGAGCTAGAAGTCTTGTAATTGCAAAAACAAAAGAAAACACTAAAAGAACTAAGATTTACTATTGTCCTCAGGACAAACAGGGTTAATATTAACTGAAAACCAGTTAAGCATTACTGTTGACTCTCCTGGAACAACTGCTATAATGCAGATTCCTGGGCTTCCATCCAGGTACTTGATTCAGTAGGTCTGGAATGGGGGTCAGAAATCTGCATGTTAATAAGCATTCAGATTCTGATAGGATTCTTATAGGAATAGTCAAAAAACACAGTGAGAAACATTGGATTAAATTGTGGTGCAAATTCTATCTAGTGATGGTAAATATTTCAATTTGGGGCTAAAATGTGATTTAGCTCTTAAATAAAATAATTATTGATTAGTAGATGTTTGCACTAAGTTATATGCATAAGCTTCTTTCATGGAAACAGAAAACTAGAGTGGAAAGCCATGCTAACTGGGCTTCTCTGTTACCCACACCTGTGAGGAGGGCGTCCTCTAAAGCAGCTCACCCAGCGCAGTGGTTCTCAATCCTGACTGCACATTAGATCATCTGGGGTGCTTATTAAAAATACCAGTGCCCCAAGAAAAGGATGCCCTCTCTTACCACTCCTATGCAACATAGTGTTGGAAGTTCTGGCCAGGGCAATCAGGCAAGAGAAAGAAAGAAAGGGTATTCAATTAGGAAAAGAGGAAGCCAAATTGTCCCTGTTTGCAGATGACATATATTTAGAAAACCCCATTGTCTCAGCCCAAAATCTCCTTAAGCTAATAAGCAACTTCAGCAAAGTCTCAGGATACAAAATCAATGTGCAAAAATCACAAGCATTCCTATACACCAATAACAGAAACAGAGAGCCAAATCATGAGTGAACTCACATTCATAATTGCTACAAAGTGAATAAAATACCTAGGAATCCAACTTACAAGGGATGTGAAGGACCTCTTCAAGGAGAAATACAAACCATTACTCAACAAAATAAAAGAGGACACAAACAAATGGAAGAATATTCCATGCTCACGGATAGGTAAAATCAGTATCATGAATATGGCCATACTGCCCAAGGTAATTTATAGATTCAATGCCATCCCCATCAAGCTACCATTGACTTTCTTCACAGAACTGGAAAAAACTACTTTAAAGTTCATATGGAACCAAAAAAAGAGCCCCCATTGCCAAGACAATCCTAAGCAAAAAGAACAAAGCTGTAGGCATCACGCTACCTGACTTCAAACTATACTACAAGGCTACAGGAACCAAAACAGCATGGTACTGGTACCAAAACAGAGATATAGACCAATGGAACAGAACAGAGCCCTCAGAAATAACACCAAACATTAACAACCATCTGATCTTTGACAAACCTGACAAAAATAAGAAATGGAGAAAGAATTCCCTATTTAATAAATGGTGCTGGGAAAACTGGCTAGCCATGTGTAGAAAGCTGAAACTGGATCCCTTCCTTACACTAAAATTAATTCAAGATGGATTAAAGACTTAAATGTTAGACCTAAAACCATAAAAACCCTAGAAGAAAACCTAGGCAATACCATTTAGGACATAGGCATGGGCAAAGACTTCATGACTAAAACACCGAAAGCAATGACAACAAAAGTCAAAATAGATAAATGGGATCTAATTAAACTAAAGAGCTTCTGTACAGCAAAAGAAACTACCATCAGAGTGAACAGAAAACCTACAGAATGGAAGAAAATTTTTGCAACCTACCCATCTGACACAGGGCTAATATCCAGAATCTACAAAGAACTCAAACAAATTTACAAGAAAAAAACGAACAACCCCATCAAAAAGTGGGCAAAGGATATGAACAGACACTTCTCGAAAGAAGACATCTATGCAGCCAACAGATACATGAAAAAATGTTCATCATCACTGGTCATCAGAGAAATGCAAATCAAAACCACAATGAGATACCATCTCACAACAGTTAGAATGGCAATCATTAAAAAGTCAGGAAACAACAGATGCTGGAGAGGATGTGGAGAAATGGGAACACTTTTACACTGTTGGTGGGAGTGCAAATTAGTTCAACCATTGTGGAAGACAGTGTGGTGATCCCTCAAGGATCTAGAACTAGAAATACCATTTGACCCAGCAATCCCATTACTAGGTATATACCCAAAGGAATATAAATCATGCTACTATAAAGACACATGCACACGTATGTTTATTGCAGCACTCTTCACAATAGCAAAGACTTGGAACCAACCCAAATGTCCATCAGTGATAGATTGGATTAAGAAAATGTGGCATATATACACCACAGAATACTATGCAGCCATAAAAAAGGATGAGTTCATGTCCTTTGCAGGGACGTGGAGGAAGCTGGAAACCATCATTCTCAGCAAACTATCACAAGGACAGAAAACCAAACACTACATATTCTCACTCATAGGTAGGAATTGAACAATGAGATCACTTGGACACAGGGCAGGGAACATCACACACCAGGGCCTGTTGGGGGATGGGAGGCTGGGGGAGGGATAGCATTAGGAGAAATACCTAATGTAAATGACGAGTTGATGGGTGCAGCAAACCAACATGTTACATGTATACCTACGTATCAAACCTGTACCCTAGAACTTAAAGTATAATAAAAAAAAAATAGGTAGAAGGCAAAAAAAAAAAAAATACCAGTGCCTGGGCTCTACCCCAAACCAGTTAAATCTGAACGTCCAGGAATGAAGCCCAAGTATCAGCAATTTTTAAAAGCTCACCAAGCAATTTTCAGGTGCAGCCAAAGTTGAAAACCACTCGCTCTAATGAGAACTGAAGGGCTAGTCTTGCAAAACGAACCTAGGAGTTCACAAACACGGATTTTGCTGGTAGGGCCTCTTTCAGAAATAACACCAGACAGGTGCCTTTACTTCCAACAGCCATGGCTGGTAAGTAGGAAATTTTAGCTCCATCCAGTCAAATACTGGCTGCGGTGGAAAATTAGCTCAGTCGTCATCATTGATTAAGCAGTATTTTTCAAAGTCTCTATTCATCAGGAAAGGGATCCCACTCAACAGATTAACAGGTTATTTTAGTGATTAGCTAGTGGTTTTCATCAGGTTAGCAAAATGCTTTATAGATACAGTTCAGTCAAACAGTAGCTCCTGATATTGACAAAAGAATTCTCCCAGCACTCTCCCCCACCCATTCCTGACTCTCAGGGTTGGGGAAGGCAGTCAATTCATCCCACCTGGTACTGTTGTTCCCATTGCCTCAGTCTACTCCATCCTGTCCATCTTCTCTTACACTCCAAGGCCAGGATAAGTTCTGGGTTTTGACTTGACAACAATATTCAAATTCTCCTTCTCAATTATTCTTTTTTGAATGAAACAAGCTTTATATCTTGAACACTTTTTCTACCCAAAATGCCTTGCAATTGTTGAGGTATTTGTATAGGCTTCCTCTGTACTTTCCATCTTTTTCACATCTTTTAAATAACAGTTTCAGCAAGCAGTGCCATTCAAGCAATTATCCGAATCATTTAGTCTGCCTTGGTTGGATACCTTGAGAAGGTGCGCAGTTGGCAGCAGAGAGACCAGGGACTCCTCTGCTCTTGCTCTGAATTCTCCCACCCCAGATTTCTGATCCTTTGCCAGCTTTGAGGAAGCAGTCTTGCTAGAGGCCCACTTCTTGTGGCCCTTAACAATTCCACCACAGGAAGCAGCTTGGTGTCATGGCGGGAGGGAGGTCTCAAGGCCCGGGAGCCTGGAGATGCAAGGGGGGGTCATGACACCACCTTTTGTAGCTGAGGGACCCTTAGGCAAGCCATTTAACTTCTCTGAGCTGCTGTTTCCTCTCCTGTGAAATGGAAATAAAAATACCCACCCTGCCTCCCTTAATAGATTGTTGTGAGAATAAAGTGAGGTGGTAGATGTGAAAGGGCTCTGGAAATTGTGAAGCCTCATATAGCTCCAAAGTTTTAGCATTAGACTGTGGATCCTCACAGCCCTGAATTCCATTCTTCATGACAAAGAAAGTTGTCAACATCAAATGCACAATTGAAGGGCCCCTTTGGGAACACACGACAAGTTCTCCTTCCTACTGTCTGAATTACTGATGGAGATAGATATTCCCAAGGCAGAGAAAATTCTGCTGGCTTTGGTCCCCTGAGAGCTGTCATAGAAAATATGACAAGAAAGCCTGCAGAAAGATAAAGGGATTAAGGGGCTTCAAAGAAAAGGGTTTTGTTTTAGCAAAGACCTTTTCTATAGAGGTCTCTAAACCAGTACAGGCTCTTCACCCGTCCCAGATGGTTTACATGGTGGCCCTGTCTGAAGGCCCCAGATGGCTAAAATGACCTCTATGAAAGCATCACACTGTCTGAGGAGCCTAAATCATAAGCAAGGCAATCAAGCTTCTACTTTTGTCACGTTGCACTGAGTCAGCCAAAACCCATCAGAGGACAAGTATTTTGCCAACGTGAAAACAGAATCATGCACATCTTTACCAGGATATTTTAACAGCAAAGGAAATCTGAATTCACTTGCCATATAAAGGAGAGGCTAGAGGAGTTATTCCTATCCAAAAAGTAAGCTGCCTTATGGTCAGAATGAAGCTCGGTTCCTAGGAATGAATGTCACATTAAATGCACAAGATTCAATGTGGAAAATGTATACAGTACAGATACAGTTTTAAAATACTGTATTAATAGAATGAGGGGAGCAGTTGTTCAAGCCTGTAACGCAGTTGTTCTAAGAAGCTTGATATCTAGTGACATCTAGTGGTGGCAGATATGAAAGCCTTCATGGCTACTATTTTCAGGATGGCAAAACAATGAATTCACCAAACTTGCCTATTGGTCGGAGTATAGTTTTTTGCAATTCTCATCTTCACTTGCCCATTCCCCATGGACCAGAACTTGAGAACTCACATCCAACGCAGAATATGGTAGCAGCACTAACAGAAAAAAAACAGAATATCTTCAGGCCTGCTGTATTTTTCATTTTTATTTAAATTGGTGCTTACCATAAACCTACTTCCTTTAGACACGGTAGATAATTGTAGCGGCAAGAATATGGCATTTGTGGGTCAAAAATCTAAGATGTATTGCCTGGTATAGACCTAACCTAGCAGACGGTATGACACTAAAGAATAACCTCGTTGAAGAACAAACAGCATGTTCCCTTTTGAAATAATAAGATTTTTTAAATGCTTTTTATCCAAAAAAGGTAGACATTCTCCCTTTTTACCTAATGAATTTGCTGTTCTTTAGTACTGTACCATTCAGACCTGGCTAGCATAAACTCCATCTTACCGGTCTAGTGTATTCCATGACGGTAAGGCTTCACTGTAGCAAGACAATACTTTTTCAATGTGTCTGAGAGAACTCAGCGTTCCAGTAGCCACAGCCTTCTGCTGTTGAGAGATTCCCTCCTATGAGGGCTTTGTTATCAGGAAGCCAGTAAAAGTCTCCGCCCAAATCAGTAGTAACAGCTGGAAGGGTCATCAGGGAATAACACTCAGCTGGGGCTTGCCTTGAGTATAGGAAAACAGCAATTGCTTTACTTCCTATTCACATCCCTTTTTGGAAATTCTCCTGGAATTTTGCAAAAGTACTCATCATTCATTCATTCAACAAAAGAAATAAGACTTTCGTGAGAGTTTCTTGTCTTAGTCATTGCATTTACCAGATAAGGTGGTTTTGAAGCCCACATTAGAATATAATTTGAGCTTGCATAAGCTGTATGATGCTTTAATACAAGCTTGTCCAACCCGCGGCCCAGGACGGCTTTGAATGCAGCCCAACACAAATTCATAAACCTATGAGATAACACAAATTCAAAACATTATGAGATTTTTTTGCAATTTTTTTTAGCTCATTGGCTATCGTTAGCGTTAGCTATTTTATGTGTGGCCCAAGACTATTCTTCTTCCAATGTGGTCCAGGGTAGCCAAAAGAGTGGACACCCCTGCTTTAATCCATTGTACCACAATCCTACAAGAAACCATCCTCAGAGGACACGTTTTCCTGGATCTCATCCAGGCTGATGGGTCCTCAGGAGAGCCCTCTAGTGCTCAGAAGCAGTATCTGCACCAAGAGGAGCTCATTGCAGCTAGGTACAGGCTACAGTCAAGACCTAAAGGGAAGCCCTGGGAGGTTCTAATGCCGGATTCAAAAATCAGGGGCGGGAAGGGGGAAGAAGAGGGCATAGATGGAGTCTGAGGAATCCTGTAGTCCTCCGCACACTCAACAGCAAGGCCAGTAGCCTCTCTGGAGTTCACAGATGAACAGCCTCCTGCCCCATTGACCTGGAGGAGGAGAGAGGAGGATATGCCTTTACTGGTCAGTGAGCATCTTTCCACCAACACTCCGTTCCATGGCTCTAATGCCGTTAGGAAGAGCAGCTTGGAGAGCTGGCTAGCTACCTGTGTGAAATATTTGCATGGCTTGCTTCATAATTTCATTCAAGTGTCTGTTTGAATGTTCCCTTTTTATAATGGCCTTTCCTGGCCCTCTATTTCAAATATCCCACCCTGCCCTGCTTGCTACCAGAGCTCTCTCCTGATCTCCAGACTGGTAGTTCTGGATGCCACTTGAACTGCCACCTAGAGGCATCCAGGACTACCAATGGCTGCAGCATTTTGTCCTCAATTGTCCACAGCTGAACACATCTTCTTCCCCCAGACCTGTTCCTCCTCCTCCTGGGGTCCCCACCTCAGTTACCAACACCATCACCATCTGGCCACTCAAGCAGGCATTCCGGACTCACGTCATTCCTTCTTCTCTCTCAACTCCCTCCCAACCTCCTCCTTCTCCCCTGATTCAGGCAGTTACCAGAACCAGCTGGTTCTTCCCATTAAATTTCCCTTGGATTTGTCCCCTCTGCTCCAGTCCCTCTGTCCCTCAGTTCAGCTTCTCACTGCCTCTTATTTCTCACTTGGACATTGAAATAATCTCCCTGCTTTCAGGCTTACCTCCCACAATTCATTGTCCACACCGAAACCACAACACGCTTTCTAGTCCTATTCTGTGGCCCCCTACCTGCTAAGTTTCCCCTCCCCATCATGTACAGGATGAAGTCCAAGTCTCTTTATAACCTGGATCCTAGGGTTCATCTCTCACCATTCCCCACATGCTCACCTTGTGTCATGCTCACACAGGTAGTCCTATTTTTTGGAACATTCCACCCTCTTCCATGCCTCTGTGCCCTTGCACATGCTGTTCCCTCTGACTGGAATGGCCTCCCCCATCTTCCCAGACCTCTGCTCCTCAGCCCCCTTACCCATGGATTTAGTTGCTTCTTCCTCTGAGTTTTCATAACACTTCACTTTATCTCTATCCAACAACTGTCTCATATATTTTTCATAATAATCTTTTCACCGATATGTCTCCTCCACTAGACTGTAAAATCCCCGAGGGAATAAGACAATATTTTCATTATTCTTTGTATCTCTAGCATTTGGCATTGTACTCAGCACATATTTAACGGCTCAATAAATGTTTGTTGAATGAATAAAAATTATAAGCCATCAGTTACATAGATAATATGGGAGCTTTTTGGAGTCAGAAGAGCAAAGGGACTTTGCTCTTCCGCAGCCTTAATTATCCAGGTTCCCCTTTTTATCTTCTTTTTCCCCAACCAAACCCTTATTTCCTTCAGGGAAACATCCTCCTCCATGCAGCCCATATGGGAAAACTAATCTCATTCCCAGTTCCAGAATGTTCCAAAGGTAATGCCATTCCAATGCCTTCCCAGTAATTGGTTCCAGATGAGCATATGACTGAACTTGGACCTAGGAGACATGAGAAAAGATTTTCTGAGGGCTTCTCAAGCTTGAAGAAACAACCCTTGAACTCTTTCTCTAGACATTGCTACAAGCCCAGGAAGAAGAAGCCAGCAGAGCCAAGAACATCTTAGGAAAATGGGGCAAGAGCCCCTGGATTAAGCCAGCACTGATGCCTACCCATCTCTGGACTTCTCATCATGTGAGCCCAATAAATCCTCTTTTTGCTTAAGTCCTTTGGAGGTCTTTATGCCATTATTCTTACTCATAATTAAAATCATCTCACCTGAAACATATATTCAAAATAATATACATAAATAAATATGTATGTGAAAAATATCACTTAATCACTCATGCCCTGCTTCATTCTCTAAAAGTAAATCATATTCATATCACCCATCCCCTTTGTGAAATATGTAGTAAGTCCTCAATTAACGTCATCAGTGGGTTCTTGGAAACTGCAACTTAAAATAAAACCAATCTTGCCTATAACCCTAGTGGTTTGGGAGGCCAACACAGGAGGATGGCTTGGGAACAGGAGTTCAAGACCAGCCTGGGCAATATAGCAAGACCCTACTTCTACCAAAAAAAAATTAATCAGCTAGGCATGGTGGCACATGCCTGTCCTCCCAGCCACTTGGGAGGCTGAGACGAGAGGATTGCTGAAGCCCAAAAGTTTGAGGTTACAGTGCGTTATGATCATGCCACTGCAGTCCAGCCTGGGCCACAGACCGAGACCTCGTCTCTAAACAAAACAAAACAAAACAAAAACAACCAGCACCAAAAAGAAAAAAGAAAAAAAAAGATAACAACTTTCCATTGGCTATTTGGTATAGACAAGAGTTAAATTCCTATGGCATATTTCTGGTTGCAAAAACGTCACCAAACTTCTAAACAAAGACCAAAACATTTCCAGTGTTAAACATTGAAATAAATGTGAGCTATACATCCATTTAAGAAATATTAATAGGCCGGGAGCGGTGGCTCATGCCTGTAATCCCAGCACTTTGGGAGGCCGAGGCAGGCGGATCACTTGAAGTCAGGAGTTTGAGACCAGCCTGGCCAACGTGGTGAAACCCTGTCTCTACCAAACATACAAAAATTAGCCGGGCGTGGTGGTGTGCACCTGTAGTCCCAGTACTCGGGAGGCTGGCAGGAGAATTGCTTGAACCCGGGAAGTGGAGGTTGCAGTGAGCCAAGATCGTGCCACTGCACTTCAGCCTGGGTGACAAGAGTGAAACTCCATCCAAAAAAATATTAATAAAAACGAGTAAGATAATTATTCACCCACTTATACCACTTCAGGGTTACGGGTGGTCAGAACCTATCCTAACAGCTCAGGCTGCAAGATTGGAACCAGCCCTGGCCAGGACATCATCCCATCACAGGGTGCACTGACACACACCCACACTCACTCCAGATGAGATTATTTAGACATGCCGATGCACCTAATGCACACATCTTCATGATGTGGGAAGAAACCAGAGTACACAGAGAAAACCCACACAGACATGGGGGACCATGCAAACTCCACATAGACAATGGCCCCAGCTGGGAAGCAATTTTTTTTCTCATCAATGTTATAACAAAATGATGCTGAATGAAATGACATTATCTGAGGACCTGCTGTGGTATAGCTTAAGAAAAATCAGTAGAGCAACCAGTGTCAGCCCAAGTTCATCACATAACATTGACTGACAATTCTGTCACCTTTTGACAAAGCTTGTGTAACAGCTAACATCCTGATGAGTAGAAGGGCAGAGGCTGTCAAGAGGAGTTCAGCTTCAAATTTCTATCACTGTACATTGTCCTATAATTTCTTCCCTAGCTTTAGTCACTACAGTATATTGATATGTCCATCAGTCCCCTGGTTGGTTGCCTTTAAAAAAAAAAAAAGACAATGATGTTAACAATTCTTAACCATAGGTGCGAGGCTCCACAAAGCTGTCACACTGAACCTGAAAGCTAAGAGAACACAAACAGGCAAGTCTGGGCCCCCTTTGGGAATGATCTTAGACTTGGGCAAGATTGCTGGCTGGGTCGGTGTTCGGTGTTCGCTCAGGAAAATGAAACCCCTGGGGATATTTTGATGAGAAAAGGATGTAAACAGACGCTTAGTTATAGAAGTGGTAGAAGGCCTGGAAGAACATACGAGAAAGAAAAGATTTGGTTTGGGCATAGGAGCACCAAGGCGAAGGGGGTTACCCAACCGTCTGCAAGCGGCTGCTGCCTGTGGACAAGAACTTGCACGTGGCGCTCCTGCTGGAGAAGGCACTGCTGCTGCCCATGGGGAACCAAGGAGCCTACAGGCCCGCTGGTGCCACCAAAGCCGCCATGATGCAGTTGCCCACGGCCGCCCTTAGCCACTCACTGCTGCCAGCGGCCTCCCTAAGTCTCCCCACCTGCTCCCAGTGAATGCCCTCCACTGTGGGAGCACTGGCAGACCTAACAGGAAGGGAGGGTGGTTTGCAGATTTCAAGCCCCCAGGGAAGAGAAGAGAGCATGGAAGGCTGAGTGTGGAGCTTTTCTGCCCCTGCCACCAAGGTCAAGGTCATATGGAACACATGATGCCTTTGAGAATAACAAAGGTGTGTAATGTTCAAGATTATTTCATGTATTTGTTCAAGAAACTCCTATAATCCAATAGAGGAGCTCAGAGAAGTATAAGGAGGCAAGAGTCAGATTATACAGATAACCCCTGCAAGGGCAAGATACCACAGTCCATCACTTACTGTTTGGTGGTCTCACATTCACATGGAGTCAAAGGACAACTCACAGGAGTTTGTCCCTTTTCCCCTTGCCTTGCCTGCCAGTTCACACACAGGCCACATCTTTCTTCCTTACATTTGCTTTGTTCTTCCTTCCATTTTCTCCCCATTACCCAACCCCCCACCTTTTTATGTTTTTTGCTTGTTTGTTTGTTTGTTTGTTTGAGATGGAGTCTCTCTGTGTCACCCAGGCTGGAGTGCAGTGGTGAGATCTCAGCTCATTGCAACCTCCACCTCCAGAGTTCAAGCGATTCTCATGCCTCAGCCTCTGGAGTAGCTGGGACTACAGGCATGCGCCACCATGCCAGGCTAATTTTAACATTTTTGTAGAGACAGAGTTTTGCCGTGCTGCCCAGGCTGGTCATGAACTCCTGACCACAGGTGATCTACCCACCTCGGCCTCCCAAAGTGCTGGGATTACAGGTGTAAGCCACCGTGCCCAGCCCCCTCAGTGTTTTTAACCAATCTCCTGATGCCTCCCGAGTGGACCCCCTCAATGAAGCCAGAGGGACTAGTTGGTTCTTTTGAGCCTCCCCAGCAAACAAATCAAATAAATGTTCCTCTTGTTACTATTTACCATGCTTGCCACAAAAGCACAAAGTATTACTATGCTAACAGAGTTCCTGTCTTTTCTCCTCATCTTCCTGAGACCACTGTATTAGTCTTGTTCACACTGCTTTAAAGACATACCTGAGACTGGGTAATTTATAAAGAAAGGAGGTTTAATTGACTCAGAGTTCTGCGTGGCTGGGGAGACCTCAGGAAACTTACAATCATGGCAGAAGGTGAAGTAGGCACGTCTTACGTGGCGGAAGTTGAGAGAGAGCAAGCAAGAGCAGGGAAAACTGCCTTATAACGCCGTCAGATCTCATGAGAACTCACTCACTATCAGGAGAACAGCATGGGGGAACTGCCCCCATGATCTAATCACCTGCCACTAGTTCCCTCATTCGACACATAAGGATTATGAGCATTAAAATTAAAGATGAGATTTGGGTGAAGAGGCAGCCAAACTATATCAACCACCTTTCAAGGAATAAGGAAGAACATCCTGGAGAAGTTTACCAGACCTCGTTTGGAAAGATGTCAAGAGCATACATGGAAGCTCCAAATTATACGTCGGGCTTGCGAATGTGCTGCTTTGAGGGTTCCAGAACCTGCCTCCATGGAAGAATCCCACTCCTCCCCACCCTTACACAAATACCATGTCCCTAATCAGCAATGAGTTCCAACCAAAGAAAATTCTCTCTTCCTGATTTCTGTACAGAAGCTTAGGAATTCAAGCCAAGGAATTTAAGTTGTGTTTTTAAAGGATTATATCTATGGAGATGAATACTAAAGCCAATGTGTAGGTGATTGTGAATATTTCATTCAAACCCAAAATCTCTTCCAGTGGTCAACAGCAAGGGCTATAAAATGCAAGCATGATATCTTCCCTGCTTATTTCACCTCTAAGCAGTAAGGGAAACACCTTGCAGAAATAAAACACTCCTTGGCCAGCCTCCCACATCCCCCAAGCCCCAGCATTTGGGTCCAGATCCACCTCATCAGAAGGGAGGCGCAGACACCATGAAGGAGGAGATGGCAGGCGTGTGGCTACATGATGGGGGGCATCA
This sequence comes from Homo sapiens, assembly GCF_000001405.40. Lineage (NCBI taxonomy): Eukaryota > Metazoa > Chordata > Mammalia > Primates > Hominidae > Homo > Homo sapiens. The sequence goes on along the minus strand of NC_000005.10, from coordinate 66,300,458 downwards.
TGAAGCATGGGCTCCACTTGGGCGTCTCCCCTCTGCATCTATAGGTGGTGCTATGACTGTGTCCAGACACCTGCTGTCCTCACACATGATGCCTCTTTCAAAAGGGTGGGGGAGAAAAAGAGAGAGAACTGCGTACAAAGGGGTGCATGTGCTTTACCTGGGTGGAAGCAAAACAGACTAGCACCTGCAAGACACCTCTTTAGAGACATTGAAAAGGACATTTGACATAATCAGCTCTTGCAGTAGCCCACCAGGTTTCCTGAAATTGGATTCATGCATCACTTAAGGGCCCCAGAATGTTTTTGCTGGCCTAAGGCAGCATAGTAACCAGAAGAAACGTATTCATGGCCCACATTGCCGCTGGGTAAACTTTGGTGACTATGGGTAAATGGCCATCTCCAACAGAGATTTATTTGTCAGACCGAGCACTATCATTCCCTCCTGATCAGAAGAACAGGGTCTTCTCAAGAGCCCCATGGGTCTTGGCAGCAGCAAGAGGTAGCATAACAGAGGGCCTAAGAGCATGGATTCTGGAAGAAGCCAGTCCTAGTTTTGATTCCTGGCTCTTTCACTTACTACTGTGTGGCCTCAGGCAGTTTACTTAACCTTTTCTGTTCTCAGTTTCTTCACCTGTAAAATGGACATGTTAATAATAGTGCCAAGGTAGGTAGAATTCTAAGATGGCCCCAAGATGCATACTCCCTAGTGTATAATTTCCAGGACTGTAAATATGATAGATTTCACCCCCTTGATTAGGTTACGTTATATGGCACTGATTGACTTTAAGAAAGGGAGATTGTCTGGGTGGGTCTGACCTAATCAGGTGAGCTCCTTCAAAGCAGAGCATTTTCAACCAGACACAGAGAAAAAAAAGCCAGAGTGATGAACTCCTGCTGGCCTGAAAGAAGTAGAAATGACCAGGTTGTTAACTGCCTACAGGGGCCAAGTGGCAAGAAGTATGGGAGGCCTCCAAGACCGAGCTGACAGCCAACAAGGAAATGGAAATCTTACCCCTATAACTGCAAGGAACTAAATTCAACCAACAATCTGAATGAGCTTCAAAGTGGATTCTCTCCAAAACCCCAAGAAAGAAACACAGCTTGGCTAACACCTTGATTTCAGCCTCATCAGAGCCTGAGCAGAGGACTCAGTCATGCCATGCCCAGACTTCTAAGCTACAGAAGTGTAAGTTGATAAATGGGCATTGTTTTAAACCACTCGACATGGGGGTTTATTATGCAGTAGAAAGAAACTGATACAAGTACCAAATTCATAAGGTTTTGCTGAGGAAAAAATACACATAAAGCATTTAGCACGGTTTGTGGCTCAGTGAATGTTAGCGATTCTCAACATCCATGAGTCAACAACAAGGCACTGAAAGAAAAGACAAAGCTTTACAGCATCAATGTCCTACCTTGAAAAAATCGCTTAACCTCTCTGAATCTCAGCTTCCCCACTAGTAAAATGAAAGAGTGTAGCTCAATAATAATATTGGCATAGAGCCTTCACAAATGGTAGCTCATTCAATTGCTCCAACAGACCATGAAGATAAAATACAATTATAAAATCTCATTTCCCAAATATAGAAATGAACATGCTGAAATTCAGAGAGGCCACTTGGATCAGCTAAGATTGCACATAAGTATGGCAGATTGAAGTTCTGAACCCAGAATTTCTGACTTTCAATCTTGTGTTCCTTCCAGCTATACCTTATTCCCTCAAAAACCTTTGCAGTTCTGAAAGTGTGTGATTCAACAATATTTACAGCAGTTGTTGCTCCTGATGGCTGGATTTATCCAAATGCCTCTGTTCTTTTGTCCTTGTGAGCTAATATCGCCTGACCATGGTGACCACCCTGTGTATTATGATCCCCTTGGCCTTTGCTTGTTTATTTCTTTAGCTGTACTATGGTGTATTTACCTCACAGTGTGAATTCCAACATGAAGGAAGCAGAAATAAGGTTGGAGGTTGAACCCTGAAAGGAGAGAGACCTTGGGCCACCGACCAATACTGGTTACATAGTCACGATGGCTGAGCCACAGACTCTCAGAACTTTCCACTCACTGTACCTCACAGGTGAGTTCCTAACAACCCACAAAGTAATAATTACAAAGATCTGTCTCCATAGAAACCTTGGACACCTGCAAGTATAGTTTCAGTTCATTCTTATTTTATATCCCTCCATAGTGAAGAAGGAATAAAAGGAGAGGAGGCAGGTAGTCAAAATCACAAAGGTTAATAATTTGCCTCCCTAATTCATTTGGAAATACCACTATCTTTAAAATTTCTGTAAATTTTTCACATAATTCAAAATTATCCTCTGTGGTGAATTCCTTCAAGCAAGAATACCTTAATGTAAATGATCACTCTGGTATTATGGCAGTCACCTTATCACCCCCGCATACTACATCTGAAACCAGGTAACTAAAGGACTCTTTCCCTCAAGCATTCTTTCAGCCAATATTTATCATGCCCGTTTAGAATCTGCCTCAGTGCTAGAGCTGGCTGGGATGGAAAAAGTTCAGAACAAGGTTCTTGCTCCTAATTTAATGTCAAAACACTATCCACATACTTGCGATGGTCGATTTTATGTGATTTAGCTGGGCCACAATGCCCACATATTCGGTCAAACATTATTCTGGATGTTTTTGTAAGGGTGTTTTTGATGAGATTAATATTTCGATTGGTGGGCTCTTAGAAAAGCAGTAACCCTCCATAATGTGGGTGGGCCTCATCCAGTCAGTTGAAGGCCTGAATACAACAAAAGATCGATCTCCCCTGAGCAAGAAGAAATTCTGCCATCAGATAGCCTTCAGACTTGAACCGCATATCTGCTCTCCCCTAGGTCTCCCCTGGGTCTGCAGCCCAAACTGCAGATTTTAGACCTGCCAGTCTCATCACCATGTGAGCAGCCAATTCCTTAAAACAAATATTTCTAGATAGATAGATAATAGACAGACAGAGAAATAATAATAGATGATAGATAGATAGATAGATGATAGATAGATGATAGATAGATAGATAGATGATAGATAGATAGATAGATAGATAGATGATAGATAGATAGATAGATAGATAGATAGATAGATAGATAGATAGATAGATAGTAGATAACCTCCTATAGGTCTGTTTCTCTGTAGAATCCTAATACTGCAAGTGATTATTGAACCATGCATGTCACAAGTCTAATTAGAAGTGACAAGGAGTTCAGGGGAAGAGGCTGGCAGAGAGGAGGAGAAAGAGTTTTCAAAGATTAAAAACTGAAAACTGTGCCTTAAATAAAAGAGAGGATTAAAGCAGGCCAAGAAGAGGAGGAAGGGCACGGGCAAAGGAGGAAAGGTATCAAAGATAGTAACAACAGCTGCTGGATACCGAGCAACGCCTCTGTACCAGGGCCTGTGATCAGAGATTTACATTCATCATTTTATTCAGTGCTTATGGAAACCCTACAGATGGCTGAGATCCAAAACACAGACAACACCAAATGCTGGTGAGGATGTGGAACAACAGGCATTCTTATTCATTGCTAGTGGGGATGCAAAATGGCACAGCCACTTGGGAAGACAGTTTGATAGTTTCTTACAAAGCTAAAATAGGCTTGTACTTTCCAGCAATTGAGTTCCTAGGGTATTTACCCCCATGAATTGAAAACTTATATCGACACAAAAACCTCCACACAAATGTTTATAGTACCTTTATTCATAATTGTCAAAAAACCAGAAGTAACCAAGACACCCTTTGGTAGATTAGTGGATAAGCAAACTGGTCCATATTTATAATGAAGTGTTATTCAGAAATGAGCTTTCAAGCAATGAAAAGACATAGAGGAATTTTAAATGCATATTCTAAGTGAAAGAAGCCAGTCTAAAAAGGCTACCTACTGTGATTCCAACTATATGCCATTCTGGAAAAGACAAAACTATAGAGACAGTAAAAAGATCAGTGGTTGCCAGGAGTTGGGGAGGAAGGAAGGGAGGAATGAAGAGATGGAGCATGGGGGATTTTTAGAGCGGTGAAACTGTTCTGTATGATACTGTGATGATGAATACATGACATGCGTTTGTCGAAACCCAGAGGAACTATGAAATAGGAAAGGGAGAGAAGGGGTATATGAGAAATTGTACTTTCTGCAAAATTTCTTCACAAACCCACAACTGCTCTAAAAAATAACGCTTATTAATGGAAAATTTTATAACTCTAGGGGATAGGTATTATCCCCATTTTACAGGTAAGAAAACTGAGGTAGAGGCATAAATAACCAAGTTGATACAACACTACTAAACAATGGCAGCTCCGGGCAGCAAATGAAGGAGGTTCTGTGCTCACCCTCACTTCCTGCTGAGGATGCAGGGGGCAGGCAGAGCGCTCCCACTCTCTCTATCTCTTGCACAAATGCTCTGTGTCCCCACACCAGCCAACAATTAATGCCTGCCCTTTCATCGTTTTTCTACATGTCTCTGTTTCTCTCTATTTCTCCATTTAATTATTTATTTATTTATTTATTTATTTTTGAGACAGTCTCACTCTGTCACCCAGGCTGGAATGCAGTGATGCAATCTCAGCTCACTGCAGCCTCCATCTCCCAGGCTGAAGCAATTCTCATGCCTCAGCCTTCTGAGTAGCTGAGATTACAGGTGTGTGCCACCACACCTGGCTAATTTTTGCATTTTTAGTAGAAACGCCATGTTGACCAGGCTGGTCTCTAACTCCTGGCCTCAAGTAATCCACTTGCCTCCGCCTCTCAAAGTGCTGAGATTACAGACGTGAGTCACTGCACCCAGCCTAATAATTCTTATATATGTCTTGCTCTTGTTATCCATCTCTGAAGCCAGCACAAGGCCAGTAAAGGTCTGGTAAATTACCTGAATCTATTCAGGGTCCTGACACGGTCAACAGACACACAGATTCTGACTGTAGCCTTCTCATTAAGCTTTTGGGTGTTTTTACGCTGCTGAGACCTCTTCCTACGCCCAAGGTTCTGTTTGGCCTCTGAACATCAGATACCCCCAGGGTGGCCAGTTCATCACCCACTCTTGTTTTTCCCAACACTGAAATGGGGCACACAGCCCTCGACTTTATTGGAGTATGATGGAAGTACACTAAACTGTGCATATTAGAGTGCACAATGTGATCAGTTTGACACATGTACAGTACTGTAAAAGCACCACCACAATCAAGATAACAAACATTTCCACTGCCCTGCAAAATGTCCTGGTACCCCTTTGCCCCGTCCCTCCCTCCACCCCTTCATCAGGCAATCAGTCTCTTAGCCACTTTCTAGCCCTATAGATTGCTTCCCATTTCCTAGAGTTTAGATAAATGAAGTCATAGAGTATGGACTGTTATTCTGGATCTTTCACTCAGCCTAATAATTTTGAGATTCATCCACATTGTGCATATCAGTCCTGCATTTTATTTTCTAGCTTTTTTCTTCTAGTTTATCCATGCTCCTGTTCTGGACATTCATTTCAGTTTGGAGCTATTATCCAGAAAAACTGATGTGAATATTTGTGTACACATTTTTCTGTACACATGTTTTCATTTCCTTGCATAAATACTGAGGAATGGAAGGGCTATTTCGTACGGTAAATATACATTTAACTTTTTAAGAAACTGACAAACTGGAAGTGATTGTACCATTTGACATTTCCACTAGCACTATGTGAGAGTTCCAGCTGCCCAATACCCTCTCCAATGCTTGTTATGATCAGCATTTTGTTCTGCTGTTTTATTTGTTTACCATTCTAATGGGTGTAGTGTGGGGGTATCCCACTATGGCTCTATTCACGTTTGCTTACTAACTAGTGATGTTGAGCATATTTTCATGGGCTTATTGGCATTTGATATATCTTCTCTGTCATGTTTATTCAAACCTTTTGCCCATTTTCTTATTGGGTTGTCTTCTTATTTTTGATCTATAAACATTCTTTATATGTTTTAGATCCAACACTGCATATTTCTGAGAGGGCCAGACAGACAGGGAGGACCTAAGCTGGCAGGACTCTCTAGCGTGGTGCTGTGGGATCTCCCTCCAGACTGGGGTCCAGCCCTCTGCCTCTCTGTGTACTTGGGAGGATGTGGCTCAGCAGTGCTGTTGAGCCCCTCACAGGCTGTGGGAATGCACCAAGGAGAGAAAGTGTTTCTGCTACATGTCACCTGCAGGCTGTGGCCACGGAGGTCTCTCTCTCATGGTCAGGATCTCCTTCCTCCTACCTCCTAACCCCAAGGCCTGAGCACCAAGACGCCACTGCCCTGTCTCAGCACCGCAGGCCCAGGACTTGAGCGGGAGCCCGTGGAAGGCTTTTTGCTTGGAGGAAACATCTCAAAGTCCTGGACTAAAGGCTCTGGACATCTAGAGCAGTGTTCTCTGACTGTCGCGTGCATGGGAGCCACCGGGGAGCTTGTGGTGCAGGTTCCGCTTCAGGAGGTCTGGGTTAAAGTCCAAGATGCTGCATTTCTAACATGCCCCAGGCCATGCTGATGCTGCTGGTTCTGGGACTACAGGTTGAGAAAGGAGGGTCTAGGGCAGGTCTCAGAGCGAGGACCACCCATCAGCAGCAGCCGCACCCCCTGGGAACTTGTAAGAAATGCAAATTTTGGGGCCTGACCCCAGATGTGCTGAAACTGCAACTCAAGGGTGAGGGTCTGCGGTCTGTGTTTCAGCAAGCTCTCCAGGCGATTCTGATGTCTGCGAGCACTTGAGAACCGCTCTGCTGGACAACGAAGCCCATCATCACTTCTCCTACCACCCGACCTGCGTGTCTGAGAGCACTCAGATGGTGGGGGGCATGGATGGGGGCAGGGATTTATTTGTCCCCATATTTCCATACTAGAGGAAGTCCACATAAATGGAGAGGTTTCAAAGTAAGAAAGAAAAGTAAGAAAAAGAAAGGAAAAGAACCTCCAGTGCCCTGCCTTTTCCTGACCTCTTTACTGCTCTCCACAATACACTTTCCTGCTTTTTGCAGACCCCCAGTTAGAGAATAGAGGGACTTTGTGCCCCTGATAGCACATACCTCGCTTGTTCCCTCACTTCCAGGCCTCTCCTGGGATACTCCCTCTCCACCCTCCTCAAGTTCTCCTATCACAGCCCTTTGCCTGGCATTTTCCAGCCGTCCTCAGGCTGCATGTCACCTACCCCACTAGACTGCAACCATCTGCTCATTTATCTGTCTCTCCTACTACCTGGAGCCACATGGGTGGGGGGTGGGGGACAGGGGCTGTCTTGCCCCACAGTTCTTTACTATGTAAATGTTAAATGAATAAATAAATGGGAAAGAGCCAAAGGAGGAAGTAACCATGGACAAGGAAGGAAAGGAGCACTGAGCTCAAGCTGGACAGTCCAACCCAGACATTTTGCAGATGAGGACATTTACAGAAGGCAGCAGTGTCATTGTTATCTCTCCACCACTCTCTGTCCACTGCCTCCCAGGATCCAAGAGTCTAGAAATCTTAACAGGCACTGATCTTTTCTCAAAACTATGCCAAAGCCTAAGCATTTTTGTTCTCACTCATTTATGCCTAAACTGAAGCTAGGTAATAGTCTTCCTCCCCACCAGGCATGGATGCATTCAGAGAACACCAAAGCACCTATGCCTGAGGACAAATTATTATACTTTGTCCACAGGTGGACACCTGAACAGCCTCCCTTGCTCATCTAAAGAGGCTGCTCACACATTTGTTTTTAATTCTCTAAATTCTTCCCCACCTGCGAATGTAGACATCATTACACACTATCAACATTTAAACTTATTTTGCTCATTTCCAAAGTAGAGAACAGTTTCTATCATTCTAAAATACTAAACACAATAAATTAACAAGCACTTACCCAGTAGGCACCTACAGAGTCCCCAAGGTTGTGGGAACTAGAAAGTCTAAGGAACAATCAGGAGACTCTCAACTTAGTGCTTATATCCACTTCGGAAAAGACCATTTCTTGCCTTGACTGGCACATGATTCATCTGTCACCTAATTCTGATGTCCATCCAGGCATTAAATGGATTTTAGTCCTTTTAACCGAAAAACTTTCTGCCACCTCATTCATTATACCTAGAAACCAAACACAAAGTGGGACTTAATAATTATTTGTCATGGATGATGACGATTTCAATCTGAATGCCTATGGGATTACTGGAATAATTACATACTGCTGGGCTTCTGAGAAAAATTGAGCCACTATTCATTCTCTGGTGGGCTTCTCTGCCCCAGCAGGACTATAGGCCTTTAACATAATAAGAAAGGCTGAAGATGGGGCTCCCTTAGCGGCCTATGGTCATAAACAGGAATCAGAACCATTGACCTGGGGGTGGGAGGTGGTGCATGATCAGGCAGTGGAGATAAGGTACTGAAATTGCTTTTAGCCATTATTGTTTGCTGCCCTTCATATTAGAAAATGGTGTGTTTGGAACTGACTGCCTGTGCCTGTGTAGGAAAGAAGAAAGACATAAAGATGTGACAAACTGCCTTGCTGCCGCACTGAGCTCCCTGACAGCTAGCCTTGGGTGGCACCAGTAATTCATGCAAACTGTGAAGGTGCAGTGGTGAGACATTCTGACATAACTATCAAAATAATGGTAATTTCAGTTCATCTGTTCATAAAATGGATCTTTTTTATTTAAGAAAAAAAGCCAGGAGGCATAACTTAGAGGCATGAATCATTTTCTTAACAAAGAGTTTACACCTATAATCCCAGCATTTTGGGAGGCCAAGGTGGGCAGATCGCTTGAGCTCAGGAGTTCAAGACCAGCCAGGGCAACATGGTGAAACCTTGTCTCCACAAAAAATACAAAAATTAGCCAAGCCTGGTGATGTGAGCCTGTAGTCTCAGCTACTCTGGAGGCTGAGATGGGAGGATCCTTGACCCTGGAAAGTCAAAGCTGCAGTAAGCCAGGATCACACCACTGCATTCCAGCCTGGGTAACAGAGCAAGACCCTGTCTCAAAAAGAAAAGAAAAGTTTAAAGGAGAAGGATATTAACATTTAATTATTGGATGATCATTATTGGCATCTGGAGTTGTAAGTGAGATGTAGAAAGCATCTCATCTCCTTTAAATTTACAATAGTCCTACAAGGCAGACAAAACGTGCAAGGTAAAAACTGGCAATCTACAAGTTAAGTGACTAACCCACTCAAGGGCCCATACAGGAGGGAGGCCAAGATATGCCCCAGCCTATCTCACTCCCATGCCTCAAGGAAGCCTGGCCAGAGGCCAGAGTTGTGGGATCTTGACGTATAAGATTCTTCATATACATACATATATACATATATATTTATATATACACACGCATACATGTGTATATATACACAAACACACACACGTATGTGAATACATACATAAACTCTAAATATATAGGAAGGATGATGGTTGATCTACATTAATATAACATTTAAATACACTTTTATTTGTACTGCTAAAAACATGTACAAAACATAAGATTTGTACATCTTATAAAGCAACATCACAGAGTTTTATTTTTGTAAAAGGCATATATACTATATATTGAAATGGTTTGGATGTTTGTCCCTCCAAATCTCATGTTGAAATGTGATTCCCAATGTTGGAGCTGGGGACTGGTGGGGGGTGATTGGATCATGGGGGCAGATCCTTCATGAATGGTTAGCACCATCCCCCTGGTGATGAGTGAGCTCTGGCACAGTTAGTTCACATGAGATTTGGTTGTTTAAAAGAGTCTGGGACCTTCCCCTGCTCTCTCTCTTGCTCCCACTCTCACCATGCGACATTGCTCCCTGTCGCCTTCTGCCGTGAGTAAAAGCTTCCTGAGGCCTCACCAGAACCCAAACAGATGCCAGCGTCATCCTTCCTGTATGGCCTGCAGAATTGTGAGCCAATTAAACCTTTTTTCTTTATAAATTACCCATCCTGAGGTATTTCTTTATTGTGACACGGGGACAGACAGACACACACACACACACACACACTCTCGCATATGTGACTAGAAAAAAAGTCTAGAAAAATATACAGCAATGCTAGGAGTGATATCTCCAAGACAAGAGATTATAAACAGTTCTTATTTTATTCTTTATACTTTTCTGTAACTTTAAAAAATAGATGTAATGAGTATAAACTACTTTTTCAATAAATAATTAACTTCTAGGAATATAAGCTTAAAAGGGCACATCAGAAAAACGGGACCTAAGGATTTTGCCCTTGGTAAATTCCTGTTCCTGATAATTTTCCCTAAAACATTTAGTATGCAATCTAATCTGTTCCATAAAAATCATTTTTTCATTCATTATACATTCACTCATTCAACAGGTATTTGTTGAGCACTTACTATCAATATATACCAAGTACTAAAGTGACCCCTGCTTGGGGATTCTGACCTTCTGAATCAGAAGAGGGGAATGAAAGAGGTACAGTTATTATGCATGTCACCCTATGTCATAAACAGAGGTATCAGAACCATTGACCTGGGGTGGGAGGTGGTACAACATCAGGCAGTGAATAAAAGGTATTGAGAGCAGAGAACAAATTTGCATTAACTTCAGCAGGGAAAGACTACTTGGACAGAATTTTGTCTTCACATCTACAGGATGAAATGGCGCCAGAAGCTCTGTGTGGACCACCAGCTTCTCGATCCTGGAGGTGGAGAATGACAGGGCTGGCAGAGAGAGGTAGGCTTGGGAAGAGGCCAACCTGAGGACAGATGCCCGGAACAGACGAAGGCCACAGGTTGCCCAAGAAACTCCTGCCTTCCTTCCCTACAACCTATCCTCATGTGGTGCTGCCGAAGCTGCTCTCAGCCTCTCCTTCCAAGGGTTCCCTGGGGAGCAAAGAGGCTCTCACTGTGCCCCATGTTAAGCAGAATGTCGTTCACCGTTATCAGTCCCAGGGGAGAGGAATCCCACGCACTGGTTACCAACCCCAAGGCAGGATTTCTAAGACCAAGAGAATAGCAAAGACGACCACTATGCCAACCACCAGGAAGAGAAGTCCTAATACTTTGCCCATTGCATTATGGTGCTGGAGTCGCCAAGGAAAACAGGACGCAGTCAAGCACTGGATGGAACAACACTTTACTTACACGGAGAAGAGATATGGCAAGAGCTGCTTCAGCAATGTGTGCCAGTATCCCATGGCCAGTGGATCTCTCCTGACAGCCCACACAGAGCAATTGGCTATGTGTACCCCTGCCACAGTATACGGACCTAGTCCCCTCCCTGTGGAGGAAACATACAGCTGTGGGGTTGGCCCAGTGCCATGTGATGCACCTGCCTAAGCAGGACAAAGGAGCATACATTGGGCTTGCAACAGGGAAAGATATTTCCACACAAGCCAATACACCCAGCGCAGGCCGTGTAGCTCTTTATCTTTTGGTAGGGAAGTGTTCCAGGACCAAGGTTTGTTCTTTTTTGTTTTACAAAGATATTTTATTTTATTTTTAAACTTTTATTTTAGATTCAGGGGGTCCATGTGCAGGTTTGCTACCTGGTGCATTTTATGATGCTGAGGTTTGGAGTACGATTGAACCTGTCATCCAGGTAGTGAACACAGTACCCAATAAGTCGTTTTTCAACCATGTATCCCTTCCCTCCTGCCACACTTACATTCCCCCGTGTCTATTGTTCCCATCTTTATGTCAATGTGTACCCAATTTTTAGCTCCCACTTATAAGTGAGAACATGCAGTGCTTGATTTTCTGTTTCTTTGTTAATTTACTTAGGATAATGGCCTCCAGCTCTATCCATGTTGCTGCAAAGGACATGATTTCATTCTTTTTTAGGGCTGCATCATATTCCACGGTATATATGTAACACATTTTCTTTATCCAATCCACCACTGATGGGTGCTTGACTTGATTCCATGTCTTTGCTATTGTGAATAGGGCTGCAATGAGCATGTGAATGCAAATGTCTTTTTGGTAGATCTATTTTCTTTTGGATATAAACCCAGTAATGGGATTGCTGGGTCAAATGGTAGTTCAACTCTTAGTTCTTTAAGAAATCTCCAAATTGTTCTCCACAGTGGCTGAACTAATTTACATTGTCACAAGCAGTGTGTAAGCGTCCTCTTTACTCTGCATCCCTGCCAATATCTGTTTGGGTTTTTGTTTGTTTGTTTGTTTTACTTTTTAATAAAAGTCATTCTGACTGGTGTGAGATGGTATCCGTGGCTATCTTCATTTCTCTGATGATTAGTGAAGTTGAGCATTTTTTCATGTGTCTGTTGGCTGCTTGTATGCCTTCTTTTGAAGTGCCTGTTCATGCCCCAAGGTCCAATGTTATGCGGCCAGGACTGTGTGAAACTGCCTTTCAGCACCCACTTCCCTGCCTCCATTTCCATGCACATTAGAACAGGGACCCCATTATAGGACATGGGTTTATGAGGTCATTTCTGTTGGCTTTCTTAATAAAAATAAATGTGTCCACTGCAATCCATACTAGAACAAAATTTGTTTTAAATGAGACAGGGTCTGGCTCTGTTGCCCAGGCTGGAGTACAGTGGCACAGTCTCAGCTCACTGCAACCTCCACCTCCCAGGCTCAAGCCATCCTCTCACCTCAGCCTCCCAAGTAGCTAGGACTGTAGGTGCACATTACCACACCCAGCTACTTTTGTATATTTTTGGTAGAGATGGAGTTTTGCCATATTGCCCAGGCTGGTCTTGAACTTTTGGGCTCAAACAATCTGCCTGCTTTGGCCTCCCAAAGCGTTAGAATTACAGGCATGAGCCACCGTGCCTGACCTAAAATATTTATTTCTTCAGGCATTTTGACTCAAATTCTTTGAAATTTATAGATTTATTTTACAATCAAAGATGGGCTAGGTGCAGTGCCTCACTCCTGTAATCCCAACACATTGTTTGAGCACAGGAATTCAAGACCAGCCTGAGCAACATAGGGAGGCCCCATCTCTACAGAAAATTTTAAAATTAGCCAGGCATGGTGGTGCACACCTATAGTCCCAAATACTTGGGAGGCTGAGGTGGGAGGATCACTTGAGCCCAGGAGTTCGAGGCTGCAGTGAGCCATGATCCCACCACTGCACTCCAGCCTGGGCAACAGAGTGAGACCCTGTCTCCAAAAAAGAAAAAGAATCTAAGGAAACTTTCAGAAATAATTTGGAAAGACCAAAACATGGGGTACCCACAGAAGACTAATAATTGGAAACCCCTTCACGTGATAAGAATTTGTTCAACATTCCCTAGCAGGCATGAGGAAAGGCTAATAGTCTATGAATAAAAGCTATAGACTTCTTTCTTTATGGTCAAAATAAGGGATCTATCATGTGTTCTAAACATAGCAATCAATCTTATATTGAAATTGTCTATCATTTTGTAGTATTTTCTTTAAAACAGCTATGAGTTGGTCCTACACAGTCACAAAGGATAATCTCACTCACATCCATTCTCTCCAACTTTTTTTCACATTATCCACACATAGAAAATGATAATATTTGTAGAAAAACCTCTATGAGTTGGTCCTATACAGTCACAAAGGATGACCTCACTCACATCCATTCTCTCCAACTTTTTTTTCACATTATCCACACATAGAAAATGATAATATTTGTAGAGTACACTGAGGTAATCTGGGGGAGGTATGGGTATATCTCTTTGGAGCTTGGTGTAAAACACCTCGTGACTTTTTTTTGTTTTATATGCTATAATGATAAAAAATTAAATATAAAATATTAAGAAAGATGTTAAATATCTAATTTGAATATTACTTTCCCAGCAATTTTTACATTTTTTAAAATTAGAATTAGAAACTCAAGTTTGCTTCCATGAACGTTAACAACCGTAACTTTCTTATACCAGATTTTAAAGCTGAAATGGCTGCACACAATTTGTGATCAAGAGTTTTTAATGATGATCCTTTAAGTCTGTGAGTCACATCAATGAGAAATTTTGTTCTCATAATTATGATAATACAAATGTTTTAATCATTTTTATAACTTTTGAAAAATTTATAATGGTTCAAATTGTATTTTAGAAATCTAACCACTCTTTTTTCCCCATTGGCCAATATCATAATGAAATATTTTTAATGATGAGAATAGATTTATAATCCAATAAACTTTTTCACGTCAAGTATTTCAAAACAATGATAACACTCAAACAGAGGGCATGAATGTCATCCTTCAGGGTGAATCAGCTGCAGATCAGACAAGGGCAGCCATCATATGTATAGGAGGTGGAATAATAGCCCACTAAAGATGTCTGCTGCAGTCCCGGAGACCTGTGAATATGTTATTTCACATGGTAAGGGACCCTACGGACGTGATTAAATTAAGGAGCTCAAGCTGAGGAGATTATCCTGATTATCTGTGTAGACCCAATATCACTACAAAGGTCCTTCTAAGGAAAAGTGGTAGGCAGGAGAGTCAGGCAGAGAAGATACAACAACAAAAACAGAGGGCAGAGTCAGAGAGAGACTTGAAGATGGTGGGCTATTGGCTTTGATGCTGGAGGAAGGGGCCATGAGCCAACAAGTGTCCTCTAAAAGCTAAAAAAGGAAAGGGAACGGATTCTTCCCTAGAGCCTCCAGAAGGAATGCAACCTGGCCAATACCTTGATTTTGGTCTAGTGAAGCCCATTACAGACTCTGACCTCTAGAACTGTATGATAGTAAATCTATGTTCTTAAAAGCCACTAAATTTATGGTTATGTGTTACAGCAGCAATAGACAACTAATACAGAGAAAGAGAGACTAAAATACATACAGAGAGTGACTAACTCTGAAACAGGACCTGGAGCTGGGCCCACAGGAACCATATACAACCTCTACCCCTCCCACATCCAACCATCCGCTCCTTACACACCAAAACCACAAATTCTCCAATAGCTCCACAGGACCCTTGTCCACAACAGGCAGCATCAATGTACTCTGCCGCAGGCAGCTGCTCAAGTAGTCTCTGAGTGGTAGAGCACCATGACCTCCCACAACACATCAACCTAGAGTCATAAGTGCTGGCTGTTGCTCATCACACTTGTCACCCAGGGGCACCACAGAGCAGTCACAGACTCTGCTCCACTCAGGCTGCCCTCCAAGGAGCCCCATATGAGGCTGCTCAGGAGCTCCGCCTCTGCAGGCCCTGCCCAACCACCTTGAGGGCTGAAAGGAACAATATCTTGTAGCACATGTGTACCCACCTGTGACGTCCCAGTAATAAACTATTGAGAATCTCTAAATTCTATGACCACTGTTACAAAGTCTAGGATAGAGCAATACACCATAGTTTGTTTACTTCCAATTTCTCAGCTGAACTTGACCCAGACTTCAGGCAATCATCAGCTGGCAGGTCTCAGAGTTGGTGGTGCAATCTGCATTTGCACATGAATCTTGCCCCACACAGAAACACATATCAAAATAGATAGAAATCAAAACAGGTTACCGTTTATTTCAATAAGAGAGAAATTTATACTTCACCAGGTTTTTAAGAAGCCCTAATTAACTGGCATAATATTTCTCTTTTATTCCAGTGATGTTGTAGTGCTTTTTATAGATTGTTGCCTTGGTGTGCCTGACCCTTAATCTGGTTCTGATAAATCTCATTTCTCTTGTGTGAGAGAGAAATAGACAGACATGGTGAAGGAGAGAAAGAGCAAGCAAGCCTGTTTTCCAGTGAGGTGGGACAGCTCATGAAGACATTCTGAAGTTCCCAAGGTCAGATCACCTTGTCATCCCAGGGCTGACACTCAGCCAGCATGTACTAAGACAGCTGTGCCACTTGTGTGCCTCTGTATTGATTCATTAGGGTGCCATTTGACTGGTTGGTGTTTGCACTGCCAGTTGTTAAATAACCTTAATATAACCCTTATTGGACCATTTGCCTGAATATATGGCTATGTGGTAACACTAGGGAACCAAGTTTTCAAGGACTCTGACATGAGCATAAAGAAAGGAGAGATGACCAAAGAAAAATTGTTGTGGATTTGAATACATCTGCAAGAACATATTAGATATTCCAAGTCATAGTCATAATTACCCCCTAAAGAGGTGTCTAAAAACCTTTAGACCTGTTTCTCCTTCTAACAATTAGGACTTTCTATCCCCTAGTGCCAGTCCTCTGTGGGCCTTCCACAACTTGTCAAAGTCACTCCTCTGCAAGCTATAAAACAACTGCATTTTGTGCCTTTTTTTCCTCTGAAAATGTAAGGAAGGGAACAGGAAAGTCTGTAAAACAGGAGATTGTAGCCCTGTCTATCTCCTTTCTCAGTTGTGTTGTTCTCCTTGCAACACTTTTGTCTGATGCTTTCCAAAGCTCCTTTGAACAATTTATGCAACTTACAGGTTAACACCTGGGCTCAGCTGCCCAAATGCCTTACCTGTGGCCAGTATGATAAACCCAACAGGCAGCATTGTCAGGGATGAGCCTGGGCACAGCCCACAGCCCTCCTGCACTCCTTTCAATCTGGGCCACACTTGTCTTTGCCATCTGAGTCTGGGCAATAGCAAACAATTTCACCCCCCCGGTAACACTAGCCTAAACTATGCCACACATAAGACCCTCGAGGGCTCAGGCTGGTTTCTGTTTTCTCTTGGGTCCCTTTCCTCATGAGCCTGATGGTGACAGACCAACTTACAAGAACACCGAATTGCAGCAAAAGAATACACCTCTGCAGGTTTACAGCTGGCAGGAGCCACATCTTCAATCTGCACAGGCGTCTCTCCTCACCATCCCACCATGTCAGGCACACACCACTGCCAAAAGGAATTGGTAGACACCCACTTAGACAGAGATCTGAAAATTGAGTAATGGAGAGTAATTTTCTTGAGGAACAAGGTATCACTGGAGCCCATAACTCAAAATGAAGAGAATGGTGGGCAGAAAGCACTATATTTTGTTAAAATACACTTGCTTTATCTTAGTTTTCTCAAAGAACAGTCAAGGGCCTAACACCTTCTTAAGAAAGTCACATAAGCAGATGGCTAATATTTCCACGTCAAGTGAAGACATTAACCTGCCTGTGCGGGGCCTGCTTCCTAACAATTGAAAAGTGGCAAGACACCAAAGAGCCAAAGAGTGAAAAGGTTTTCAGTTTGCAGACCTCCCCTTCCTCCCATGGAATGAGAGAGCACAAATGAAACACTAAGCAAATACTTCATGAAGAAGAAGGTGACATTTGCTTACCACAAGGGAGCATAAACATCCTAATCTGATGAAGAAGAACCAATGAGAAGATACTTAGAATGGCCTGAGTTATAAATTAAAGTGGATTAAATGCATATGGATATAAGTTACAGATAAGTTATAGAAATGGACGATTTTAGGAAAAGATTCATCCAAGAAATAGTTTACTAAGAGTCTAAATGTGGCACAACGTCAGTCCTGCTAATCACTAGATATACATGACAACTGTTTTAAAGAGAGAAATTAGGGTGATATTTCCTGACATTTTTTAAATACAGGTTTGAAACACTAGCACATGCCAAAAATCTTATTTTTTCCTAGTTCCTCAACTTTAAACTGCACAAATGGGGCTAGGCTAGTGGTGATGGTTGATCAGTGCTCTGAAGAGAAAGACAGCTTAATGTATCTAAGCAAGTCATGGGCTGGGTTCTATAGAAATCCAACCAGTTATCCTTTAGGCATATCACATATATTTTTTACTGGAAATAAAGTTTTATCACAAATGAAGCATTGATACAAACTATATTCCAATTTATATGAAATGATACACAATTTTGAAATGCAATTTAAAATAAATACAAACACCTATTTTAAATAGATACAAATATTCTCTGTATTTAAAACAAATAGTGAAGTGGTCTATCTCGGCAAGGAGGAATATTTTATCACTGACATTGTTTAGAATTGCCAGTGCACGTGATAATAAAAAGCAGACTGACATTTAGCCAGTCTTATTATTGATCTTAAACTTCTCTTTTGCTTGTCCCTGGGGCTGACCATTCCCCATCTATTAATATGCCACAACCTTACCAACTGCCTCAAATCCTTTTTGGAATGAGATGAGTATAAATGAATGAATGCAAAACACTTAGGAATGAAGTAGACCTAGAAAATATATTTAGAAACTTAGAATGCCATGGCCTATAAGAAATCTTATTTAAACTATTCTAATAAATCTACAACTACTATCAATCATTCCTTAATCATTTTTCCATTTCTCTATTTTGCTTTAGGAAGACGTAGTTAACTCTTCTCACAGTCAAGATTGGACAGTGATCCTTCCTCAGAATTTTGACAGAGCCCTGCTGCAGCCTTCCCAATACAGACTTCGACTGAACTTATTTTGCACCTGGGGTGATTGCCCCAGCCCTGCCACCAGCAGGCTCAGTGAGTGCAAACTCCTGCATAATAGCTGTTAACCCAAAAGAAGATAATAAGAATCTAAGTTCTTCAACTCTTAGCCTTTATCAAGGATTGCAAACTCAAATGCACAGAGCCACACAGGTCATTTAAATGAGTGAAATAATCAGAGAGTGGTGGGATGATGACATACTGGAGACTTGGACAGGGTGTGGATTGGAAAATGTTCTTGCACTGTGCCAGATCACAAAGATATTGGTGGTGGTGGTGGTATCTTATTTTGTTTCAGTTTGTTGTGTGTGTGGTTTTTTTTTTAATTGGGTGTTTTATTTTGTTTTATTGTTTGGGGTTTTTTTTTGGGTTTTTTTGGTTTTTTTCTTGCTTATTTAGGAAATTAAATTTTGTTTTTTATTTTGCTTTCACATTGAAAGAAATAATTTTTTAATTGGGGGAGGGGGCAACTCTGCCTCCTCATAAAGTTAGAAGATCTATTTACAGCCAGGCAGGGTGGCTCACACCTGTAATCCCAGCACTTTGAGAGGCCAAGGCAGAAGGATCCCTTGAGTGCAGGAATTTGAGACCAGCCTGGGCAACATGGTGAAACCCTGTCTCTATGAAATATACAAAGTAAAAATTAGCCAAGCGTGGTGGTGCATGTCTGTAGTGCAAACTACTCAGGAGGCTGAGGTGGGAGGATCGCCTGAGCCCAGGACGTTGAGAGCCCTGGTGGCATCACTGCACGCCAGCCTGGGAGACAGAGTGAGGCCCCACCTCAAAAAAAAAAAAAAGAAGAAGAAGATATATTTAGAAACCTCAGAATAACCATTGCCTATAAGAAATCTTACATAATCCATTCTAAGAATAGTTGTTCTAGTATTTTCTTAATGATATGCAGAGAAAAGATTCCATAAATTCCTAAATGGAACATTCTAATTAAGGGTATAATGAGGCTCTGGGATGATGCTTATTTCCTCCATCTGTACTTGCAGTTTTTATTTCCATTTAGACTCAAAAGTTATTTAAAGAAGTGTTTTATAATTTCTACAATTGTTTAAATTTTCTGTTTTATTAATTTTTAGTTTTTGGAAAATTTGCTTACTTTTTTTGATCTATTTGAAGTAGTTTTAATTATGTTTTCATGGATGCTGGAAAAGTTTTTTTATTTATATTCACAAACCAAATTTTATACATAAATTCCAGAATTATTCATTGTAAATTCTACAATAGCAATTATATGTTACAAAGTAACTTTTATTATTGATGTTTGAATTCTCTTTCTACTTCCAACAGCAATTGTTTTGTGTATTTTAAAGCAATATTATTTAGTTCATAAAGGTTCAAGACAGTTATATATTTTTGGCAAAATATTATTTTATCAATATAAAATGCCTCGTAATCTTGTTTAATTTGTTCCTTATATTCTACCTCATATTTACATTCCTTCTTTGTTTTTATATTATCATTATATACCTATCCTTTTATATTTAAACATTTGCTTCACTTTGTTTTAGATCTATTGCTTCTCAACAGTACGAAGTTGGATGATGTTTTTCGACCTAACATGAGAACATGGAACCTATTTCTTTAAGTAAGGATAATTTATTTCCTATTCTATGTTTTATGTTTTACTCTCTAGATTCTTTGTGTGTGTGTGTGTGTGTGTGTGTGTGTGTGTGTGTTATGTTTATTTGGTTGGTTTTTATATTATCCAGGGTTTTGAAAATCAGCTTTTTAATTCCACTAAATAACTTTAAGTTTCTGAAATTAATTCTTTAACCATAGATCTCTTTCAGAACTAATAGATAATTGTATTTTTTTCAGTTTCACCTATTAGATATAAAGAATTAAGTACATTCTCCATATCTTCCATCCACTTTAATTTTTACATTTATCTGGTTTAAAATCTAGATTATTAATAAAATCTCTTGCGATTGTAGGACATCTGCACTCTGCTTTTTTTCACCCCAATTCTGCTTTTGCTGCCTTTAATGTAGTTGTTAATTCTGCAGTTGCCTTCTAGCTATGAGTCAATCTCTTGATTCATCTAAATCCTTTTTCATCTTGCCCAATGGCCTCTTTGTTCCAGCTGTTTTTTACTTTTGACTTCCTCCCCTGATTCATATTTTAAGGAAGTTCAAAAAAATCTTTGTGAAATTTTCTTCTGTGCTGTGTTCTGTGGTGACCTTTTTCTTTTTTTTTTTTTTTTTTTTTTTTTTGAGACGGAGTCTCGCTCTGTCGCCCAGGCTGGAGTGCAGTGGCGCAATCTCGGCTCACTGCAACCTCCGCCTCCCGGGTTCATGCCATTCTCCTGCCTCAGCCTCCCAAGTAGCTGGGGCTACAGGCGCCCGCCACCATGCCCGGCTAATTTTGTGTATTTTTAGTAGAAACAGGGTTTCACCGTGTTAGCCAGGATGGTCTCAAACTCCTGATCTTGTGATCCGCCCACCTCAGACTCCCAAAGTGCTAGGCTTACAGGCATGAGCCACTGTGCCCAGCCTGTGACAATTTGAAAGGTATGATTTTCCTCTGAATTGCCCAGATATTATATCCTTTCCTTTGCTCACCACAATATTTTTATGTGCCCCATGTTATCATTCTGTCTTCCTTGAATGAAGCATCTCTCTAAACAGAGTTTGTCAAAAGACAGTGTAATATGCCAGTTTCTCAGGCTAATTCTCAGTTCCGTGAAAGTTTTCATTAATAATCCTTTGACTGACTGCGGAGGTATCTACATACATCTTCTTCCTTGTTCCCTTATACTTGAACTAACAGAGTTCATGAGAGACTGGAATTCTGCCAATGTCTTCATGTCTCTGCTCCCAACCTAGTGCTTTATTCATGGAGACTACATCTCCCAGAATATATAGTGCTATTGTACCTACATGTTCATGCTCTCTCACACACATGCACTCACACATATGCTCAAATGATTTTGAGATTTTTTTTTTAGTCTCTGTCTATATGTAGAAAGATGGTAAGGGAGGCACCTGGGAGGGAAAAAAAATTTTTTCCAGCCTCAAAGAGGGGTACCCAAAAGGTAAAACTGATCATTTTCAATTTACATAGGACCTGTTCTTTTAGTGAGAGGACAAATTGTAGGAAGACATGCAATATCTCTTGACTTTTTTTTTTCAGTCTGCTTTGGAAAAAAAAACCTAAAGCTTTAGTAGATTTTTCCTAGCCCAATCCCATTTGCCTTAAAATTACAGCGAGTCCCTTCCAGATTCTGTCATTGGGTTGTGTAGTGAACTGATTACTTATCTCTCCTCAAAATTCATGTTGAAATCCTAACCCACAAAGTGATCGTATTAGGAGGTGTGGCCTTTGGGAGGTCATTAGGTCATGAGGACAGAGCCATCATGAATGGATTAGCACCTTTATAAAAGAGGCCCAGGAAGCCCCTTGCCCCTTCCACCAGGTGAAGACCCAGTGAGAAGGCATCCTCTACGAATTAGGAAACAAACCCTAGTCAGACACTGAATCTGCTGGCACCTTGACCTTGGACTTCCCAGCCTCCAAGACTGTGAGAAATAAATTTCTGTTGTTTATAAAGCCATCCAGTATTTTGTTTGGTATTTATGTTACAGCAGCCCGAATGGACTAACATGGGTTGTCTAGTTTTGGGTGCTGATATGAATGTTCATATTGTACTGGGTCTTTGTACAGACAGTTTGGTAAGAAATAAACTAGAAGTCTGCCTATTTACAAGCCTTCCTCCCAACCACTGCCCCTGAAAGACTATAGGACTGTCACTCTTTCAATATCAAGATCAAAAACTCTACACACACACACACACACACACACGTACACACACACACATACACACGCATACACACCATTGCCGCTAGATAATCTAAAATTCTTTTCCATCTTAATGAAAAAAAAGTCTGAAAAGCACTTAAAGAAGCTTCTGCCAAAAAATGTATAAAAGTCAATCAAAGAAGTTTCTACCATGAGAGGTTTAGATTTATTCATATATCATAATGGCCACTCACATACTGGGAGGCTCACAGGGTGATATCTAATTTTTGAACCCAGACTCTAAGTTAATGGCCGAGGAAATACATCTGTGAAACTTGCCTGCTACATAGCATCCTTCTCCCTCCCTCCACCTAGGAAATGGATCCTGGCAGATGGTCTTTCTCACAGACCAAATAATGGTCATGATGTATTAAAAACTCATCCCTTCTACCCTCTGAGAATAGTGTGCTGCCACCAAGTGCTGTGTGCTCCAGAACATGATGCCACACGGTTGCCACCATAGCCTAAGGTTTGGTGAATTTTCCTATCCAGACAGTTGACAGACATTCCTCTGTGGGCTGCTGAGGTCTTAATCTTGCCAAAACTCACTGCCTGCTCCTGACAGCCCAGAGAGAGATGGTGAATCCAGTGGGGAAAAAGCAGCAGCAAAATCACCTGATCATCTCATTGCTGAGGGAAAGGGTGGATCTGAGGAGCTCAGCAGTGTCAAGACCCACTCAAAACATAAGTCATGGAGGTCCAATAACCCTGGGATCTATGTGGGCAGAGGGGGGAAACCGCAGCAGGAAAAAGTCCAGACTTGAAAGCTCTAGAGAAGACCTAACTTCAGTGTCCTCCCTGGGGCACACACACCTAAGGTCTCAGGAGCCCATCACTCAGGGTGTGTGGTCAGCGGCTCAGCCTCAAAGGCAGCCTCCTCCTGCCACTCCTCTCTGGGCCCAAGCCTTGGCTCCTGGAACCCTCTCAAGCAGACCTTAGCCTGGCCCCGTGCTTCAAACAGCCTCTTTCACAGGCTTAGTTAACTTTTTCTTTCTTCCTTTCTTCCTAGTTTCCTTCCTTCCTTTCTTTCCTTTATTTTCATCCCTTTTTTTTTCTTTTCTTTTTTTTGGAAATAGATGTCATACTGTTAGGCCAACTGAGCAGCAATCTGAGTTGCTGTAGATCTTTAAATGCTGCTAATAAAACAGAATCCAAAGAATGACAGTCTGTATTATGACAAATGTGATTAAACTGCCCCGGCATGATTCGTCTCCATCCTATTAGAGCATGAGAAAGAAAGATTAAATCATCATCTTTATTACCATCGGAGGAGGGGGGAAAGCCTCTCTCTGCATATTGACGACTAAACAGAGGTTCAGAGGCGAATTTTAATATCCATTCATAGTCGTTAACAATCAATGAGCTGGCCATGATCAGAGCATTTGAGAAGGAGTTGATCTTTGTGCCTGAAAGGAAGACAATTTACGTTAATGTGGACAATGAAGCTGGAAATCTCTACTACCTGATGAAACTGCTAAAATGGAGTGTGAAGACCAGGATCATAGATCCTTCCTGGTCACGCAGCCCACAGGGAAGGCTCATAGCACCCAGGCAGGATTAGGTGGCCATGAGGAGTGGTAGAAGAGGAGTTGATAGAAAGTACCGCAGAAAGCACTGTCTTCTTCTGGCTTATTAGACCAGGGGATGGGTGGCTGCAGGCTTTACAAGAGAGTGCTCTGTGGGACTGTGGTTCCTGGCAGTGGTGCCCAGCGTCCTTATGGCTTCACAGTCAGTTATCGGGGTGTCGCAATTGTTAAGGGCTTCATTCTCCCTTGCATTCGGTTACACTTTTTTTGAATAGACGAGAAAGACATAGCAGAATGTATACTCTGGGGATTTCAAGAAATCCTGGGTACTTCCAAGGAAGGGTATCCCCATGAGTTAGGAAGGAGAAAACACTTGCTAATTTGGAAGTTTTCTCTCCTTTTCCCACTCCAACATACTCTCTCTCTCTATTTGTATGCAGTTATATATCAGACATACTCAGAGTGTGTGAAATTTTATATGAAAGGAATTAAAGCCCTTGGAATTTATAAAGCATTTTGTTCTGTGTTGGTTAAGATGTTTTAATTAATCTGATTTTATAAGTAAATTTTTTCTAATTCCTAGGCCATCCATGAAATATGGTTAAGGAGCCATAACAACTATATATAAAACTTCATTAAAACTGCTTTCTTGGTGTAACAGAATAAACCTTGTGTTGGAATCCAAAAGACTTACTTTCTACTCCTGGTTCTGTCACCAAATAGTCATGTGATCCTGAATGAGTTATTTGGATTTCTAGAGGGATTGTTCTACTCATCAGTGACTCTTACTTAACCTTTAGGGTTAAGGACCCCTCTGAGAATGTGATGAAGCCAACAGACCCTCTTCCCAGAGAAGTGCATATGAACACAAAATTTTGCATACAATTTCAAAGTTCTTGGGCTTCTCACCAAAGCCCACCTAGGACTTCACATGTATGGGTGAACCACAGGTCAGGAACCCCTGACAAGAGAATCTCTACAGCCCCTTCTGGCTCTCATATGCTACATCTTTGTAGACCTTTGCCAGCAGGAGAGAATGATAAAGGATTTATTTTAGGAGAAAGAAGAAGAATAAAGAAAAAGAAGAGAGAAAGGAAAGGAAAAGAGAATGAGGAAAAGGAGAAGTTATATTTCTAGTAACTTGAAAAACACCTAAAAAATCCAGCCTTTAAGTGAACACAAGTGAATTAGATGCAATATAATTGAATTCCATGCTATAAAAGAAAACGCAATGTAACATTTTAACTTATTGTAAAGTTATATCCTCTTGGGAACAATAAAATAATTCATACTAAATAAAATAAAGGAAAATGGAAGCAAAAAGCATTTACCATAAATAAATGATTATCTCAAAATGTGATTAAATACTCAGAATTTTATGATAATTGAATTAATCTTTACATTCTTTAATCATCTGGTTTCTGTGACTCGACTCATAAATCTTTTGAGAAAATAAACTTAGCCTACAGATTTTTAGTTCTACAAGAACACATCACTACCTCCATTTTTAAAAATGCAATTTAGCAACTCAGTATAGGTATTCAATTTAAAAGATTTAATTAGCTTTACATGAATGTCTTGAGCCAAGACCCAAGCAGAATGCAGCCTCTTTCGAGTGGATGAGACATAGAAGCTGGAGCTCAACAGAGGGAGTACTGGGCTCTAGCCCTCGGGGTGGGGTTCAAAGCAAGGCACTTGCCCTATCTGGGGCTCAGTTGTTCCCTCTGCAAAACAAAGGTGTTGAGCAAGATAACCTCTGGGATCATCTCTGCTCTACTTGTACATCTAGTCTCCTTTCATCACAATCCCCAATGTGCTAGCATCAATTAACAAAAAGAGCCCAAAACAATTTCCTTCCAAACACAGATACCTGTGCATTTGTGGATCTAAATATATGAAAAGTCCAAATTGGAGCAGGGAAAGTGCAAATAAAATAAAATCTGACCTTATGACCATTCCCCAAACACGCGTTCATTCTTTTTTTTTTTTATATGGAGCCTCGCTCCGTTGCCCAGGCTGGAGTGCAGTGGCGTGATCTCGGCTCACTGCAACCTCCGCCTCCTGGGTTCAAGCGATTCTCCTGCCTCAGCCTCCCGAGTAGCTGGGACTATAGGCATGTGCCACCATGCCCAGCTAATTTTTTGTACTTTTAGTAGAGACGGGATTTCACTGTGTTAGTTATGATAGTCTCAATCTCCTGACCTCGTGATCCACCCGCCTCGGCCTCCCAAAGTGCTGGGATTACAGTGTGAGCCACTGCGCCCAGTCCCCAAACATGCTTTCTAACCACTGTTAGGTTTTCCCAGAAAGGCGAGAAAGAACAAGGGGAAAAAGAGGGTATATGTTAACACACACAAACGTTATCAATGAGTAATTATTAAGTGCTAATTTGCCCTTAATATTGTGCTAGAAGAAAATAAGTTAAATAGTTTCCTGACTTCAGGAAACTATAACCTCAAGTGAGAAACAGCAAACTAGGGAAACATAGATACATTTATTCTAAGAAGACTTATCGCAGAGATGAGCGATGGCAAACTAGGGGGCCAGGTGGGTGATGTCAAAGTGTGAAGCCAGCTAAGTCTGACCTCCAGGGAGTGGTGGGGACTATGGAAAAAAAAGAAAACATTTTGTTAGCCAAAATAAAGATGTCTGCAGGTGAAAACCGATGCACAGGCCAGATCCAGTTTGCAACTCTGATTTAGAGGCTCAGAGAAGTTCTTCTTGAGGTATCCAGCTATTTAATGGCAGAGCAAAAATTCCAACTGAGGCCATTTTATTCCCAAGCAGTGCCTTCTCCACTGTACCACAGCTTCCTTTTATCAAAGGTCTGTGAAGGTTCCCTTCATAACAGATGTTGGTGTCATCCATGAAAGGCTGACTTGAACCCATTTCTCTGACTCATGAATCAATTTCCTCTGAAAGACAGTGATATCAGCCACGTGTCACTCCCCGAAGGCGAAAAAGCAAGTAGTAGTTTATGGAAGATAAAAAGCACCCTGTCATTATCCAAATCGGGCACCTTTTTTGTGGGTACAGAGAGAAGAGGCTAGGAAGAGAGCCCTAGGATGCTGAAGGACAAGTGGCATCTGGTGGATTTCTTAAAATCCACTGAAGTGTGTTTGACATGCTTTGTGCTTTAGCATCCAGAACACTGTGTAGCTGTTAATGTTCAAGGTTTATTCTTCTTTTTATTGCTTCTATTTTATGCCATTTAATTTCTCCAATTTTCAGGCTGGTTCAGGTGCTATAATGAAATTGTGGGTCAGGAGTAATTTTTACACATGATTAGCAAGCTGAAAGGATGGTGCCTTTCCAAAGAAGAATTGTTCACCCAAAGTAATTAGCCAGCAGTTCCTAGTTTCTAAATATTCTCATTAAAACCTCTCTTCCTGCCAAAATGGGACTTGCTCTGGAATTTGGACCTTCACCGTTCCCATTTGTGGGTTTGGGGATAAGGAGAGGTGCCACCACCTTTCATTTGCCATGAATGAGACTCCGTAGTTGGAGTGAGGTTTTCATCAGCAAGCCCTGCTGGAAACCTTTCTGTGTGAGCGTGCGCCTGCCAGACATTCAGATCAAAAATCCACAGGCTTTATTTAAC
Source organism: Homo sapiens (assembly GCF_000001405.40). Taxonomy (NCBI): domain Eukaryota; kingdom Metazoa; phylum Chordata; class Mammalia; order Primates; family Hominidae; genus Homo; species Homo sapiens. The sequence goes on along the minus strand of NC_000005.10, from coordinate 66,273,293 downwards.
TCTCCCTGGAAGGAGGTATAAAGGTTACAAAATAATGAGGAAGATCTCTGTTGAGCAGGAACCCAAGGGTCACAACCTCTTTGTTAAAACTGACAAAAGAGTTGGAAGATAAACTCTACAAGGAACAGAATCAGGGCTATTTAATCTGCTGAAGGGGAAGCTGGAAGGGAACAAAATCGCAGAATTCATGCAAACGAAGGAATATTATAATAGAGGATGCTGAGCAGCTGTTTTCTGATTCCTCTGAGGACAGGTAAGAAATGGGCTGTAAGAGCAGCAGCAGGATTTGCAGGTATTTAAGATGTTGGAAAGAATGAACATTAAGACTTCGGAAATTTGAGTTCTGATTTCTGCTCCACTCCTAGCTAGGTGACTAGCCTCTGAGCCTCTGTTTTCTCAGAATTAGAATGGGATAGCAAACTCTCATGTAGTGACATAGGATTACTATGATTAAAAAGCAAAGATAGGCACAAAATTGCATTTAAAAGAATGTTAGCAAAATTTAAGGAACTATTACCTCAGCTTTGACAAATTATAGGTGAAGGGTTTCGTAGCATTTTCAAAAATACTGCACTAACTTGACCTCATGAGGTAGAATATATTCAGCCCCATACATACATTTATTTCTCAAAAGCAAAATAGATGATCATGTATGACTGTGTACATATGTGTCTTTGAGGATATAAGGAGTCATTGCCATGTTCTGAATGTTTGAGTGCCCCCAAAATGTATACACTGAAACCCAGTCACCAATATGATGGCATTAGGAGGTGGAGCTTTGGGGAGGTAATCAAATCATAAGGGCAGAGCCCTCATGAGTGGAATTAGTGCCCTTATAAAAGAGGCCCCCGAATCCCAGCACTTTGGGAGGCCAAGGCAGGTGGATCACAAGGTCAGGAGTTCGAGACCAGCTTGGCCAACATGGTGAAACCCCGTCTCTACTAAAAATATAAAAATTAACCAAGTGTGGTGGCGGGCATCTGTAATCCCAGCTACTCGGGAGGCTGAGGCAGTAGAATTCCTTGAACCCTGGAGGCGGAGGTCGCAGTGAGCCGAGATTATGCCACTGCACTCTAGCCTGGGTGACAGAGCAAGACTCTATCTCGGGGTGGGGGGTGCAGGTGATGGGGGGTGGGGAAGAGGCCCCTGATAACTGCCTTGCCCCACCCACCATGTGAGGACACAGCTTGAAGGCACCATCTACAAACCAGAAAAAAAGGCCCCTATCAGACACTGAAACTGCCAGAGCCTTGATCTTGGACTTCCTGACTTAAAGAACTGTGAGAAATAAAATTCTGTTGTTTATAAGCCACCAATTGATGGTAGTTTATTATAGCAACCCAGACAAAGATAGTTGTGATAATGCTACTTTAAAAATTCTGTTTGCAGCCAGGCACGGTGTTGCACGCCTATAATCCTAGCACTTTGAGAGGCTGAGACAGGCAGATTGCTTGAGCCCAGGAGTTCAAGACCAGCCTGGGCAACATGGTGAAACCCATCTCTACAAAAAATACAAAAATTAGCTGGGCGTTGTGGTGCACACCTGTAGTCCCAGCTATTCGGGAGGCTGAGGTGAGAGGATCACCTGAGTCTGGGAGGTCTAGGCTTCGGTGAGCTGTGATCACACCACTGCACTCCAGCCTGGGTCACAGAGTGAGACCTTGTCTCAAAAGAAAACACAAATTATATTTGCAAGAGGCTGATCTAGGCCTAAAATCAAAGTAACATCTTAGAAAATGCTGAAGCATGTGAGAGAATAACTTGATTAATGGGTCTTATTACTGAATACCAACTCCCAGAACTTTGTTAACATGGGGTTTTCACAATTCTTGCAAAGCCATCAAATATATTTCCCAGCAGCTGATACTTTTTATATCTGGAAAACCCTAAGAATCAATGGGAAAACTACTAGAAATCACAGTAAAATAGCAGATTATAAAATTAAGAGGTTTCATATATAGAAACAAAAATCAGTTAAGTAGAAGAAAATGCCCCTATCTATGACATCAAAATATGAAATAAAATACCTATGTGCAAATGTAATAAGAAATGCCCAAAACCTCTATGAGGAAAACTACAAAATACCCCTTAAAGTTCCAAAAGCATACTTGAAGAAATTCAGAGACATATGTTTTGGCATATCAGATCTTATGAAGATAATACATACACAAAACACACTCCCAGTATAAAATACAGATTTGACTTATGATGGGGTTTCATCCAGATAAACCTATTGTAATTTGAAAATATTGTAAGTCAAAAATGGATATTTTGTCTCATCACCAGGAAATGGAGGGAAAATAAAACAAAAATAAAAATGAATGTTTTGTAGACATGATGGGATGCAAAAACACAAACCACAATATCCAAAAAACACTGGCAACACAGTAGTACAGTGTAGAGTATGGAGTGTTTACCCTCATGATCACATGGCTGACTGGGAGCTTCAGCTCATTGCATATTGCTAGTCTAGGAGTTCAAAATTCAAAGTTAGAAGTACGGTTTCTACTGAATGTGTATTGCTTTCACACCATTGTAAAGTCAAAAAATGTAAGTTGAACCACTGTAAGCCAGGGACCATCTGTATCATCATATTTTTTTTCTGGCACAAAGCAAGTTTATTACAAGGTTCATTTGGAAAGCAAACAAGCAAGAATAACCAGAAGAAGAAAAAAAACTAAAAAAGTAAAATAATTTGGGGAGTACAATACTTTTTTCATGATAAAGCCTCTATAATGAAAAACGGTGTCGTATCAGCACACAACTAGAGAAACAAATGGAACAGAATAGAAAATCAACTTAGAACTAACTGCACATAGGAATTTGGTACATTATAAAGCAGGCATCTCAAATCAGTAGGAAAAGATAGTAAGTGCAGAGAGGATAACTAGATAGCCGTATGAAAGATATAAAATTGGATACATTTCTCCCACCACACACTATGCTAAAACCTAAATGGATCAGAGGCTTAAATGTAAAACAAATCTATACAAATACCATAAGAAAACATTGGTAAATTGCTCTAGAATTATAGAGAGGGAAAATTTTTCTCACTGTGACTCAAAATCCAGAAACAAGTGAGAGAACAGATTGATCACCCAACTGGTACTCACTGAGCACTATAACTGCTACCCAAGGGACATTTATCAAAAACATTTACAGGCAAAAATGTTTTAGTTGCTGCTACGCGAAGCAATGGATAACAGTTGGGGCAAACAATAGACTAACAAAAAAGCTTAGAAGAAAAGGCTGAGGAATTATATGTATTGGGGAATAAGGTCTTCAAAAAGCTCCAACATATTTCTAGTAATCTAGAAGACCACACCCAAACAGGACGGGGCACGTGTTCCGAAAAGACCTAAACACACCTTAAGCTCTTGCCTCTGACTGACTTTCCTCTCCGCACAAGCAGAAAGTGAGGACTAAAACAAAGCTGTTTATTGAAGTTGTACCCCAACACACACATAGTGCCCCTCTACAAAGACTGGGAGTTTTTTTATTTCAAAACATGTAAGGAACTCTGTATCCAACCATTAGCTGAACACTAAGGTAACAGAACATACACTTTTGTGGTCACAAGTGATACAAACACAGACTTCTAAAAAATTAGTTCAGGAAAACCACTAAAAACAATAACTGCAACATGTAGAAACAAGAAACTGTGGGAAAGATGAAGAGTCTGATTTCCAGAATCCTCACATTATAATATGAAAAATTTCCAGTGTCCAACAAAAAAATTATAAAGTATGCAAAGAAACAAGAAAGTATGGTCCATACACAGTTGGGAATATATCAGTAGAAATTGTCCCTGAGGTAGCTCAGTACCTAGAAGAAGATTTTAAATCAGCTGTTTAAATATCTTTAAGGAGCTAAGGAAAACCATGCATAAAGAACTAAATGAAAGCATGAAAACAACGTCTTTCCAATTAAAGAATATCAATAAAGAGATAGAAATTATTAAAAGGAACCAAATCAAAATTCTGGAGTTAAAAAGTACAATAATGAAACTTAAAGTTTTACAATGGAGGTTCAACAGCAAATTATTTCAAACAAAACAAAAAATCAGTAAACTGGAAGATAGGTCAATTGAGATTACCCAATCTGAAGAACAGAAAGAAAAAGGAAAGAGTCTGAGAAACATTTTGGACACCATCAAGCATACCAATAAATGCATAAAAGGAGTATCAGGAGAGAGATGAAAGGAAAGACAGAATAATTGAAAAAATATTGGCCAAATCTTCCTAAATTTGATGAAAAACATTAATCTCCACATCTAAGAAGCCAACAAAGTCCAATTACGATAAACTCAAAGAGATATATACCAAGACACAAATCAAACACATCATTATTGAAAGTTGAAGAGTAAATCTTGAAAACAAGAAAGAAGCAACTCACCACATACAAGGTGTTCTAAATAAAACAATTTCTCATTAGACCATGGAGGCCAGAAGGCAGTGGGATGATGTATTCAAAGTACTAAAAGAAAAAGATGTCAACCAAGAATTCTAGCCAAATTATCTTTCAAAAAGAAAAGAAAAATTAGGATATTTTTAAATGGTGCCCTAGAAAATATATATTTAACACACAAAACAGCAGTAATTGAGGAATTAAGGAATAAAAATAGATAATCCAACTAGAAAGCCAATAGAAAAATGGCAGAAAGGTATGTTTCCTTATTAATAATTACATTAAATGTAAAGATTAAACTATTGAATGGAAAGGCAGAGGTTGGCAGAATGGATACTAAAAAGCATGATACACCTATTTGCTATATACAACAGATTCACTTAGTTTGAAAGGCAAACACAGGTTGAAAGTCAAAAGACAGAAAAACATATTATTTGCAAACAGAGTTAAAATGAGTATACTAGTATCAGACAGAATAGACTTCAAGATCAAAAGTGTCACAGTGACAAAGGACTTTATATAATGGGAATATGATCAATACATCAATACAATGTAACAATTACAAGCATATATGTGTATAACAATGGTGCCCTAAAACACAAAAAAACAAAAATTGACAGAATTAAAAGGAAAAATCAATGGTTCAACAACAATAGTTGGAAACTTTCCTACCTCACTTTTAATAATAGAATGACTTGACAGAAGACCAACAGGGAAAAAAATGACCAAAACAGCAGTATAAATCAACTAGATTTAAACTGATATCTATGAAACATTTCACTCAGAAACAGCAAAATACACATTTTTCTCAAGAGTACATGGATTATTCTCAAGGATAGACCATATTTTAGGCCACAAAACAGATTCAGTAAATTTTAAAATATTGAAATTATACAAAATATGCTCCCCAACCACAATGGAATAAAATTGAAAATCAACAATAGAAGGAAATTTGAAGAATTCACAAATATGTGGAAATTAAATACCACACTTCTAAAGAACCAATGAGTCAAGGAAGAAATCTCAAGAAAAATTAGAAAATACATTGAGATGAATGAAAACAAAAATACAATAGCAAAACCTATGAGATGCAGCAGAAGCAGTGCTCACATGGTAATTCATGGCTTTAAAGGCCTGCTTTTCAAAAGGGTAAGATCTCAGATGAATAGCTTAATTTTCTACTTTAAGGAACTAGAAAAAGAAAAGCAAAATAAGCCCAAAGCAAGGAAGGAAGCCAGTAATAAAGATTAAATCAGGCATAAACAAAGTAGAACATAGAAAAACAACAGAGACAATCAAAAGACCAAAAGTTAGTTCTTTAAAAATACAAAGAAATTGAAAAACTTTTAGCTAGACTGATGAAGAAAAAGAGAAAACTAAAATCACGAATGAAAGAGGACACATTGCTATCAACCTTACAGAAATAAAAAGGACTATAAAATGATATTATGAATAATTATATGTCGGCAAATTAGATAAATGAAAAAATTTCTAGAAACACACAAACTACCATAACTAACTCAAGAAGAAATAGAAAATCTGAATAGACCTATAACAAGTAAAGAGATTTAATCAGTGATCAAAGTATTTCCAACAAGGACAGGACTAAATGTCTTCACTGATTAATTCTACAAAATGTTTAAGAAGAATTAACACCAATCTTTCTCAAACTCTTCCAAAAAATAGAAGAGGATGGAACACTTTCCAACTCATTCTATAAGGCCAAAGTAACAAAGACAAAGACACTACAAAAAAAGATAACTACCAACCAATGTCTCTTATGAATACACATGCAAAAATCCTCAGTGAAATACTGGAAAGCTGAATCCAACAGCATATGGAAAGGATTATATACCATGGTCAAGTGGGATGTATCCCAGAAATAAAGGTTGGTTCAACAGACAAAAAAAAAAATCAATACGTTAATATCAATTGAATAAAATTGATAATTTGTAATACATTATATAATTGTAATACATTATATCAATTGAATAAAAAACAAAAATAACATAACCATATCAATGAATTCAGAAAAAGCATTTGACCAAATTCAGCACCCTTTCACGATCTAAAAAATAAAAATAAAAAATAAACTAAAAATAGACAAGAACTTCCTCAACCTAATAAAGGACATCTATAAAAACCTACACCATCATCATACTTAATGGTAAAAGACTGAAAACATCCCCCTATAATCAGGAAGAAGATAGGGATAGCCATAATTATATTTAATACAGTACTGTAATGGAAGTCCTAGCCAGGGCAATTGGGCAAGAAAAGTGAATAAAAGGCATTCACTTTAGAAAAGAAGTAAAGCTATCTCTGTTCAGCGATGAAGTGATCTCATATTAAAAATCCTTGATATACGATGAATATATAAAAAGCAACTGTGTTTCTATATACTAGCAAGGAACAAACTTACAATAAGATTAAGAAAACAATTACTTTTTATGTGAATTTTATCTGAATTTTTAAGAAAGAAAAATAGGCTAGAGAGCTATATAAACACACAGTTCACAGTGAAAGGAATGCAAAATGCCTCTTAAATATATAGAAAACACACTCAGTTTATAATAAGAGGAATGCTAAACTACAGTGAGGGGATTATAGAGAGATGGCAGTCATAACAGTATGCTTTCATAAGAACATGCAAAGCAACAAGAATAGCAATACCAAAATCCTGAGATTGGTAACCAAAACTGGAAAGGGGTTCTGCAAAGCTACAATTTGCAAGTATGTCCAAGGAGACCACAGTGAGATTTAAAATTTGGATGTGCTTAAACAGTTTGGGTTCTGTAAACTCTCAAAAATAATAAACTAAAATTCTCTTCCAAGAGAAAGCCCCACTCTGAAGAGAAACTGCTAAGAGCAGAGTCCAAATCAAACAGAATAACAACAATTGGGAAATGCAAAGACAAAGCCCAGTTAAAAGCAGGTGATGGGGGGTCTCAGATCTCAGAAAGTTTTGATCACTTCACAAATAACAACACAAGAGAAAGCTCCAAAGCCATGATTCTAAAAATACTATTCTGGCCCAGTCTTCCCTCAATTCTTGTGCAAAAGTACAAGGAAACTCATTTTACTTAAAGAAATGACCAACAAAAGCTGGGGAGGGGGGATTATAGTTGATTTCATTCAAAGTTATTCTAAGGAAAATATGAATAAGGATCAGAACAACATCCCTTTGGGCAATTAGAGTGAACTGTAACCTACTATTTTAAAAACGAAAAGGAGGAAAATAATAGAATCTATGAAACAAGTAAGAATTAGAAAAACTCATAAATTAGGTGATGAAAAAAAAGATATAAAAAGGAGGTGATTAGTACTTAGAAACGAAAGAAAATTTTATTTCAGAAATAAAGACCAAGCTATAAGTAACACAAAAGCATGCCTTAAGAGAAATATAAGAAGGAAGGCAGGACATTTTTTAAATAAAAAAGAAATGAAGAGGTAAAAGAAATTTGAGAAAATTGACAATTAGAGAAGACAGACAAGATCCAAGACTGTATAAGTCCTTGAAAAACAAAATCAAAGAAATGAAACAGATCAAATACTAAAAACTATAATTCAGTAAAGCTTTGCAAAAATAAAAAAAATTAAAACTTTCCTGAAACTACAAAAGTACATAATGAGATGTCACTATATACCTAGGAATACTGGCCTAGAGTGATGTATTCTAGTAAAATTAGTCTTTAAAAAAGAAAAGACAAGTATCTTTGGGCATCCAGGCCAAAGAACCAAGTAACTTCTGAGGGAAAGAAAAATCAAAATACCATCAGACTTTTTGACAATAATGCTTTATGCAAAAAAGTAATTACATAACATATTTAAGCAACACAAGGAAAGAAAATGTAATGATTTCATATCTTGTCATGGATTTGATATCCAAACAAACTGATGCACAAATACAAAGGCCATTAAAAAAACTACATTCAAGAACTCAAGGAATGTGTTTCCATTAAAACATTCCTAAGGCATCTACTAAATATATGGAGAGACATCAACATAAGGATTGGTGGCTGTAAAGGAGACAGTGTAGTACATAATGGCTATACACTCTGACAACGTAAGTAATGTACATCTCTCAACTATGGAGGGAGAATGAGGATCATGTATGAAAAGGAGGATAAACTCACTAATTACATTTAGGTATTAACTAGGAGTAAAAAGATATGACTTCAGATCAGAAGCTGGAAGTGTATGGGATGAAGTTGTCACTATCTAATTTCAACATCACTCTTACTAGACAACCAACAGACAATAGCCACAAAAAGGTGTAACTAAGGGTTTTATGTAAAGATACTAATATAAAGGTAACCATTAACACACAATTTCAAGCTTTCCTAAATACCAAATATGTACCAGTCAGGGGAGCAGAGCAGTGAGAGAGAGAGACCAAACTAAAAACAATGTAGTAAAAAAAACTAGATTAATATTAAAAGATTTATATTTTTATAAAGAAAAGAGAATGATAGCTTATAAGTATTTGTTTATATTGTCTAAATTGTGCAGCAGCCATAAATAAAAAGAATAAAATGTTACTTACGGGAAAGAGGAGAAAGGGATACAAGAGAGAGGGAAGAGACAGAATTTGGACTTCATTGAATGGGCCTTATTTTGTGGATGTCACTTTCAGACCAAATATATATTTCATATAATCATACAACAAAATGAAAATTTACAAAACATAAAATCAAATGTAAAGTGAAATGAATGAGCCTAAATGTGTATCCAGTTGGTGGCATAATAGCAATGAAAGTACCTTTACAATTGACTTTTATTTTTCAGTAGCAAAACAGGTAGATTCAATGTTAAAATATTATATTTTATGAAGGTATGCCTAATCTTTGTTTCATTGTATGGATAGCAGATTTCAGAGTTCATTTCCTGGGTATATACCTTTACAACCTGCTTTCCCCATTTTTATCATACACACTTTTTCAAACATCAACACAGTCTCTTCACAAATATGACATTGAATGGCTACATAATAGCCCATCATAAGACTTTGCCAACTTTCTTTGATTATAATATCTTCTTTTTTTTTAAGTAATACTGATGGTGGCTGAAGAATTGGGTCTGTAGGTCAGGTATCCTGCCCTGGTGGTAGAAAACACTCACTGGGCAATGCCACTTTACAGAAAAATGATATCTATGATCAGTAAAAGACAAAGAAAGTGAGTGAAATGGTAGGTGAGGATTCACAACTGACTTTAAAACCCAGTTATTTGACAGTACATCTCTAGTGGAACATATCCTAATGACAAAAGAACTGAAAAATAATCTTATACTTTTTTTCTATAATCAAATTATTGATTGTTGTAGTGTTGGTATAGTTTTTCTAAGACTATTATGTACATATTGTGGGGAAAAACAGATGAGTATTTTGTTGTCATTGAGAAGCAAGATTTTTAGCTTGAAAGAAAGGAGATATTGATGTACAATTGGTGTGGTTTTAAAAAGCCCCTTATTCTAAATTTTTAAATTTTAACTATTACTATAAACATATATATATATATGTGTGTGTGTGTGTGTGTATATATATATATATAGTCTTTTTTCTTGAGACAAGAGTCTCACTTTGTCACCCAGGCTGGAGTGCAGCTATGCGATCTCAGCTCACTGCAACCTCTGCCTCCTGGGTTCAAGTGATTCTCCTGTCTCAGCCTCCCAAGTACTGGAATTACAGGCACCCACGACCATGCCCAGCTAATTTTTCTATTTTTAGTAGAGATGGGGTTTCGCCATGTTGGCCAGGCTGGTCTTGAACTCCTGACTTCAAGTGATCCACCCACTTGAAGTCTCAGCCTCCCAAAGTGCTGGGATTAAAGGTGTGAGCCACCATGCCTGGCAGAACTAATAATACATTTTATCTGGTTGAGCCAAGATGGCCGAACAGGAACAGCTCCGGTCTACAGCTCCCAGCGTGAGCGCCGCAGAAGATGGGTGACTTCTGAATTTCCATCTGAGGTACCGGGTGCATCTCACTAGGGAGTGCCAGACAGTGGGAGCAGGACAGTGGGTGCAGCGCACCATGCGCGAGCCGAAGCAGGGTGAGGCATTGCCTCACTCAGGAAGCACAAGGGCTCAGGGAATTCCCTTTCCTAGTCAAACAAAGGGGTGACAGATGGCACCTGGAAAATCGGGTCACTCCCACCCTAATACTGTGCTTTTCCGAAGGGCTTAAAAAACGGCGCACCAGGAGATTATATCCCGCACCTGGCTCAGAGGGTCCTACACCCATGGAGTCTCACTGATTGCTAGCACAGCAGTCTGAGATCAAACTGCAAGGTGGCAGCGAGGCTGGGGGAGGGGCGCCCGCCATTGCCCAGGCTTGCCTAGGTAAACAAAGCAGCTGGGAAGCTCGAACTGGGTGGAGCCCACCACAGCTCAAGAAGGCCTGCGTGCCTCGGTAGGCTCCACCTCTGGGGGCAGGGCACAGACAAACAAAAAGACAGCACTAACCTCTGCAGACTTAAATGTCCCTGTCTGACAGTTTTGAAGAGAGCAGTGGTTCCCCCAGCACGCAGCTGGAGATCTGAGAACGGGCAGACTGCCTCCTGAAGTGGGTCCCTGACCCCTGACCCCCAAGCAGCCTAACTGGGAGGCACCCCCCAGTAGGGGCAGACTGACACCTCACACAGCCGGGTACTCCTCTGAGACAAAACTTCCAGAGGAACCATCAGACAGCAGCATTCACGGTTCATGAAAATCTGCTGTTCTGCAGCCACCGCTGCTGGTACCCAGGCAAATAGGGTCTGGAGTGGACATCTAGCAAACTCCAACAGACCTGCAGCTGAGGGTCCTGTCTGTTAGAAGGAAAACTAACAAACAAAGGCCATCCACACCAAAAACCCATCTGTACAGCACCATCATCAAAGACCAAAAGTAGATAAAACCACAAAGATGGGGAAAAAACAGAGCAGAAAAACCGGAAACTCTAAAAAGCAGAGCGCCACTCCTCCTCCAAAGGAACGCAGTTCCTCACCAGCAACGGAACAAAGCTGGACAGAGAATGACTTTGACGAGTTGAGAGAAGAAGGCTTCAGACGATCAAACTACTCTGAGCTACAGGAGGAAACTCAAACCAAAGGCAGAGAAGTTGAAAACTTTGAAAAAAATTTAGACGAGTGTATAACTAGAACAACCAATACAGAGAAGTGCTTAAAGGAGCTGATGGAGCTGAAAGCCAAGGCTTGGGAACTACGTGAAGAATGCAGAAGCCTCAGGAGCCGATGCAATCAACTGGAAGAAAGGGTATCAGTGATGGAAGATGAAATGAATGAAATGAAGCGAGAAGGGAAGTTTAGAGAAAAAAGAATAAAAAGAAATGAACAAAGCCCCCAAGTAATACGGGACTATGTGAAAAGACCAAATCTACGTCTGATTGGTGTACCTGAAAGTGACGGGAAGAATGGAACCAAGTTGGAAAACACTCTGCAGGATATTATCCAGGAGAACTTCCCCAATCTAGCAAGGCAGGCCAACATTCAGATTCAGGAAATACAGAGAACGTCACAAAGATACTCCTCCAGAAGAGCAACTCCAATAATTGTCACATAATTGTCAGATTCACCAAAGTTGAAATGAAGGAAAAAATGTTAAGGGCAGCCAGAGAGAAAGGCTGGGTTACCCACAAAGGAAAGCCCATCAGACTAACAGCGGATCTCTCGGCAGAAACTCTACAAGCCAGAAGAGAGTAGGGGCCAATATTCGACATTCTTAAAGAAAAGAATTGTCAACCCAGAATTTCATATCCAGCCAAACTAAGCTTCATAAGTGAAGGAGAAATAAAATACTTTACAGACAAGCAAATGCTGAGACATTTTGTCACCACCAGGCCTGCCCTAAAAGAGCTCCTGAAGGAAGCACTAAACATGGAAAGGAACAACCGGTACCAGCCACTGCAAAATCAAGCCAAATTGTAAAGACCATCGAGACTAGGAAGAAACTGCATCAACTAATGAGCAAAATAACCAGCTAACATCATAATGACAGGATCAAATTCACACATAACAATATTAACTTTAAATGTAAATGGACTAAATGCTCCAATTAAAAGACACAGACTGGCAAATTGGATAAAGAGTCAAGACCCTTCAGTGTGCTGTATTCAGGAAACCCATCTCACGTGCAGAGACACACATAGGCTCAAAATAAAAGGATGGAGGAAGATCTACCAAGCAAATGGAAAACAAAAAAAGGCAGGGGTTGCAATCCTAGTCTCTGATAAAACAGACTTTAAACCAACAAAGATCAAAAGAGACAAAGAAGGCCATTACATAATGGTAAAGGGATCAATTCAACAAGAAGAACTAACTATATTAAATATATATGCACCCAATACAGGAGCACCCAGCTTCATAAAGCAAGTCCTGAGTGACCTACAAAGAGACTTAGACTCCCACACAATAATAATGGGAGACTTTAACACCCCACTGTCAACATTAGACAGATCAACAAGACAGAAAGTTAACAAGGATACCCAGGAATTGAACTCAGCTCTGCACCAAGCAGACCTAATGGACATCTACAGAACTCTCCACCCCAAATCAACAGAATATACATTTTTTTCAGCACCACACCACACCTATTCCAAAATTGACCACATACTTGGAAGGAAAGCTCTCCTCAGCAAATGTAAAAGAACAGAAATTATAACAAACTATCTCTCAGACCACAGTGCAATCAAACTAGAACTCAGGATTAAGAAACTCACTCAAAACCGCTCAACTACATGGAAACTGAACAACCTGCTCCTGAATGACTACTGGGTACATAACGAAATTAAGGCAGAAATAAAGATGTTCTTTGAAACCAACAAGAACAAAGACACAACATACCAGAATCTCTGGGACACATTCAAAGCAGTGTGTAGAGGGAAATTTATAGCACTAAATGCCCACAAGAGAAAGCAGGAAAGATCTAAAATTGACACCCTAACATCACAATTAAAAGAACTAGAAAAGCAAGAGCAAACACATTCAAAAGCTAGCAGAAGGCAAGAAATAACTAAAATCAGAGCAGAACTGAAGGAAATAGAGACACAAAAAACCCTTCAAAAAATTAATGAATCCAGGAGCTGGTTTTTTGAAAGGATCAACAAAATTGATAGACTGCTAGCAAGACTAATAAAGAAAAAAAGAGAGAAGAATCAAATAGACGCAATAAAAAATGATAAAGGGGATATCACCACCAATCCCACAGAAATACAAACTACCATCAGAGAATACTACAAACACCTCTATGCAAATAAACTAGAAAATCTAGAAGAAATGGATAAATTCCTCAATGCATACACCCTCCTAAGACTAAACCAGGAAGAAGTTGAATCTCTGAATAGACCAATAACAGGCTCTGAAATTGTGGCAATAATCAATAGCTTACCAACCAAACAGAGTCCAAGACCAGATGGATTCACAGCCGAATTCTACCAGAGGTACAAGGAGGAACTGGTACCATTCCTTCTGAAACTATTCCAATCAATAGAAAAAGAGGGAATCCTCCCTAACTCATTTGATGAGGCCAGCATCATCCTGATACCAAAGCCAGGCAGAGACACAACCAAAAAAGAGAATTTTAGACCAATATCCCTGATGAACACTGACGCAAAAATCCTGAATAAAATACTGGCAAACCGAATCCAGCAGCACATCAAAAAGCTTATCCACCATGATCAAGTGGGCTTCATCCCTGGGATGCAAGGCTGGTTCAATATATGCAAATCAATAAATGTAATCCATCACATAAACAGAACCAAAGACAAAAACCACATGATTATATCAATAGATGCAGAAAAGGACTTTGACAAAATTCAACAACCCCTCATGCTAAAAACGCTCAATAAATTAGGTACTGATGGGACGTATCTCAAAATAATAAGAGCTATCTATGACAAACCCACAGCCAATATCATACTGAATGGGCAAAAACTGGAAGCATTCCCTTTGAAAACTGGCACAAGACAGGGATGCCCTCTCTCACCACTCCTATTCAACATAGTGTTGGAAGTTCTGGCCAGGGCAATTAGGCAGGAGAAGGAAATAAAGGGTATTCAATTAGGAAAAGAGGAAGTCAAATTGTCCCTGTTTGCAGATGACATGATTGTATATCTAGAAAACCCCATTGTCTCAGCCCAAAATCTTCTTAAGCTGATAAGCAACTTCAGCAAAGTCTCAGGATACAAAATCAATGTACAAAAATCGATTTTTGTACATTGGTGTACAAAAATTGGTGTATAAGCATTCTTATACACCAATAACAGACAAACAGAGAGCCAAATCATGAATGAACTCCCATTCACAATTGCTTCAAAGAGAATAAAATACCTAGGAATCCAACTTACAAGGGATGTGAAGGACCTCTTCAAGGAGAACTACAAACCACTGCTCAATGAAATAAAAGAAGATACAAAGAAATGGAAGAACATTCCATGCTCATGGGTAGGAAGAATCAATATCGTGAAAATGCCCATACTACCCAAGGTAAGTTATAGATTCAATGCCGTCCCCATAAAGCTACCAATGACTTTCTTCACAGAATTGGAAAAAACTACTTTGAAGTTCATATGGAAACAAAAAAGAGCCTGCATTGCCAAGTCAATCCTAAGCCAAAAGAACGAAGCTGGAGGCATCACGCTACCTGACCTCAAACTATACTACAAGTTTACAGTAACCAAAACAGCATGGTACTGGTACCAAAACAGAGATATAGATCAATGGAACAGAACAGAGCCCTCAGAAATAACGCCGCGTATCTACAAATATCTGATCTTTGACAAACCTGAGAAAAACAAGAAATGGGGAAAGGATTCCCTATTTAATAAATGGTGCTGGGAAAACTGGCTAGCCATATGTAGAAAGCTGAAACTGGATCCCTTCCTTACACCTTATACTAAAATTAATTCAAGATGGATTAAAGACTTAAACGTTAGACCTAAAACCATAAAAACCCTAGAAGAAAACCTAGGCATTACCATTCAGGACATAGGCATGGGCAAGGACTTCATGTCTAAAACACCAAAAGCAATGGCAACAAAAGCCAA
Organism: Homo sapiens; assembly: GCF_000001405.40. Classification (NCBI taxonomy): domain Eukaryota; kingdom Metazoa; phylum Chordata; class Mammalia; order Primates; family Hominidae; genus Homo; species Homo sapiens. Next base: position 66,257,842 of record NC_000005.10, on the reverse strand, counting down.
AATCGACAAATGGGATCTAATTAAACTAAAGAGCTTCTGCACAGCAAAAGAAACTACCATCAGAGTGAACAGGCAACCTACAAAATGGGAGAAAATTTTCGCAACCTACTTATCTGACAAAGGGCTAATATCCAGAATCTACAATGAACTCAAACGAATTTACAAGAAAAAAACAAACAACCCCATCAAAAAGTGGGCAAAGGACATGAACAGACACTTCTCAAAAGAAGACATTTATGCAGCCAAAAAACACGTGAAAAAATGCTCACCATCACTGGCCATCAGAGAAATGCCAATCTAAACCACAATGAGATACCATCTCACACCAGTTAGAATGGCAATCATTAAAAAGTCATGAAACAACAGATGCTGGAGAGGATGTGGAGAAATGGGAACACTTTTACACTGTTGGTGGGAGTGCAAACTAGTTCAACCATTGTGGAAGTCAGTGTGGCAATCCCCCAGGGATCTAGAACTAGAAATACCATTTGACCCAGCCATCCCATTACTGGGTATATACCCAAAGGACTATAAATCATGCTGCTATTAAGACACATGCACACCTATGTTTACTGCAGCACTATTCACAATAGCAAAGACTTGGAACCAACCCAAATGTCCAACAATGATAGACTGGATTAAGAAAATGTAGCACATTTACACCATGGCATACTATGCAGCCAAAAAAAATGATGAGTTCATGTCCTTTGTAGGGACATGGATGAAATTGGAAATCATCATTCTCAGTAAACTATCACAAGAACAAAAAACCAAACACTGCATATTCTCACTCATAGGTGGGAATTGAACAATGAGAACACATGGACACAGGAAGGGGAACATCACACTCTGGGGACTGTTGTGGGGTGGGGGGAGGGGGGATGGATAGCATTAGGAGATATACCTAATGCTAAATGACGAATTAATGGGTGCAGCACACTAGCATGGCACATGTATACATATGTAACTAACCTGCACATTGTGCACATGTACCCTAAAACTTAAAGTATAATAATAATAAAATAAAATAAAAATACATTTTATCTGAAATAAGAATCTCTAGCTCTATCTACTGACAAGGCCTAGAAGCAATGACTAACTCAGTGTGCTCAGCATACCTAGGGCCCAGATTGTGGTCTCTAAGTATTTTTTCTCACTAAAAGGAACAAAGGTTTCTTAAATTTCTGAGTCTGGCGTAGGAAACATATAAGAGAAGCCTAGAACATCTTGTCATACCACAAAGTAAGGAAGCTACTACCAAAGATTATTAAGGCCATGTCAAAGACAAAAACAAATAATTCGGGAGTCAACCTGAAGGCCCAACTGGCTAAAGATGGATCTATTTGAGTATTAATAGGTTAATAATTGCAATGTACTAAAACATATCAAATATTATTAAATCCATGAATTCATACGATTTTTTTTTGAGACAGAGTCTCACTCTGTCACCCAGGCAGGAGTGCAGTGGTGCAATCTCAGCACACTGCAACCTCCATCTCCTGGGTTCAAGTGATTCTCATGCCTCAGCCTCCCAAGTAGTTGAGTTTACAGGTGCGCACCACTATGCCCAGCTAATTTTTGTATTTTTAGTAGAGACGGGGTTTCACCATGTTGGCCAGCCTGGTCTCAAACTCCTGGCCTTAAGTGATCTGCCCTCCTCAGCCTCCAAAACTGCTGGAATTACAGGTGTGAGCCACTGCACGCAGCATGTTTTAAAACTCCACTGTGTCAGTCTGCACATTGCCATAAAGAACTATCTGAGACCAGGTAATTTATGAAGAAAAGGGGTTTAATTGACTCATAGTTATGCAGGCTGTACAGGAAGCATGGCTGGAGAGGCCTCGGGAAAATTACAATCATGGCAGAAGGCAAAGGGGAAGCAGGCACATCTTCACACGGTGGAGCAACAGAAAGAGAAAGAGAGAGAAAAGGAGGAAGTGCTACATATTTTCAAACAACCAGATATCCTGAGAACTCTATCACGAGACAGCACTAGGGCGATGGTGCTAAACCATTAGAAACCACCCCCACGATCTAATCACCTCCCACCAGGCCCACCTGCAACACTGAGGATCACAATTCAACATGAGATTTGGGTGGGGACACAGCCAAACCATATCAGCCATCAATCACCTTGAGAGGATATCACTGGAAAGTAAGCAGCAAAACTCAAATGGGAAACTATATGATGAACAATCCAGTTTATTCAACAAAACATATAGCAAAGGAAAAACAAAAGTAGGTGTGATGTAGATTAAAAGATCTTTAGGACACGTATTAAATAATGAGGATCCTGACTTAAACAAACTTTGAAAAGTGTATGTCTGATTAGATACCTGATGATATTAGGGAATTATGGCTCTTTTTTGAGGTGTGATCATTGTATTGTGGCTGTATTTTATTGCAATAGTCCTCTTTTAGAGACATGTACAGAAATATTTCCAGTTGAAGAGGATTGAATAGTAACCCTCAAAATTCACATATTCCCTGGATCCTTAGAATGTGAACTTATTTGGAAATAAGGTCATTGTGGACATAATTAGTTAAGATGAGATCATACTGGAGTAGAGTAGGCCCTTAATGCATTGTGACAGGCATCTTGTAAGAAGAGAAGAGACACAGCAACAGCACAAGGAAAACGCTACATGAAGATACAGGTTGTGATGCATCTACAAGCCTAGGAACCCCAAGGACTGCCAGCAACCATGAGAAGCTCGGAGAGAGGTGTGAGCAGATGCTTCCTCAGTGCGCCCAGAAGGAACCAACTATTATGACACCTTGATCTCAGATTTCTAGCCTCCAGGGATGGGAGAGAGTAAATGTCTGTTGTTTCGAGCCATCTGTTATGGCAGCCCTAGGAAACATACAGATGTGATGTCTTGGATTTGCTTCAAGGTCATCCAGCGTGGGTGGGGAATGGATGGGGGTAGAAATTAAAGAAGTTAAGCCTTGAGTTGATCATTGTACCTAGGAGATGGAGTCTGGAGGGTTCATTATGCTATTCTCCCTACTTTTGAATGTGTTTTAAAGTTTCTATAGTGAAAAATTTTTAACAAATTATACCTCATATGTGCATGGTGAGTTCCCACTTCTTACAACAATTTAATGTACTGCATGTTTATTAAACATTTTATTTGTCTTACTGTGTTTTTGGTGTTGTGTATTGTATTGTCTGTTGAGTATTTGTGATCCCCACTTCATAGGCACAAAGAGGGTGAGCAGCTTGCCTTTTGTCCCAGAGCCAGTCTGCAGGATCATCAAGGTTAAATCTCAGTCTGTGGATTCTTGGTCTAGTGCCTTTCCCTATGCCCATATGTACCACACTCTCATCGTTCCTGTACAGAACTCCATGTACTCACGAGACAGGATCCCCGCTTTTAGAAAGTTCATAATCTTGTTGAGGAGGACATACCTATATTGTGAAATCTTCAGAGAATCATAGGAAACCCTAAGCAATAAAATATATGTCCAATACGATAAAATAATAATCAGAATATATGATATAAAAAAACATGCTTGAGGCCAGCCGTGGTGGCTCATGCCTGCAATCCTAGCACTTTGGGAGGCCAAGGCAGGAGGATCACCTGAGCCCAGGAGTTCAAGACCAGCCTGAGCAACAAAGTGAGACTCTGTCCCTACAAAAAAATTTTTTTTAAATAGCCAGGCATGGTGGTGCATGCCTGTGGTCCCAGCTACGTGTGAGGATGATGTGGGAGGATCTCTTGCGCTCTGGAGGGCGAAGTTGCAGTGAGCTGTGTTTGCGTCACTGCACTCCAGCCTGGGCAAGAGAGTGAGACCCTGTCTCAAACAAACATGTTTGCATATCTATATGTGCTGCGAATAAAACATTGATTCCAATCCCAGCTCTGCCACTTAGGGGGTTCAGATATACATAACCCTTCTGAGCATCAGTTTCTTATCTTCAAACTAAGGCATATAATGCCTGACCTAATCACTTAATTGAGTTGTCTGAAGAATAAAATAGCAAAATATATGTGAAAATGCTTCATTATCTGCCAGAGGCCAGGAAGGCAAGGAATTATGATTAATGCCAAAATAAGACAGTGGTTCATACTTCAGTTAAAACACATTGACAAAAGCCCCAAAATCTCTTAGTATAAAACAAAGTATTATTTTAGTTAAATGTCCTTTGTTACTTAAAAAGATTAACTATAACTATTTGTAGTTAGGAAAAGTATGATTAGGAAGACGTCAGTGAAGAATTACTCCTTTGCAAAAGCACATTGGAAGCAAAGTCTTTTCTTCTAGAGATAAGTGTGGAGTCGCTGCCAATAGCTCATGAAGCTTCTTCCTTTTGGCACCATCCTCTGTTCCTTCTGACAGGAAAAACTTCTTTCATGTCCCAAATGGGTGTGGAAGAATACCACAAGGAGGATTCAGCTCTCATCATGGTGAGGATTCTTAGCTGATCACCAAAGCAGAATATCAAAAGAAGACAGAAACCAAACCGTGGGCTGCCTCTCTGGGACAGCACAACAAACGGCCGAATATGTCAGCGGAAGAACTTCTTTCAATCCCACAAAACCTGGGGTGGGGGGGTTGCAGTGTATTGATTTTTCTTCTTCTCTGAATTGAGAGAGCTGATGAGGGATTTGGTATCATCCCTCATCATCTGGCTATAGCCAGAGTGTGTATTTATTAAGCCTCTCAAGCTTCTGGTCCTACGATTAGGTTCCAATGCCCTCTGTCAGTTCTCAAAAGATCAGTGCAAGGAGACCTGGCATACCTTTGGGTGAATAAAACTGCCAGTGTTAGCACAACAGAGGGAGGTGACATTCAGCAGACACCACAGTGGCAAGAGCAGCTCGGCTGCTTCAAGACTCTCTCCTGTCTGTGTCTGCAGACCTTCTTCCACATGGAAGGAAATAGGCTCCATGCGTCTGGTCTTTCCTATTTTGAAAAGGTTTCCTGAGAGTTCTTTAGCAATCACAAATCTTTCTGGCCCTTTCTAATTCATCACTGTAAAGACCACTTCTCCAGAAAGAGGGTTGAGTTTTGCCAGAAGCACTGGAAGACATGTGTAAATTAAAGGTCACACTAACCCTAAAACTGAACACTTTTCTCATTTGAAATGAACACTTCATTTTTATTGTTAGTGCCTCCCTGTGGCATTCTCTTTAAAACAAGTATTCCTTCTTTTTAAAATTTAATTACCTCTGAAAAATCCTGGAATTAGATGTCTGTATATAGTAGATAGATAATTAGAATGAAATGCAAGTACATAAGCATGGTAAGTTTGAATCACACCTTAATCTGAGTATGCCTTATGTACGTGGGGCTTCCCTGTGTCATGGGCCTACGACATGAAATATCGTCTATTTACTTGCCTAGCTGTGTGAACATGGACAACTCAAGCTCTCTGAGCCTTGCTTATCTCATCTGTAAAGTACGTAGAATAATAGTATTTATCTCATGCTACTGAGGAATGGCGCATACTAAACATTCTATCAGTATTTGCCATTATTATTATTATTATCATCATTATTACTACCAGACTGTGAGCACCTTGAACAGGAAGATTGGGTCTAATTCTCCATGCCATGGTGCCTGGCACATACTAGGTGCTCAATAAATATCAGGGTAGTTGGAGAATGAATCAACTATTTGAATAAGCAAGCAGCTATGTGAACAAGAATGCAACCTATAGACTGACTGAACATAGGTTAAAAATGTGTTAGATCTTTCTGGGTTGTGATATTCATTGGTGCTTCTATGTCCAACGCAAAAGGAGTATGTATGACTAGGAATAGAAGTGATGATGGGACCCAGGTTTCATTCGTCAATGTGGTTATTATAAGAATATATATATTTGTGTATTTAATGCTAACAGATGGCTGCCCAGCTACAGAGAAACCTGGCACCTGTTAGAGAAGGCTGGAGACACATGAGAGATGTTGGGAACCCCAAAGAGGGTTTCTGGAAGGAATTGTTATTGAGAACTGCAGGTGCTGTGACTAAAGCCACTGTTACTGATCATGCTGCCACCAGAGGAGTTTCTTGGGAAGATGTCAAAAACCACTGGGACCAGAGAAGAAAAAGCTGGGACATGCAGTCATTGGGAGAGACTTACCAAGAGCCACTGGCCAGTATCACTGTGGGTTCCACATCGAAAGTCACACTCTTGGGGACCAGTAGGGAGACTACTGTGCTTTGGGCTCCAGGCAGCTCTACCCTGCAACCTTGGCTGTTTAGTAGAGGGTAGAGATTGTGAGTGTTTCCGTGTCTTCCTTCTAAGGAGAGAGAAATTGGGTTGGAGAGTCTGGGCCGCCAAGTCACAGAGAGCTCAGATTCTTGGCGAAGGATGTGGGCCCCTGGCCCCTCTTTTGTACTCCATTGCAGATGAGGGACATTTTCTGATTAGCAATAGTTATTTCATCCCGTTCTTGTTTGCTTTTTTTTCTTTTTCCCTCCTCCTTAGGCATTAAAATGATGGTGCTACGTTAAAGCACAAATCATGGAAGTTTGTCTTAAGATATTCATTCCTTTTTTGCTAGACACTCACTCAGTGAGCACGGGCAAATTATTGAACTTGGCCTTCTTCTAACTTGGCTTTTCCACCTGTGAACTCAGACTCCCTCTCCATTAAATATGGATAGTGTTGATCTCTACCTGCTGACTCTCCCCTTTGTGCTGGTATTTCATATTCATGGAGGCTCAGCAAGGAACAAAATAGAGAATTCAGTGCAGAGCTTCCATCCATTGGGTTTTCATTCAAAATTCAACAGGTAGACAGAACTCCTGCCTAAGAAAAGGATGAGGTGACCCAAGGGAGGCAGGAAATGCTGTACGGTAATGATGCCTGCATGTGGGCTGCCAGGGTTCTGAGAGCCAAAGATGATCTTTTCAAAGAAAGTGAGTCTGGAGATGTGAACAGTGCATGCAGAGGTCACGCTGAGCCAGTTTTGCAGCCCCTGAAGTCAGCAGAGTCTGAGCTAGGCAAATAAACTCCTGTTCACCTGGAACCAGATTGGTATTTTTGTGCTCAACTTTATGAGGTGGGGACAAATGGAGATTTTACAACTGCATGTGAGTAATTCATCCAAAAAGCAACTAGATCAATATTATAGTATCAAGTGCCGCATGTGTGAAGATGATGCTAAGTATCGTCAGAAAGTGCAATGGTTACTAGGCAAGCTCCCTGTCCTCACAAGTGGTCAGAATGTTGGTGAAAGAGGCCGAGCACAGAGGCTCATGCCTGTAATCCCAGCACTTTGGGAGGCCAAGATGGGTGGATCACCTGAGGTCAGGAGTTCAAGACCAGCCTGGCCAACATGGTGAAACCCCGACTCTACTAAAAATACAAAAATTAGCCGGGAGTGGTGGTGGGAGACTGTAATCCCAGCTACTTGGGAGGCTGAGGCAGGAGAATCGCTGGAACCCAGGAGGCCAAGGTTGCAGTGGGCAGAGATCATGCCACTGCACTCCAGCCTGGGAGACAGAATGAGACTGTCTCAAAAAAAAAAAAATGTTGGTGAAACAGATTGACTCAAACCAAAAGACAGCATGGAGCAATAGTATAAGATAAGGGCTAAGGACTGGTGTCAGCTAAAAGGGTTGAAGGATTTCAGAAGGATTTAGGTCGAAAGAAGGCCTGGTGGGGAGGTCGTGCACTGCATAATGTTTCAGTCAATGCAGACTGCATAGATGATGGTGGTACCAGAAGATTATAATGGAACTGAAAAACTCCTATTGCCTAGTGACATTGTAGCCAGTCAGTGTCACAGTGCAACTCATTACTCATGTGTTTGTGGTGATGCTGATGTAAACCAACCTACTGCACTGCTGGTTGCACAAAAATATACCACGTACAATTTTGTATAGTACATAATATTTGATAATGATTATAAACGACAATGTTACTGGTTTATGTATTTACTATACTATACTTTTTACCATTATTTTAGAGTATACTCATTCTACTTTATTTGTTTAAAGCTAACTGTAAAACAGCCTCAGGCAGTTCCCTCAGGAGGTATTCCAGAAGAAGGCATTGTTATCATAGGAGATAACAGGTTCGTGCGTGTTATTGCCCCTGAAGACCCAGTGAGACAAGATGTGGAGGTGGAAGACAGTGACCCTGATGCCTCTGACCCTGTGGAGTCCTAGGCAAATATGTGCATTTGTGTCTTTGTTTTTAACAAAAAAGATTAAAAAGCTAAAAAATTTGACTTCAAAAATAGAAAAAAAGTTTATAGAATAAGGATATAAAGAATGAAAATATTTTGGTGCAGCTGTGCAATATTTGTGTTTTAAGATAAGTGTTATTACAAAAAAGTCAAGTTTAAAAATAATGAGGAAAAAAGTGTATAAAGTGAAAAACGTGACGGTAAGCTATGGTTAATTTATTATTGAAGAAAGAAAAATTGTTTTAGAAATTTATTGTAGCCTAAGTGTATATAAAGTCTACAATAGTGTACAGTAATGTCCTAGGCCTTCCCATTCGCTCGCCACTCACTCACTGACTCACCCAGAGCAACTTTCAGTCCTGCAAGCTCCATTCCTGGTAAGTGCCCTGTACAGGCATGTCATTTTTTATATTTTATACAGTATTTTTACTGTGCCTTTTCTGTGTTTAGATACACAAATACTTACCATTGTGTTACAGTTGCCTGCAGTGTTCAGTACAGTAACATGCTGTACCGGTTTGTAGTCTAGGAGCAATAGGCTATACCATATAGCCTAGGTGTGTAGCAGGCTATACCACCTAGATTTGTGTAAGTATACTCTATGATGTTTGTACAACAACAAAATTGCCTAGCAACACATTTCTCAGAACATAATCCCCATCATTAAATGATGCATGACTGTACATGATAGGTTTTCTTTTTCTTCTTTTTTTCTGGCAATAAGGAAGGAAAAGATACACCTGGTACGTTTTCTAGCATGCTAGAATTTTGGTTGGACTTTGAAGACTGGGTAGACTTTGAGCCAGTGGAGTGGAAGAGGGAAAGCAGTGGTGTGCTGGAGCTGGCTCACACTGTCTCCCGAGAGCTGATTGTTACATTCTCAGAAATATTGTGAGGCAGTTGTTAAATGTGGCAGTTACTGAAAATTAAATTATAGAAATTTACAATGAATAAATTCTATCTTAAAAGGCAGCAAATATGCAGCCATAAAAAAAAGAATGAGTTCATGTCCTTTGCAGGGACATGGATGAAGCTGGAAACCATCATTCTCAGCAAACTAACACAAGACCAGAAAACCATACACTGCATGTTCTCACTCATAAGTGGGAGTTGAACAATGAAAACACATGGACACAGGGAGGGAACACCACACATCCGGGCCTGTTGAGGGTTGGGGGCAAGGGGAGGGAGGGCATTAGGACAAATACATAATGCATGCAGGGCTTAAAACCTAGATGACATGTTAATGGGTGCAGCAAACCACCATGGCATATGTATACCTGTGTAACAAACCTGCACGTTCAGTACATGTATCCCAGAACTTAAAGTAAAAATTTTTTAAAAGGCAGTAAATGCTCAGAACTCATCACTTCCTAACTATTTTACTATATTTTACTGTTATCTATGTTCTCGAGATTATTTACATCGGTTGCATCTCCACAGTGGAAATACTACATACAAGAGTGCGTCTCCATGCATCTCTTTCTAACTTTATAGCAGGAGTATTGACACAACAGAAATCTGCAAACCCCACAAAGCATGGCTTGATTTGTTGTTTTGTTGATTGTTTAGAGGTAAGAAAGTGATAGAAAAATATTAACCGTGCAGAAGAAACCTAAAAATATTTCATATCTGTAGTTGTTATATTGTGAATGATCCCAAAAAAGGAAGAAATCTTCCTCTAGCACTTAAAAATTATTATCTGATTCAGCAAAGAAGTCCCTCACATCGTTGATAAACACTCAAGTTCTGATGTGCTCATTAATGTAAATTAAAATGTCAACCAACATTCATGTCAAAGCTACATTGAGAAAGCCAGCTATTAAATTAACCAGCACAGCACTAGAGGAGGGCCACATCAGAAGGAAATTACAGCGTGCAAAATGGCAGAAACTGAAGTGCTCCTGTTGGAGCACAGTGTAGTGTGGTGGGAATGACATGGGCTTTAGTCATGGATTTAAATCGCAGCTCTGCTCATTACTAGCTGTGAAAACCGTGGCAAGCTACATAACATTACTGAACCTAAGTTTTCTCACATGTAAGATAGACAATAAAGCCAACCATATGTGTTGTTATGAGAATTAGAAAGAACACAGTATTTGGTGCCTAGAACAGTGCATGGTGTATATCACACACCCAATAGTGACACTAATTATCACAGTGAAGTAGCCTAAAACCCATAGAAAATAGGCTGGCTGAGCAGTAGGTTTATTTATAGGATGGGTGGAAGCCTTGAGTCCTGAATCTCCAGGCAAGGAATTTGGAATTTATTTTGTAAACACTGATGAGTCACTAAAGGTTCTGAGCAGGGCACTGATGTGGGTGAAATGGTGTCATAGGAAGATGTGGATGGCTGAAGTTTGTGATGCAATCCTTTCTTTCTATATGTGGACATCTAGTGTAGTGTTTAACGATAAGTGTATTTATGCATATAACAGTGTCCTAGAGCTATATAGGCAGGTCTCAAAATGCCTTCTGAATCAAAGAAAGATTATGTCATATTTAATATAATTTTGGTGTTAAGTGTATCTCGGCATATTGTAATTCCTTAGAAATGTATAATTTATACCTGGTAGCTAGAGTAACACCTAAGTAAGCAAGACACCAGATTCATTCTAGTTATTTTTCTGCCCATCACTCTACTTTCTTAAAATCTCTTAACCCTATCTGCCATTGACCTTCCCCATTGCTTTGCCTTTGATTCGTGATTCATGACATTGGCCCCAGATTGGAATTACCTAGGGAACGTCAATAAAAATACGCCAGTGTGTGGGCCCAGCCTCCAGGGATTGTTTAATTGGTCTGAGGTGGGGCTTCAACACTGGGACGTTTTTAAAGCTCCTGGGGGTTCTTCCATGCATCCAAGTCTTAGTTCATGCTCTCATTGCTGTGTGCCTGAATCATTGCCTGAGTCATCTGCCCGCACCCCTGCCTCCAAGTTTGATTTCTTCAAATCCCTTTTTTATCCTGCTTTCAGAACGATCTTTGAAAAACACTAATCTTACCATGCCACTCTTGCCTTAAAGCCTGTCAGTAAGTAGCTCTACAGTATCTAATAAAACCCAATTTCATTACCACCAGCCTTCTTCTTTAACAACATATACACACAAAATAACCCTCTAAAAAGTCCCAGAAATAAAGAGAATCATGGCAAATCCATGGCATAAAATTTGACCAAAGAGTGATCTAGCCCTGGAAGGATGTTGCAGACTCATATTTAAAGACATTTTCTAAAAACCCTATTCAAATATATACCCCCACAGAACTGCCTTGCAACATCGCATGCAAGTAAGATCCTTGGAAGAGAAACGAGCCCAGGTGTAAGAAGCAGTACTCAACACCTGCGGCTCACTGCAAAACATGGGAAGACAAAGGGAACTGACAGCCCAGCAAGACCAGCAGAGGTGGCTCTGTTCAGCTTCTGACTCCCAGCAGATTCCCTGATTTCCCCAAAACTGCACATGCTGAAGTCCTACCCCTAGTACCTCAATGTGTAACATTCTTTTGGAGAGAGGGTCTTTACAGAGATAATCAAGTTAAAATAAGGTCATTAGGGTAGGCCCTAACCCAATGTGACTGGTGTCCCTATAAAAAGGGGAAATTTGGACCCAGACATGCACACAGAGACAGCACTGTAGGAAGAGTGTTCTGTATAAAGAGGGTAGGAGGCAGAGATTGGGGTGATACTTCTATAAGCCAAGGAACACCAAAGATTGCCAGCAAACCACAGGAAGCTAAGAAAGAGGCATGGAACAGATTCTTCCTTGCAGGCCTCAGAAGAAACCAACACTGCTGACACCTTGATCTTGGACTTCCAGCCTACAGGCAAAAAATTTCTATTGTTTAAGCTGCCTGGTTTGTGGTACTTTGTAACAGCAGCCCTAGCAAATTCATACACCCCCAAGTTCTCTTCTTGCTCTGGCCTCTGCCCAGCTCTCTGGTCACATCCCATCACCCAGCCCCATGTCCACCACGTCAATCTACTCCAAGCTCCCTCAGTGTGCTGTGTCCTTTCATGCTGCTCCCTCCACCCAGAATGCCCACTCCCAGCCCCCCACGCTGGTGCCAATGAATCCTTGAAGGTTCCCTCTATTTCCTTAGTCACTACTTCTTACTTCCTCCCAGTCAAACTCTCATAGAATTAACCATTCCTCTTTGGATATACCACTACTATCATTTGTACCCAACATCTCTTCACATCCTCTCAGCCCCATCCCTCACTGCAGCCACTGCTACAGCAACTCGTCTCAGACCACTCGATCAGTCTCACACAGGTGAAGTTGACCCACACCTCTACTCAGCCCTCTCTGCTCATCTCTCACTTCCTGCTCCAGGCCTTCTCTGATACCAAGACTGGCACATCAACAGAAACCCCCTGGACACACACACAGGGCCACCAGAAGAACTGGAGGGAGGTAACTAATCCCTCTGGGCCCCTTGTGGATTAAGTTTCCCCCCTTGTCCCCTGTGCAGACCCTGCTGAGGCACATTTCACAAAACTCCATGGACGTTTCAGCTGCTCAAACACCAGTGGCCTGAGCACTGGCCAGCTCCAAAAAGCATCCTTGTGTATTGGTTCTCCCTCCTTTCCTGAGTCTCTTTCTGGAATCATTTCCAAATAAACCATCTATGTGTATATTTTCTAGGGCTCCATTTTCAGAGAAATGCAACCTAAAATATTGTGCTTATTTTGTATTATATTGGGGTAAACCATGTGAAATTGCCAATATTTGACCATTTTGACCTACAAAGATGACAATTTCATACAATCCAATTAATGCTTGTTTATATTTATGTCTTTTCAAACAGAAGGGAAGCCTCTTGAGGTCAGGAGCAGCACCTTACTCATTTCTGCATCCCCAGCATCAACCACTGTGGCTGGCACGTAGAGAGGTCTCTCAATAAATTTTGAATGATATGTCGTAATCTTCTCAGTGTAGACAAGGAAAAGGCTAAGGAAAGGATTCTTCTGTAAGTAATATCTGGAAAATAAAGTTAAATCCTTACCTCACATTTTACACTAAAACAAAGTCAAGATGAGTTAAATATTTAAATGTAAAAGAGAAGCAGTTTTTGAAAGTACGGAGAAACTAGTTCATAGCCTGGTGGGAGAGGCAGTTATACAAACCAAAATTTTACTCTGGAGCAGGAAGGGCTTCACTAACAGAAGTATGGGGGATTAGAAGAGCGTCTCGGTCAGGCCTGGGGGCTCCAAAGGCTGCCAGGGGAAGGAACTTTAAGCTAAGTTCTGAAAGACAAGTAGAAAGTAGCCAAGAGAAGGGCTGGTGAAAAGCATGTTCCAGGCAGAAGGGAGAGTCTCTGCAAAGGCCTGGAGGTGGGAAAGTCAGATGGGAAAAAATGATAGGAATGGTCTTGAGGCCCTCAAGTAGATGTCAACTACACCTACATGGGGACTATCATATCCTGGCTTTGGGGGAAGGTGTGTCAAATCTCACACAAATGGCAGCTGCATTCTTTTGGGACAGGGGCACAGAGGTGGACTTGGAGTCCAACATTGCCATCTTGCAGGTGGATAGGAATCTCTGTGGGGGGCCACATGGTCGCTGAATCCCTGGGGCTAATGCAGTCCTAGTCTGCATGCCAGCACCAGCCCTGACAAGTGCATGTGAAAACGGCCCTGGCCCACTCAGGAAGGGCCATCCAGATGCCAGAATTACATCCTACACCAAATCTACGTTTAGAACACCGTCCATTCTCTCTCAATGGCTTGTGAGAAAGCTGCTTTGCAAGTTGCCCCACCGTGGCCCAGGAGCTCTTTGAATTGCCACAAGATAGCATGGAGGGTGTCAGGCTATAGCCAGGTCAGAGAAGAGGGACCCAACACAGGGCCAGGAATAAACCAGACTCCTCTGCTTTTCAGTCTAGAATTAAGTTAATTGTATATTATGGGTGCAATGTTTTATGGTCTGTGACAATTGAAATATTTATCCATACACAAAGTCTAATGCTTACGTCCTGTTTACCCTAATGACTTTTTCTACGTAATAAAAATACGATTCTTTTCCATTCAAGTTGATAACAGAACTGTATAAATGTTCCTCTTCCAAGAATCAGGCAAATGGAATCAAAATACTTCATAATAACCATGCAGTATTTTTCACAGCATGGTTACTTTAAAATCCACTTAAAGGAATAAGGTATGTATTTTGCCATGAAATCCTTTAAAACCAGAGAGAATGAAGTAACAAAACACCGTGATCGTATAAAGAGAACAAACCAGTATATTCCATGCCCCCTTCAATGGCAATCCTGACTGAACATGAGTACTGATAAGAGACTTTATTGTAGGCTCATCATTTGTCATAAATAATCATGAGGAAACTCCCGTGGCTTTAGAAACTTTGTCACTGGCAGGTAGGCATAAAAATGCTAATATTTTCAAAATAATCTATTTTACAACACCTGTCTTTGGTCACCTCTCTACTCTTTTCAGACATCTGATGGGATAAATTGTTGGAAGATGATCAAATAATACTATCAGTAACATGCTCAAAGAATTTTTATAGCCATCTATTTTCTCAGTTACCACTGTATTTTATTTATGGCTCATGTCAAAAAAATGCCTTAGGGCTTTTTCTCCTCAAGTCTATAGCAGTTTATTTCCCCAAAATTGTGCCCATGCTTTACAGCAAGATCCACAGCAATAAAGCAAGAAATCAGAAAAATCAGCATTTGATATCAGCAGTTCAGCATTCTCTGCTACCTGGGACAATCCAGAGGTGATCACAGAAAGGGTCTCCATGACCTTGCAGTAGCTGCAAATCACTGTGATCTGAATGAGAATAGTCTCCTCTTCAATAATACATTACAGACTTAGTACATTTAGGTGCCCTCAAGGTTTCTCAGTGGGAACCCAAATTATTTCAGCACAAACCTCATTTTTCTTATCATACAACTTCCATCGATACATTTATGATCTCTTTAAAGCACACAATAGAGGGCATACCCATGCATCATGCCCACATTTATCCACAAGTGCTCAGATAGATACATAAGCCAATAAATTCTAAATGACCAAATAAAAGAGCTAACTAGAATTCTCATCCAGGGGTGAATGCATGGCTGCTCACATTCAAGATCTGTCCTAATAGAAACTAAGTGGAAAACCACACAAAAGAAGCTAGCGGAGTCCAGCCGTAAAGGTCAGAGAGATGAAGGGGCTGCTATAGCAGACGGCACCAAAGGAGACTGACCGAGGCCTTTGCCATTAGCAGAGAATGAGTCCCCAGACCATCAGGGGTCCCCATGTTCAAGCAAGTTTCTATAGGAGAATTTCCCCAATAAAAAGCAATAAAATACAAATAGAAATGCAGTGTGCACCCTTCAGACCCAGATAAAGAACAACAAAGCCATGCTGAAATGTCAGTGCTCATTGCTGGGAGTCCTGCTGGGGACCTAGCCAGACCTCAGCACTCCCATCCTGTCCAGCACACACACACCTCATCCCCAACTTCCTCCTGAGCCCAATGATTCACACACAGCAGGAACAATTCAAACTTGTCCCTCAGTAAGATTACAAATTACCAGACCCCATGGTTCTAAAACTAATGGCTGAGAGGTATAGAGTACCCACGGGATACCAGGTGCTGTATGAAGTGCTGTCTATACATTTATCTCATTTCATTCAGCTCAACTGAATGAGAAGAATACTATTGTTACCCCACAGACACACTTCTGATGAGATGCTTAAATTTAGTGAATTAGACACTTTGGCAAGTATCTGACCAATTCACAATCATCTTCAATCTCCTGAACTCCCCGATCTTTGCCCCACAATCCAGAAATGGAACTTCCCAAGAAACATGCTTTTACCACCTGGTGCTGTCCAATGGGCCATTCAAAAGCCCAAATTTGAACTGACAGCAAGAGAGACTGAAAGTTGGTTGCTAAGTCTTAGCAGCAGAGACTGGAAAGAGGTACAGTGAGCTCCCGCTGCCAACATCAGGCAGCCTTTGCAGCCCATGAGAGATCTTCCAGCGAGCTCTTTTTCCAAAGCTAGATTTCTGTTCCTTGCTATGACCTCCGTGACTCTGATGGCAGAACGCAAGGGGGAGCATCACCCACTCCAGGAACGAGAAAGAGCCCTATGCCGCAAGGTAGACCTTACCCACTCCAGCCTTGCCAATTCCATTTGCAGGAGCCAAGGGGGCCGCAGAACTCAGAGTGCTCTGGCAAGACCTCTTTGCCCTTCCTTCTCCCGTCACTCACACCCTGACTACACCCTCTGCCTTGTCACCATCAGATCCTTTATCTCTGCTACATCAGCCACCATAAGAAGCCCAGGACTCCAAAGCATCTGTGTGTCTTTTCTGACCCCTATTTCCTACAACTACCCACCCTTAGCTTCTGACATTCTTCCACCACACCTGCTGGATCACACAATGAGTCCTCAAGAAAATCACCCGTTGGCCGGGCACAATGGCTCTCACCTGTACTCCCAGAACTTTGGGAGGTTGAGGCCGGCAGATTGCCTGAGGTCAGGAGTTTGAGACCAGCCTGGCCAACATAGTGAAACCCCGTCTCTACTAAACATACAAAAATTGGCCAGTGTGGTGGCGGGTGCCTATAGTCCCAGCTACTCAGGAGGCTGAGACAGGAAAATCACTCGAACCCGGGAGGCAGAGGTTGCAGTGAGCCCAGATTGCACCACTACACTTCAGCCTGGGCAACAAAGCAAGACTCTATCTCCAAAAAAAAAAAAAAGAAAAGAAAGTCACTTCTCTTCTTAGCCTCCTCTGGGCTCATTTCCTTCACCTCTTGCTCTAACTGAAGCCTGAGGATGCTGCTTCTCCTGCAGCTGATTTAAGTGCTGGACATTTTCTCTCTCATGCCTCTTCAACCACTGGTCAGGGATGGGATAGCTGTCCTCTGCCCTTCACTGCCATTTCTAGATTCCTCTTCTTCCCTAAGCCCCTTCCCCCAGGCTCCATGTCCTATGTCATCACACTGTTCCCATCCAGTGGCCCTCTATGGCAGTCATCCACTGAGCCCCCCACCCAACATTACTGCCCTAATTCCCGTAGGAGTTTTGAGTTTGGCTGACTGCCACTTTCTTCAGCGGTACCCGTATCAAAATTCTTGGTGATTTTAATACCCATGTGGATGATCTTTTTCAGGTCCTTAAGATCTACCTCAGCCACTCATTCCCACGGTCACACCCTTACCATTCATTACCAATAAAGCACCCCTCCATACTGTCAATTTCCAGCATCCCAACTCATAAATCCAACTGTCCACTTCATATTCCCATTGTCTAACAGCCATCTCAAACTGAGCACATCCAAAATCAAACTTTTTATCTTTCCCCAAAACCTGCCCCAACTGCTGTCTCATTCTTCCACAGGTATGAACCAAAAACCTTTATACTTCTTACATCCCACATCTAGCCTGTCATGCAATCCTGTTGGATCTACCTTCAAAATATAGCCAGAATCCAACCACATCTTTCCAATTCACCACAACCACCCTGGTCTGAACCCCCATAATGTCTAACCTGAATTTTTCAGTCGCCTTCTACCTGGTCACGCCTTCTATTCTTGTCCACTCTCCTCATGCCCAGTGTCTCCTCAACACAGTGCCAGAAGTGGACCATTTAAAACATTTAAAATTAGGCCAGGCACGGTGGCTCATGCCTGTAATCCCAGCACTTTGGGAGGCCAAGGTGGGTGGGTCACTTGAGGTCAGGAGTTCAAGGCCAGCCTGGCCAACATGGTGAACCCCATCTCTATTAAAAATACAAAAATTAGCCAGGCTTGGTGGCAGGCACCTGTAGTCCCAGCTGCTCAGGAGGCTGAGGCAGGAGAATTGCTTGAACCTGGGAGGCAGAGGTTGCATTGAGCTCAGATCGAGCCACTGCACCCCAGCCTGGGCAACAGAGTGAGACTCTGTCTCAAAAAGCAAACAAACAAACAACAATAAAAAAAAAACTAAACATTTAAAATTAAATCACGTTAAGTCCCTCTTTCCTCAAAAGGCTCTCCACTGGCTTTCCATCACATTAAAAGTAAAAGCCAACATCTTTACAATAACTTAGCAGATGCTGGTTTGATGGCCCCAGCACTGATCACTCGGGCCTCCTCTCCTGCTGGACCCCCTTCATTTAACCTGTTCCAGGCCCTCTGGCCTGCTCGTTGTTCCTTCTGTGTGCCGGACACACTTCTGCCTCAGGCTCTTGTTCTTTTGGACACCTCTACCTGGAATGTTCTTTCCTCCATATTTCCACTACTTTCCTCTTTTCCCTCCTTCCAGTTTTCAATCAAAAATCCCACTCTCACTGGGGCTTCCCTGACCACCCTACTTAAAACTGCAGCCCCACAACCACCCTCTCCCTGCCCTGAAATTTCCTGTCCCCCTTTCTTGCTTTCTTTTTCATCATGACACTTATTGTCATCTTTCTACTACAAACTTTTACTTCTTTTTTGAGTGTCTGCCTCCACCTGGTGGAAGGACAACTCCATGAGGTTGTGGATTTTACCTGTTTTGTTCACTGCTATGTCTTCAACACGTAGAACAGTGTCTGCCACACATAGGTATTCAATAAGTATTTTTAAATTAAGGTGTGAATAAATGAGAACAAATCAATTTAGGCAGATTAAGCAATTTCTCAAAGCTTATGGAGTTAGTAAGTGGCAGTGCTCAGAGCAGATTTATCAAAGGCTGAGCTGCCCTCTACACGACTGGACTTCCCTGCCTCACATCATCACATACTTGGGAAAGTTTACAAAACAAAACTAGAAGCAATCAGAAACGTTAAATCATTGAATAGTGAGTTTGTTGTTCCCTTATTGGATAGAAAAGGGATAAAAAGGAATCCACTTGGAATTGTTTAAACCAAGACCAACTTTGGAAAAAGCTCGATAGTAAATATTGCATGCTTTGCAGGCCATTTGTTCAACAACCACTCAATGCTGCGGTTGTAGCACAAAAGCAGCGACACACAATACTTAAACGAATAGCCATGGCTGTGTTCCAATAAAACTATATTTACAAAACACAGGTGACTGGCTGGATTTGACCCCACGGGTCGTAATTTGCTGACACTTGGTTTAAATCTGTAAAAATGTGATGAGGCTGCATGTGTAGCTGTGTTCCAAATCTTAGGCAATTATAGGAAACAGTGATAGAAAGTAAGGAGCATCAACTTTCATTTTGCCCAGTTCTGGGATCAAATTCCAGCCCTGCCATGTGCTGGTTGTGACAATGGATAACTTACCCCACCTTTTTGAAATTCAGATTGCTCATCTGTCAAAGGAATATCCTTCTCTGGCAGGGCTGGTCTGAGGCATGAATGAGATGATGTGTGAAATGTAGCCACTAAGTTGCACATAGTAGTTGCTCAGTGGTGATGATCACAATTATTAGGCGGTTCCTATGGATCCCCACTAGACTTGGAGTCAGGGCTCTCTCCTTTTTCATTTTGACATCCCCTTAGCCCCTAGTTCTGGCCTGGAGATGTCGGTACTGGGCACTTTGTGAAGGACAAATGAAAGGACACATCACTTTATATCATGCCTGATGAACTTCTAAAGAAGTAAAACAGTTTTTTTTTTTAAACCAAGTTCTAGAAGCATTCAAACACATGAGGCTTAAGGGCATTGTGGCTATGGAATTATGCTGATAACAATATTGGGAGAATATAAAGCCAATGTACTTTCATCCTTGTTTTATCCAGTCTTCAGATCTTGGGAGGTACTGCAGATCACCTCATGCATTGCCATTCCAGCCCACCTTGCTGCATGCACTGGAGGCTGGCAAGCAAGACTGTTTCCCTGACACTCTGAGAACTCAACTGAGCAGACATGCCACAAAAGATCTGCAAAGCCTCAGTGAGGTGGCTTTTCGGCTGGCGGAGCACAGTGATCTTTTCTACTGGCTTGGCTGCTGGCTGAGGCTGTGTAGTCCTGCAGCTGAGGCAGAGGTTTACCGAGGCCCCAGTAGCAGTGGCCGCACCCTTGGTGGGCTAATTCTGCAGTGCTGTTCTGCAAGGAACTGGAACCTCCTCCCCTAGGCTGTCCAACAAAAAGTATTAAATCTATGTATGTTAAAACTAACCAGAGCGATTGCTGCCATATGGGACTGACCCCAGACTGACACTGCTCCTGTATTGGAAGCCTTGTCCACCAATTCAGATCATCAAGTTTTCTCACAGCATAGAAGGGACTCAAGATACGACCCCAGACTGATTCTATTAAATAAGGAGAAGAGAGAAAGACTTGTCCTTTCCAACCAAATGGAATGTGGGAAGAAAGACAGACATTTACACAACCTTCAACAGAAGCAGGCAGTGAGGTGTGTGCTTTCTCACCTGCCCTCTCTAGAGCAGTATCCAGAGAAGAAGTGGACAGATTGCAGCCCAGCTACAGCAGGGAGCCTTGGACCCTGCCTGCCCATCAGGAGCTCACTGTGGGAAAGAGCCGTGCCAGGGCGCCCCTACACCAACACAAGGTGATCACAGAGCTAGCTGCCCTATGGTCTTAAGGTTTTCAGAAATGTCCACATACCTGTGCAAGAAGATGAGATGCAATGAACAAATTGGAAAACAATATTGAAAAGGAAAAATTCATTTTTCTTTACCCACTCTTTTTTTGTTTGTTTTTTGAGACAGAATCTCACTCTGTCACCCAGGCTGGAGTGCAGTGGCGCAATCTCGGCTCACTGCAACCTCCGCCTCCCGCGTTCAAGCGATTCACCTGCCTCAGTCTCCCAAGTAGCTGGGATTACAGGCACCCAGCACCACGCCCGGCTAATTTTTTGTATTTTTAGTAGAGACGGGGTTTCACCATGTCAGTCAGGCTAGTCTTGAACTCCCAAACTCAGGTGATGCACCCACCTTGACCTCCCAAAGTGTTCACTCAGTCTTACAACACTTCGCTTCTGACACCAAATGTGTGGGGAGTTTTCTCACAACAACCAATTCTCCAACTCTCCACAAGCCAGCAGGTGTACACAATTCAATCACTACACTACCTGGAGTCAGCACCTGCGTCACAGGTTAAGGCTTCAGTCTCACAAGACTGCCCCCCATTTCAGACAGCAATCACGAGTAACGTGTCCTAGGTTACCCGCACTTCTGTCCAACGTGGCTACTAATTGGGGGTTCCCACAACCCCCTTCTCAGGTTCAATAATTTGCTATAACAGCTCACAGAACTAAGGGAAACACATTTACCAGTTTATTATATAGGATGTGGTACAGGATACAGATGAAGAAGTACGTAGGACAAGGTCTGGAAGGGTCCCCAGCACAGGAGCTTCTGTCCCTGTGGACTTGGGGTGTGCCACCTCCCCAGCATATGGATGTGTTCACCAAACTGGAAACTTTCTGAACCTTACACTTTAGAGATTTTGATAGAAGCTTCATCATGTGGGCATGATAGAGTATTAACTCAATCTCCAACTCTTCTCCCCTCCCAGAGGATGGAGGGGAGGGCTGAAAGTTCAGGTTTCTAATCAGGGCTGGGTGTTCCTGGTGACCATAACCATCCAGGAACCCACTAAAGGTTATTTCATTAGAACAAAAGAAACTCCAATCACCCAGGACATTTCCTGGGATTAGGAGCTCTGTGTCAGGAACTGGGGTCGAATATTAGAAAACAAATGCTCCTTGCATCCCTATCACTGAGGAGATTATTAAGGGCTTTATATTAGTTCTGTGTCTGGAGTATTTCACAAATGTTAAGGCAATATAATTTTTTTTTTTTTTTTGAGACAGAGTTTTGCTCTTGTTGCCCAGGCTGGAATGCAGTGGTGCAATCTCGGCTCACTGCAACCTCCGCCTCCCCAATTCAAGTGCTTCTCCTGCCTCAGCCTCCCAAGTAGCTGGGATTACAGGCGCCCGCCACCACGCCTGGCTAATTTTTGTATTTTTAGTAGGGACGGCTACTGCTTGGCCAGGCTGGTCTTGAACTCCTGGCCTCAGATGATCCACCCGCCTCGGCTTCCCAAAGTGCTGGTATTATAGCCATGAGCCACCGCACCAGGCCAGCAATGTAATTTTTGTATTTAAAAATGGGCTTTTGGCTGGGTGTGGTGGCTCATGCCTGTAATCCCAGCACTCTGGGAGGCCAAGGCAGGAGGAGGATTGTTTGAGCTTAGGAGTTCAAGACCACCCTGAACAACACAGTGAGACCTTGTCTCTACAAAAAAAATCAAAAAATTAGCTGGGCATGATGGTGCACGCTTGTAGTCCCAGCTATTCTCAGGAGGCTGAGCGATCTCAGGATCGCTTGAGCCCAGGAGGTCGGGGCTGCAGTGAGCTATGATCGCACCACTGCACTCCAGCCTGGGTGACAGAGCGAGACATCGACTCAATAAAAAAGGGGAGGGGGCTTTAGATAGTGTGTTTGTAAATAAACTTTTAACTGTTCGAAGAAAAAGATCTGCTTTACACGTCAAGATGTGAACAGTGGTTACTCTCCACAGGAAACGGGTAGAGACATGGGAGGGAGAGTCTTCACTTCTTCAATTATAACATTCAGTACTATGTGAATTTTAAAAGGAGAGCGTGGACTTCCTTTGTGATTTGTTGTTGTTGTTGTTGTTGTTTGCCTTTCTTCAGAATTGTTAGCCAAATGAAAATAGCCAGATGTGGACAGCTGATGTAAAGATTTGTTACACTGTGATCTGGTCCAGGAACTTTACCTTCAAACATAAAGACTTTAATATTCTAAGTTTCCCTCTGTCATTTCTGAGAAAAAGCACATTGGTTATGCCAGAATGGTTGAGTAGTCCTGTACCCAGACCAGGGGTTCTCAAACTTGAGCAAATACCAGAATCGCCTGGAGAGCTTGCTGAAACACAGACTGCAGACCCTCACCCTTGAGTTACAGTTTCAGCACATCTAGGGTCAGGCCCCAGGGGGTGCGGCTGCTGCTGATGGGTGGTCCTCGCTCTGAGACCTGCTCTAGACCCTCCTTTCTCAACCTGTAGTCCCAGAACCAGCAGCATCAGCATGGCCTGGGGCATGTTAGAAATGCAGCATCTTGGACTTTAACCCAGACCTCCTGAAGCAGAACCTGCACCAACAAGCACCCCGGTGGCTCCCATGCACGCGACAGTCAGAGAACACTGATCTAGATGTCCAGAGCCTTTAGTCCAGCACTTTGAGATGCTTCCCCCAAGCACAAAGCCTTCCATGAGCTCCCGCTCAAGTCCTGGGCCTGTGGTGCTGAGACATGACAGTGGCGTCTTGGTGGTCAGGCCTTGGGGTTAGGAGGGAGGAGGAAGGAGATCCTGACCGTGACAGAGAGATCTCCACGGCCACAGACTGTGGGTGACATGTAGCAGGAAACACTTTCTCTTCTTAGATGCATTCCTGCAGCCTGTGAGGGGCTCAACAGCACTGCTGAGCCACATCCTCCCGCGCACACAGAGAGGCAGAGGGCTGGACCCCATTCTGGATGCAGACCCCACAGCACCAGGCTGGAGAGTTCCCCCTGGCTTAGGTTCTCCCCTTTTGTCAGGCCCTCTCAGAAATGTGCTGTCTGCAAAGCTATTGCTCAAGCAAAATAAAAGGCAGCCAAACTGAAGGCCTTCTGGACATTTTAGAGACAAAACAAGCATGATTTCCACCAGTTAATTTTATCTCAGTGCCCACATGATGAGATCCATTATGCAGGCCACATGGCAAACCTAGTTACATTGCCTGGTGGTGGCCAAGGGGGCTATGTCTGGATCGTCAACACCATTTGATTATGCCAACCAGCCTCCTCCAATACACACTTGGCTTCCATGGTCCAGTGAGACTCAAAGAAGAACAACTATTTCCCTCCCACTCACTGCCCAGACTTGTCTCTAAGCCCTTTTTCTGTTACAGAGATGACCTAGCACATAGGATCTCGTAAAACTCTGCAGGATACAAAATCAAAAGGTTAGCTTTTCCTCTAAAAGACAAAGCAAGAGTGGAAAATGGAAGTTATAAACAATAAGGCTTTTCGCTAAATAGGTAGGCTGTTTTTCTCTATTAAGCAATGAAGATGTGCTTCTTCATAACGCCTTTGAAAGGATCAATGCCGTCCTGCAGAGTAATGGAGTAATGTTGACTGGTCTCCAAAACACAGTATTCAGAGTTGGATGTTTGAACAAAAATCAACTTAAAAATAGAGCAAAATGCAGTAAAAGAATTCCCAAGTGAGTAAGCAGGTGTAAATCTTCCATAAATTTCCCCGATGGCAGGGAAAAAAAAAAAAAAAAACCAACTCTTATCCACACTCCCACCTGTGGAGTATTTACCTGGTATTTACATGCCAGGAGCCATGCTAAACAATGTACAGGATCCCCTAAGCCATTTTCTCAACACCACTCTGTGGTGGGTACTGTTCTCTTTTTTATGCAGATGGGAAAACTGAAGCTCAGACATGTTAACTAACTTGCACAAGGCCATATAGCTAGTAACATGGGCAGGCCGGTTTAAGCCTGTAGGCTTAATCATTAGTCTATACTGCCTTCCAATCTTATGGCCTAATGGGATACCTCCCTTGAGGAAGAAACAGAAAACACAGTGAGGGGAGAAAGATCCAATTGCCTCTGAAAATATTGGTGAGGGGCACGTTGCTTTTCTGCAAAGGTAACAATCGCCACATAGACCAGTGGGTGTGGTGTGTTTCAGGATATGTGAAGGAGGCCCAGATGGCTCACGTATTGTTTTGTTAAAGCGGGAAGCAGTCACTCCCATCATTGGAAGGAAAAACAAAGGTATGCCTCAGCTCCAGACCAGCTCATCACGGCTGCCAGCTGCAGACACTTCATTTGGTCATGACCCGAGTGTTAGTGCTGACTGCTATGACGTGTGAAAGGGCCCCAGGTCATCAGCCCAGAATGCCAGCACAAGGAGACTTTCTGCTTCTCCATCCTGCTATCTATGAGACTCATTCTTCACTGCCAGAATGACAGATTGCCTTGTGTCACACTAGGCGAAAGCACGCACGCACACACACACACACACGCACAAACAGGTGATGCTTCAAAGAAACTCAGCTTCACATGAAAAGCATGAGGTGATATAAATTAAAGAACTCGGCTTACGTATGTAATTTCAAATGGGAAAAGGGAGCTGGTTTTTATTATTACACCAAAAGATGATTTAAATATGTTAGAGAGTCGGTAACTTCACCATAGAATCATTTTTTGTATATGTTAACCCTCAGAACTGTAAGTCAGAGATGATTCACTGGAAAAAAAAAATCAATGCCATTCATGTATAAAATGCAGGAAACACCCAAGCCCATAGAAGTTCAAGAGAAATAGAAGGACAGTGGGAGGGCAAGTGAAAATACGGTTGCGAAGAAAAGCCAGCTCAGTGTTTAAAACTGGCCTCAAAGCAGATAGAATATAGCATCATAACCACGAATTGACTTAAATGTCATAAGACAAAAACCAGCTATGGAAACTGGAACTATGAGCTGATTTATGAATGGCCATAATAATAAAAAATAATAATTTATTGAAGATCTACTATGTGCCAGACAAAATAGATATTATTTCCATTTTACAGGTGGGGAAACAAATGTAAAGAGATTGAATAACTTACATCACGTGCCACAGATGATAAATGGCAGAGCCTGAATTCATACCAGGGGGCAGCTGAATCCAAAATCCATAATTGTTTTAGACTATGTGGGAAATGGCTACATTTTTTAAGACTACAAATTGGGAAATGGCACCCAATTTGAAGGATGTACAGAAGGACCTGGAGCAAACACTCTCAGTGACCTGTCCAACATCTGTTCTCCCTTTTCTCCTTCCTGTCCAAACCTCAATTCTGTTAGATATTTAGTCATCTAATTTTCATTCCCAAAGGGAATCCTGATTGATCTAAGATGATTCTTAATTAGTATTCTCTAATTATTGGTCTAAGGGTGAGTCCATGACCTTAGATGACCCGGTTATACTTAAGGGAGGAGCATACATTCCATGACTGGGAGAAACACTTCACTTTTTCCTGGATAGGACAAGGAAGCCTGCTGCCCTTTGACCACTGGCAGCCACAGTGTGACGGTGAAAAGAACCACCTAAAGACAAAGGCAACAGCACAAGGATGGCATTGTGATAGAAAGAAAAAAACAAAACAAACATGTTTGTGGAAAAAACTGTTGAGCTGCTGACTTAACCAATTTTGGAAGCTGTCACACTTCTGAATTTCTTATGTAAAATAAAGAATGTCATTATTTTTAACTAATTTGAGGCAGAGTTTCTGTCACTGGCATATGAAAGCATCCTAATTAATACTGGCTTCATGCCCACATTATCTTCTTGAATTGCCCATCAATTTCCATGTTGTGCAAGTAGAGATTTATTCCTTTGAATACTTGTGTTTCCTAATAGGTGATGATGGGTAAATAACTATATAACTTTGGAGAGGGAACTATTTTTCTTATCATTGCACCAAAAAAAAAGACTTATAAAGAAAAATGTTAATACATTTAACAACATAAAAAGTTGAAATGATCCTTTTGTGGTTGGTAAGCATGATAACTGGATTTTCACATTCATGTGTGAAATGTGCCTCCTTCAAGGCTTGTTACCATGTAGGCACATTACCCAACTGATGTGAAAAAAAAAAAATTAAAAATTTTGCATATAAAAATTTGATAAATAAAATGTAAAAGGAAATAAAAAGCTAGAGAACATTTTTTCTGTATACAATATAAAGAGTTAATATTCTTTTTACCTAAAAAGCTCTACAAATAGATGAATTCTCCAAGAGGAAAATGTATAAAGGACATGAAGAAGCAAAGGACACTAAATAGATTTTTAAATGTTCTATCTTCCTAGTAATCAAAGGAATACAGATTAAAATATGATACCATGTTCATTTACCAAATGTTAATGTTTCTTCTTTAGTAAGAATGTGCTGGCTATCGGCTGGGTGCCCCAGCACTCCTCAGTCTCCAACAGGCTAGCCTCAGCCTGTCACCATGGCAGCAGCAGCAGGAAGTACACAAGGCCTCTTGAGGCCTGGCCTTAGAACTGGCACACAGTCACTTCCAATGCATCTTAATTAGCCAAAACAAGTCAAAGATCAGCAAAGATTGGAGGGAACTAACACTGACTTTTGATGGGAGGAGTTTCAAATTATATTGCAAAAGTTGTGGTTACAGGGAAAGGTGGACAATTAGGGCCAATTTTCAATCAATTACAAGTATATACTAATTATCTCAATTACATTTTTACCAGAAATTTATGTATATCTGACTATATATCATCTAGATATAGCTATATACACACATATATATGTGATGTACATGGATATACAGATAAGTAGGCCATCTGTTGAAATCTATTCCAAATTAAACAAGCACTACACAAAAGAGAATAAACAAAAGGCCAATAAGTCTATGAAAAGATGCTCAATAGCACTAGTTGCCATGAAAATGTGAGTTAAAACCAAACGAAACACTACTACCTTCCCACTGGAATAGCTAAAACTAAAAAAAAAAAAAAAAAAAAAAAAAAAAAAACCACAATGCCACATACTGGCGATGAGGTATGTAGTTATTAGGACTCATACACTGCTGGTAGGAATGTAACTTGGTAGAACCACTCTGGAACTTGTCCATATTTACCCAATTGAATATATGTTCACTCTATGACCTAGCAATCCTGCTCCTACATGCATCAGAGAACACGTTTAAGAATATTCACAGGAGTATTTTTTTTTTTTGAGACAGAGTCTCACTCTGTCACCCAGGCTGGAGTGCAGTGGCATGATCTTGGCTCACTGCAACCTCCGCCTCCCAGGTTCAAGTGATTCTCCTGCCTCAGCCTCCTAAGTAGCAGGGATTACAGGCATCCGCCTCCACGTCCAACTAATTTTTGTATTTTTAGTAGAGACGGGGTTTTGCCGTGTTGGCCAGTCTGGTCTTGAACTCCTGGCCTCAAGTGATCTGCCCACCTCATCCTCCCAAAGTGCCGGGATGACAGGTGTGAGTCATTGTGGCCCAAATCAATTTAAATGTTCATCAACAATAGAATGGATAAATATGGATGTTCCTCGACTTTCAATGCTATGTCCCAATTAAACCATCGTAAGTTGAAAATATTGCAGTCAAAAATGCATTTAATACACTTACCCTTACTGAACACTGTAGCTTAGCCTAGCCCCTACCTAACACAAAACCTATTTTACAATAACATTGAATAACTTATGTAATTTATTGAATACTGTACTGAAAGCAAAAAACAGAATAGTTGTATGGGTACCCAAAGTATGGTTTCTACTGAACGCACATTGCTTTCATGCTGTCATAAAGTGGAAAAACCATTAAGCCAAACCATCTGAGGTCGGGGACTGTCTGTAAATTATGAAGTTTTCCCAAAATGGAATATTATACAGCAATAAAAAGAGCAAATACAGCTGCTAGCAACAACCTTGATAACTCTCTAACAGACATCAGTTTGAGCGAAAAAAAAAAAAAAAAAGATCCAAAAAAGCACAGTTGAGCCTTGAACAACACAGGCTTGAATTGCACAGGTCCACTTAGACTCAGACTCTCTTCAGCCTCTGCCACCCATCAGACAGCAAGGCCAACCCCTCCTCCTCCTCCTTCTCAACCTGCTCAATGTGAAGATGACAAGGATGAAGACCTTTATGATGATACTCTTCCTCCTAATGAAAATAGTAACTATATTTTCTCTTCTTTGATTTCTTAATCACAATTTCTTTTCTCTAGATTACTTTATTGTAAGAATACAGTATATAATATATATATACAAAAATATGTTTATTGGCTGCTTGTGTTATCAGTAAGACTTCGGACAAATAGTAGGCTATTGGTAAAGTTTTCGGAAAGTCAAAAGTTATAAATGGATTTTCAACTGTGTAGAGGGTCACTGTCCCTAACCCCTGAGCTATTCAAGGGTCAACTGTATATATTTGTGATTCCAGTGCTATAAAGTTCACACACTGGTAAAACTAATCTGCGATTATAGGAATCAAAATAGTAGTCACCTTTGGCAACAGGCCAGGCGATCCAGACATGGCACAAGGAAGGCATCTAGGGTGCTGCTAACATACTAATCTTGATGTAGATTGTGGTTTTACTTTGCAAAAATTCAAGCTGTACACTTAAAATTTGGGCTCTGAGCTGTGTATATGTTATACTTAGTAATATTTACAATAATAATGTTTGTAATATAATAGTAAGAATTAGATTTTAAGTGTCTCTTATTAAAATGCAAACACCTCTGAGGGAGAGTCCTCATTTTAACCCATCACAGAGCTCTCCTGAGTGGGGACCGGTTGAGCACGAGCTGGGAGCCAGATAAGAGCCTGCAGGGCTGGCCAGGACTCAGAGACCATCTTCTGTTGGGATGAAAGGGGACAGGCTCTAAAGACACTCGAGGGAAGACAATAAGCACTGCCAGTTGGCAGTCACAGGAGAGGGCCCCAGAGAATATGTATGCAAAGGGCGGGTCCTCACTGATGGCAAAACCAGGCTCAGTGTTCTTGGATCTAGACAGCTCTGTTTCTACTCCAGCTCCTTCCTACTCTCCTCCTGTCCTCTAATGGGAATGAGGCTAGGCTAATGGGAATGAGGCTAGGCTTTCATGATCTTCCTGGCCCTTTTAAATTACCCACACACAGCAAAGAAGAGACCACAATGCTAGTTTCTAGTGAGAGTTGTTGCAGAAATGTCATGAGACGTGACAGCAAGTTTAAAGGGACCTAGAAGGTGTCCAGCTGAAAGGGCTCTTTCTTATAGCTCTCTGTCATTTTCCCTCTCCTTTTTAACTCCATTTTCTCCATCTAATCCCTCATTGTCAACACATTTTGAATTTTTTCATCGATAAAAAAGAGATCCATGTTCCCTAGCCTTGAGGTCACCTAATGGATATTTGGGACAAGCTGCTAGAGTACAAGGAAGGAGGATATAAATAAAAAGATAGAACTCATTCAAGAGGACTCTGCATTAAGGCAGACTATTAATATAAATCATTGCATTTCTATAACAGCAGGGGGGATTTATCATTTCATTTATCCAGACTTTGCTGAAGAATTTTTAAATGTGCCACAGTTTGCCCCATAGGCGTCTGAAAGCACATGTGATTTTAACCAGTGTAATGTTTGAGTACGTCTGGCCCCCTATCAAGGTTGATAATAAATGTGATTTACAAAAATGTAGCAAAGTAGGTCACTGCTATCTGCAAACATGGCTCACAATAATCAAAGGAACATAGGAAGAAAATGATGGGAACATAGGAAGAAAATTTCCAAGATGAGAAATTAAATAGTGTGCCTTTTCTGGACAGACAGAATCCACTGCAAAAGCACAACACTGATTTGCTTTTCAGCCACCAGACCTACTCTTCTTGTAGCCACGTATGACTAAGCCCTAGGGCAATGGCAATAAAATCAGAAACCATTTGGTAAGTAGAATCTTGGGAGATTATATTGACCTATGTGTCCCTCATGGTGTCCCACCATGTTAAGCCAAACAGTGCCCCAGCTAAATCCTAACCCAAATAGGCAGAGTATACAAATAAGCCAAAGTCATAGTCACTTCCCAAGTACCTCCCTGGCAGTCCCACCCACCTCCTGACACAGTATCATGACCACCCATGTAACAAAGGAAGGACTATTATCAGGATACCCTGCTCCCCACCTATAACCCTTAGAGATCTTATGTTTCCAATAGGCAGCATGATCAACTTTCTTAGCACCCAGAGCCAACACAAATGTTCTGCATTCTAGGTTTTATATACCAGTGAAAGGAAAATATGTATTCTTCTTTTATCCAACTATTGCTATGTTTATCAAGGACTATAACTGGGCCCAAAACCTAGATGGAACAGGTTCATTTAATAAGGGTGTTCTAATGCAACAGCTGGACATGAAAAGAAAAGGAAAGAAACAAAGAAAAGCCACTGTGCAGATATCTGAGGAATCCAATCCTGATCTCATTTTCATAAAATTATGAAGTCCCAACAGTACATAGCAGTTACAAACTCTGCTTCATGAATCTTCATTCATTCACCCAATCAATGTGTCCTGACCATCAGCTGTGACCTAGAAACTGCTGGGGTGGGGAAAGCAGTGATTATTCATAAGATGTAATCCTTGGCCTTAAGAAACCTTGAGAAGTAGGAATATCTGTGTGTGTACACATGCTCAGAAATAGGTCATTACAACTGAGTGTGCAAGTGCTATGGCTGGGGATATAAGGCCTCTAACAAGTATAGCAAGCTGACTCAGGCCACCCACAGATCAGGTCCTAATCCCTGGAACCTGTAAATGTTACCTTATAAGGAAAAGGGGTCTTTGCAGATGTGATTAAGCTAAGGATATTGGCATGAGGAGATTATCCTGATGGGCCCTAAATCCAATCATAAGTGTCCTTATATGAGAGAGAAAGAGGGAGATTTGATACAGACACACAGTAGAAACGGCCATGAGAAGACAGAGGCAGAGATCAGAGTGATGCAGCCACAAACCAAGGAATGCCGGCAGCCACCAGAAGCTGAAACAGTCAAGAAAGGGATTCTCCTCCAGAACCTTCTGAGGGTGTGCAGCCTGAACTACATTCTGACTTTGGACTCTGGCCTTCAGTCCTGTGACCAAATTCATTCCTGTGTTTTAAGCCATCAAGTTTGTGGTCATTTGTAATAGTGGCCACAGGAAACTAATACACCAAAAGTTGGGAAAGACTTTCCAGGGGGGAAACAAAAATGCCTGAGCTGCGTTGTAGAAGGTGTGGAGATGGAAAGTGAGAAGTCAGTGGTTGGTTGTGGCTGGTGTAGAAAATGCAAGAAGGCACCACTTCTCAGCCTTTTAGCTAAGACCAAGTGTAGTATATGTTCCTATCAGTTTAAAATGCAAGAAAGTGAGAGAGAAGACCAGTCGTGGGCTACATTATGGGGCTACATTATACATTGTCAATTATTTGTTTTGTTTGACATTTATTCATGGTGAATGAAAGGGAGCTATTGCAAGGTATTCAGCCATTTACAATTTAGACTTACATTTCAGAAAGGTCTCTCTACCCATACTGTAGAGACCTTTACCACCCCCACCCCCATATCTAGTCTATTGGGAAATCCTATGGACTCTATATTCCAAATACATCCAAACTCCTGCTTCTTTCCCTGTAGACACTGTTACCATTCTGATCCAAGCCATGGTTGTCTCTTCTGGATTTTGAAATAGGCTTCCATTTGGGCCTCTGCTTTTCTTCTTGCCTGTCTGTAGCCTAATCTCAACACAGCACTCAGCATGTCACTTAAATCAGGTCATGTCACTCCTCTCCTTCCCATTTCACTCAGAGCAAGAGCCAAAGCCCTAGAATGCCCCTTCCCGTGCTCCACTGCCTCACACCCTGGGCCTGACCTCCCTCCCTCACCCTGAGGCAGACACAGTGCCTCCTCTCTGCCACTCCCTGAACACACCAACCCAGTCCTGCCTCAGGCTTTTCACACACCGTTTGCTTTGTTTGGAATGATTTGTCTCTTTGATATCCCTTACCTCCTTCAAGTCTTTGCCTAAATGTCACTGTCTTGATGAGGTTTACCCTAACACAATTGTATTTTAAACTGCAACCTCCCTCTTACCCTGCTTTTCCTCTTTTCTTCCATATCTTCTAACATGTCTGATATAGTTTGGGTGTTTGTCCCCTCCAAATCTCAAGCTGAAAAGTAATCGCCAGTGTTGGAGTGCGGCTTGGTGGGAGGGGTTTGGGTCATGGGGACGGATCCTTCATGAATGGCTTGGTGCTGAGTTCTCCCTCTGAGTTCATGCAACATCTGGTTGTTTAAAAGAGTGTGACACCTCCCCCAACTCTTGCTCCCACTCTCGCCATGTGGTGCCTGCTTCCCCTTCACCTTCCACCATGATTGGAAGCTTCCTGAGGCCCTCATCAAGAGCAGATGCCAGCACCATGCTTTCGGTAGAGCCTGCAGAACCGTAAGCCAAAATAAACCACTGTTTTTTATAAATTATCCCAAACTTAGGTATTCTTTTATAGCAAGAACAGACTAATACAATATCTAAATTTGCTTATTGTGTTTATTATTTAATATCCATCTCCCCCTCTAAAATGTAAGCTCCATGGAGAAAGGAATCTTTGTTTTGTTCACAGCCATAACCTAGGTGATGACACATATCAGGTGCTGAAAAAATATTTGTTGAATAATTAAGTGAACAATGAATGGGAACAGGATAGAGCAGAGGTGACCCTGGAGGCTGGGAAGCCAGATGAGCTCAGAGCACTGCGTAATGCTCTGACTCTAAAATGATGTAACCCATGGCAAGCCTTTAAATGTCAACTCGAAAGGATGACAAAAAAAAATATTGGTTCTGAAAATACACTAATTAGCCCACAATGTTTGCTGGACTATATTATGTCAATGTTCAGATAGATTTCGGTAAACATTCTGAACATTGGGCTTAAAAGTCATTTAACAAATATGGATTAAGCTATTATGATAGTGAAGGACATTCAAACATCGAATCTCAAAAACTTTACAGTTTGATAAGAGAAATAAGGTATCTAGAAGATTGTCACATATTTTAGAGGGGTTTTGTAAGTAGGCTGTTATAAGAATATTTGTAAGAATGCAGCAACTATAAACAAGCAATGCTGACCAAGCCATTCTCGCATATAGTATTGCTTGAGTATAAATTAAAGCAGCATTTTTGAAAAGCATTTTGGTAATACACATTAATAGCCTTAAAGAATTTTATTCCACGATCTAAAGAGAAAAAAGTGCACAGGAAAAAACTGAGAAAAAATACGCCAAAATGTTAACAATGATTCTTTCTAAAAGATTAATCACCAGATACCAGTGACAACCCAACAGTTTTATGTGACAGTGAAACCCAGCGGTCCTAGTCAGCAGGGGGCACTCGTCCATGCAGTGATTAAGGGATCCAGACTCCTTCCATCTCCTGGTTCCTCACATCCCCTAGAGCCTAATTATCAACTGCTTCCTTCCAGCAGACAGAAAAACATCTTGAGGAAAGTACACTAGTAACTTCAAAGTCTTGGCTTGAAAGTGACCTGTTTACACATCATTGGTCACATGTAGATGCAGTGGGTGAGAGGTAGGGACTGCAAAATCTATCCCCAGACTAATTATGGAAAAAAGAACAAGACGTTTGGTGAACAGTAAAGTGAGCCTTCTCTGCCACAGGGGGATATTCTTCTCCTTTATATGTATCTTTATTTTCTAAATGTTCTGTAATGAACAAGCACTGCTTTAATAATGAGGAAAAAATCATACATTTATATATACATATATATACACATATATATGTCTGCAAAAAGAAAAAAGTTAATAATCTTTGATCCAGTAAATTCATTCTTTACATTTATAATAAATAAATAATTAGATTGTGGGGGTTGGCTGGCAAAATGGCCAAATAGGAATAGCTTCAGTCCACAGCTCCCAGCAAGATCAGTGCAGCAGGGAGGTGATTTCTGCATTTCCAATTGAGGTACCCAGTTCATCTCATTGGGACGGGTTAGACAGTGGGTGCAGCCCACGGACAGCGAGCCAAAGCAGGGTGGGGCATCGCCTCACCCAGGAAGCACAAGGGGTCAGGGAACTCCCTCCCCTAGCCAAGGGAAGCCCTGAGGGACTGTGCCATGAGGGACTGTGCATTCCAGCCCAGATACTATGCTTGGACTGTGCATTCTGGCCCAGATACTATGCTTTTCCCATGGTCTTCACAACCCACTGACCAGGAGATTCCCTTGGGTGCCTATACCACCAGGGCCCTGGGTTTCAAGCACAAAACTGGGTGGCCATTTGGGCAGACACCCAGCTAGCTGCCAGAGTTTTTTTCATACCCCAGTAGCACCTGGAACACCAGTGAGACAGAGCCGTTCTCTCCCCTGGAAAGGGGGTGCTGAAGCCAGGGAGCCAAGTGATCTTGCTCAGAGGATCCCACCCCCATGCAGCCCAGCAAGCTATGATCTACTGGCTTGAAATTCTCACTGCCAGCACAGCAGTCTGAAGTCAACCTGGGACACTTGAGCTTGGTGGGGGGAAGGGCATTACTGAGGCTTCAGTAGGCGGTTTTCCCCTCACAGTGTAAGCAAAGCCACTGAGAAGTTCAGACTGGGCGGAGCCCACTGCAGCTCGGCAAAGCTGCTGTAGCCAGACTGCATCTCTAGATTCTTCCTCTCTGGGCAGGGCATTTCTGAAAGAAACACAGCAGCCCCAGTCAGGGACTGTGGGCGCAGCTTTAGCAGACTTAAACGTTCCTGCCTGCTGGCTCTGAAGACAGCAGCAGATCTCCCAGTACAGCATTCGAGCTATGCTAAGGGACAGACTGCCTCCTCAAGTAGGTACCTGACCCATGTGCCTCCTCATGGGGAGACACCTCCCAGCAGAGATCGACAGACATCTCATACAGGAGAGCTCCAGCTGGCATCTGGTGAGTGCCCCTCTGGGATGAAGCTTCCAGAAGAAAGAAAAGGCAGCAATCTTTTCTGTTCTGCAGCCTCCGCTGGTGATACTCAGGCAAACAGGGTCTGGAGTGGACCTCCAGCAAACTCGAGCAGACCTACAGCAGAGGGGCCTGAAGGGGCCTGAATGTTAGAAGGAAAACTAACAAACAAAAAGGAATAGTATCAACATTAACCAAAAGGATGTCCACACAAAAACCCCATCCCAAGGTCACCAACATCAGACCAAAGGTCAATAAATCCACGAAGATGAAGAAAAACCAGTGCAAAAAGGCTGGAAATTCCAAAATCAGTATGCCTCTTCCCCTCCAAAGGACCACAAGTCCTCGCCAGCAAGGGAACAAAACTGGACGGAGAATGAGTTTGACAAGTTGACAGAAGTAGGCTTCAGAAGGTGGATAATAACAAACTCCTCCGAGCTAAAGGAGCATGTTCTAACCCAATGCAAGGAAGCTAAGAACCTTGAAAAAAGATGAGATGAATTGCTAACTAGAATAACTAGTTTAGAGAAGAACATAAATGACCTGATGGAGCTGAAAAACACAGCACGAGAACTTCGTGAAGCATGCACAAGTATCAATAGCCAAATCAATCAAATGGAAGAAAGGATATCAGAGATTGAAGATCAACTTAATGAAATAATGCATGAAGTCATGATTAGAGAAACAATAATAAAAAGGAAAGAACAAAACCTCCAAGAAATATGGGACTATGTGAAAAGACCAAACCTACATTTGATTGGTGTATCTGAAAATGATGGGGAGAATGGAACCAAGTTGGAAAATACTCTTCAGGATATTGTCCAGGGGAGAACTTCCCCAATCTAGCAAGACAAGCCAACATTCAAATTCAGGAAATACAGAGAACACCACAAAGACACTCCTCAAGAAGACCAAGACACATAATCATCAGATTCACCAAGGTTGAAATGAAGAAAAAAATGTTAAGAGCAGCCAGAGAGAAAGGTCGGGTTACCCACAAAGTGAAGCCCATCAGACTAAGAGCAGATCTCTTAGCAGAAACCCTAAAAGCCAGAAAAGCATGGAGGCCAATACTGAACATTTTTAAAGAAAAGAATTTTCAACCCAGAATTTCATATCCAGCCAAACTGAGCTTCATAAGCAAAGGAGAAATAAAATTATTTACAGACAAACAAATGCTGAGAGATTTTGTCACCACCAGGCCTGTCTTACAAGAGTTCCTGAAGGAAGCACTAAATATGGAAAAGAAAAACCAGTACCAGCCACTGCAAAAACATACCAAATTGTAAAGACCATCAACACTATAAGAAACTGCATCAACTAACGGGCAAAATAACCAACTAGCATCATGATGACAGGATCAAATTCACACATAACAATATTAACCTTAAATGTAAACAGGCTAAATGCCCCAATTAAAAGACACAGACTGGCAAATTGGATAAAGAGTCAAGACCCATCAGTGTGCTGTATTCAGGAGACCCATCTCAAGTGCAAAGACACACATAGGCTCAAAATAAAGGGATGGAGGAATATTTACCAAGAAAATGGAAAGCAAAAAAAAGCAGGGGTTGCAATCCTTGTCTCTGATAAAACAGACTTTAAACCAACAAAGATCAAAAGAGACAAAGAACACCATCACATAATGGTAAAGGGATCAATGCAACAAGAAGAGCTAACTATCCTAAATATATATGCACCCAATACAGGAGCACCCAGATTCATAAAGCAAGTTCTTAGAGACCTACAAAGAGACTTAGACTCCCACACAATAATAGTGGGAGACTTTAACACCCCATTGTCAATATTAGACAGATCAACGAGAGAGAAAATTAACAAGGATATTCAGGACTTGAAGTCAGCTCTGGAACAAGAGGACCTAATAGAGAGCTATAGAACTCTTCACCCCAAATCAACAGAATATACATTCTTCTCAGCACCACATCGCACTTATTCTAAAATTGACCACATAATTGGAAGTAAAACACTCCTCAGCAAATGCAGAAGAATGGAAATCATAACAAGCAGTCTCTCAGACCACAGTGCAATCAAATTAAAACTCAGGATTAAGAAACTCACTCAAAACCGCACAACTACATGGAAATTGAACAAACTGCTCCTGAATGACTACTGGGTACATAACGAAATGAAGGCAGAAATAAATAAGTTATTTGAAACCAATGAGAACAAAGACACAATGTACCAGAATCTCTGGTACACAACTAAAGCAGTGTTTAGAGGGAAACTTATAGCACTAAATGACCACAGGAGAAAGTGGGAAAGATCTAAAATCAACACCCTAACATCACAATTAAAAGAACTAGAGAAGCAAGAGCAAACAAATTCAAATGCTAGCAGAAGACAAGAAATAACTAAGCTCAGAGCAGAACTGAAGGAGACACAGACATGAAAAACACTTCAAAAAATCAATGAATCCAGGGGATGGTTTTTTGAAAAGATTAACAAAATAGATAGACCACTAGCCAGACTATTAAGAAAAAATTAGAGAAGAATCAAATAGACACAACAAAAAATGATAAAGGGGATATCACCACTGATCCCACAGAAATACAAACTACCATCAGAGAATACTATAAATACCTCTACACAAATAAACTAGAAAATCTAGAAGAAATAGATAAATTCCTAGTGACATACACCCTCCCAAGACTAAACCAGGAAGAAGTCAAATTCCTGAATAGACCAATAACAAGTTCTGAAATTGAGGCAGTAATTAATAGCCTATCAACCAAAAAAAGCCCAGGACCAGACAGATTCACAGCCAAATTCTACCAGAGGTACAAAGAGAAGCTGTTACCATTCCTTCTGAAACCATTCCAAACAATAGAAAAGAGGGACTCCTCCCTAACTCATTTTATGAGGCCAACATCATCCTGATACCAAAACCTGGCAGAGACACAACAAAAAAAAGAAAATTTCAGGCCAATATCCCTGATAAACATCGATGGGAAAATCCTCAATAGTGGCAAACTGAATCCAGCAGCACTTCAAAAAGCTTATCATCCACCACGATCAAGTCAGCTTCATCCCTGGGATGCAAGGCTGGCTCAACATATGCAAAACAATAAACATAATACATCATATAAGCATCATATAAAAGAACCAATGACAACAACCACATGATTATCTTGATAGATGCAGAAAAGGCCTTCAATAAAATTCAACACCCCTTCATGGTAAAAACTCTCAATAAACTAGGTATTGATGGAACATATCTCAAAATAATAAGAGCTATTTATGACAAACCCACAGCCAATATCATACTGAATAGGCAAAAACCGGAAGCATTCCCTTTGAAAACTGGCATAAGACAAGGATGCCCTCTCTCACCACTCCTATTCAACATAGTGTTGGAAGTTCTGGCCAGGGCAATCAGGCAAGAGAAAGAAATAAAGCGTATTCAAATAGGAAGAGAGGAAGTCAAATTGTCTCTGTTTACAGATGACATGATTGTATATTTAGAAAACCCCATTGTTTCGGCCCAAAATCTCCTTAAGCTGATAAGCAACTTGAGCAAAGTCTCAGAATACAAAATCAATGTGCAAAAATGACAAGAATTCCTATACACCAATAATAGAGAGCCAAATCATGAGTGAACTCCCATTCACAATTGCTACAAAGAGAATAAAATACCTAGGAATACAACTCACAAGGGATGTGAAAGACCTCTTCAAGGAGAACTACAAACCACTGCTCAAGGAAATAAGAGAGGACACAAACAAATGGAAAAACATTCCATGCTCATGGATAGGAAGAATCAATATCCAGAAAATGTCCATACTGCCCAAGGTAATTTATAGATTCAATGCTATCCCCATCAAGCAACCACTGACTTTCTTCACAGAATTAGAAAAACTGCTTAAATTTCATATGGAACCAAAAAAGAGCCTGTATAGCCAAGACAATCCTAAGCAAAAAGAACAAAGCTGGAGGCATCATGCTACCTGACTTCAAACTGTACTACAAGGCTACAGTAACCAAAACAGCCTGGTACTGGTACCAAAACAGATATATAGACCAATGGAACAGAACAGAGGCCTCAGAAATAACACCACACACCTACAACTACCTGATCTTTGACAAACTGGACAAAAACAAGCAATGGGGAATGGATTCCCTGTTTAATAAATGGTGTTGGGAAAACTGGCTAGCCATATGCAGAAAACTGAAACTTGACCCCTTCCTTATACCTTATACAAAAATTAACTCAAGATGGATTAAAGACTTAAACATAAGACCTAAAACCATAAAAACCCTAGAAGAAAACCTAGACAATACCATTCAGGACATAGGCATGGGAAAAGACTTCATGACTAAAACATCATGGCAACAAAAGCCAAAATAGACAAATGGGATCTAATTAAACTAAAGAGCTTCTACACAGCAAAAGAAACTATCATCTGAGTGAACA
Source organism: Homo sapiens (assembly GCF_000001405.40). Classification (NCBI taxonomy): domain Eukaryota; kingdom Metazoa; phylum Chordata; class Mammalia; order Primates; family Hominidae; genus Homo; species Homo sapiens. Next base: position 66,217,858 of record NC_000005.10, on the reverse strand, counting down.
GGCAACCTACAGAATGGGAGAAAATATTTGCAATCTATCCATCTCACAAAGGGCTAATATCCAGAATCTACAAGGAACTTAAACAAATCTACAAGAAAAAAACAAACAACCCCATCAAAAAGTGGGCAAAGGATATGAACAGACACTTCTCAAAAGAAGACATCTATGCAGCCAACAGACACATGAAAAGATGCTCATCATCACTGGTCATCACTGGTCAGAGAAACGCAAATCAAAACCACAGTGAGATACCATCTCACACCAGTTAGAATGGCAATCATTAAAAAGTCAGGAAACAACAGATGCTGGAGAGGATGTGGAGAAATAGGAATGCTTTTACACTGTTGGCGGGACTGTGAATTAGTTCAACCATTGTGGAAGAATGGCAATCATTAAAAAGTCAGGAAACAGCAGATGCTGGAGAGGATGTGGAGAAATAGGAATGCTTTTACACTGTTGGTGGGACTGTGACTTAGTTCAACCATTGTGGAAGACAGCGTGGCAATCCCTCAAGGATCTAGAACTAGAAATATCATTTGACCCAGCAATCCCATTACTGGGTATATACCCAAAGGATTATAAATCATGCTACTATAAAGACACATGCACATATATGTTTATTGCAGCACTCTTCACAATAGCAAAGACTTGGAACCAACCCAAATCCCCATCAATGATAGACTGGATAAAGAAAATGTGGCACATATACACCATGGAATACTATGCAGCCATAAAAAAAAGATGAGTTCATGTCATTTGCAGGGACATGGATGAAGCTGGAAACCATTCTTCTCAGCAAACTAACACAAGAACAGAAAACCAAACACCGCATGTTCTCACTTATAAGTGGGAGTTGAACAATGAGAACACATGGACACAGGGAAGAGAACATCACACACCAGGGCCTGTCAGGAGGTGTATGGCTAGGGGAGGCATAGCATTAGGAGTTTATACCTAATGTAGATGATGGGTTGATGTGTGCAGCAAACTGTCATGGCACGTGTATACCTATGTAACAAACCTGCACGTTCTGTGCATGTATCCCAGAACTTAAAGTATAATTGTAAAAAAGGAATAAATAAATAAATAATAGAATGCTACCAGCCCCTGCAAGCAAGCTGCCTGCTCACTTCTAGTCATTAACCCCTCCTTCTCTTCCTTCTAGTCATTAACCCCTCAGAGTAACTACTATTCTGATTACCAATGGCATAGTTTAGTTCTGCCTGGGTTTTTTTGCTTTATATAAACTGTCTCATTAAGTATTTAAAAAATTAGATTGTGGAAAAAGGTATGCCAGATAGATGATTGATGACTGATTGATAGTGATAAAGTCATACATTCATGACAGAATTATGTAAAATGGCACAAAAAATTCCAATGATAACAAAATGCTCCATCCACATTGTGAAATATTATTCAATCAAAAAATAATTTTCCATAGTAGTCCCCCCTTACCAGGAGTTTCACTTTCTGCAGTTTTGGTTACCCATGGTCAACCTCAGTCCAAAAAATATTACACGGAAAATTCCAGAAATACACAACTAGTAACTTTTAAGTTGCATATCATTCTGAACAGCACGATGGAATCTCTCAGTGTCCCACTTTGTCCTGCCTGGGACATGAATCATCCCTTAGTTCAGCATCTCCACACTGTCTACACTACCCATCCATGAGTCTTTTAGTAGCTGGCTAGGTTATCAGATCGACTGCTGACGTATCACAGTGCTTGTGTTCAAGAAACCCTTATTTTACCTCGTAATGGCCCAAACTCCAATTGTAGTGATGGTGGAAGTTTGGATATGCTAAAGAGAGGCATAAAGTGTTTCCTTTAAGTAAAGGGGTGAAGTTTCTTGACTTAATAAGGAAAAATAAAAACTGCATGCTGAAATTGCTAAGATCTACAGTAAAAAAAAAAGTCTATTAGTGAGATTGTGAAGAAGGAAAAAGAAATTTGTGTAAGTTTCACTGTCGAACTTCAAACTGTAAAAGTTATAGCCACCATGTGTGGTAAGTGCTTAGCTAAAATGGAAATTCAGTACTGTCCAAGATTTCAGGCATCCACTGGGGATCTTGGACCATATTTCCTGCAGATAAGTGGGGACTACTATATACACAAAACAGTAACTAAGTGGAATTTTAAAATGGCCTATATTAATCTCTTAGATTAGAATATATTTTAAAAGAATGTATACTGGACAAAAGACTCCAGAATAATAATTGGCATAAGTGCAGGGATATGTTAATATTCTAAATAGGTGCAATCTTTTTCAAGGATGATTTGGCGATAAGTATACGATGTCTTTGTCCCAGCAATTATATGTTAGGATTTATCTTAAGAATAAAAGTAGGGATGCACAAAAAGAGTCACTTCTATAAATGCTAAAATTAAATTCTTCCTTCTAAAAGGAAAAACTATAAGCAACTTAAATGTACAATTTCTGGTTATTTAAATATACAGTTGACCCTTGAACAACATGGGGGTAAGGGGCACCAACCCTCCGCACAGTCAAAAATCTATGTATAATTTTGACTCCCCCCCAAACATAACCACTAATAGCCTCCTGTTGGCCAGAAGCCTCACCAATAACATAGTAAATTAACACATATTTTGCATGTCGTATGTATTATATTCTGTATTCTTACAACAAGATAGGCTAGAGAAAAGAAAATGTGATTAAGAAAGTCATAGGAAGAGAAAATATATTTGCTATTCATTAAGTGAAAGTTGATCACTACAAAGGTCTTCATCCTCATTGTCTTCACATTGAGTAAGCTGAGCAGGAAGAAATGATGAGGTTGGTCCCAGGGGTGGCAGAGGCAGAAGAAAATCCACATAAAAGTGGATCCATGTATTTCGAACCTGTGTTGTTCAAGAGTCAAATGTATTCTAATACATGTATATAATAGAATATAGTGCAGCCTTGTAGATTATTCAAAAGTATGGAAAATATTAGGTTGGTGCAAAAACTGCAATTACTTTTGCACCAACCTAATAAATTTATCAAGCTCAAAAAAAACAGCAACTTTCAGAGTAGTATGCACAGTTATTTAAACATGTAAAGTGTTTAGAAGCCTGGAAGGGTATACATCAAAATGTTAAGAGTTATTTCCGAGTGGTGGACTACATATTTGTTTTATTGTTTATGATTTTCTCCTTTTCTAACATTTCAATGACAAATATATTACACATTGAAATCAGATTTAAAATATTTTATTCATATTTTAATAATATTTTGGAAACTTCTCACAATGATATTGAAAGAAGTAAATGACTAAACTGTACATAGGGTGTGATTTCAACAGTGAGTGTGTGTGTCCAGAATATACACTGGACAAAAAGACTCCAAAATATTGGCAGTGTTGATTTCTGGGTAGTGGGGTTCCAGTTCTAGGGAAAATGACATAAGCAAGACCCCTCTGGCTCTCCCCCACTGAATATAGTTATAAAACTTGAACAGAATGCAACTTAGGAACTCTGAAAAACAGAAAAGGACTGGGGAGGAGGATCAGCTCTCGAAGCACCACCAAACCAGTGGAGAGCTTACCATTTTGTTTAAACTCCAGAATAACCTTGCCTGGCCTTAGTGGGGTGGAAAGAGTGAAGGGGTGGAGAGAGGAGAAGTGGGCATCAGTGCAGTGTTCCAAGTTTCAGGAACTGTAAACAGGTGTCCTGGTAGACCATGGTGGCAAAGGGGGCCCCAGACACCTAAAACTGTTAGGGAGGGGAATGTTCTTCTCTAATCAGAGGAGCAATAGTACCAAAAGGTGGGGCAAATCCCCATTGGCCTTTTCTCTCTGTCCTCCAAGCACTTGGCCCTGAATGCGGACGCAGTTGTGGGAGTGAACAACAGAGCAGGGTCAATAAAACCCAGCTTTCTTGGGGGAATACAAAAAAGGAGATCCCCAGGAAACTGGAAAGTACTGAAGAAATCACACAGAGAAAGAAGTGTGGAAAATCAATCCCATAAAATTGCTGATGAACTCTTGGGCTCATTGTCAAGCCGTGCATGCAATGGATCTGCTCCTAACTAGCCAAGAAATGACTTTGAGAGCTGAACCAAAGGGGTAAGTCACCACCCAGGTGTCAGACAGGACACCAGGTGGCACACACGCAGGACAGATCTGAATAGCACTGCAAAGTTTTGGAAAAGCACCTGCCACCAAAACCACAATCCACAAAAGACTGGTGAAGAACTTTCTTCTTGATCCTTTTTCTCTTTGTTGCTCAAATTGTATAATTTCTATTGATCTAGCTTTACATTCACTGACTCTCCCCTGTCATCTCCACTCTGCTTTTAAGCCTCTTTAATGAAGGGGCTTAAATTTAAAATTACAGTTACTGCATTTTTTGTTTGAAATTTTCCATTGGCTCTTCTATCTTCTGTTCCTTTGCTGACATTTCCTATCTTTCCATTCATTTCAAGGATGTTCACCCTTACTTGGTGAACTATTTCAATTGACTTTTAATATACATCTTAGTTGATGATACCTAATTTGGCATCAGTGCAGGGATATGCAAATCCCGAAGAAAATATATCCGTATACGCCTCAGAGTTTTAACAATACTTAACTTTTCACAATAGTCAAAATGTTCAATATTAGGCCAGGCACAGTGGCTCATGCCTCTAATTCTCAACACTTTGAGAGGCCAAGGTAGGAGGATTGCTTGGGACCTAAAGTTTGAGACCAGCCTGGGCATCACAGGGAGACAGGGAGACTCTGTCTCAACAAAAAAAAGAAATTGTAATTAGCCAGGTGTAGTAGCTCACACCTCTGGTCTTAGCTACTTGGCAGGCTGAGGCAGGAGGGCAGCTTGAGCCCAGGAGTTTGAGTCTGCAGTGAACTATGATCACGCCACTACACTCTAGCCTGGACAACAGAGCAAGACTCTGCTCAAAAAAGACGAAAGTTCAATATTAAATTCAAAAATACTTGGAATATGAAGAACCAGGAATATCTCAATTTCCATTAAAAATGACAAGCAACAGATGCTAACACAGAGATAACACAGAGGTTGGAATTATCTGATAGAGACTATAAAGCAGCTATTATCAAAGTCCTCCACCAAGTAAGGGTGAACATTCTTGAAATGAACAGAAAGACAGGAAGTGTCAGCAAAGGAACAGAAGATAGAAAGAAGAGCCAATGGAAAATTTCAAACAAAAAGTACAGTAACTGAAATTTTAAATTTAAGCCCCTTCACTAAACGGGTTTAAAAGCAGAGTGGAGATGATAGAGGAGAGTCAGTGAATGTAAAGCTACATCAATAGAAATTATACAATTTGAGCAAAAAAGAGAAAAAAGGTCAAAAATAATTAGTCCCTGGGTTGATTCACAGACCTGTGGAACAATATCAAAAGGTCTAACATTCATGTCATCAGACTTTTATAAGGAGAGGGAAGAGTGTGGTGTAAAACAAATATTTGAAGAAATAATTGCTGAAAATGTCCTGAATTTGGTGAAAGACAGAAACCTACTGATACAAAAAGTTCAGCAACCCTATCAGGAAAAAACCAGAGAAATCTCACCCAGACAGATCATAATCAAACTATTGAAAACTAAAGACAAAGAAAACATCTTGAAAGCTCTGAGAGAAAAATGATACACTACTTATAGGGAACAATTTGAATAAATGCAGATTTCTCCTCAGAAATCTGGAGGCCAGAAGGAAGAAGAGGGACATTTGTTAAGTGCTGAAAGAAAAGAACTATTAGAATTCTATATCCTGGATAATATCCCTCAGGACCAAAGGTAAAGAAAGACATTCTTAGATGGAGGAAAACTAGGAGAATTCATTGCTAACAGATTCGCTCTTAAAAAATGACTCAAGGAAGTTCTTCAGACCAGAGGGAAATGATACCAGAAGGAAATCTGGATTGTCAGGAGCAAAGGAAGAGAAACAGAAATGGCAAATATCTGGCAAATATGAAAGACTATTAGTCTCCTCTTGGGTTCTTCAAAACATGCACGACAATTGAAGATAAAAATGCTAACATTGTTTGCCGGGGTTTTTGTTGTATGCAGACATAATATATAACCATCACATGAACAGAGGAGGGTGAAGGGGCCTGCGTGTTGGCGAAGTTAGAATATAACTTTGTGAATGGGAAAGATATTCATGCTGTAGATAAGAATTGGGAGCAGGGAGAATGTTCTCCAGACGAGAGCCAGTCCTGTGACCAAAAGGCCTATTCTCACCTTCACCTACAGAATTCCAACTTTTTTTGTTTCTTTTTGAAATGGAGTCTCGCTCTGTCGCTAAGCTGGAGTGCAATGGCAAGATCTCGGCTCACTGCAACCTCCACCTCCCAGGTTCAAATGATTCTCCTCCCTCAGCCTCCTGAGTAGCTGGGACTATAGGCACGCACCACCACGCCCAGCTAATTTTTGTATTTTTAGTATAGACGGGGTTTCACCTTGTTGGCCAGGATGGTGTCAATCTCTTGACCTCGTGATCTGCCCACCTCAGCCTCCCAAAGTGCTGGGATTAGCCACCGCACCCAGCCCTAGAAGCCCAACTTTATCCATCCTTCCTTTCTTCCAAATCCACAAATCCTTCATGAAGCCTTTCTCTCCTTCTTCCATGGCACCCCCTTAGTATTTGGTTTATAACTCTCTGAAGGTTCTTAAAATAAACAGTAACTGGTAATATTAATAATAATAGCAGCAATCATATACTATCTTTTTTCTACCAGATACTATGCTTTACAAGTATTATTTCTAATTTCTTACAAAAACCCTGCAAGGTAGACAATATTATTCCTTCCTTGACAAAAGAGGAAACAGACTCAGTGCGTGACAGTGGTTTTTATGTTGGTCTTATTGACAATAATTAGACTTACTAAGTTCTGCAAACTTCTACGTACCCTGAAGCATCTTCTTGGTTCACAGAATCCAAGCTGGAATAACCTTAGCAATGTGCTCCCACTTTAATCCTTGAATTCTACAAGGGACAATATTGGGTTGGGTTGGATTATCTCAAAATTGAGTTCAATCCATAAGCTCAAAAGAAGTACAGGCTTGGCCGGGCACAGTGGCTCATGCCTGTAATCCCAGCACTTTGGGAGGCTGAGACTGGCAGATCACTTGAGGCCAGAAGTTTGAGACCAGCCTGGCCAACATGGCAAAAACCTGTCTCTAATATAAGTACAAAAAAATTAGCCAGGCATGGTGGCACATGCCTGTAATCCCAGCTCCTCAGGAGGCTGAGGCAGGAAAATCACTTGAACCTGGGAGGTGGAGGCTGCAGTGAGCCGAGATCACACCATTGTACTCCAGCCGGGGTGACAGAGCAAGACTCTGTCTCAAAAAAAAAAAAAAAAAAAATACAGGCTAGTAAAATTTTTGTGAACTATGGCTCTTAAGCCTCCTCTTAGACGCCAAATAACATGCAAGAAAAGGCTCAAATGTTGGAAGGACTTCTGTGCAAAAACTGCAGAGCCACTCTTGAGTCTCACTGAGATCAGAATGAAACAATTTATGTTTCTGGGCATCAGTACCTTCGACTGACCTCGCTGCTGAATACTTATTGTGATTTTTGTGCTGCAGCACATTCCAAGTTCAAAGTAAGATGTATCTGCCTTAGTAATACATGTTGGAGAAAAATCAATTTCTATGATAAATGGCGTGGATCCTGTCTTGTCTTGGGGCACTGTTGGCAGTGCAGTCTGAGCACAGTGTGTTCATTCCTGAGAGACCACAGCTCTCTGTGCACCATGAAGCACTTGCTATGTCTGAATGTTTTAGGCTAAAGCTGCAGTGTGCAGGGAAGGAAACCACGGCTAACCATTTGATCATATCTGAGGGAACTCTTCGTGGGCCTTGAAGGAAAGGTGGAATTTGCACTTGTATGAATGGGATTGGAGGCAGTGGGGCACAGAGAACATTCCAAGCTGAGAAGGCAAGGTCAGGAAAGGAAGCCGCGTGGGAGGAGCAGAGTGTGGAGCACAGAGTCTGCCATCAACAGAAGAGACAGGAACACAGGTTGAAGCAACTGATGGGGCCTGAATTAGGACTCTTTCAACGTAAGTAACTGACGCCCAATTCAAATTAGGTGAATTCCAAAATAAAAAGGGAATTCATTGTCTCTTATAACCAGGCCATCTAGGGATGCTGCAGGCCTCAGGCATTTTGGATCCTAGTGCAAAAAATGTCCTCAATTTCTCTCTCTCTCCTTTCCTCAGCTGTGCTCACCAACAGGTGTCAGCCTCACTCTCCCCAGCTGCAGGCCAACTTCCTCCAGGTAGCCCAGTAGGTCTGGGGTGGCTGGAAGGCCTTAGTCATCGCCCCTGGCATGTCACACCCCAGCTGGGATTTTGCCCTGAGGGCACTGGGAAGCCACTGAAAAATTTTCTTCAGGGGAGTGGCATGAGAAGCCTGCAGTTTTGAAAGACCATTGTGTACAATGGTTAGACATAGGGAGGGAGAAAGGAGGCTCCAGGAAGAATCGGAATGAGAACTGATGAGGACCTGAACTGCAGCAGGAGGAGAGAGAGTGGCGAGGACGTCTCACGTGTGAGGACGTCTCACGTGTGAGTAACATTCACAAACAGCAGGACTTGGTGGCAGTGGGGGCATGACTTGGGGCTACTGGCTGCAGTTTTCTGGCCTGAGCTGCTGCCTGATGGCAAAATTGTTCACTGAGAGATGGACTGTGGGAGAAGGAGCACTTTCTTCAGGTCAAGTCTAGTGAGAAAGCACTACCGTCCTTATCACTAGAAACCAGTGTTGTGTTTCCCCTGCCTATTGGATTAACTGCACCCACTGGTGTCACACCCACTGACACTAGGGAGGCCAGTTCGGAGGCAACATGGCCCAGGGTCAGCCCCAGCCTTCAGCCACCCCCAAGCCTCTGGAAAATACCTACCTTCCCCTCACCAGTGCACTCCTTGCTGCCTTAGTGAAGGGAGGAGCCTCCTGGAGGAACACCGTGGAGGCAGTGGGTTCCTTGGCCTCACCAAATAAATCCATTCGGACCTTCCCGGCTAGCCGAGCTCTCTTCCTTGGTGCTCTGCTCAGCACGCTCTGCCTTCCTCCTCGTTAACTGTGGGCCCAAGTTGTGTCCGCGGCTATGAAAGCAACCGGGCGCCAGTGAGGATGGGCCCAGGTGTCTTTGCTGGGAGGGCTTCCATGTGAGTAAATTCTCACCTTCCCACCCTTCTATTCTCCCCAACACCAGTTCCAAGCCCTCAAGATCCACTTCCACACTCGGCCCCCTGGGGCCTGCTGAACCTACTATTTAGGGCCTTGCCATTTTTTCCTCTGTGTTCAGTATTTCCTCTGCACTGGCCTGTGCTTCAATCTGACTGTGGTTTTGGTCTGGAGACACATCTTGGTGGGGGCAGATCTTGAAGAGGACAGATGCTGTGTGGCGAGGTCTTGTCTTTGTAAGTGTGGGGTAGGCTTCCTCGAGTGACTGTGGTCCAGGAGGATCTGAGCCAGAACAAAGAGGCCTCTGTTACGAAAGACTTTCACTCTTTAATTCCAGATTTCAGTTCCATCTTAAGATTGCTAAAGAACGCTCTGGAACATAAGCCAGGATTTGCCAGCATCTCCACCTGCCTCTGACTCACCATTTTACCTCCACATTCTTGCCCTCCCAACCTTGATGTCCCTCCTCCCCACCTGCCTCACCCTCCTCCCCCAGCTGAGCGAGGATCAACAGACCTGGTTCCCCGCCACTGCTCCATTGAGCTTGATCTGGAAAATGAGGACTCACAGTCCTGCTTAGGACACATAGTGGGGGAGGTTGGGCTCGGTGGAGCCAGACAGCATACTCAGTCATTTTAACAACTTGTTATTTTTGAGGCCCCAAGCTCCAGAAATGAATTTGGAAAGAAAATGAAAAAAATAACAAGACAGATAGCAGGAATTCAAACTCCACTAACAAAGGCCATCAGCTGAAACCAATTTGGACAGCTCAGCTCAGTCTCGGCTCATGAACTTCGCTTTACCTCAGAAAAGCCCTTCAGCACAGCACACGTGCACACACATGCTCACTCACTCTTACAAAAGGCAGGACTGGGTTTCAGAGCTATGCAGCAAGACAGAAGCAAAAGAAGCTTGCTTCCTTTTATTTAAGTGATAATCTCTGTGGTTTTGACTTCAGTAACTGTGATATTGTGATTTATAAGAAGAAATAACATATTTTGGTCTTCTTCCAGTTTCAGGGCACAGAACTCCTAAAACCTTTGGAATTTCCCAAGTTATAAGTACCCTTTTGTATGCTAGCGAGATGATCCCTGGCTGGGGACTAATGGAGAGCCTCAAGATGCCAGGAGAAACAACCATGTGATTAGAGGGTTAGAACTTTCAGCACCCCCACACCACCCTCCTTCAGGAAGGGGAGAGAGACTGTAGGTTGAGTTGATCTCCAATGGCCAGTGATTTAATCACTCATGCCTACATAATGAAGCCTTCATAGCAACCATAAGAATAGAATTCAGAGAGCTTCCAGGTTGCTAGTACACCCAGAGAGGGCATGGAAGCTCCAAGACACCTTACTCATATCTTGTCTTATGCATCTCTTCCTTTATACATATTTTACACATTTTTTAACTTTTTATTATTTTTTAAATAGAAACAGGGTCTTGCTATGTTGCCCAGACTGGTCTTAAACTTCTGGCCTCAAATGATCCTCCTGCCTCAGCCTCCCAAAGTGCTGGGGTTACAGATGTGTGCCACCACGCCATCTCTTCCACCCGGCCATTCATCTGTATCTTTTGTGATGTATTCTATAATAAGCCAGGAAACATAAATGAAACACTTTCCTGAGTTCTGTGAGCTGCTCTAACAAATGATTGAATCTGAGGAGGGGGTCATGGGAACTCCCAATTTGTACCCAGTCATTAGAAGCACGAGTCACAATCTGGGATTTTCAACTGGCATCGGAAATAGGAGGTTGTCTTGTGGGACTGAGCCCTAACCTGTGGGATCTGACTCTAGGTTAGAGTATCAGAATTGAACTGAATTCAGGACACCCAGTTGGTGTCTGCTGGAGAATTGGTTGTTGCGGAAATCCCCTGACACATTTTTGTGACCTAATGTGAAGTTTGCTGTGTTGAGTGTTGAGAGTATAGTAGAAGAAAACAGCCAGTTAGTTTGCTTTCCTACTACTATCCAGGTATCTTAAAACATAGTATGTCAAATACGGAACTGTTTATTTTCAGCCACACCCTCCCCAACAAAATCCTTTTCCTCCTCCAGGCTGTCATGTCATTTATTGGCACCACCTTCAACACAACTACTCAAGCCCAGTTGCTGAGCATCATCTGGAATCCTTTCACCTTCCCATGCACAATCCTTGAGATCCGGAGATGCTACCTCCAAAAGGCAACCAAAAAATCTAACGACGACTCACTATCTTCCCATCTACTGTCCAGTTGTGTATATATGCGTCTATGGACCAGGTAGTGTGTCAAAGGTATTTCTTAGCTGTAGGGTTGCAGCAAAAAAGTTTGGAAGCTATTCATTGCCCATTAGGCAATTAAAGAGTAAAGATGTGGCCCCTGCCTACATCTTTAATCTCATCTTCTGTCATCTCCCCCTCTTTGCTCCTTTAGTCCCTGGAAAGTGGTAAGCTCTTTCCTGCCTTGGGGCCTTAGTATTTGCTGTTAACTCTACCTGGAACATTCTCCTTATCTTTCCCATGGCTGATTCACTGCCATCCTTCAAGTCTCAGTTTAATGTCATATCCTCAGAGAGGCCCCCCATCCATATTATGTAAACCATGTCTTCTTCCCATCACTACACGCTATGGTCTGAAAGTTTGCATCTCCCCAAAATTCATATATTGAAACCTAATCCCCAATGCAATAGGATTAAGAGGCGGGACCTTTAGGAAATAATTAGGTCTTGAGGGTAAAGCCCTCATGAATGGGATTAGTGCTTTTATATAATAAAAGAGGCCTGAAGAAGCTTATTAGCCCCTTCTGCCATGTGAAGACTCATAGAAAGTGCCATCTATGAGGAAGCAGGCCCTCACCAGACATCAATGCTGCTGCCTTGATCTTGGGCTTCCCAGCCTCCAGAACTGTGAACAATGAATTTCTGTTGTTTATAAGTTACCTATCTAAGGTATTTTGTTATAACAGTCCAAATGGACTAAGCCCTAAAGGACTTTTTCTAATGAATAGCTACAGGTTGATTTACGATCAGTTTTTTTATGAGACTGTAAGCCTTCTGAGGTCAGTAATGGTGTGTGTATGTGACTGTACCCTGCATCTGCATCCTACTTTTACCTAACAAAAAGAGCCTCACAGAAAGCTTTGGCAATTAATGACAGCCTGTAGAGTTCTGTATTCATAGAAGCAGTAGGGGTACATGCTGCAGTGGGTAGAATTGTGTTCCCCAAAAAGAGATGCTCAAGCCCTAACCCTGGTATCTACGAATGTGATCTTATTTGGAAATAGGGTCTTTGCAGATATAATTAGTTAAGATCAGGTCATACTAGAGTAGGATGGGCCCTTAATCCAATATGACTGGTGTCATTATAAGAAGAGGAAGAGATACACAAGGGCACACACCAGGAGAATGTCATGTGACAATGGAAGCAGAGATTGGAGAGCTGTGTCTATAAGCCAAGTAACATCAAGGATTGCTGGCAACACCAAAAGCTAAGAGAAAGGCGTGGAACGGACTCCCACCTTGAGCCTTCAGAGACAGCGTGGACCTACTGACACCTTGACTTCAGACTTCTAGCCAGAACTTTGAGAGAATAAATTTCTGTTTTTTAAGACCCCGTGTTTGTGGTACTTTGTTATGGCTGCCCTAGTGTATGCCATTTGGGTAAAATTAGATAACAAAATATTTCTAAAATGAAATCTAGCTCTAAGGTTGGTGGATTTTATGCAGAGTAATTAGTAAGGGTATGAAGGTAAGCACAATAAAGTATTTGGGGGACCTGGAAATGATTTCTAAAGCACGTCTTATTCCTCGAAGGTAAAACTCTCTAACCCAAACTCTAATATTTCATCTGAACCAATGTTACCTCAACCCTTGGAGCAAAAACACGACCTATTTGATTCATTAAGCAATTAAATTCCTCATTAAACTTTTGCCACCTGACCTGGAAGAACAGGAAATCATATTAGAGTGATGTTAGAAGATGTTCTCATTGTTTATTTTAATAGCTATAATAGTTTTAAAAGTCATGTTCTGATTATAAAGTTACATCAGCCTTTTAGGACATCTTTGAACACAAATTGTATTAACTTGGTTGGTTTATCAAGAGTAATGGAATTATTACTGCTAGAAGCCACAATTCCCATGAAAATTAAAATTGCAGTTTTTCAAATACTATAAATGATGTTTGGAAGTCCTGTAATCCTTGAATCAGAGAACTTACATTTTTATCTGTATTTTCAAGATAAATTGTAGTGTAAGAAAAACATTAGAAGAAAATATATTCATATATTAATTTATAAAAGTGGTAAATATTGGAAAAGAAATTGCTGATGGTTGAGTGCTGGGTCATGAAAAGAACATGGGCTAGAATCACAACATCCAGGTCCTTCCCAGACTCTGCTGCTTACCTAATGGTGGGACCTGGGGCTCCTCACTTCCTCTTTGGGCTTTGGGATTCCAAAGCTGTAAAGTAAAGGTACAAAGGAAAGAACTGCATTATTTACAAGATCCTTTCAAGCTCTAAAATCCTGTTGCTTGTGGACAGTTTGTTCTTATTCCTCTGCAGCATATTTATATGGGCTCAGGATTTCATAGTCAGGTTTTCATCCTTTTGTTAAATCAACAAATCTCTCACTGACCTGTCATTCCTCTGCCTGCCAAACAGGCCAGCCAGAGGCTAGGACTGAAGGAAGGAGACTTGAAGCAGCATCCTGCAACTGGTACTTCACCAACAATTTTGTAGTCTATTTATTGCACAACCTTGCCCAGTCCAGGAGACAAAGGAGCCTGAACTCCAAACTGAGCTCCCCTTGCCAAGCCATGCACCCATGAGGTTGCATCGCCCAGTGGCAGCACTTTTTCCTAATTGCACAAAGGCACCAAAGAGGTTAGCAGCAGTCTTGCTCCCACCTCCCTGGGTTTCACAGTTTCTTTGAGAGGCTGCCAGATTCCTTTCTTGCTTCAGAGAAGACGGCTAAAGAACATATTTTTTATCGTTGCTATTAATTTATTACTGTTTATTATTAATCTTGACAATGACAAAAAGCTTACATGCTCATGAACCTAGAGAACTCTCAAAAGAAACACACTAGCTATATAATTTCAAAATTCAGAAGTTGTCCTTACACCACCAGCTATACACATGACAACAATCTAAGTCGTTAGCTGTAGTTTAAATTGTTTAGCTTAAATTGTTAGTTTCATGATTTGTTCTATAATCATATTATCCTGATTATAGTATATCTCAGTTTAACCTCTATCCAAGTTTCTTTTTTTTTTTTAATTTTTTTACTTTTAACTTTTGTGGGTACCTAGGACATGTATATATTTGTGGGGAGCATGAAATGTTTTGATACAGGCATGCAATGTGAAATAAGCACATCATGGAAAATGGGGTATCCAGCTTCTCAAGGCATTTATCCTTTGTGTTACCAACAATCTCATTACACTCTTTTAGTTATTTCAAAATGTACAATTAAGTTATTATTGAATATAGTCACCCTGTCAAGTTTCTGATATCAGCTTGCTCTCACACCATGCAATTCACAGAAACTTGAAGCTAGGACAAAAAATATATAGGCATGCAACACAGACTCAGCTCAAGGAGTAAAGTGAGATCTCTTCCATGCAGGTGAGCAATCTCTTGGATGGATGGCCCATACCTCTATCCCCTCCTGAGCCACCTGGACTCCAAGCTGCCTTACCTTGGAGACACAGTAGATCCATCATGTCTTGATATCAACATTCTGGCTGGGTGGTTTCCCTGAATCTTTAAAGAGTTTTTAAATGATCCGTCAAGAGATTGGTCCTTGTAAACACTGCCTTCATCATTGGTTGTCATTGGCCTCGTTGCACTTGGGGGAAGGCTAATTGGGCTGGATTGAGGCTAGTTCCTGTCCTTCCTTTTTTCCTAAATAAGACCCAAATAGGGATTTACTGTGAAGCTAATAATGTTTAAGTTTCAGAAACCCCTCATTTGTACCAACCCCTTCCAAAATTCTGGGAGGGACCTTAGCAATGTGTTTACATGGTCAATTTTTTTGTAGTAACTAAAATATATTATCAGCAAAAACTATACAGCCAAAAAAGACAGGCAAAAAATTATGACACTGGACTTCTACTTTGGGCCAAAATTTAATAACAGGAACTGTGTTTACCATCCCACCTGAAACAACAAAAAACTAGATATGTATATGTGTATGTGCACGTGTGTGGGGGGTGGTGGGCGGGGGGAGTTCAGACATTGGACATCAGGCAGTGCAGGTTAGTGATCCCTTATTAACAAAGGATGTAAGCCCTATGAGTGCCCCAGCTTACTGCCTTGAAAAAGTGTACAGGCTCAAGTAGAGGGAAGCCAAACCCAGTGGTCTGAGTTGAGTTGATGAAGCTGGGAGTCCACTGAGGCCAAGATGGCAGGACAGAGTGTGGAGAAAAGAGGTGCACAGAGAAAAAGCTTTGAAGATCTGTAGGTAGGTCTATTTGTGTCTTCAGCTAAGTAATGATCAACATATGTATAGGGAGAAACCAACCAAGGGCCAGGAAAAAACATCTGAATGATTAAAAAAAAAAATCCCTAGAGCTCAAACAAGGAGAAAATCGTTTGTGTTTCTAAGAGCCTGGTGGAAAGCAGTGGAGGGAGTAACATTCCCAGGGCATCAAGTACTCAGAAGGATATTGCTTCAGGAATGCTCAAAATTATCTCTGGAGAAAAGGCTGATCTCCAACAAAGCTTAAAAATCAAGCTTTGAAAGAAATTGTTCCCAAGTAACTGAAGTGCGTCTAAGAACAAAGATCAAGAATATCTACAGAATACCAAAATAATCAGCACCCAACAAGGTAAAATTCTAAATTATTTTTACATGCTGAAATTACTTTACATTTAAGCTTGGAAAACAGAAACATGGAAGATGTTAAAACGACTTAAATTGAACCCAGAGAATTACAAAATACAATATCTGAGGGTTTTTTTAAGATACACTAGATGAGATTAACAGCAGATTAGAAACTACGTAATACTAGTAAACTCAGAAATACAGAAACAGAATTATCCAAAATGAAACAATGAAAAAATTGAACAAAGCATCAGCAAGTTGTGGGACAACCTCAAGTGACTAAAATACATATAATTGGAGACCATGAAGTGGGGAGGGAGGAGAAAGAAAACATATTTGAAGAAATAATGATTAGAAAATTTCCAAATTTAACAAAAACTCTAAACACAGACTAAAGAAGCTCAAAGAACAACAAGCACAATAAACATGAATAAACCTACACCAAACACATCACAGTCAAATTGATTTAAACCAATGAGAAAAGAGATCTTAAAAGTGGCTACAGAAAAAAAGCCACATTCTATGTAGAGGAACAAGAATGATGGCAGACACCTTGTTGGAAACAAAGTAAACCAGAGTTCAGTGGTAGCACATCTTTAAAGAACTAAGAGAAGAAAAAAAAATTAATGTATAATTCTATAGCCAGCAAAAATATCTTTAAAAAATAAGTTGACACAAAAACTTGTTCAGCATGCAAAAGGTTGTTAACATTAGCCTAAAGCTGCCTCTTTACACATGTTAAGTTTGGCCTAACAGTTTCTCTGTACACAGTGAACTCTAACCTAACGGGATGTATAACCTACTCATGAGCCAATCACTGAGTTCCAGCCAATCAAAGGCAGCCAACTGTTCAAACTGTGTTCAAATAAGCTAAATGCAGGGCTGTAACCAATCTGGCTGTTTTTGTACCTCATTTCTGTTTTCTGCACATCACTTTCCCTCTTCTGTCCATAAATTTTCTCCTACCGTATGGCTGTGCTAGAGTCTCTCTGAACCTATTCTGTTTCAGGTGCTGCCCAATTCTTGAATCATTCTTTGCTCAATTAAACTCTATTAAATGTAATTTGTCTAAGGTTTTTTCTTTTAACAAGGTGAAAGAATCCATCCTCAGCAGACCTGCACTGTAAGAAATGCTAAAGGATGTCTTCAGGCAGGAGAGAAATAGCGTGAAGTAGAAATCTGAATTGACACAAAGAAGTGAAAAGTACCATGAATTGTAAATCTATGGGTAAATATGAGGAATTTTTTATTTTTTTAATCAAACTGACTGTTTAAAGCAAAAATAACACCATATTGTGGGGATTTCAACACATACATTAAGTAAAATGCAGGAGAAAATTAGCACAAATTTGGGAGTTTAAAAATCAATAAATATTATTGTAACGTTCTTATACTATATATGAAATGGTATAATATTACATAAAAGTAGACTGTGATAACTTTAAAAATACACTCACTTCACAGACACACACACAAAACCCTAAAACTATTTAAAAATTAAAACAAAAAATGTTAGCTAATAAGCCAACAGAGAAGATAAAATGGAGTTTTAAAAATATTCAATTAGTTCAAAAGAAGACAAAGAGGAAAAAGGAAACAAAAATAGAAGAGATAAATAGAGGACAATAGCAAGGTGGCACATTTAAATCCAGTGATCTCAATAATCACATTCAACACAACTGGCTTAAACACTCCAACTAAAAGGCAGAGGTTGTCAGGCTGGATAAAAAGCCAACATCAAACTATACACTGCGCACAAGAAGTGCACTGTAAATATGAAAACACAAAGAAGTTTGAAGTAAAAGGATAGGAAAAGATTATACAATGCTGATACAAAAAAAAAACAAGAAACAAATTGTAATTGCAATGCTAGTATTAATTTCAGAAAGATTTTAAAACAAAAATATCAGAAATAAAAAGGGTAATTTAATAATGATTAAAGGGTCAGTTTAATATGAAGACATAACAATCTGAAACATTTATGAACCTAATAACAGAGATTCAAAATACATAAAACAAAAACAGAACTAAGTTGGGGATGGTAGCTCATGCCTGTAATCCCACCTATGCAGGAGGCTGATGTCAGAGAATTGCTTGAGGCCAGGAGTTCAAGACCAGCCTGGGCAACATAGTAAGATCTTATCTATTACAATTTTTTTTTTTACTAGCTGGGCATGGTGGCATGCACCTGTGGTCCTACCTACTCAGGATGATGAGGCAAGAAGATCACTTGAGGCTAGGAGTTTAAGGCTGCAGTAAACTATGATCACACCACTGCACTACGGCCCAGGTGACAGAGCAGGACCCCATATCAAAAACAAAAAACAAAAAGGGAGGGAAGCAGAGCAATATGGCTGAATAAAATCCTCCACTGATCATCCTCCCCACAGGAACATCAAATTTAACAATTATTTACACAAAAAACATCTTCATAAGAAACAAAAATCAAGTGAGTGATCACAGTACCTAGTTTTAACTTAATATCACTGAAAGAGACACTGAAGAGGGTAGAAAAGACAGTCCTGAATTGCCATGCTACCCCTCTCCCATCCCCCAGCAGCAGACATGTACTGTGCAGAGGAAATCTGTATGCTTGGAGGAGGGAGAGTACAGCAATTGTGGGACTTTGCATTGGAACTCAGTGCTGCCAACGCCAGACAGAACTCAGTGGACACCCACAGAGGGAGCATTTAGACAAGCCCTAGCCAGAGGGGAATCACCCATCCCAGTGGTCAAAACCTGAGTGTCAGCAAACCTGACCACCATGGGCTAAAGTGCTCTAAATAAACTTGAAAGGCAGTCTAGGCCACAAGGACTGTATGTCCTAGTGCTGTGTTGGGCTCAGAGCTAGTAGACTTGAGGGGCATGTGACCTAGAGAGACACCAGCTGAGGCAGCTAATGGAGTGCTTCCACCACCCCTCCCCCAACCCCAGGCAGTGCAGCTCACAGCTCTAAAAGACGCCCCTTCCCTCTGCTTGGGAATAGGGGAAAGTAAAGAGGACTATGTCTTGCAACTTGGATACCAGCTCAGCCACAGTAGGATAGGCACCAGGCAGAGTTGTGAGGGCCCCATCCCAGGCCCTATCTCCTAAATGACATTTCCAGATACACCCTAGACCAGAAGGGAACCCACTGTCTTGAAGGGAAAGACACAGTCCTGGCAGGATTCATCACCTGCTAACTAAAGAGCTCTTGGGCCCTGAATACTCAGCAGTGTTGTAAGCTTTGGGTGAGACTCTGAGATGTGCTGGCTTCAGGTGTGACCCAGCACATTCACAGCTGTGGTGGCTACAAGGAGAGGCTCCTTCTGCTTGAGAAAAGCAGAGAGAAGAGTAAAGGGGACTTTGTCTTGCAGCTTAGATACCAGTTTGGCCACAGTAGAGCACCAAACAGCCTCTTGGGATCCCTGATTCCAAGCCTTGGCTCTTAGACAGCATTTCTAGACCTACCCTGGGCCAGAGGGGAGCCACTGCCCTGAAGGGAGAGATTCAGGACTCGTAGCCTTCACCACAAACTGCCTAAAAGTGTCCTTGATCCTTAAGTGGACGTTGGCAGTAGCCTGGCACTGCTCCTTGTGGGCCTGTGATGATGGTTGACATGGGGAAAGACTCCTCTGCCTGGGGAAAGGAGAGGGAAGAGTGGGAAGGACTTTGTCGTGTGGTTTCAGTGCCAGCTCAGCCACAGTAGAATAGAGCACCACATAGATTTCTAAGGTTTCTGACTCCTGGTCCTGGCTCCCTGACACTATCTGTGGACCCACCCAGGGCCTGAGGGAAGTTGCTGCCCTAAAGGCAAGGGCACAAACCTGGCTGGCTTTACCACCTACTGATCGTAGGTGGTAAGAACCCTAGGGCCTTGAGCAAATGCAAACAGTAGCCAGGTAGTAGTTACAGCAGGACTTGAGCAAGACCCCATGCTGTGCTGGCTTCAGGTCTGACTCAGCACAGTCCCAGTAGTGGTGGCCACAGGGGTGCTTGTGTCACCCCTCCCCTAGCTCTAGGCAGCTCAGCACAGAGAGAAAAAGATTCCATTTCTTTGGAAGAAAGTAAGGGAAGAGAACAAGAGTCACTGCTTGGTAATCCAGAGAATTCTTCCATATCTTATCCAAAACCACCAAGGCAGAACCCCTACAAGTCTCCAAGAACCACAGCATTACTGGGCTTGAGGTGTGCCCTACCATAGATATGGCTTAGATACCGACACCAAAGTCCCTTCAAATACCTGGAAGGCCTTCTCAAGAAGAACAGGTGCAAACAAGCTCAGACTGCAAAGATACAATAAACACCTAACTCTTCAATGGCCAAACACTGATGAACATTCATAAGTATCAGGACCATCTGGGAAAACATGACCTCGTCAAATGAACTAAATAAAGCACAAGGAACCAATCCTGGGGAAACAGAGATATGTGTTTATTCAGACAGAGAATTCAAAATAGCTGTTCTGAGGAAACTCAAAGCAATCTGAGATAACACAGAGAAGGAATTTAGAATCCTATCAGATACATTTAACAAAGAGATTGAAACAATTAAAAAAGAATCAAGCAGAAATTCTGGAGTTGAAAAATGTGAGTAACAGGCAGGGCATGGGGGCTCACGCCTGTAATCCCAGCACATTGGGAGGCCGAGGCGGGCAGATCACAAGGTCAGGATATCGAGACCATCATGGCTAACACAGTGAAACTCCGTCTCTACTAAAGATATAAAAAATTAGCTGCGTGCGGTGGCAGGCGCCTGTAGTCCCAGCTACTCAGGAGGCTGAGGCAGGAGAATGGCGTGAACCAGGGAGGCAGAGCTTGCAGTGAGCCGAGATTGCGCCACTGCACTCCAGCCTGGGTGACAGAGGGAGACTCCGTCTCAAAAAAAAAAAAGAAAAATGCAAGTAACATACCGAAGAATGCATCAGAATTGTTAATGGCAAAATTAAGCAGAACAAACAGTTAGCTTGAAGACATGCTGTTTGAAAATACACAGAGGAGACAAAAGAAAAAAGAATAAAAAAAGAATGAAGCACACCTATGAGATCTAGGAAATAGCCTTGAAAGGGCAAATCTAAGAGTTATTGACCATAAAGTGGAGGTAGAGTGAGATAGGAGTAGAAAGTTCATCCAAAGGGATAATAAAAGAGAACTTCCCAAACCTAAAGAAGGATATCAACATTCAAGTACAAGAAGGTTTTAGAACACCAAGCAGATTTAACCTAAAGAAGACCTACCTCGGCCAGGTGCACTGGCTCACACCTGTAATCCCAGCATTTTGGGAGGCCGAGGCAGGCACATCACGAGGTCAGGCGATCGAGACCATCCTGGCTAACACGGTGAAACCCCATCTCTACTAAAAATACGAAAAATTACCGGGCGTTGTGGCAGGTGCCTGTAGTCCCAGTTACTTGGGAAGCTGAGGCAGGAGAATGGCGTGAACCCAGGAGGTGGAGCTTGCAGTGAGCTGAGATTGTGCCACTGCACTCCAGCCTGGGTGACAGAGCGAGACTCCGTCTCGGGAAAAAAAAAAAAAAGACCTACCTCAAGGTATTTAATAATCAAACTTCCAAAAGTCAAGGATAAAGAAAGGATCCTAAAATCATCCAGAGAAAAGAAAAAAAGTAACATACAATGGAGCTCCAATACATCTGTCCCAGACTTTTCAGTGGAAAACTTACAGGCCAGGAGAGAGCAACATAACATATTTAAAGTGCTGAAGGAAAAAAAAATTGTTATTCTAGAATAGTATGTTCAGTGGAAATACCCTTCAAACGTGAATGAGAAACAAAGACTTTCCAAGACAAACAAAAGCTGAGGGATTTAATCAACATCAGACCTGCCTTATAAGAAATGCTAAAGGGAGTTCAATCTGAAAGAAAAGAATGTTAATGAGCAATAAGAAATCATCTGAAGGTACAAAACTCAGTAAGTACACAGAAAAACAGAATATTATAACATTATAATTGTGGTGTGTAAACAGTTCATATTTTAAGGAGAAAAATGAAAAGATGAGCCAATCAAAAACAATAACTACAACAACTTTTCAAGACATAGGCAGTATAAGATATAAACAGAAACAACAAAAAGCTTAAAAAGGGGGAGATGAAGTTAAAGTGTAGTTTTTATTAGTTTTCTTTTTGCTTGTTTGTTTATGCAACCAGCATCAAGTTGTCATCAGTTTAAAACAATGAGTTATAAGATAGTATTTGCAAGTTTCATGGTAACATCAAATCTAAAAACATACAACGAATACACAAATAAAAAGCACCAGAGAAAATCACCTTCACTAAAATGAAGACAGGAAGGAGAAGACCGCAAAACAACCAGAAAGCAAAATCAAAAGATATAAAGTGGCTGAATGGATAAAAAACATGACCTTAATAATCTGTTGCCTACAAGAAACACACTTCACCAATAAAGACATATACTGAATAAAAAGGGATGGAAAAAGATATTCCACACAAATGGAAACCAAAAAAGAACAGGAATAGCTATACCTATATCAGACAAAATAGATTTCAAGACAAAAGCTATAATAAGAGACAGAGAAGGTCATTATATAGTGATAAAGGGGTCAATTCAGGAAGGGGATACAACGATTGTAAATATATATGCACCCAATTTGGGAGCACCCAGTTCAGCAAATATTATTAGAGCTAAAGAGAGATAGACCCAAAACAATAATAGCTGGATACTTCAATACCCCACTTTCAGCATTGGACACATCATTCAGTCAGAAAATCAATAAAGAAACATTGGAATTTATCTGTTCTATAGACCAAATGAACCTAATAGTTATTTACTTAACATTTCATCCAATAGCTGCAGAATACACATTCTTCTCCTTAGCACATGGATCATTCTCAAGGATAGAACATATGTTAGGCCACAAAACAAATCTTAAAACATTCAAAAAATTGAAATAATATCAAGTACCTTCTCTGACCACAGTGGAACAAAACTAGAAATCAATAACAAGAATAATTCTGGAAACTATACAAATACATGGAAATTAAACAATATGCTCCTGAATGACCAGTGAGTCAATGAAGATATTAAGAAGGAAATTGAAAAATTTATTGAAACAAATGAAACACAACATACCAAAACCTATGGGATACAGCAAAAGCAGTACTAAGAAGGAAGTTTATACCTATAAGTGCCTATATCAAGAAAGTAGAAAAACTTCAAATAAATGATCTAACAATCTTAAAGTACTAGAAAACCAAGAACAAATCAAACCCAAAGTTGGTAGAAGAAAAGAAATAATAAAGATCAGAGCAGATATGAGATTGAAACAAAATAATACAAAATATCAATGAAACAAAAAGTTGGTTTTTTGAAAAGATAAATAAAATGAACAAATCTTTAGCCAGGCTAAGAAAAAAAGAGAGAATAGCCAAGTAAATAAAATCAAAGATGAAAAAGGAGACATTATAACTGATACCACAGAAATTCAAAGGATCATTAGAGGCTACTATAAGCAACAATATGCCAATAAACTGAAAAACCTAGAAGAAATTGATAAATTCCTAGACACATATAATCTACCAAGATTGAACCATGAAGAAATCCAAACCCCAAACAGACCAATAACAAATAATGTGATTGAAGCCATAATAAAAAGTCTCCCAGCAAAGAATAGCCTGGGACCCAGTGGTTTTGCTGCTGAATTTTGCCAAACATTTAAAGAACTAACACCAATCCTACTCAAACTATTCCAAAAAATAAAGGAGGAAGGAATACTTCCAAATTAATTCTATGAGACCAGTATCACCTTGATACCAAAACTAGACAAAGACACATAAAAAAAGAAACCACAGGCCAATGTCCCTGACAAACATTGATATAAAAATCCTCAATAAAATACTAGCAAACCAAATTCAGCAACACATTAAAAAGATCATTCATCATGACGAAGTGGGATTTATTCTAGGGATGCAAGAATGGTTTGACATATGCAAATCAATGTAATACATTATATCAACAGAATAAAGACAAAAACTATATGATCATTTCAATTGATGCTGAAGATGTATTTGATAACAAATTCAACATCCTTTTATGATAAAACAAAAAAAACTCAAAAAGCTACATATAGAAAGAACATACCTCAACATAATAAAAGCCATGTACAACAGACCCACAGCTAGTATCATACTGAATGGGGGAAAACTGAAAGCCTTTCCTTTACAATCTGGAACATGACAAGGATGCCCACTTTCACCACTGGTATTCAACATAGTACTGGAAGTTCTAGCTAGAACAATCAGACAAAGGAAAGAAAGAAAGGGCATCTAAATTCAAAAAGAGGAAGTCCAATTATCCTTCTTTGTAAATGATATGACCTTAAGTTTGAAAAAACTTAGACTCCACTGAAAAACTATTAAAGCTGATAGACAAATTCAGTAAAGTTGCAGAATACAAAATCAACATTAAAAAATCAGTAGCATTTCTATATGCCAATAGTGAACAATCTGAAAAAAATCAAGAATGTAACCCCATTATAATAGCTATAAATAAAATAAAATACATAGGAATTAACCAAAGAAATGAAAGATCTGTACAATGAAAGCTATATAACACTGATCAAAGAAATTGAAGACACACAAAAAGATGAAAAGATACCTCATGTTCATGGATTGGAAGAATCAATATTGTTAAAATGTCCATACTGCCCAAAGCAATCTACAGATTTAATGCAATCCCTATCAAAATACCAATGACAGTCTTCACAGAAATAAAAAAAAATCCTAAAGTTTATATGGAATCACAAAAGACACAGAATAGCCAAAGCTATCCTGAGCAAAAAGAACAAAGCTGGAAGAATCATATTACCTGACTTCAAATTAACACTACAGACCTACAGTAACCAAAATAGTATGGTACTGGCATAAAGACAGACTCACAGACCAATGGAACAGAATAGAGAACCCACAAGCAAATCTATACACCTACAGTGAATTCATTTTTGACAAAGGTGCCTAAAACATACACTCAGGAAAGGATAGGCCCTCATTAAATGGTGCTAGGAAAACTGGGTAAGAATAAAACTAGACCCCTACCTCTCACCACATACAAAAATCAAAACAAAAACTTAAATCTGAAATCTCAAACTATGAAACTACTAAAAGAAAACACTGGAGAACCTCTCCAGGACATTGGAGTGGGCAAAGATTTATTGAGTAATACCTCACAAGCACAGGCAACCAAAGCAAAGATGGACAAATGTAATTATCAAGTTAAAAAGCATCTGCCTGCAAACGAAACAATCAACAAAGTGAAGAGACTACCCACAGAATGGGAGAAGATATTTGCAAACTATCCATCTGACAAGGGATTTATAACCAGAATATACAAGGAGCTCAAACAACTCTACAGGAAAAAGAAATCTAATAATCCAATTTAAAAATGGGCAGAAGATCTGAACAGACATTTCTCAAAAGAAGACATACAAATGACAAACGGGTGTATGAAAAGGTGCTCAACATTTTGCTTTCTGTTCCCAGCAAAAAGGACTATTCGAATCATCTGGATTTGGTTGATTTACTATCCTAAATCTTTATTTGAAACAGACCCTGTATGCTTCATTTGACGCAGCTGCCCACAACTGCCTTTTAGTGTTCTCTTGACGCATCGTCATCTAGTTCTCCATGGTTCTCTCTAACAATTCCCAGGCTCCTATTCCTACCCATCCATTTAATGCAAATGTCTACAGGGTCTTTTCCTTGGACAGTTTCTCACATGCACCCTTGGTGAGCTCATCTACTTGCCTGATTTTAACTATCATTGTTTGAAGATTACTCCCAAATCTGTATCTCTAGCCCAGACCTCTCTTCTGAGCTCCAGGTCTGTATCTACCACTACCTTCTGGAGTCTCCACTTAGATGTAGCAAGGTACCCGAAGTTCAACACATCTAAACCCCATAGCCAGGTGTGGTGGGACACGCTTGTAGTCCCAGCTACTTGGGAGGCTGAAGCAAAAGGATCACTTGAGCCCCAGAGTTTGAAGGTGCCATGAGCTAGGATCATGCCACTGCCCTTCTGCCTGGGTGACAGAGAAAGATCCTGTCAATGAATGAATGAATGAATGAATGACCGACTCTACTTCTTGCCCTGGATTTCCCTACCTCACTGAGTGGCCCCACCATCCACCCAAATACCTTAACCATAAATCTCAAGAGTCACTTGAGTCCTCCCACTTCCTCACTTGGGGAAGGCAGAATTCTAAGAATGACCCCCCAATGACCCTTGCCTTTGTATATTCTCCTCTCTTCGAATTATGAATATGATTAGTTCCATTCCCATGATTATGTTATGTTACATGACAAAAAGGGAATTTTTTTAGATGTAATTAATATTACTAAATCAGTTGACTTTGGGATAATGAAAGAAGAGACTATCCAGTTGGGACCAATTGAATCACATGCCCCCATTAAAAGAGAATTTGCTCTGGCCAGTGGCAGAAAAGGAAGTCAGACAGATTCTAAGCAAGAGAAGAATCTGATGTAAGCTGTTGGCTCAAAAATGGAAGACGGGAATTTGAGAAGAATATGAGTAACCTTTAGAAGCTGAAAACAGTTCTCAGCTGACAACTAGGAAGGATATGGGAATCAAAATCTGTCCCAAATCTGAATGGGCATGGAACTGGATTCATCCCCAGAGCCTCCAGATAAGAGCCTACCTTGTCTGACATCTTGACTTCAGCCTTGTGGGACCTTAAGCAGAGAACCCAGGCAAGCCTTCTTTAACTCTGAGCTACAGAACTGTGATGTAATAAAAAAGAAAAAAAGAAAGAAAGGAAAGTACTCAACATCAATGATCATCAGAGAAATGCAAATCAAACCTACAATGAGATTTCATCTCACCCCAGTTAAAATGGCTTTTATCCAAAAGACAGGCAGTTACAAATTGCAAGGATGTGGAGAAACGGGAATCCTCATACACTGCTGGTGGAAGTTTAAATTAGTACAATCACTACGGAGAATAGTGTGGAGGTTCCTCAAAAAACTAAAAATAGTGGCTCACGCCTATAATCCCAGCACTTTGGGAGGCCAAGGCAGGCGGATCACCTGAGGTCAGGAGCTTCAGACTAGCCTGGCCAACATGGCAAAACTCTGTCTCTAGCAAAAATACAAAAACTAGCCAGGCGTGGTAGCATTTGCCTGTAGTCCCAGCTACTTGACAGGCTGAGGGAAGAGAATCAATTGAACCTGGGAGGAGGAGGTTGCAGTGAGCCGAGATCATGCCACTGCACTCGAGCCTGGGGGACAGAGCAAGACTCCATCAAAAAAAAAAAAAAAAAAAAAAAAAAACCTAAAAATAGAGCTATGATACGATCCAGCAATCCCACTGCTAGGTATGTACCCAAAAGAAAAGAAATCAGTACATCAAAGAGATATCTGCATTCCCATGTTTATTGCAGCATTATTCACAATAGCCAAGATTTGGAAACAACCTAAATGTTCATCAAGAGACTAATGGATAAAGAAAATGTGGTACATATACACAATGGAGTACTATTCAGCCATAAAAAAGAATGAGATCCTGTCACTTGTAACAACATAGAAGGAACTGGAGGTCATTATATTAAGGGAAATAAGTCAGGCATAGAAAGACAAGCTTCCGGTCTGGTGTGGTGGCTCACACCTGTAATCCCAGCACTTTGGGAGGCTGAGGCAGGTGGATCACCTGAGTTCAGGAGTTCAAGGCCAGCCTGACCAACATGGTGAAACTCCATCTCTACTAAAAACACAAAAATTAGCTGGGCATGGTGGCAATGCCTGTAATCCCAGCTACTCGGGAGGCTGAGGCAGGAGAATCGCTTCAACCTGGGAGGCAGAGGTTGCAGTGAGCCGAGATTGCACCACTGCACTCCAACCTGGGCAACAGAGTGAGACTCAGTCTCAGAAAAAAGAAAGACAAGCTTCATATGTTCTCACTTATTTGTGGGAGCTAAAAATAAAAGCAATTGAACTCATGGAGACAGAAAGTAGAAGGATGGTTACCAGAGGCTGGGAAGGGTAATCAGGTGGGTAGAGGGGAACTGCGGGGATGGTTAATGGGTACAAAAAAAATAGAAAGAATGAATAAGATCTAGTATTTGATAGCACAACAGTTACTATAGTCAATAATAATTTAATTGTACATTTTTAAATAAGTAAAAGAGTATATCTGGATTGTTTGTAACACAAAGGATAAATGCTTGAAGTGATGGATACCCCATTTACTCTGATGTGATTATTACACATTGTATGCCTATATCAAAACATTTCATATGCCCCACAAATATATACACCTACTATGAACCCCACAAATATTAAAAATTAAAAAGAAACAGAGCTAAAAGAAATAAAACAATCCACAATCCAGTTGGAAATTTCAAGACTTTGAATTGACAGAAAAAGCAGACTGCAAATTATTAAGTACATAGAAGACTTGAACACCACTATCAACGAACATGACCTAATTGGCACTACAGATTACTTCACTCAACAAAAGCAAGGCACATTCTTTTCAAGTGCATGCAAAACACCAAAGTGGATTACTTGTGGACCATAAAACATGTCTCAGACAATTTCAAAGGAATTAAATCATACAAATGATGTGTCCTAACCATGATGAAATTAAGTTAGAAATCAGTTACAGAAAGATCTTTGAAAATTCCCAAATATTTGGACACTAATTAACACACATTTCAATAACCCATGGATCAAAGACAAAATCTAAGGGAAAATTATGAAGTATTTTGAACTCAATGAAAATGAAAATACAACACAGCAAAATTTGTTAGAATACAGCTAAAGTAGTGCTTTGAAGGAAATGTATAGCACTAAATACATATATTAAAAAAGAAAGGTCTGAAGTCAGTGACTCCTGTTCACACCTTAAACTAGAAAAAGAGGGCAAACTAAATCCAAAAGAAGAAAAAGAAAATAAATAATGAAGAGCAGAAATCAGTGAACTAAAAAAGAAAAATTGATGACAGTGAAATCTGATTTGAGAAAATAAATTGATAAACCTCTAGCTTGACTGATCAGAATAAAAAGAAGGAAGACACAAGTTAACGATATTATGAGTGAGAGAGGACATCGGTATAGATCTTATATGTATTAAAAGGTCGTAAGGAAGTATGAATAACTTCATGGCAATAAAGTTGACAACTTAGATAAAATAGACAAATTTCATTAAAGATACACAACATCAATGCTCATTTAAGAATAAATAAACAAGGGCCAAGCATGGGGATGTGTGCATGTAGTCCCAACTACTCAGGAGGCTGAAGGAGGAGGATCTCTTGAGCTCAGGAGTTTGAGACCAGCCTGGGCCACATAGTGAGACCCCAACTCTAAAACAAAACAAAACAAAACAAATAAACCCTAAGAATAAATAGCTTGAATAACTCTAAATCTAGTTTTAACACTGAATTTGTAGTGTGAAAGACTATTCCAGGCTCAGGTTGGCTTTTTTGAGGTATTCTACCTTAACAATTTGACACAAATTCCTTCAGAAAAGTGAAGAGGAGGGAATTACTTTCCAACTCATTCTATTAGGCAAGCATGCCCCTTATACCAAAACCAGAATGAAATTACAAAAAAACTCAGACCAATTTAAATACATTTAATCAAGTGGCAACATACGTTGAAATGAATTTGAAAAAGGTCTGGGGTTGCAAGACCAATTAGTAGGCTACAGAAGCAGACTAAAAGGAAAATGACAATTCTAATACTACAGTTACTTTTCTGCTAGAGTGATTCTATTCCATGTAACTAAAATCATACAAGGGCATACTTAAGATATTTCAGAGGAAATGCACAATTGGGAGGACTTAGCAGATGTGACTGAGGGTGGGAACAAGATGGAAGTTGCAGGCATTCTCAGGGATATTAGGGGTTCAGTTCCAGGCCACCATAATAAGGTGAGTATCACAATAAAGCAAGTCACATAAATTCTTTGGTTTCCCAGTGCATTTAAAAGTTATGTTTTATAACTATGGCCTATTGAGTGTGCAATACCATTATATCTAAAAAAGTGTACATACCTTAATTTAAAATACTGCTTAAAAAATGCTAGCGATTGTCTAAGCCTTCAGTGGGTCATAATCTTTTTGCTGGTAGAGGGTCTTGCCTTGATGTTGATAACTGCTAATCAGGGTTGTGATTGGTGAAGGCTGAGGTAAACGTAGCAATTTCTTAAAATAATAAAGTTTGCCACATCGATTGACTCTTCCTTTCACAGATTTCTCTGTAGCATGGGATGCTGTCTGACAGCATTTTACCCATGTAGTACTTTTAAAATTGGAGTCAATCCTTTCAAACCCTGCCACTGCTTTATCAATTAAGTAATATTCTAAATCCTTTGTGGTCATTTCAACAGCATTCATAGCATCTTCACCAGGAGTAGATTACATCTCAAGGAGCCACTTTCTTTGCTCATCCATAAGAAGCAACTCCTCATCTCTTCAAGTTCTATCATGAGATTGCAGCAATTCAGTCACATCTTCAGGTTCCACTTTTAATTCTAGTTCTCTATTTCTACATCTGCAGTGAAGTCCTTCACTGAAGTCTTAAGCCCCTCAAAGCCATCCATGAGGGCTGGAAGCAACTACTTCCAAGCTCCTCTTGATGTTGCTTTTTATTTTTATTTATTTATTTATTTTTAAGACAGTTTCCCTCTGTTGCCCAGGCTGGAGTGTAATGGCGCAATCACAGCTCACTGCAACCTCCACCTCCCAAGCTCAAGCAATTCTTGTGCCTCAGCCTCCTGTGTAGCTGGGATTACAGACATGCACCCATCATGTCTGGCTAATTTTTGTATTTTAGTAGAGATGGGCTTTTGCCATGTTGGCCAGGCTGGTCTCAAACTCCTGACCTCAACTGATACACCCTCCTCAGCCTCCCAACATGCTAGGATTACAGGCGTGAGCCACCCCGCCTGGCCTCATGTTGTTATTTTGTTCTCTTCCCATGAATAACAAATGTTAATGGCATCTGGAATGGTAACTCTTTTCTAGGTTTCCAATGTACTTTGCCCAGATCCATCGGAGGAATCACAATCTATGACAGCTATAGCCTTATGAAATGTATTTCTTAAATAATAAGACTAGAAAGTCAAAATTACTCCTTGATCCACGGGCTACAGAATGAATATCGTTTGTACAGGCATGAAAGCATTAATCTCCTTGTACATCTCCATCAGAGCTCTTGGGCAACCAGGAGATTGTCAAGGAACAGTAATATTCTGAAAGGAATTTGTTTTTTTAGCAATAGGTCTCAAAACTGGATTTAAAATAGTAAATCATGCTGTGAACAGATGTGTTGTTATCTAGACCTTGTTCCGTTTATAAAGCACAGGCAGAATACATTCAGCACAATTCTTAAGGACTCTAGGATTTTCAGAATGATAAATTAGCATTGGCTTCAACCTAAAGTCACCAGCTGCACTACCTCCTAATAGGAGTCAGCCTATGCTTTGAAGCTCTGAAGCCAGGCATTAACTTCTCTCTAGCTACGGAAGTCCCAGGTGGCATCTTCTTCCAATATAAGGCTGTTTCATCTACGTTGAAAATCTGTTGTTTCATGTAGCCACCTTCGACAATGACCTTGGCTTCCAGAAAATCTACTTCTAGATAACTTGCTGCAGCTTCTTACATCAGCACTTGCTGCTTCACCTTACACTTTTGTTAGAGATAGCTTCTTTCCTTTAACCTCATGAATTAACTTCTGCTAGCTTCCAACTTTTCTTCTGCAGCTTCCTCACCTCTCAGCCCTCACAGAATTGAAGAGAGTTGAGGCTTTGCTCTAGATTAGGCTTTGGCTTAAACAAATATTGTGGCTGGTTTGGTCTTCTATCCAGACCACCGAAAACAGCAATAAGGCTGTTTTGCTTTCTTATCATTCATGTGTTCACCAAAGTAGTACTTTTAATTTCCTTCAACTTCTTTAAATTCATAACTTGGCTTTCATGCCTGGCTAACTGCATTGTACAAGAGGCTTAGCTTTCAGCCTATCTGGGCTTTCAACATTCTTTCCTCAGTAAGCTTTATCATTTTTAGCTTTTCAAGTGAGAGACATGAAATTTTGTACTTTCCTTGAAAACTTAGAGGCCATGATAGGGTTATCAATTGGCTTAATTTCGATATTGCTGTTTCAGGGAATAGGAGACCTGAAGAGGGGGAGACAGGAGAACTGCCAGTTAGTGGAGCAGTCAGAACACAAACGTTTCTCTATTACTTTGCTATCTTATATGGGCACGGTTTGTGGAGTCCCAAATCAATTACAATGGTAAGATCAAAGATCAATGACCACAGATCACCGTAAGAAAAAGTTTGAAATACTGCAAGAATTACCAAAACGTGACAGAGCCACCAAGTCAGCACATGCTACTGGAAAAATGGTGTCCACAGACTTGCCAGATGCAGGGTTGTCACAAACTTTTAATTTGTAAAAATACAGTATCTGCAAAGTGCCAGAAGATGAAGTATGCGGCCAGGCCCGGTGGCTCATGCCTTTAATCCCGGTATGAGGCCAACAAGGGTGTATCACCAGAGGTCAGGAGTTCGAGACCAGCCTGGTCAACATGGCGAAACCCCATCTCTACTAAAAATACAAAAATTAGCCCGGCATGGTGGTGCGTGCCTGTAATCCCAGCCAGTCGGGAGGCTGAGGCAGGAGAATTGCTTGAGCCTAAGAGGCAGAGGTTGCAGTGAGCCAAGATTGCACCACTGCACTCCAGCCTGGTCAACAGAGTGAGACTCCATCTCAAAAAAAAAAAAAAAAAGATGTATGCCTGTAATGATGGCAATGTGCAATTAGAAAAATGGTAGTGCTGGTGAAAGACAATAAACAGTAAAGGGATACACTTGGGATTGAAAACTCAATGTTTTATTTGGAATGAGATAAGTTTAGGGTGCTAGTAAGATACCCAGTATTGTAATAGCTGATATTCAGTGAGTTCTTAGTGTCAGATAGTTGAAAAGGTGACTGAAGCTCAGGAGAGAGGGAAACATGGTACTGAAGGTCATGCCTATATAATTGATTCCATTTACCACCTCTCATCAATTGTGGTTATTCCTACATTAAATACGGTAGTATACTTTTTAAAAGAGATACTTTTCTGCAAATCTTAGGATGTTCTTCCCAAGGTAAGAAAATGATAATTATAAAAACTAAATTACTATAATGATACTCCTTAAGTAATTACGATTTGGTAGAAGTCTGCTGTTCAAAGCAGCTCCTACTCTAAGCTGGCATTGCTTTCAAGAAGTCCTGTGGAGAACGCCACACACACAAACCCACTACTGGCAAGGGGTGCATTTTAAAGGCCTCTGCTCTCCCACCCCTACACATGCAGTTTAACACATCTGAAAACCAAAATGGCAGCTGGGCACGGTGGCTCACATCTGTAATCCCAGCACTTTGGGAGGCCAAGGTGGAGGGCTCGCTTGAGGCCAGAAGTTTGAGACCAGACTGGCCAACATGGTAAAACCCCATCTCCACTAAAAATACAAAAATTAGCTGGGCGTGGTGTCGGGCACCTGTAGTTCCAGCTATTCAGGAGGCTGAGGAACGAGAATCGCTTGAGCCTGGAAGGTGGAGGTTGCAGTGAGCCAAGATAGCACCACTGCATTCCAGCCTGGGTGACAGAGTGAGATTCTGTCTCCAAAAAAAAAAAAAAAAAAAAAAAAAAAAAAAAAAAACCAAGAAAACAAAAAAAAAGAAAAGAAAACCAAAATGGCTCATGGCCTTTAGCCACAGAAGGCAGCTAAGATAGATGGCCTATGTAGATAAATCAATATACATAGCCTCAACATCTCTAGGCCAGCTAAGCCAATCAGGTCACGCAGGATTCTAAATTTATCTAACAGGTAATTTTTTTTTTTAGACTAATAGGCTAATAGGCTGTCTTACCTAAGTGACCACCCTGAGCACACAGCTCATTCACCAAATGGAGAGTTACACCTCTTATAAGTGGGAGAAGGCATTCCACCTGTTGTTAAAAGACAAAGTGATAGTTTTCATTGTACAAATATCCTAGCAAGAAGCTGAATTTGTGGCGGCTGGGGAGAAGGGAGATTCAGAGAGCAGCTATCACTTACTTGGATACTGCACAATGTTTAATATGAAAAGCCTTGACTGGAGTTAACTGCCACAAAACACGAAGATTGCCCCGTATGCAAAACCTTCCATTTTTGGTAGTAATCTTGAACCCTGGAAAAGCCTATTATCACCTTTCAGTTATAGAAATAAGATGTAAATATGCAAATAACTGTTCCAGAAATAGGTGAAATTACTACTCAACAGTGGCAAGATTTTAAGATTTTCATTTTATTAAAAATATAGCAACATAATAGCAGCATTGTTTGATAAATCTTTACTAGTACCATTTAAAAGTAGTCCTACTCACAAATAACCACCACCTATGCAGCATGTTTATGTTTACATTCCAAACTCTTCCCTTGATAATCTAACACTGTTCTATTAATCTAATCATTAAGGAGGTAATTTTTTAAGCATTAAGTTGATCTACACAGCTACACAGTATACTCAAATTTCATACTTAAATCTATTGTAGAAATCAGAAATTCTTTAGTTTATTCCCCAACAGTGTGTTACCTACCAGTACCCTCAAAATGGTTGAAATCAACCTATTCTTTCAGTGTGATTTTTATGAATTTATACTTACATATGTAGTTAAGAAATTATGTCTAGCAAATAAAAATAAACCAAGAATAGAAGGTACTACTCCTCCATACCAATCCTGGAAAAATAAAATATAGAGGTAAAATATGTGAAATCTCCCAAAAGTTGGCAATTTTAAAATTAAAATGTTAACTAGATATAAATTTAAAAATCAGGCAACAGACTTAAAACCTTTTATAAACATTATATTAAGAACTGTTATATCTGATATAAGCTAATTGTAACAAACTAATTGCTAGAAACTATAAAAGTACCTTAGAATGGAAGAAAGCTAGTTATTAGTTACTAAATCCAACTGACTGAATATAACCAAAGTCATAAATGGCTTAGCGTTTACTTTTAAAATAACGTATTGCCAGGTGCAGTACCTCACACCTGTAATCTCAGCACTTTAGAAGGCTGAGGCAGACAGATTGTTTGAGCCCAGGAGTTTGAGACCAGTCTAGGCAACATGGCAAGATCCTGTCTCTACAAAAAAAATTCTAAAATTAACTGGGCTTGGTGGCACATGTCTGTGGTCCCAGCTATTCAAGAGGCTGAGGTGAGAGGATCATCCATGCCGAGAAAGGTCAAGATTGCAGTGAGCCATGATCGTGTCACTGCACTCCAGCCTGAGTGACAGAGTGAGACCCTGTCTCAAAAAGAAAAGTAATAATAATAATGTATTACTCTTCAGGCAAAACCACCAATAAGAGTGTACTAAAAACAAACTCACCCACAAACCCAAGATTAAGTAGGGAAGTCAATTTTATTTTAAAATTTTATTACATTTATACTAAACTCCTGCTTCCAGAAATATAATTTAGCTCTTTTAAGAGCACTAGCTTTTAAAATTTGAAAATAAACATCTAATTTTAAGTGAAAATTACATTAGTAAATAAACATGAGAAAATAATATATATGTAGTGAAAATAAAAAATATTTAAACACAAGAAACATGGGCACTGCACATTTACTTTGTGGGAATGGCTCTACTTCGTAACGCACCAGTTGAAATCAGATACTGTCTTCCAATGAAAACGTAAATGATTCACTGAAATTATAAGTTATTCAATGCCATCCCTCCAAAGGGATTCATTTTAATTGTTAATTCAACAATAATTAAATCATGCTCTTTATTTCTAACAGATTAAAAAAAAACTTAAAGGCCTATTACTCTACATTATAATTCTTGAATCTACACAGTATCTTCACTTGAGAAGGGAGTTAGATCAGGGTTCTAAGTTTTAAAATAAAGATAGCAACATAGACATAGGAATGACTGAAGGTCTTGAAAATTATTACTATCACAAAATAAATTCTCTTGACCCCCCCCCCCCCGACAAAAAAACCTTTTCATTATAAACGCCAGTGTTTATTTTTAATTGAGCAGGTCAAAATTTAAGCCTCTGGCACTGCCAAAGATCAACATAGCAGGTACTGAACCTCGTGAAGAAAAGAACTTGAAACACAGAGATCACAAGCTGACTAGTGTTTGCAATTATAAGCTAATTAGATAGAAAATAACTAAGATGATAACTGCAGAACTTCAGGATTTAAAAGTTTTGACACAAAACTTATGCACTAGCTTATGAACTGATGCACCATCTTATGATACTAGTTCAGCATACGTTGCTGAAAGGCAACAGAATTTGTCTACAATGATAAATAGCAACTACAACTTAAGGAAGAGAGGGTACTCTATGTAATCAAGCTACAAAAGATAATTACAGAAAGTATGAAGCATAAAATGTCTGTCTTCTTGGCCTTACCTCAAGTTTATCTGACAACATCTACCTGGGATTTAAAAAAAGAAGTCTTAAAGAAAAAAACAAAATACCCTGAAAGAAAAGAATAAACAAATGAAAACATGAGCTCTTTTAAGTGAACAGAGAAAGTATGTCTCAAA
This sequence comes from Homo sapiens, assembly GCF_000001405.40. Classification (NCBI taxonomy): domain Eukaryota; kingdom Metazoa; phylum Chordata; class Mammalia; order Primates; family Hominidae; genus Homo; species Homo sapiens. The sequence goes on along the minus strand of NC_000005.10, from coordinate 66,181,332 downwards.
CAGATACACACGTGCGCATGCGCACACATGGACACACAAGCACACACACACATCCCTCTAGACCCTAGAATGCCTTGCTTCCATAAGCCCATGTAAAAAAAAAGTCAAACCCTAATAACAATCTGATTTGTTCCTCCAGATCTCTTGTATTCCTACTCATTCTTAGTTTTTACAAATCAGTGTTTCAAGATTATAGTACGATTATTTTAAAGCTTAATAAATATCAGCAGAGAAAATAATTAGCAGCAAGAACCAAATTAAATGTTAATTACCAACATAAAGAAACATGTAATAGGTCCAGAGTACAAGAAAACACTCATACTTTAAATGACTTGTTTTATAGACACCACACAAACATGCACTCTCCACGTCACAACAATCTCTATGACAACTAAAATGAGCAGGATAAAACTAAAATGCTTTTTTGAAATGCATAAACAAACATTTTCCTCTAAAATACTTAGCTTTATTAAAGACATGGTACTAAAAATAACAGATTCCAACATTTGCTCTATTTCTACTTATATATCATAAATAAGACAGCTGTTGATGCAAGACACACTCTTTCACAATCTTTCCATATGCACCCAAGCATTCTTGTATCAGAATAAGCTGTTTACCAGCCAACCGTATGTGGCTGAATGATTAAAATGACCATCTATACTTTACATAGTAAAGCATCTTCCAAAATTTTAATGTACACAGTGACAAAAAGGAAAAACAAACAAAAAAAACAGTAATTCTGAACACATGAAGAGTGATTAAGCAGCTTCATAATCAAATCAGGCTTCATTACTTGCAACAAGGGCAACTCTTTCCATTCCCCACTAAATACTAAAGTTTCAATCTTATTAACATTAAAAGAAAACTCAAGTTGAAACCAAGTAACTAACATGCTATTCAGCTTTTTAGATCTAAAAAAGTAACTCTTCCCATGAGGTAAGGCAACTGAGTAATCTGATTGTATTAGATTGCATTAAAATAATTATACTTAACTTTTAATACACTAATTAAAAGGTATTACTTTTTTGGAAATACAACAATAATGAGTTCAGAAACCACAAGTTATAGTACTGGGGAAAAACATTAGCAGTGCTGTCACTTTACTATTTGCATACTTTCTGTAAAAAGTGAGCCTAAGAATGATGGATGACCTGTATCTTAAACTCAAGTAAACGTATCCTTAAACATAAAACCAATAACCTCCCATATACTCCTAAGTCCTTAAGTACAATTTCTGCACATCATTTATGAAAAGATGATTGAGAGGTAATAAGGCCATCCAATGTAGACAACTAAAGGGTTTTCTTCAATTTAAGGAAAATAAGAACATGTTTCATTTTCAATTATCACAGTATAAAACTGATGGTCCCAAAGCTGCATGACTCTAATGTCATTCTTGAAAACAGGACTTCCTTCTCATTTTAGGTGAAATCAGTAAGAAGCTCTTCTGACATATCACTTACACACTTCTCTATGGGTATGCATGAAATATCCATCTAGATTCCATATGAATTGAGAATGACTAGCACATATAAAATTCTAGAAAACAGTATACCACATTGTAGAAGGCACTAAAGCTTCAGCTTGTGCTCCCATAGCCCATTTTGAAAAGCCAGTTTCCTTTTTTATAAGGGCACCTTTGCCACCTACAGCTGACAAGACACACTGCAATATTATTCATAATAAGCTTGGAAATGTCAAGAAAATTTAAAAAGAAATGCTCACTTTGTGGGTAGTCCCAATGATTCTAAACACTGAATACTAATTCATCATTATTAGTATTCAACACGGTTGCTCTTCCTTTTGAAAGAGAACAGTAGCATGCATTGTCAGTTTTTTAATCCACTTATTTAAGCAATTTTAATCTGCAAAACTATTTTAAAGAAAAATTGTCCTAAACAGTGAGCAAAAGAAAACACAATAGTGAGAATTTAACACAATCACAAGTCCTGTGAAGTAAATGTTAAAACTTCTTACATACTTTGCACTTACAAGGGTGTGTATATATTTGCACCAATTTCAAGCACATCATCAAACTGTATATATTGAAATAAAAAAAAAAGTAAAACAATACAAAATTCAGTAACTAGCATTTTTTAAAAGAGCCTCCAATGCTTATCTCCAGTCTTTAGGGATAGTACAAACTTGGATCTTTGATGTTCAATTTATTTGCAATGGTTCTTGGCAAACACTAACAGACCACATGACAAGTGTGTCAGCCACCATGGAAATGCACAGATTTTAGAAGATGAGTTTGGGTAACATCTGTTATTTTCATGATGTCCATGCTTTATTTTCTTACTCAATAACAAGATGGCCACAAAGTCATCTAACAACTGGAAAAGCTGTTAGATCCTATCTTCATGCTCAACTAGATTTCTTTCCTGTTTACATCTTGTTGAGAGAATTAAAAGCTTTGGATTTGATTCCAGCATTGAGTGCAGAGGTACACTTGTCGGTCCTATACTGCTTCTGTTTTGGTAGAGAGGTTTTCTTCATTCAGCTGACAATTCCCATTGTGCTGTATTTTGTTTTCCTCAGTCCTTGGTGCATCCTTGTCATCTACTTCTTTGCTCACACTTGAATCTGGTTCTTTATTGTGCTCTTTCTCCTACAATGAGTAATTAAGGTATGCATTTAATATTTTCCTCAAGAACTGCCTGCTATGACGACAAAAATGTGAAACTTTATCTTTTGCAAATTTAAAAAACTGGGTATGATTTTCTCTCATTACGTTTTCACACAAAATGAATATGCAAACACTATCAATTTCCCCTTTGTGTTCTCATAAAAGATGGACAATCCATGGAAATTAAATTAGAATTGGTGAACAGAAATTTTAAGCAAGTGCTCAATAAATGTTGCTGACAGACTTGAAAAACGGAGACAGATCTATTGAAAGAGTGAAATAATTTCCAAGGATGCCAGGATAGATTTTTAATCTGCAAACCAATGCAGCAAAAATAAGGAAATGTGGAAAAGGAAGTCACTATGCCTCCTGGAAAAGGCTGTTCAAGAGCACTCCAATTTCTACCCTCAATTTAAAAGAGTTAAATGAGAACAAACAGTGCCCGGCACATCGTAAATGCTTAATAAATGTTATCAATGTTATTGATGATGATGATAATCGTCTATCAGTATTACAGTACATAAAACTATAAGATAGATGTTCCAAAATTCATAATTTCCAAATACAAATATACTTTACCAGTGTAAGTAACTTAATTCACAACTACTTGAAGTATTTATCCAAGTGACAAAAAAGCTCACTTGGTGGAATGTGGTTTTCCATTAGGTATTCTAACCCAACAAACCTAATGTTAACTACACAAAGTCTTTTCAAACTTGCTGAAACATAAATTGAGGAAAATGGCATCAGGCAGAAATCCTATCTACATAAAATCAAATACATTTGTTACTGTTGATTTCTTAAATTTTTCTTATTGCATGCCATGTTAGGATTTAACTTAGTTTTTTTAGTTTTAATTGGCTCTTATCTCTTCAACATTTAGTTTTTTTAAATTACCAATTAAATATTTTAAATATTTTAAAATGCCATAAAATGCCAACAATGTACAAGACACTGTTCCCCAAAGAGCTTTCAGTCTAAAACCATTTGTATGCAATAAAGAACCATTTCAAGTGCCAGACACCGAATGACTGCTGCTTACTTTAAGTGAAGTACTGTTCTTCTCCAACTTCTCCTTCCCATCTCTATCATTAGAACTCTTTCTCATAGACGTTGAACGTTCTCTCTCTCTTCTTTCACTGATGTGGTCCCTTTCTTTTTCTCTCTTTTTATCCTTCTTATTTCTGCTATAAGAATATTGATATGTCAGTTAAATTCTAAGAAATTGTAAGATCTATTATATTCTTGACAAAATATCCTTTTCTAACACTGGATATCTAAAATAATGCATTGTTAATAAGCATCAACAGTAAGCTGGTTTGCAAAGTAACATAAATGAGCCCTACAACCTGACCTACCCCACCCTTACCCCAGTTAGTTTCTTAAGGATACACAAGTCATTTTGGCAGAGGCCACCATATGTTCTCATAAAACACTATTTGGCATAGCCTATTTAATAGTTTTCGAATATTCAATATTTGTTTATGTACTGCAATAAGGAGAAAATAAAACCAAATGAATATGTATCCGCCTCATTTCGCAAAGAGAAACAAAGGAAAGACAATCAAATGATTGGTCAATTACACAGGGTGAATGGGAACAAGGCAGATGGAATGGAGACAGGAGTGACATTTTCTGAATGTATCTTTTTGTCTAATTTCAGTTCATAAGAGAAAAGTTTTGACTTTCCTGGGTAAAGTATTTGTTTCAAAAATACAAACATGGCCTGCATCTATAGTATCCTAAGCCTTCCGTTATTCTCACAAAAGCCAAAAACCTATAAGCAAATAAACAAAAGACCCCTCTGCTGGAAAATCACAGAAAATCACCTAAAAAACCATAACCAATTAGTAAGGCAGTGGGATTAAAAAAATAAATATACAGAAATCAATAACTTTCCTATGTACAAACCTAACCTCCAATTAAACATAATGAAAGAAAATACCTCATTTCCAACAGCAACAACAACAAAAATTTCTAGGAATTAAGAAATGCATAAAGCCTGTATGAAACAAACGATGAAATATTTCTGAAAACACTAATGATGGCCTAATAAGATATACCACATTCCTTGTCTACAGCCATATCACCCTGAGCATGCCCGATCTCATCAGATACACCATATTCCTGGACAGACGACTTGTCATCATGAATCTTTATTAATAAACCTGTTTATCAATTTTCCCTAAGTTAATTTATAAATCGAATGCAACTGTAACACAAATCATCAATAGGTTTTATTTCTGGAATGCAGACAACTGACTCATGTTCAAGCAGAAAAATAACCACTGAAAGGAAAGCTAACTATACTCAAAAAAGCAATGAGGGGTATAGAGAACAGGCCTTGCCAAATACTTAAAAATACGGTATAATCTCAATAATTAAAAGGGTGGGACACTGGCACATGAACGGCCAGTCAAACCAATCCAAGGGCACAGAAGACCCAGAAATAGACCCAAACACACAGAAAAACACAGCACATGACAAAGGCAACATATCAAACTAATGTTAGAAAAATTGAGTTTTTAACAAATGGTACTGCAACAACACGGAAGCATTTGTAAAATAAAACTGAACCCATTTGCCATATTGTACACAAGAATAAGACTCTAACCAGAGATTTAACTGCAAAATATAAAACCATAAAAGTACAAGAAGGAACAATGGGAAAGTTCTATCATAATCTTGGAATAGGAAAAGCCTTTTATCAGTTTTTGACTCACATAAGAAGTCATAAAAGAAAAAGAGAAAGTTATTTTAAAAATGAAAAACCTTTGTAAAATCAAGTCTCACAAACAATTTTTTAAAAGAAACAGCAAACTGAGAATGTTATTTATAATCACATCACTAAACAATAAGCTCCCTAATATAAAAGAGTTCTTGGAAATAGAAAAGGAAACAAAAAGGCCAACAGGAAAATGGGCAGAGTATACAGACAATTCGCAGAAAAAGAAATACAAATGGCTTTCAAATCTATGAAGTGGTCACTTCTCTCATAATTAAGAGTGCAAACTGCTGCCAACTCTTATAGAGGATAATTAGGAAATATCTCTCAAAAATTACAAACATGCTTATTATCTAACTTAACAATGCCATTTCTTGAGATTTTTCCTACACACATGCACACTAAAAACAACTTAAGTCCAAAGCTATTCATTACAGCATTACATAATTTATGGTAAAAAAAATTCAAAAAACCCCTTCTACTGTAGCCTAGTTAAAAAACTAAGGTATGGCCATACAACGGAAGCCTACGCAATTATAAAAAGGAATTGAAGAAGCTCTCTCTGACCTGGTAAGTTAAGTGACAAAAAGACTTCCTGGTAGTTAAATGACAAAACCAAGGGCACAACAGTGTGTATTCTGTGTTGCTTCTTGTATTAGAAAAAAATGATACATTCTCATCTTGTTATCTGTATATGAAACTGGAAGCATATACAAAAAAACCTCACGAAGTCATTACTTCTGGGAACAGTGTAGATGGGCAAGAGTGGAAATTAAGACTTCCTGATACATAACTTTTATCTTTAATTTCTGAATAATGCATATGTATTATTCATTCAAAATATAAAGTTTAAAAAATAAAGAGAGAAATTTAAAATTTCAAAAAATATTTATTGCTTTCTCCTGTTTAGTTTTAGCACAAGCTCCCAACCTACCTCCTGGGGGACGGAGATCTAGAAGATTTCCTTTTTATGGTTTTTGATGTTCTTGGCGATCTGGAAGAACTCCTGCTCCTCCTCCTACGCCTTTCCCTGAAAATCAAAAACACATCATTTTTAAAAACAGCAATTGAAATAAACGGCAATTCAAATATACAAAAGCAAAAGGGTCCTTGATATTCTCATATGAACAGTATTCTTTAGAGGCCAGTTTAAACTTATGTCCTTTATGAGCATGTTCAATTACCTAACTTTAGAGTGGGTCAAATTATGAACCATAAATTTTACAGACTGATGAAAACATCATCTAAGACTTCATATTAGGAAGAGTAGAAGACCTCCTCCTTTTCACCTCGTTTATTTGAACAATTTCTTCAGTAGAAAAAATATTAATGGCGTGGCGTTTCTGCTTCTCTCAAGTGTATTTTCTCAGCAGCTAAAACAAGTTTTGCTTATCAAATCCTTTGTCATGTATCTAGCTCCTTGCTGCCCCACTGTGGATTATAACAAAGTAACAGGCCCTTTTCAAAAACTGAAACATAAACTGGCTTGTAAAATGTGAACTTTCTATACCCAATTATCAACAATGTCTACTTAAAAAGCATTTACATTACTATCATTTTAGAGAGAAATTGCTTTTCCCTCCAACCTCCTATCATTTCATTACTGTTGTTCTATTAATTTAAAATTTAGTGTACAAGTTGCTTAGATGTAAGCAAAACAGTTACAATCTGAAAAGTAAATATGACAGGAATAATTATAAAATAGATTACGTTATTATTATTAAAAACCATTTTGCTTATCAGATTAGCAAATGATACATATTCTAAACTACTTCAACTCAGAAACAATGAACTTCACTAGGTCTATAATTTAAGGGATATGGTACGAGGACATACCCAATGATCTATCTCACAAGTTCTGATAATCAGTGACCACATAGCTAAAAAACCAAATCCTCTGGAATTCATGTTATCCTTACCATTTCAGGAAACTGATTCTAAGAGACTAATAAAATAATTTAAGTTTTTCATTTCTAAAATAAAAAATGCTCACACGGTATATATAATATGTATTAAAATACAAAGCTCAAGAACTCTGAGAACACAACTCAATTCTACCTCTACCTAAGACTCTCTCCTCCATTACCCACTTTTATTCCCAAGACACTCCACAATTACACTTCTAATGTGGAAATTAGATACATTATTTGATTACATCAATGACATTCTCTTAACAGCTCAGCCTAAGAACCAAAAATACTTTTTTCAAAGCATGTGAATGTCAGCGTATTCCAGACTTTAAGATTACACAAAATCGCTCTGCCTTTATCAGTGTAATTCTTTTACTTATTTGTTCAGAAAGCACTATGTACAAGTGGATGTCTAATACCTACTAGCTGACGATAATGAGAGGAAAGTCTCCATAGACAGCAATCTAGACAATTACTTGAGAAAGAAATTGTATTAACAACTAAAGTTGGTGAGATTTAGACTTAAATTTGAGTTATACACCTTACCCAGCTATACAACCAGGATCATATTACTTAACCTAATCTGTTTTTCAACTGAAAAATAAAGACAATTAATAATTCAAGTTTTATTAGGTTGTTGAGGATTTAGGATAAAATCTGTAATGTGCAAAGCATAGAGTGTGACACAGAGTAGGTGCTCAATAAATATTGTTTTTTCCTTCCCTTTCTTGGTATCACCTTTAATGACAGTAAATTTAAGCATTAAAAAATTATTTAATATCATTTTCTTTAAAAGTATAAATTAGGAGACAATGTTAGAAATAAAAATATTAACTATTTTTTGAACAGTTAAAATATTCTCCATTTAGTAAACAAATCAGAACATTTGAAAAGCAGAAAAATGCTAAAAGACAAGAAATTGTAACTCTTGGCTGGGGGCGGTGGCGGCTCACGTCTGTAATTCCAGCACTTTGGGAGGCTGAGGCGGGTGGATCACCTGAGGTCAGGAGTTTGAGACCAGCCTGGCCAACATGGTGAAACCCCATCTCTATTAAATAAAATACAAAAATCAGTTGAGTGTGGTGGCACACGCCTGTAATTCCAGCTACTCAGGAAGCTAAGGCAGGAGAATCGCTGAACCCAGGAGGCAGAGGTTGCAGTGAGCAGATATTGTGCCACTGCATTCTAGCCTGGGTGACAAAGTGACACTCTGTCTAAAAAAAAAAAAAAAAAAAAAAAAATTCAAAGAAATTGTAACTCTTTACCAAGCTCTTCTGAAAGCATGAAACATTCCAAACTGCTGCCTTTATAAACTAATGTCAGTCATCTTTTATTCTCAAGGCCCCAGTTGTTACTGAAGAATGTATTTGAGCCAGGTGCAGTGACTGATGCCTGTAATCCCAGCACTTTGGGAGGCCAAGGAGGGCAGATCACTTGAGGCCAGGAGTTCAAGATCAACCTGGCCAATATGGTGAAACTCCATCTCTACTAAAAATACAAAAATTAGCCAGGCATGGTGGTGCACACCTGTAATCCCAGCTACTCGGGAGGCTGAGGTACAAGAATCACGTGAACCGAGGAGGGGGAGGTTGCAGTGGGTCAAGATCATGACACTGCACTCCAGCCTGGGCGATGAGCAAGACTCTGTTTCAAAAAATATATACATATATATTTAGGAATGAATGTGAACACTTGAACTTTCCTCTACACCAAACAACTTAAAATGGCCCGAGAAAAAGTTAAACATTCCCATGTCATCAAAAAAAGTAAATTCGTTATTAAAAAGGAATGAAAATAGTATTTGGTGCTGTGAAAGGTAATGTCTAAACAATCACAGAAACACAAAGGCATGTGTGACACAGAATCAATAAAATCACTTTGCAGTAAAGGTGTGGTTACAAGGCTCAAACCAGTACCCACAGCAAAGGAGGTTACATTAATTCTTCAATCTGTGGTTCAATGTGCTGAAATCCAGCAGTGATCTGTTTATTTTGAGCCTTGTTTTAACATATACTACTGCTTTCAACTTTATGCTTCTGAGGTAGTTTTTAAAAGTAAGTACAAGTACTAGAGAATTCTCAAACTTAATCTCTAAAATAAAGGAAAAGGGCTACTATACTTCTCATACAGAGCGTCAGCTTCCTCATGTTTTAAAACAGTGATGATAATAATCTTCTCCCAGGCCTGTTGTGAGGATTAAATAAGGTGAGACATGAAAAAGTCTACTGACATCATGTCTGGCATACAGTAAAGTGCACAATAAATGTCTACGATTATCTTTTATTATCTAGTCAAAGGCTGGTATTAAAAATAAACTACTAAAGCACAAGTTTTAAAAATGGGAAACATATATTCCTTTATCTCAAATTATTTTCTATTAAAAAACCATCTTTAAAAATCTTCAAAAATTTGCTAATATATATATTTAGTATTTTTAAGATAGTGTAGTATAAGTTAGGAACTTCCATTTACAGTCATGGTATCATCTGAAGTAAAGGATGTGGGTTTAGATAATCTTAAATCTCAAAAGTTGTTCTCATTGTACAGCTGTTACTATGGCAACTTGCTGCCACCTGGTGGTAGTAAAGCTATTAATAAACTGAAATCACGGTCCTAAGGAAAAACTCTAACCCTTAAAACTGACAAAATAAAACACGACCAAAATTTAAATGTTATGCACTTAACAAAATAAGGATAAAAATTAACTTAGGTGACAAAGAGGGCTAACACTGCAACTTCAGCAATCATTTTACATATTAAAATTAATCACACCATTCAAAAAAAGTTCAGGAAAAAGCCTAAGACGCAAATTCTTAATGTGCTTTTTAAAAAAAGTACCTTTCCCTGCCATCCCACCCTCTAAGAAAATAACAATTATTATTATTCTATTAAAATAGTGGTTACAAAGAATAGCTAAAACTCTTCAAATAATGTTGCCCAGTATCATCTCTTTCCCCACTCTGCTAGAGAAATGTTTACTCTGAAATTAGGAGAAAATGTTCTTATATTACTTTACAGGTTCCACTTGCGTACAGTAACCTTTTCTCCCTCCGTAAAAAATTTTGTTTCCAATTGTCATCAGCAAATCCCTTTGTAAAAATTTTAAGCATTATCAAACCTGCTGGAACTACGAGATCTTCGCGATGCATTGTAACTCCTGGGTGGTGTTCTGGATTTTTTATCCTTCTTTCTTTTTTCATCTATCTCTTTGGATCTGTCTTTTTCTCGTTCCTTTTCTTTGTCCTGTTCCTTTTCCTTCTCTTTGTCTCGATCCTTCTCATGCTCTTTTTCCCGTTCTCTCTCTCTGTCCTTTTCCTTGTCTTTTTCCCGGTCCTTTTCCCGTTCCTTGTCCCGGTCTTTGTTTTTACCCCGTTCCTTTTCTTTTTCACGTTCCTTTTCCCTCTCTCTCTCCTTTTCCCTGTCTTTCTCTTTCACTCTTTCCTTTTCCTTGATCTTTTCTCGAGTGTCTTTTCTCTTGTCCCTTTAAAAACAAAAATAAATAAATTCATAACTAAAATAGTTCTACCTCCTCCAAAAAGACCTCTCTCTCTTCAACAATTACCAACACAAGACAATTTATAGTACCTACAGACATTTACATATACATTTTTATATAGCTCAGGTGTACAAGAAGCTGCTAAACAAAGCTATTCATACTACGCAAGCTGAACTGAGTAGTTTGGAAACCTCATGAGTCACACTGACATCAGATTCAGATCACTGGCAATCAATATTAATCCTAGATTACTAAAACAATAAAAAAGGTTTAATTTCTCTCATTAAAAACCTAAACCACAACAGATTTTTAACAAATGAAGCCAATTAAAATATTATCCCTTAGCACTAACAGAACTCTGAGGAAAAAAAAATTATTGTTAATTTCTCTAAAACTCACCGTGAATGCGAACGACTCCTTGACTTCCGTCTCTCCCTTGATTTAGAGCGTTTTTTATGTGGGCTCTTAGATCTACGTCTGTCTTTCTGTCTTGAACGTGATCTATTATGGGATCTACTCCTAAAGAAAAAAAATTGTTAGAATATCAAAACTTAATTTACGATCTTTCAAACAAGAAAATTTAAAATCTATCCTAACAGTATTTAACAATATTTTAAAAATTTCTCTTAAATAATACTTTAGTTACATAATCTGAAATACATTTACTGGAAACTTTACCGGATATTTCATTGTCTAGAACAGAGACAGAAACAAAGAATTTAACAGTTATTTCGTATATTTTCAGATGTGGCTTTTGCTAGTCATTTTATGCCTCAAATCAGTATAGAAGATTTTTCCCTGTTGACTTGCATGTAATCTGGTCATAACACATCATGACAGGGAGTAGTGGTTACGTGGTTGAGTAGTTCCTGTGAATGTGTGCTGTCTGTCATAACAAACAAAAAGAATATATAAAAGGAAGCACAGTCCTAATGACAGCGCCACTGTGACAGGAAAATAAAAATCATTACTCATAAGTTAAAACTAGATATAATCAAATATTGGATTTGCAATGCCTTGATTTTATAGCTGTAACTATAATCATAGCTACCAGTTGAGTATCCCTTATGTGAAATGCTTGGAACCAAAAGTGTTTTGAATTTCACATTTTTGGAGATTTTCGAATATTTGCATTCTATATATACACACGCATAAAACTGGTTGAGCATCCCAAACACACAACTGAAAAATCCAAAATGCTCCAGTGAGCATTTCCTTTGAGCATCACGAAAGCGCTCAAAAAGTTTTGAAGCCTTTTGAATTTCAGATTTTCAAATTTGTGAGTCTCAACCTGTATGAAAAGAAACTGTTAACTGCAGGAAACGTTTAATTGCAGGAAAAGTAACTGTTATTCCAATTTGGACTAGGCCCCCTTTCTCACTGAAAAAGTTTTTTGAGAATGTGATTTTTTTCATAACGAGGTATCCTAACTGCTTATTAAATTGTAACAAAACAGATGTACACAACTTAAATAGCAAAGTGATTAGACTCAACAGCTTTGGAGTCTGACAATCTGGCTCTGAAAGTCAGCTCTGCCACACGCTACCTGTGAGAACTCTGGCTAGTCACTTAACCTCTCCAAGCCTGAGTTTCTTCCTCTATAAAGTGGAGTAGCAATCATACCTGCATCTCTTAGGGCTGTCATGAGGATTACAACTGATGATGTATGTAAAACTGCGTAGTATTCTCTAGCACAAAATAAATGTTTAAAAATCTTAACTCTCAATGTCATCATCATTAAAAGTTAACATAAATGTAAACTTTATATCCTTATGTACGTATTCCAAGGAAGCTGAATGAACTTCTATAAGTATCCTTTATACAGCTAAAACTCATCTTGATAGTCATGTTTTAATAAATTTAGAACAATTATCAGTAAAAGAAATATAGTTGGGCTGGGCACAGTGGCTCACACCTGTAATCCCAGCACTCTGGGAGGCCGAGGCAGGTGGTACTTGAGGTCCACCTGCCTTGAGGTCAGGATTTCAAGATCAGCCTTGCCAAACATAGTGAAACCCGTCTCTACTAAAAATACAAAAATTAGCTGGGTATGGTGGCATGCACCTGTATTCCCAGTTACTGAGGAAGCTGAGGTGGGAGAATCAACTGAACCCGGGGGGCAGAGGTTGCAATGAGCTGAGGTCGCTCCACTGCACTCCAGCCTGGGCAACACAGCAAGATTCTATCGCAAAAAAATAAAAGAAAAAAGAAAAAGACCATGTTTTGTGGTATGCTTTGAAACCAGAAAAACCTCCAAATAATCCTCATTAATAACAAAATCTTTTGTTTTTAAACACATTTTTCAGTTAGTCAAAATTCTGATTAAAATACTAATCAACATTACAAATCAAAATTTCAATAGCTAATTTCCATTTAAACTACTCATCTACTATTTGGCTGTAAAAATAATATACAATTGTCTTCATTCCATATTTTTTTTTTTTAGCCTCACTTGGTTCAACATACCACATTATTTTTTATTTTATTTTTTTCCAAAGACCCTAGATAAGAAATCACATACCATGTTTTTAATACAAGAAGATAATTCATAGCTTGCTGAAATCTTTATCACTAGTACTTAAGAGCCATGAAAGTTAAGGAGTAGATGTTAAGGCAAAACTGCAAAACTGAGAACATTATTAGTCCGTTTACAGATATCCACATAGGGTAATCTTTTAAAGTGCCTTTGCTTCTACATACTTAATAAAAAGTCTTACTATAAGATTTCTGTTTTAAGTTGTCCTTGCTAAAAATATAATTCTTTTGTTTTCCTCAAAGCAATGCTTTCCACCAACCTTAAGCAAAACTTATTTTTAAAAATTAAGTATAACTCTCATAAATAAGTTAATAATAAAAAGCACTGATCACTTGGCTTCCAACCTTACCCTGCAATTGAGATGTCAAAAGACAGTGACTAAGAGTAATTATTACATTTTAACTGTGACGTTAAATATTTTCACGTCAATCTTACCCACTAGTAGTTTTCTGATTAAGAATGCTAGAAGTAGTCAAGAGCAGATCTAATCTAACTAAAGATTTATCATTAACTCTCATTTTTAATGCGAAATTGTATTATTCTGAATAATGCAAAATCTTATTTTTAAATTAAACTGTAAAAAACCAGCAACTTACCATTATGCTGCATCAAAGTTCATTTGTAAATCAGTTGTTTTCCATTAAAATATTATAAAATGTCTTACAGTTCCTGTTCTAATCTATAAAGGTTACTTAAAATTATAACAATTATAGTACTATCCATCTTTTCTATGTCTCAATAAATAAAACAGGCATCAAAACTTGGATAAAATGGAAACATACCTCCCTAGTCCTAGCCAAGGTCACAGTGACAAGAAACCCCTTCCTCTCTCTAACCATAAGAAGCGGAAGGAACAGGGAAAGGCTGTGGGGGAGGGTTGGGAGGTAGGAAGCATGGCTCTAGAAGCATTTGAAAATGGTGAAAAAGTAGAAGGTGGGCCTTTAAGTTAAAGGGTTCCTGCAACCCACGCTCATGCTAAGTCTAATAGGTCAGGGTGAGATTCAAGGACAACAACTCCCACTAGCAGAGGAGGAAATGTCAAGAAAGGCCTATCATTCCCTTCCTGATTTCTGGGGGATAGTGGGATCCTTCCAGGTCAGAATCTTTAAGTTAAATGTTTTTAGGTAAGGAATTTTTTTTTTCTCATTTAAAGATAACTCATTCTCTCTTTTGTATTTGTTCTTGAACTTAAGGCTACATGTTTCCACATGCATGCACAAAAACAGAATATGCTGACAAAAGTATGTATGTATGTATATATGTCAGTTAAGAACATGTATACCATGCCTATAATCCCAGCACTTTTGGAGGCCAAGGTGGGAGGATCGCTTGAGCTCAGGAGTTCAAGACCAACCTGGGCAGTATGATAAAACCCCGTTTCTACAAAAAATACAAAATTAGCCAGGCGTGGTGGTGCGTGTCTGTGGCTTAGCTACTCGAGAAGCTGAGGTGGGAGGATCACTTGTGCCTGGGAGGTGGAGGTTGCAGTGAGCCGAGATCAAGCTACTGCACTCCAGCCTCGGCAACGGACTGAAACTGCATCTTGGGGGGGGAAAAAAAAGGAATATATATACATTATTTCTAATGCTACGCAGACATTGTGTGTACATCTGTATAGACATATCTACATAAAGCACATAAAACTTCACTTAGATGATCAAAGAAACAACAATTTTATTCATCATCAAGTTTTGTCTTGTTCCAGTCTTGGACATTAGCTCTCTCTTACAATCAACACAATATGAGATCCAGGTCATCAGTCTTCCTCAGAAAAGAAGTTGTAATATTACTCTTCAGCCCAATTCTATTATTTCCTTGATCTCCTTTACCCTCACCACATCCTGTCAACATATGGAAATATCCACAGTCTAGTATCACTGCAGCTTCTGTTCCACTGTCCTTTCCTGATTCTGGCCTCTGCTGCACTGCCTTATTCTTGTATGTGAAACAACCTCCTTCACTTGGTTCTGAAAGTGTCTTACTGTAAGTCCTTGGATAAACGCAGTAAAACCATATTCCAAAGGAGATTTTGCAAACTAAGAATAGACAAGTATACACTAGTATATCTGGTGTATACTTGTTTACTAGAATCTAAGAAAGAACATCCTATTTTTCCTCATTCTTTGAATCTCCTTGATCAACACACACACACACAAAAACAAAGTAAACTGAGCCTGCTGGTAAAACAATGTACAACAAACTGGTTCCTTTTCCCTCCCCCAAATCCTTTCTCCTTCTTTAAAATCCCAACATACACAGATACACTCTTCCCTCCCTGCTCTCTCAAGACATACATAGGAGTACGTATGTACACATAACATGCAATTAGGATCCACTATACATACTTTCACATTTCAAAAACAGCCCCCTCCGTACCTTAAAATAGACAACAAAATTTGTAACTTTAGTAATGATCTTTAGGGTACTTCCAATTAGGATGGTATTGCCAAATTTGCATTTTAAGGTCCCCTTTATACCAAAGACAAAGAAATGACAGATAAAGAAAATCAAAAGGACAAAGCTATGATCAAAAATAAGATAAACAGAGCTTAAGCAAAGTACTAAAACTGAAGCTGAAACTGCAAGTTACTCCTGTGTTTCAGGTCCAAAAGTGGGCAGAGGAGGCTCTTATCACCAGCAATACCAAGGACTCAAAGTGTTCCTTTGGATACGTGGTACTGAAAATAGGGAATTGCGTGAAAGATCTGGGGTGGTGCTCCCCAAACTTGGAATAGACTGGGAAAACAAAACAAAAAAGCTGCAACTTGAGCAATTATTTTCAGCATGGTCACTAAGGATGTTCCCTTTTCTCAATATGAAGAATGAAAACAGCTTTTGTCACTTCTATATAAAGACTAGTTTACTCTTAGAAAAATCTGGAATAGAGTATCTTTAGACACAAAACTAACTTCTAAAAATAAAGATAAGTTCAAATATTTAAAAATTAAGTATCATTAGACAAAATTTCATTCTCAACTACAGTATTACAATTAGAACAATATTTAAAGGTAACCACACTTCAGGTGTACACTACTAAAATTTCTAACTTCTGATATTTTGACGAAAACTCATAAAATCTTAATATTTTAAATACAAAACTAAAATAAAATTTAAATATGACAGCAGAAATTCTCACCTGTGTTTTGATTGTGATCTTTTCCTTCTAGAATGGGATTTTGAGCTAGACCTGGATTTTGAGCGAGTATGGGAACGAGATCGACCGCCTTTTCTTTCATTGCTCTTTCCAGACTCTGGGAGGAAAAAATCACTTTGCAGTGTAAGCTCAGAACAATTAAAGATCCCAGTTAATAATCAGGCACAAGTGGAATGTACCACATATAGTGCAAGGGGCCTACTCTCTGTACATCCTCCTCCTTCAGAAACATCCAAGAAAGTCATTGCATAAACTCGTTGAGTGCAGCCACCCTGCAGCAGTACATATAAACCAGATGATTATAAACAGCTGTTCGTAATATTTTGTTGCTGCCGTAACGTACGATTACAACATGTCTGTAATTCCTGTGACAGTGATTTTAAGTCCTTTCTCCACTTATTCTGCTAGAATTTGAAGCTTAAATTCTAAGTGTTGATTTAGAAAATCTGCTCAAATGTAAACCACCTAGATGTTTTTAGAATGGGTTTTTTAATTATTTTCATTAGCAACACAAAAGTTTAAATAGATGTTCTTTTACCTTACTAAAATACAGTATCTGTATTTTTTTCTAAATCACGGGCTCTCTTCTCTACTTCTAAAATTAAAATGTTGAGGAAAAGTAAACCTGCTGAGTCGTAACGTTTTAAATATATGTACTCTTTTTAGCCTTGCAATAACATTTTTGCTTTCAGCAAATCACTTGTGAGCACTGATTTTGCTATGAAAATACAGAGCTGATTAGCTCAGACTAAAGTGCCTCAATTCAGTATCACAGAAAGAGATAAAATATGGGCTAAGTTGTTCTTTGACATGAGTATGCTACTTACTATTTCTTGAGTTTCAGTCTTCTTGTTTGTAAAATGAAGTGACTGAACAAGATGATTTCTAAAATTCCTTCCAGTTCTAAGAGTCTATGATCTTTAAACTATGACCTATGTAACAACGTTATGTACTTACCTGGTTCAATAGCTGCTGAGATAAATGACTGAGCTTCTCGTACTCGCTTCATTACTTCTTCTAACTCCTTAGCTGCAGCCTGAGGTGTCATCTCAGGGGGTTTTACTATTGCATTGTTGGAGTGATTTATTCTAAATTAAAAATATTAGCATATCACAAATACACACCACATTTTATAAAACATGAAACAAACATTTATATGATACACATATTTATAAACGTGAGGACATCTCAGAAGCACGTAAGAATGATATACAGAATAACCAAAAGCAACCTCAAAACCATGATTAATCTCTCATCCCCACTTCCTATCATTCCTTGCGAATACAACCAAAAGCAGGGAGAAAAGAAAAATTGAACCCTAGCTAACTTAATTCAAACAGACTAGATGAAGTGCTTTTCCATAGCTTAGAATTAAAATAAATTAAAATGTTGATACCAATATGAAAATGAATCATTTCTATTTTCAAATCAAAAGATCTTACTGATATCCTGTACACTCTAGAAGAAGGGTAAGCTACCTGTATATCATCATATTATGTACACCATTTTAACCAACGCTGAACCATGGCTGAGTTAGACATAGCTTTGAATGTGCAAGGCATCTGAAAAAATTCTTCCTCTACTAGGTAAGAGTGACTTCTCTGATGCACATGAATGGATATTATGTGTCTTGCTTTACCCCTTCCACACTGGGAAGACAAGTACCCACTAAAAACTTATCCTTAACAGAAAAATCCTGATCAAATTGTATAACTAAAGCAATCTATGAAATTCAAGCAAAACTATATATGCCTCAACAATCTGCATGAAATAGAATTTCTGGTCTGGAGTATCTCGAAGGCCATTATCAACGTTTTACAAACAAGGATGTAAGCAAACCTCAAAAGTCAAAATTTCTGGTTTAAAACATTTCTGGGCACTTATAATTTCCTTCTGTAGATTTTGAATTTACCACAGTTGTTACTGGAAGTACTGTAGTTCAACCCACCTGTTAAGTTGCTCAATTAGTCTAGTGTCATAATGTAAAACCAACCTGACTATTAAAGTTTATGGAAAAAGACCTACAACCGTTATGCAGGGTATATAAATAATGTTAACACTGAATTAGACCCTAGAAAACAGAAAATGAGAAAATAAATGTCTCTAAATAAAGGAATTTAAAGACTAAAATGGTAAGTATCTCATGTATTTCATTTATACTTAACACAAAGTCTTCCTTTCCACAAATTGCCAATTACTATTAAAAAGAAAAAAAAAGCCTTCATTACATCAAAAATACTTTAAATGTTTCAAAATCATTAAAATTTCTTTGTTTAGGATTTCTTACTTCAGTGGCCTGTCTCCAAACATAACTCCATTAAAAGCAAGGGCCCTTGGTACAGAATTTTGGTCTGCAAATTCCACAAAAGCAAACCGAGTTGGCTGAGTCTCATCACCTGCCATCCGCACAAACTTCACTTCTCCAACTTGTTTAAAAAATTCAAGTAGTTGATCAGCTGTCGTTGTCTAAGGGAACAAAGTGACACTTTGATAAAATATATCCATTTAAAAAATCAGATAAATATTACTGTATCCACTGATATGATTTTTAAGAAGAGAAAAAGAATAAGGGCTACTGCTGCTTTGTTTCTTCTTTAATTAGTTACCTGGGAATTCAGATTTCCAACATAAACCGTTCTCCTAATTTCATCTATTTTGGAAGGATCCACGTTTCCCATAAGTGGTGGCTGTGGTATCTCTCCAAGTGTTGCAATGTTGGGGTCTAGTGCTGCTGCTGGTATAGCTCCCAAACTGCTAAGTGAAACACCAAGCTATCGAAAGAAGAAAAAAAACACACAGAACACATATTTTCTATTAGTATCCAAAGATACCATTCTCTAATCTTGAAAAGAATGAACTAACTCAACAAGAATGAAAGGAGACTAGGGACTCCGAACTTTCAGTCATATATATGTCTGAGTTATTAAAGTAAGGTCACATTAGTTTTAAATGTAATTTGAAATATATTTTACTGTCTGGATATTTTAGCCACTTTTAAACTTGACCCTAAAAGACAGGCTGTTTCTCATTACCTGACATAGCTATGTTCTATAGTTTCCGTGAACAATGAATTATTGAATATTGAACCATTATTCCTAGGGAAAATACAGGGTGAAGTTCCTACAAGCCTCTGGTCACATTTACATTAACTAGTAAAATATTTAACCTTATTTTATATGTTCTTCTGTTTAAAGACACCTTAGCTGTTATATATTGTCGATTCATTAACACTGAACTTACAGCCAGCAGCGCTACAATTCAGGCCTGAATGAAGCTTATCTAATACATGTATTTAATATTTTCTCCATGAGGCACTTCACAATCTCCCTGTACTTAGGAACACTACACAGCAGTTTGGCACTACACTTGTGGGCCCATCTTAACAGTGAAATCACCAACAAAAAGCACAACAATTCAAAGAACATAGCACTAAACAGACTGCGTGCTTGTTTACTGCCTGAGTGCCAAAACAAGAAGATTTCGACCTCCGTGCAAATAGACAAACCCCAATTTTTCACCACTCTGTGTATGTCCACGAACGACCACAAAAGTGCTCCAACTGTTGATGTGGGGATTTCAAAAAAATTTTACTTACTAAGTGAATTCAAAAATACAGAATTCACAAAGAATGAGAATCAACTGTACCTTGGTCATTGAAAAACACAGATGAGTATGAGTATGAGTTCCTAACAGTCAACAATTATCATAGCATCGAATTTAACTGAGGTAGTAACTTAATCCTCATATCAACCCTAAGAAATGGGTTATTATTATCATGCTGAAAGTTTACCTAAGAAAATATATCTAAAATATTGAGCCCTTACTTATGCCATGGTAGGAAAAGGGCAAAAACCTTCAAAAAAACTTTGAATGATCTTTCTATAGCATCACTAAATTCAGTTTTTACTTTCAGCATTAAGGAACGTATTATTTTTAATATGAATGTAAACTAGAAGAAATGTAAGATCTCAGAATTTGAAAACAGAAAAAATTTTTCAGAACGAAAAGAGCTTTCAAGGAAAAAAGCACAACTCTTTTCATTTCCACTTATACTATTAGAGAACATTTTGACCATTAATGACTATATATACAAATATGATACAGAACTAAGATTTTAACAACTGTTAAGTAATGGCACTTGCTAATGGTGAAAACGGAAGTTTATGAAATCAATGTCACTTATCACAGCAGCCAGTCTGATCTTTTTAAAACATGTCAAATCATGTCATATCCCTGCTTAAAACCCATCAATGGTTTCTAATTACCTTAAGAATAAAACTCAAACCCCTCTTTCCATGGTCTAAAAAGCCCTACCATAATCTGTGTCCTATCTATCCCCTCCAATCTCAAACACTCATGACCCTCACTCACTATGCTTCAACCATACTGACCACCATTCTGTTCCTTGAACACATAAGTTCAATTAAAAAACATTTCCCCCCAAGAATCAGAATGCAGGTCTTCAGCATAGCAATGTTATGTAAAAACTACAAATCTAAAATTTTGCACTTCAAAATTTCAGAAACCACTCTTACAATCTAGATAAATTAACTACAATCACATAGTTCATTTCTTAGTTCAATTCCTATCCAACACCACAAAGCTAGATTCAACTTCCAATTAAGGCAAGCTTTGTATTTTGTTCTATGTTGTCTTTTGAAGAAAAATGGCACTTCTTTTAAAATAAATATGGCCAGAGTTTTTTAAGCAAAAACCAAGAACCAGTAATAGTAATATACCCTTTTTTTTTTTTTGAGACTCTCCCTCTGTCGCCCAGGCTGGAGTGCAGTGGCGCAATCTTCGCTCACTGCAAGCTCCGCCTCCCAGGCTCACGCCATTCTCCAGCCTCGGCCTCCCGAGCAGCTGGGACTACGGGCACCCGCCACCACGCCCAGAGAAGTTTTTGTATTTTTAGTGGAGACGGGGTTTCACTGTGTTAGCCAGGATGGTCTCGATCTCCCGACCTCATGATCCACCTGCCTCGGCCTCCCAAAGTGCTGGGATTACAGGCATGAGCCACCGCGCCTGGCCGTAATATCCTTTTTTAATCCCACTTGGAAATCACAAAGGAAGCATTACTAAATTATGATTTAATTCTGCATAGTTAATGGAAAAATATTTTGCCATGTTTTCACCTTATTACATTTTCTCAATATCAGACAAAGACCTGTTTTTTTCCCATTACCAAAGTTGTGGATCATTTCACGTATTTTAAATGGATTTAATCCTCATTAACTGAGAAATACAGTTACCTAGATCCTCTATGCTATCTAAAATATTGAGTTTTAATAACTGATTTTCTAGTGAATAATCTATTGGGGTTCTCAAATTTAAATGAATCCCCTATTACTTCAGGAGTAAATCCAAAACGCAGCGTTAAGTCACTGATAAAGTGAAAAAAAAAGTTTAAGCAGTGATTTCGAATCCTCTCTATTAAAAAAAAAAAAAAGAAGAAGATCCAAATGCAAATAATCTGAAGCTCTCTATTCAACTGGTCACACAGTTGAACATTCACCTCTTTCATAAGCCAGCTTATAGTACTTACAGTAGTCAAAGGATTTGGGGTCGGTATTGGAAGCAATCCTGCACCAGGCATCAGACTTGTCATGGTTGGAGCAGGAGCCAATAAAGAGAGGGCTTTGGATTCCTCTGGGATTTTACCTGCAGAGGCAAGTTCCAAACATTACAAAAAGCAGAAACACCACACAAACTTTACACTATGATTTTACAATTACCCTTGCAGTTAAAAAATAATAATAATAAATGAATCTATCTATCAGATCTGTATAAAGAAATAAATAAGAACTTAAGTCTTTCCTTTTATCCTGCTCTACTAGGAAAAATAAAAGTGAGCAAAACTTCAAATATTAACAATCTCATTAATGGAATATTATTTTAAAAATTGAATAATGTAGACAATTATTTAACACTTTGAGCTATGGGTCACCTGTACTGGAAACTTAATGTTCATGAACCAAACGATATCAAGCATGGACGCTTTCCCAGGACGGTGTTTTCGCGGTGATCGAAAGTTGTGTTACACATGACAACCGTTCGTGTTGGCTGCATCACTAATAGCACACAGAACATCAGATACAGAAAAGAAGAACATTTTTTAAAGTTTAATCCCCAGAAATGGCAAATAACCAAATTAGTCAAAAAAAAGAAAAAGAAAAAACAAATATGTGCGAATTGAAATTTCTTAATGAGTGCCCCTATCCTGTTACTGAAACTACCTATTTGTGATGCAAACAATTTTGATAACCCTCCAACAGATTCCATTTAATTTCAAATAGAAAACAAAAACTTACTCCATGTAATCAACTTCAACGTAAAAGGAAGCCTACATCCATTCAGTTAATAAAGCATCTCACCAACATCAGAGATGCCTAAAAGAACTCAGTTCCAAAAAATATGCCTTGGGAAACTACTAAAAATGTTTCAGGAAAAAAAAAGTTCCCTGGTTTCAGAAAACTTCTTATTAACTTTTAGAACCAATTTATGTATACTTATCTGAAGGGGGAGGTTAATGCCTTAAAGCTTGCTTAAAAACATTTTAATTGCCTAATAACAATAGTAACATTAAAATAATCTAATAACACTCAGTAGGAAAAAAACTCCCTACAACCTAAAAAAATGAAAAACTTACTCTGAAATAAGTACGATTTGGCATATTCATTGCTGAATTCTAATCAATTACTTCTGATAAGGACTGCAACTTTCACATTATTTTTCCTTATCCCCTTAGGCAAAAAAAAAAAAAAAAAATTCTTAAATAGTTGACTACATGTGGATATATTTAGAAGAACACTCATGTGGTAGCTGGTAAAGCATTTCTATTATTAATTCTCCAAAAGTGTTTTAAAAGACAATGCACAAAATCATGCTAAACTGAAATATAGCATATGCAGTAAATTTCCACAAGCACCATGCCTGGTTTCAGTTGTAAAAATATTTAAAACAACCACATGTGCAGAGATAAATCCCTAAACAATATTATCTGAATATATCTTTAAACATGGATGGAACTCAAGTTGGAATTTAAAACTTGATTTAAATAATGGCTATGCCTTATTTATAGGAAGCAAATAAAACCTACTATTTTCTACCTTTGCAGCATCTAAGTTTATATTACTTTATTACTTTCAAAAACAAAGTTATCTTTATTATTTCAGTGAAAATTCTGGAGAACAGATTTCTTAACATGCATCAACAAAAGGCAGGTAGGCCTTACTGAAAACATCAAATAACAATAATCTGCTTTATATGTATTAGTTATTGGTATTAACACATGTATTTATATATACCCACATATACACTATACTATTTATATTGATTTCACCTGTTTTATCTGTTATAAATTGGTATTATCTCAAAAGGTTTGTAAAACCTGAACATTCTTGATAAATTGAGGTTTTGAGGCAGAAACTCCATCGTCACTACCTTAATGTATGCACCTAAGGAAACTCAGAGTTCTAATCTAGTAATGTCCCAAATTTAATATTACTTGTCCTTTAATAAGTAAAACTACCTATTGAAGACATTGTAGAAAGACTATACAAACAAAAAGGGTATTCAACACTGGCCAAAAGTTGACTACTTAGTATTATGAAGTCTTTCACTTTCAGCTTAAGTATCAGTAGGTTGTCAAACTCTCCCACTGCCTTTCAAAAGAGTATACTACTATAAATATAGTATACTACTATAAATGTATAAATCCACTATAAGCACATTTTTTAATAAATTAACTTTCAATTACCATTCTAATTACTCTATATACTTATTCTAATTACCTAAAGGTAATGGCAAAAGTACTTTAAGAAAAAGCTCCATTGCTTAATTTCCAAGATAGAATTCTACCAAATTTACCCTCCAAATAACAGAGCTTATAAAAGTATAAAACAAATAAGCATTTAGCATTTTTCCCAAACTATAC
Source organism: Homo sapiens (assembly GCF_000001405.40). NCBI lineage: Eukaryota > Metazoa > Chordata > Mammalia > Primates > Hominidae > Homo > Homo sapiens. The sequence goes on along the minus strand of NC_000005.10, from coordinate 66,156,943 downwards.
TCCTCAAAGTCAACTGAGGAAAACATCTCTCACAGTATTATAGTCCTAATCTCAGAATCCATTTAGAAGCTAGTAACCTCTGAAAAATATTCAACAAAAAATTCAAGCTAACAAAAACCTACATGCAAATACTTAAGTTTCTCAAATATCCATTCCCCACATAGGCAACAAAAAGTCTTCATAAGTCAAGGAAATAAGTTATATGATAAATAACCATCATAAAAATGAAAGGCTCTTCTTTACTCCCAGATTGTTATATTTACTTATTTTCCTTGATGATTTTGTATGCCTAAAATTCCAGGGGGAAGGACAAAAATTAGAAGCTATCAGTTTTTATGAGAGATGTAGACTAGGGGGGAAAAAAACTAGAAAAATGTTGCGCTGAGATCAGAAAGTGTTCCTGAGATACTTATCAGTGTTTTAATGTTTCAAGAATAAAATGTACCTTATGAGTCCATACACACAAATTAAGACTCACAATGAGCTTCACAACACTGTATCCTAATTTACCACATGAAAATTTGCTTTATCTTAAGGTTGAGCTCTACTAATCATCTCCCAATATAATTTGCAACACGTTATGAACCCTTAATGAAATACCATTTACAAAGAACTGGGAAAACCAGCTCACAAGTTAAAGTGAAAGAGATTTAACAAAACAAAAACAAAAACAAAAACAAAAAAAGGGACAAAATAAAGAAAAAGAAATGAAATTAAAGTAAAACAATAAAAAACAGAGACAGGGCGTCCATCTTCTGCGGTTCAGACTCCGATCTCATTTCCCCAATGAAGGTTTCACTTGACGGCAGGTTTAGTGGCATGGCAAACAATGCCTAACTCAGGCAAGTGTAACAGGTCTGCCTTGGCCAGTCTAGTCATCTAATAATGCACAAATATCACATAGAGAAAACATACAAAACCAAATTAATAGTCAAAATCCATCTACCAGAAAATGTGGACATAAAGTTATGACTGATGATTAGGCTGACACCCTTGTTATGTTTGACCGTATCTTTTTCTACGTGTTAACATTTATAAAAAGAAATCTGAAATGCACGCAACAACAAAAAGAGGTCATATTTGGACAAGTATAATGAAAGCATATTTTATTTTGAAATGGCATGTTTTATTAACAAAGGCTAAGGCTTAATATGCATGAAACTGTTACACATCAAATGTTACTTTTACAACTTAGGATCTTCTCACATTACTGTCTACACTAAAAAACAGCAATTCAAAGAAACTGAAAAAACTTCTTAAATTTTTTTCTATGGTTTTTCTCACTTATGTCATGATGCTGTTTGTTCAACATCAAGGAAAGGATGCATTCAGTGAGGTCAACAGAACACTGCTTGCTTACAGCACCACAGCACATCTCCTCTTACAGAACTTACTCCACTGGAATACTTTTCTTTGGTTATTTCACACTCACTCTGCTATCTTTTTTAGTACAATAATGCACTATTTCTTTGCTTGTAGTGCATAATCAGTATTTTAACAGCTCACTGTGAAATTCTCGAGGTTCCATAAATTCATCTCTGCCGTATTTAATACAACTAATGAAAAACGTATATCTGAATGTTTCACCAATACCAACTGTAGGTTAGTGTTTCAAAATATTTACTTACTTATAACTAAATTGCAATAAAAGTATGCTTAAATTTTTCTGTTCAAAAACAGTAAAACTGTCCAAGTTGTAATATTAAAAACACTAAAAAGGTACATCTGACTGTGCATTTATTCATCTCTATCAAGTAAAATAAACAATAAAAGGGACATCTACACGCCCATCATCTTGAACATTTATAACAAAATACAGTAGGGCTTCTCAGATATATGAAAGATTCTATGGGAATAAAGCAGGTTTCAACCAAGCAACACTGATAAAATTCTTCCTTCCAATTCAGTAATAAGCTAACACAATAAAAGACCCAGTGTTATTGGTGGTATTAATTTTCTGATATAATTAATATTCCAGTTTAATAAACCTTTTACCTGATTTCTTTTTTCCCATGCAGTTTCTCAGTATGAAATTTCACTACAAAGTTTGTAGAACGAAACCATTCACCAGCTCCTTTCCCACCTCACCAATTTGGGGCTTACTGTAGCCTTACAGATCAGCAGATAAAGATACATTTGGCCAATAATTAACTTTAATCCATTTTTATCTTCCCTACCCACTCTAACCCCCAAGCATGGGAAAGACACTTCCAAATTTATCTGAAAAATACTGAGAATGTCCTATTCTGGGACTTAAAAAATACGAGCCTGGTACTCACTGTATTAGACTGTAATGTTTTTGACATCCCAGAACAGGCATTCTGAAATAAGCATAAAACCTTTAAAGTGCAGCAAACTGCTTATTATATATTATTTTAATGTCAGCCTGGCCACTAAAAGAGGTTTTAAAAATTACATATGAAAGCCCATCAAACTGTTTTCCATAAACCTTTATGTTTAAAACAGTTTCAATCATCCACCAGAGAAAATCTACTTTAAGACATTTTAATTTATAATAACCCAATTCTAAAATCCTGTACACATGCTAGTCAGTGCTCTGAATAAAAGTTAATTATACACCAGAAGTGTCAAAATTCAGCACAGTCTATTATACGTGAGTGGCTCTGTAAACAGAAGTTACTAAAAAATATTAGTAATAATTAGTTCTTAAAGCAGTTTAGGTCATAAAATTTAATGGATACTTTAAGGCCTTTGTTCCTATCTTCAACAACTACTTCCTTCATGGAGGCTTTGGAAAATTGCTTTCCTTTTTTTCCAACACTCCTCCTGCCCCTTTTTGGGGCCAGTAAAAGAAAACATTAAATTCCAGTTGCAAAGCAAACAATTACATTGAATATAAAATAATGATCTCATAGTAACAATTAAGGTAAATTACCTTAAGAGTGTACTTGAAAGTATAAATTACAAATATTTTCTTATAAATATCACTTAACCCCAATTTGCCAAAATGTGTACACTATTTTCATTTGTAATAGTATTAATATTGAACACACAAGGTAAATGCTTGTTTATGCATTTAAAATAATTTCCCATATCAATTATTTTTTAATTTCAGAAAGCTTTCTTTGCAATCTGCAAATTGACTACAGAAAGCCAAAGCAAACCAGAAGCCAATGAATGTTAAATTGTAAAACCTCAAATGTACATGTCATAAATTAACCATTTTAATATTACTATTAGGTAAAAAGGTTTACCTCCTCCAAATTTCATTCTTACTTTCACACACACACCAAGAGTACTGTCTACTTGCCAATCTCTAGGAAAGCTAAAGGCAATAACAGACAGGACAGAAATTCAAATAAGAGGAAAAAAAGCGAGATACCAACCTTCTGCACAAGGAACAACTATCAGAGCTCTGTCAATAAAAACCGTGTTAGTTAGATGCTGGGCCACGCCAACACTTGATGGATCACGAAACTTAACATAACATACTTTGGAGGAAAAAGCAAGAGGTGCGTTGCTGCAAGATAAAAAGAAAAACAATTGAACTAATAAACATTTGCTTGGTTTTATCATTTTCACTTAAAATTTCTTTCTTAACCTTTACATAATCTTACGAAATTAAGACTTTAAAACTTTTTGTTATTAAGGATCATTAACACATAAAACAGTGAAACTTAGTCATTTAATGGTGATTTGTCTACCACAACAGAAGGCAATCCAGGCAGGCCTACTGCCTTACTTGTAAAACTTGGAACTCAAATTAATCAATCCTTAATCCGAGTGAATGTAAAAAAAGCTAATTTAACCCAAAAATTAACTCAAAAAGTGTATCATATGTAAGCAAAAATCCCTTTATAAAAGCTCCAAACCTCAAGATTTCAAATTTTATCATCATTCCAACTCTTCCTAAATGTGTTTCCCAAGCATTTACATCACTAAAAAACTTCACAACAGTCTTAGAAAGAGTCAGGTAGTATGGAATTTAAATTGAGGTATTTTGCATACACCAGAGCTGGACAGTGATGATTTTCCAGACAAAAGATTTTACAAACAAAATCTTACATATTTTATAGGCAACAAAGACTCTAACTGGTCCTACTTGATTCAGTTTAATCCAGGCAGGCCGATACTAAAAATGAACCAGACAAAGCACAAATGAAAGGAACTTTTCCTAAAATGAATACATCCTGTTAGATTCGAAAATATACTATCCTCATGGATAATCATTTTGTCAGCCTATCCATAATTACTTTTCATTAAAATCTGTAATTGTCTTTAGCAGGAAAAAAAAGACCGAACTAAGTACATACGTAATCTGTAACATAGATTTTATATTAAAATCTATTTGAAACATTTAAGATTTTTCACACTAAAAAAAGAGAGATCACTTGAAAAATATATGACTTAATAGTCATTTACTTTTGTTTACAAAACAGGAAAGAAAACTGACTACAATTCCAGAACTAGTAAATCGCAAAGTTAACATCTAATGTCTAATCATCTAATTCCAAACTTCATGCAACTGTAATCATTCAACTAATCAAGAATCTTTAAACCATTCTGACATACTATTAAATTAGCAATTCCACAAACATTAGCCGTTTTTAAAATCCAAAAATCCAGATTTCTTTGTAATTCTTCACGTCCAGGAACAAAACCATCTTTAAACAACGTAGAATAACCACATTAATAACGGTTAAATTTATATATATTTATGCTATTAACCAAACAATGTGATAATAAAATGAATCTGCATTTAGAACTTAAAACTATTTACATTATTAACACAATTAGTAAGGCTAATTAAAGTTGAAAATAAAAGATGTACCGCCGGGCGCAGTGGCTCACGCCTGTAATCCCAGCACTCTGGGAGGCCAAGGCGGAAGGCGGGCGGATCACGAGGTCAGGAGATCGAGACTATCCTGGCTAACACGGTGAAACCCCGTCTCTACTAAAAATACAAAAAATTCTCCAGGCGTGGTGGCGGGCGCCTGTAGTCCCAGCTACTCAGGAGGCTGAGGCAGGAGAGTGGCGTGAACCCGGGAGGCGGAGCTTGCAGTGAGCCGAGATTGCGCCACTGCACTCCAGCCTAGGCAACAGAGCGAGACTCCTTCTCAAAAAAAAAAAAAAAAAAAAAAAAAAAAAGGATGTACCTCTTAGCATCCAACTCACTTCTGCCTAAGGGCATCCAATTCAGGATTCACATCAGCCCTCAACAAAAATCCCTCCTTACCCAACCCAACACCTAAGTCAAAGCAACTTGTGTACTGACACTGAGGTTAACTGTATGCACATCCAGACTTAACTCACCACCTTTACATGACCAAATCACCAATTCAGGCCTCTTGTGAGCTCTAGACTCCCAGGTACAAGTGCCTGCTGGAATATTACACCTTGATGGTCACTAAGTAAGTTGAAAATACATTCATCAACCTCCTTCCTTACCAGTCTTGCCCTCTGTCCCCTGCATTCCATATTTCAGTAAAAGATATCATACTACCCAAGTCCGAAACCTAGGAGTCACTAGTGTGACCATCCTAAGCACTGCCCACCAACTACTTCCAAAGCTCTTTCTAGGTACACAATAAAATTCCATTTTTCTGTTCCTTTAAGTTAGGTGTGGCCATGTAACCTGCTTTGGTCAGTTAAATATGAGCAGAACTGACATGTGTCACTATTCTGAAGAAGCTCTGAGAACCACTGTTTGACTCTTTTCCTCCACCACAACGACTGGCAACATTCAAAAGATGGCTGGGACTCATCAACTTCATCCCAGAGTGAATAACCACAATGAGTAAAGTTCCCACCCCCACGAATTTAGTCTAAAAAATATTTTGTCAGCCAGGCAGGGTGGCTCATGCCTGTAATCCTAGCACTATGGGAGGCAGAGGCAGGCAGATCACCTGATGTCAGGAGTTTGAGACCAGTCTAGCCAACATGATGAAACCCCATCTCTACTAAAAATACAAAAATTAGCTGGGTGTGGTGCCACACACCTGTAATCCCAGCTACTTGGGAGGCTGAGGCACAAGAATTGCTTGAACCCGGGAGGCAGAGTTTGCAGTGAGCCGAGATCACACCACTGCACTCCAGCCTGGGCAAGAGAGTGAGACTGTGTCTCAAAAAAGAAAAAAAAAATTGTCAAACTACAAAGATCTGAAGTTATTTCCAAAACTCTACTTATTCTAACTGATAAATTATCCTTGACCTTTCTGTCCTCATCCAATTGGTCAATATATCCTGCTTAGAGTACCTTGTAAATATTTGTCACATTAGTTTTTTCATCATTCTCATTACCAATGCCTTAATTCAGACCCTCATCATTTCTCATGTGGATTACTTAACAGCTTTTAAGAAATCACACAGCACCCAACCTCAAATCCTTATTAATGGTCTTCCACCAAAGCTCCCACAGTGATCTTTCTAAACACTAAATTTCATTGTGTCACTCCACATATCAAATTTCCTTAAAGGTACTATTCTGTTCTTGCCTCGTCATGGAAATGCACCCAAAAATGATACCTGTGGTTCCAGCAACACATCACAAACATATGGGTCTTCATATATGCTGTTCCATTTGGTTACGATGTCCTCGCTAACTCCCATTTTGAATGCTAATTCCACTCTTCTTCAAGGCTCAAATTTCCAAGTCTTCTGGTAAACCATCTTAAGATACCGCAATCATTAGGTACAGCCTCCTACATGTGCTACCAAGACATTCTATATTGCTTTGGCACAGGCCTTAGCACGGTTTCCTCATGTGAAACCCTCAAAAGATCCTATAAGCTTCTCTAGCCATAAATGATTAGTCACCAGTCTCAAGGGCCCATTTCCCTGGCTGACCAGCAACCTCTAATTTTGGAAGTCAGGCTCGACCAAATGAGCTAGATCAATCAATCAGGTTCTCTCTATTGGGCTGGAAGGTGACTTACAGCAAGCTGTAAGCCAGATGATGAGTACATAATAGGTATGCAAAGAAATGGAGTAGATAGAAACAAACTGAACTGATAATAACCACTGCAGAGAAAGAAGCAGATAGTCATCTTGATTGCTGATACCCTTCTGGTTCCCAGTACTAGTTCCCATGAGGCCTGGCTGTACTACAATCTTTATTTTTCAACGCAGTGAAATCTTTCTTTTTAATAATAATGTCTCTTCTCGATGTACCTTGGGTAACACTGTTTCTGTCCTTTTTAACCAAAAACAATCTGTGATTATAATAACCTACTAAAGCCCTAGCAATTCCAACAGGAATAACTCTTTTGCCTCTGAAATCTTCAAGAGCCTGACAGTCATCTCTGAAGCAACATTTCCTAAACTGACGGATCCTTTTGTGAAGGAATGTAAATGTTAAGTAAGCACTACTGAAAACTAAAACCACATTTCCAAATACCCCTAGTTGAAATCTACTTCATTTCAAACTTAAAACATCCACAGGAATAGGAATTCTGAGTCTGGTTTGTAATGCAACTACATCTGAAGACATGCCACCAACATTTCAGAAGCCTGGGAACTGGTTAAAAAAATGTTGGTCTGTTCTGAACAGCATCATCATGGAAGTATGGATATTAGGTACGGCTACTCCACTGATTTAAGCAATTTTCTTTTCTTTTCTTTTCCTTTTTTTTTTGAGACAGAGTTTCACACTGTCACCCGAGCTGGAGTGCAATGGCGGGATCCCGGCTCACTGCAACCTCCGCCTCCCGGGTTCATGCGATTCTCCTGCCGCCTCCCAAGTAGCTGGGATAACAGGTGCACACCACCACACCCAGCTAATTTTTTGTATTTTTAGTAGAAACAAGATTTCACTATGTTGGCCAGACAGGTCTCGAACTCCTGACCTCGTGATCCGCCTGCCTCGGCTTCCCAAAGCGCTGGGATTACAGGCGTGGGCCACTGCACCCGGCCAATTTTCTTAATCTTCATTTCCAATTACCTTCCTTAAAATAAAGACCAACTTACATTTACTTTATAAAAATGCAAATATTTGAAAATTTCAGGCAAGGTAACACTATTTTATTTTGACCATTATAAACTAAAATTATTAGAGTAGCAAGCCAACAAACAGATAGCTCATCAAACAAATGTGTACTTGCTTGTGCCCAAGAGTTCAAGACCAGCCTGGGCAACAGAAGAAGACCTTGGGGGAAAAAAAAACACATAAAAAGGGATGACATATTCCATTTGGTCTAAATGTATGCATCTATAGAAACTAGCAGGCCAGGCACAGTGGCTCACATCTGTCACCCCAGCACTTTAGGATGCCAAAGCAGGCGGACTGCTTAAGCCCAGGAGTTTGAGTCCAGCCTGCGCAACATGGTGAAATCCTGTCTCTACTTAACTAAATAAATAAATAAAATTTTAGAAATAAATTTTAAGAAGAAAATAGCAGTACCCAAATTTAGCAGATTTTAGTTTGACCTCATTCGTTGACTTAAAGTTTTGGTTTTTTAAAATACAAAATCTTATCAATTTTTCAAAAAAAATTAAAACTTTTCAGTGGGTAGTACACGCAGAAACCAAAGAACCAACTTTTTGGGCATCAATTAAATTTCTTGGCCCTAACTGGTTATTTTGTCTTTTATTAAACATAATGATAGCACTATACAATATTTTTAAAACCAATGAGGTAATAATATGTCCAGTATTTTATCAGTACATTAATACACATCCTTTAGAGGACAGAGGACCTACCAAAAAAGATATGCCAAAACATGAGCGAAGCATACAGTATCATGTACAAAAATATTAGTTGGTGCATTATTTATAACAGGGTTTCTTCACTGGGCTTCAGTGGCCCTATGGATTAGCACAATTCATCCTGTTTAAGACTACTTATAAGTTGCTAACATTTACCCACTAAATGCCAACAGGCCCTCTAATCATTGTTGACAATCAAAAAGACACACCTCCCAATTTCTAGCTAAAATCCACTAATTTGTAATACCAAAAAAAGCAATCAAAATATCCAACAATAGAATTTCAAAAACACACAATACACTCAGAAATTACTAATCTCTAAATATTACTATAAATAAGACAGCAATATGGAAAATGCTTATGACAAAGTGAAAAAAGTAAAATAACAGTGTGATTCCTTTGATTACGCTATATTACATATATTACATAATGATAGCACTATACAATTATTTTTAAAACCAATGAGGTAATATGTCCAATATTTATTAACGCATGTGAAAAGGACTACAGGGAAATGGAGAGAAGCTTTGATAGAGTGGTGGGATCACAAGTGCTGTTTCCTTTTCTCTATTTTCTATAAAGTGGCTTTAGTGGTTACATTTTTTTTAACTAAATAAACTTAAGTAGTTGACAGATTTTTCCATTCTTTCTTAGAACTTTAGAAGACCAGAGAAGTGACGGAAATCAACAAGCAAAAAAAATCAACACAGGAAAAATGTCTAGTGTTACAAATCAGGGTAGGCTTACCCTTCAGGTTTTAGTTACTTGAAGGGGGTCACGGGGAACTTACAGGGTGCAGATAATCCTGACTGTGTGCTGGTTATATAGGTATGTTTACTTTGTAAAGATTCATCAACCTGCGCTTACGACCTGTGCACTTCTCTGTAGGTACATTAAACCTCAATGAAAAATTTACTGAAAAAACAACAAGGATTTCTTACTTGTGTAAGAAAGTTTCACAAGCTGTGAGATTGATTTATTGTGCAAAAAGTTAATAGTAATTCTACATATTTATCAACTGGCAGCACAAAAAAAGGATGACAAACTACAAATAAGAATTCTTAATGCTTACAGTGAATGTTCACAAGAATTCCCTAGCCTTAAAAAATTCTTAACGTTTAAAAGATAAAGATGAAACTCAACCACTGCATCATGCCAAAAGAATTAAATTTAAAATCTGAATTTTCATATTAGCAACTTAAGTCATTTAAGTCATTTTTTTTTAAGAGATAGGGGTCTCAATATGTTACTCAGGTTGGAATCAAACTCCTGGGCTCAAGCTGTTCTCCCACCTCAGCCTCCTGAGTAGCTAGGACTATAGGTGCACACCACCACACCTGGCTCAATCATAAAATTTTAATGAGAAACTATTTTCACATTCTATTAATGTATTTCCAATATACCTGGAAATATGTATTTGAAAATAAATATATTTCCAATTTTAAAACAATTTAAATTTCTACTCAACTCTAAAGATGTCATAAAATAATTTATGTGACACTGCAAAACAATATATTTTCAATACAACTACTACTATTGCATTTTGTATCCATTTCAGTCCAAATTTGCAAACACGTCTTCTAATATAAGGACCAGGCAATGACAACTTCATTACGAAGCAGAAAACCTGTGAATAAAGCATGTCAGTATTGCTGCAAAACATGAATGAGGGATCTAGTATTGCACTTAGGGAAAAACTAGTTAAGGATTTTGCCTGGCCTATATATATTACACGTATGCAACAATTTTGCTTAATGTGTTACAGTTTGTGAAATACACTACCGTAATCTTCCATATGTTTAAGTGAAGAACTTTTTATTCTCTTTGACTTTTAAATTCCAAGTAATAACATCTGATTTCAAAAAAGTGGCCCATTACTGTCAGTTATGGCAATGTGTTGTCACCCAAACCCAGGTTTCAACCAAATAAATATTATGTTGATAATGAAGAACATTCTCCAATATATTTCTTCTACCTATGAGATACCTTATTACCACAGCCTTGAAAGCAAGATTTACAAAGGTTCATGTACAAAGTATTTTACTGATTGATTCCAATGCCTGCAGGATACGGCACTCCCCCAAACAATTCTCAATTATTCTCAACTATTAAGAAATGTTCTGAGAACTTAAATTGAGATGGCTGAAAGCATTTCCAAAAGTTAAGATAATTAAAGCAATAATGCCACGGTTAATCAATCAAAATGTACGTGCGTGCACTTATGCAGTATTCTCGTCAAAAATGTATTACCTGAATCTCGTCACGAATATAAAGATATATATATACACATATCTCTATATACCTCATCTATATATCTCATCTATATAAACTCAGATTATGAGTCATATTACAAGACAAAATGAACTACAAAACAAAATATCAATGTCACGACTTTAGAATCTTTAAAAGGGGACGGGACTGTCCTAGATTAAAGGAGATAACTATTAATACATGGATTACTTGGCATATTCAAGGGAGACAGTGTTATCTAATTACATACTAGATCAAAAGCAGACAAAAAAGCATTATTAAAATAACTGGGGAAATTTTAATAATCAACTGTAGCCAAAAACAGACAAAATGCTCGTAAAAGGAACATGGATGTTCAATGTATTACTCTTTCAACTTTTCTGTATGCATGAAATATTCCAAAACAAAAAGCAGAGAAGAAAAACTTAAAAAGTAAATTTTAAATATCCACACAACTTTTATATAGTTATGCAACAGCACTGTTATAACCTGAGATAGAAAACTAAAGAAAAATAGGTCTAAATGCATCACTAGGAAATAAATCAAAATTTTTTTAAAGAAATAAATCTTGGGTAACAATTACCCCTTCCCTCAAAGGATTTTGATATAATGAACAAAAAACGGAGGATCTTAATACTGTAAGATCTACCATTAAAAAAGAAAAAAAGTTTGTGTGCAAGAATGTGAACAACCTACAAACCCCTTGCGAGTTTTCTAAATAATATCGTACGAGGGAAATTTTACCATTCCAAAATACACTATCTGGGAAGTGGCCGCGAGCTGTGAATGCCAGCCAAGATCTGGACTTTAAATGTATACGGGAGGGATAACCCTGCACCGACTTACACTTTTTCTGAAAGCTTTGGGACAGTGTGACCTTTCAGGAGGAAAATTTAATCTGCTGTCAAAAGGGCTAACAGACATGATCTTTGGGAACATGGATGCGCTCGGTTAGATAAACCAAAATGCTAAGTTTGTGCGACCGTCCTGGGAAACAAACACAGCCCCAGTTCCATCTTGTCACCAGCAGCAGGCTTTCTCGTCAGCAAAACGGCCTGACACCAAGGCCTTAAAAACTGGACTGTGGCTCAGGCGCGGTCTCCGCGATTTTCAGAGTGGAAAAACGCTCTGAGACGTTTGCCATGAGGGCTGTTCCGGGCCCACCTGCGGCCATCTTAAGTTCGGGGGGAAATAAGAGGGTGGGGGCACGGAATTCGAAGACCCAGCAGCGAACACAAGTCCCGGAGGCACAGAAAGGGCAACCATTCTAAATCCTTGGTAAGGGCTCCGTGCAGTAGTTAACCCCCCAAATCCGACTAAGGAGAGCAGGACGGCGGAACCCGGGTGCCCTAATCAAATATGGGCACCAAGGTAAGCCGGCGCGATCACGTGACATGCACCGCGCGCCCGCGTCCGCGCTCTCCTCCACGCCTCGGCTCCCGAGGTCTCTATGGCGCCCGCGCCCCTCCCCCAGCCGAGCTCCAGCACTTACTCCGGGGGGTAGAGCCGCAGCTCCTCGATTTCTCCTAGGAAGGAAAAAAGCGTCCGCATCTGCTCGCTGGTCACCGCCGACGACAGATTCGTCACCTGAATCACCGACGTGGGGGTGAGGCCGAAGCCTAAGCCCAAACCGAAGCCGCCGCCGCTGTTCATCCCGATCCCGCTGCCGTTGCCTTCCCGCTCCCCAACGTCTACGACGCGTCAGCGACGGAGCCGGGAAAGCGGAGAACGCGCGGCCGCGAGCGCGCTCCCGCTGGCGAATTCACAGCGCCGGGCAGATCTAGCCGCCCATTTCACAACTCCCCTGCTCCCGGGGCTGCGCGCGCCAGCCGGAAGCGTCGCCCCGGCAACCCGGCGGTTCTCGCGCGGCTGCGGCCTCCAGCTCCCGGGTCCCTGGGGCTGTTGCTGCTCGTTTCACCGCCTGGATTTTTATCGGTGTTTTTGTTTTCCCCAAAAGTCGATGAGAGTCTTGTGCTCATGTCTACCCGGTTCCTTCCGGTCTCGGATTGGGAAACCAAGCGGCCTGGCCTACTGGTGCGGGACTGTAAAGAAGGAATGACTCTTGGACAACACGGAAGAACACTTGACCAAACTATAGGGCAGCCTTATCACATACAGGCAGCACCCCAACTCCAACTATTTTTAAAAGTTGGCAGGCGTCCTAATTGTGAAAAAAACAAAATTTTACAAAATGCGTAGGTTCAGGTTGAATTAAGGAAAGAGGCAGTAAGATGAAGGCTGTGCAGGGGTTGTTTATAACCTGTTTTTAATTCCCTCGTTCCACAGGTGTTGATGTTTATTGAGTGCTATGTCCCAGGCACTATTAGGCAAGGGCACGTAACAGACAGTTAAAGACAGTTCACATAGAACTTGCAACCTAATGAGAGACAACAGTAGTGAGTCCATGGCAGCTGCTCCCAAAATGCCCTCCGCAGATCCCTAAGGGTACCGAGACCTTTTCAGTAAGTTGGCAAGGTCAAAACGATTTTCGTAATAATATTAAGAGTTTCTTGACCTTTTTCACTTTGTTGCCATTTGCACTGGTAACGTAAAAGATTAAACTGCTGACACCTTAGCAGCAATCAAGGCAGTGGCGCCAGTCTTGTACTGGTAGTTGCATTTTGTATTCTTCACATCATACAACATTTAAGGTTTTAAAGTATGCTAGTTTCACTTTAAAAATGTCCTTCACAAATAACTAAAAATTGTATTTTTTTTTCAAATCCATCCTTGCTTACACGTCTTTTAAAGAATATGTGTGAAAAAATGGAAACTACTGCCGCTACATGCCCAAGTGAAATGGTTGTCTCCGGAAAAAGCACTAGTGTAATTCTTTGAATTTTCACCTAAAAATACAAATTTTATTACACTTGTATCCACCAGCTTGAGCTTGACAGCTTGCCAGTACTTAAAGACTTTTCTAGTAAAAGAAGCATTATATTAACAATTTATTTTTGACTATATAATGAAATATGTCAACATTTTTGTGATCTTTACAACTTAGTGGACACCTATTTTTCAAATGGCCAGTGGGTGCCATTACAAAGGCAAAAAGCCTCTGGTATGTGCAAGATAGATTGATGGATTTCAGTGCTTAATTGATGTGGTTTCAGATTCAGTCCACACTGCAATGAAGGCTAAGAAACTACCACATGTAAGTTTGGTACCGTATCAAAGAATAATATCTAGAACTATCTGGAAAGGCTATAAAGTAGTTTTCCCTTTTCCAACACCTTATCTTTATGAGATCAGATTTCCCTCATATATTTCAACCAAAACATATCACAACAGATCGAATACACAGAAAACTCATGATCACAAAGAAGGAAACGTCAGTCACTGTGGTCTACTTGAGGGTGGAGGGTGGAAGGAGGGAGAGGAGCAGAAAAAATTATTGAGCACTGGGCTTAATACCTGGATGATGAAATAATCTGTACAACAAACCCCCATGACATGAATTTATCTATGTAACAAACCTTCACATGTACCCCTGGACCTACAATAAAAGTTGGAAAAAAATAAAGAATACATAGATAGGAGAATTCAGCTGTCTTCTATTAAAGCAGACATTAAAAAGGTTTGAAAAATGTAAAACAATGCCACTCTTCTCACCAATTTTTTGGAAAAATATTTTATCATAAAAATGCATCATTTTGCCTTCAATCTCGGTTTCTAAGAAAAAAATGCGTCATTTCTATTAACATAATGGGCTTATAATTATTTTTAAATGAATCTCAAAATACCAAATTTCTCAGGTTTAATTTATAATGTGGATAGTAATAAAAGCATTTTACAGTCCTTAATAATCTTTAAGAATGTAAAGGGACTCAAGACCAAAATGTTTGAGAATTATTATTACCATAGGTATAAGCATGGAGGAATTCAGAGCACACAGGAGGGCCTCTTAAACTTAGTTCTAATGGAATACTTCCCAGAAGAAATATTGCTTAAGCTGAATATTGAACAAATAGGAATTACCCAGGCAAGGAGGGAAGGAGGAGCAGTGAAGGGCATTCCAGACTGAGCATGTAGAATATGCAAAGGCAGGGTTAAGGTAAAAGAGAGCTCGAGTGAGGTACAGAAGATTCAAAGTCTGTTATTGCTGGGCTGAAAATGACTAGAGATGCATGCAAAGGAATAAGCCTTTATGAAGGGTATTATTTGTCATGGTAGAGATTACTTTATCATAAGCTGGGAGCCACTGAAGACCTCGGAGCTGAAGAGTGACCCTGATCAGATTCATGTTCTAAAATGACTGGCTATGTGCGGTGGCATATGCCTGTAATCCCAGGATTTGGGGAGACTAGGGCAGGAGGATTGCTTGAGCCCAGAAGTTTGAGACCAGCCTGGGCAACATGGAGAGACCCCGTTTCTACCAAACAATAACAACAAAAAAGTAGCCAGGCATGGTGGTGCATGCTTGTAGTCCCAGCTACTGGGGAGGCTGAGACGGGAGGACTGCTTGAGCCTGGGGGTTCGAGGCTACAGTGAAAATGAGTTGTGATTGTGCCACTGCACTCCAGCCTGAGTGACAGAGTAAGACCCTGTCTCAAAAAAGAAAGGAAGGAAGGAAGGAAAGAAAGAAAGTGATGACTGTCACTGCAACCTGGAGATACATTGGAAAGGGTTCAGACTAGAGGCAAAGAAACTGGGTAGGTTATTGCAATAATCTGAATAAGCTATAATGAGGTCATGAACAAAGGTAAGAGGTGGTAGTAATGGAAAGCAAGGAACAGCCCCAAATTTGAGAATCACTGAACTCATTTGAAGATAAAAGGAATAAAAGCTGTCCACTCAGAAAAATATATATGGACATAAACTCACTTTTAGCTACAATTACTGATGCTTTCTGGTCCTCCTGAAGTCCAACCATAGATCTCTCGGATTAACAACTAGTTTTGAACAATTCTCAGACTTTAGTGTGCATCAGAATCAGCCCGTGGGCATGTTACAACAAATTGCTGGTCCCATCCCCAGAGTTTCTAGTTCAATAAGTCTGGAGTGGGGCCTGAAATTTTAATTTCTAACAAGTTCCCAGGTGAGCTCCTTCTTGTGGTCTGCAAACCCCATGTTGAGAACCACTGGTTTAGAAGGTTGTAAAAGCAGTATTCTTAATGGACTTAATCTACTCTTAATAGTAAAGCAGAAGGAGGAGTTTAGATTTATGTCTTGGAGAATTAAGTAAACAGTGTCATAATTTAGGTCCAAAAATATGAAGGAAGAGCAGCTTTGGGAGGAAAGAGCAGAAAATATTGAGATCCCTTATGGACAACATTCTGAAATGAAATTTAGGAAAAATGTCTAGAACTAAGATATAGCACTTGACTTAAGATTGGGAGGAGATATAGATACACCAGGAATGTTTGTAGCAGGAAAAGTGCTGTGGACAACATTAAACAGACAAATACAACAAATAGCCAAAAAAAAAAAATCAAGCCCCAAGGAAAACTGGGAGGGAGGATAGTCACAAAATTTAAAGGAAGAAAAAGGTTTTGGCTCTAGGGGGTATTGTTGTTTTTGTTGTTGTTGTTATAGAGATGAGGTCTCACTATGCTGCCCAGGCTGGTTTCAAACTCTTTCGTGTGGAGAAGAGGTAACAGTATCCCTCTATAAATCTCTCAGGGAAACTTACCAAACCTGGGCCTGTTCCAGCCCTGCCACTCTGGCCAATGTGACTGTTCTACCATGGACTTCTGAGATACATTTTAAAATTCCAACCTCCATGCCATGTTCTGCTTCCAAACTCTGTAATCATTCTCACGGCTCCAATTTTCAGCTATTTCTTTATCTCCAGGCCTCTTGATTTCATCTGCATGCTAACCCAACACCTTCAAATACAACATCATAGGAATAGTGATGGCAAAGTTTCAGTGAAAAAAATAAAAAGAGCTCCTCACAAGGAGGCTCAGGCCCATAAGAGCCAACCAGAAACCAAAAATTCAAAAAAGTAAACCCCAGTAAATACAGCAACAGAAAAAACCAAGAGAAAGATGTACATGATAGATTTTAGGTACTTACTAGACTGAGAACCAGGAGGTGACTTTGGAGAGAGCAGTTCTGGGGTGTACAGGGACAGGAAGAGAATGCTAGAGCTGGGAAAGTATATAAGATAAGTGTGGGATGTACTTACAAGAAGAGGCTTTGATGACTGTTAGTCTTCTTGTTTTGGTTTTGAATGAGTGGGATCTGCTATGAATCTACTCTATGGAATCTGAAAGGAAATTTTGACAGTAGAGAATAATTTAGGAGTAATTTCAGGTAAGGAAAGATCTGTAAGTAGTCTTATGTTTGAAAGAGGAGTGCTGATTATATTCTTAAGAAGAAAGCTAAATAGGTTGTCCTAGAAATAATCAGAAAAAGAGTGAGAACTGTGCATACATAAGTGTGCGTGTGTGTGTGTGCATGCACATGTGTAATGTGTTTTGGAGTAGTACTCTTCCAAAACTGAAGCAGAAACTCTTAGTCTCCTCCTGTGCTAAACCACGTGACCTTTGCCTTTCAGGATCCAGAACTCTCAATTCATGATGTCTCTAGTGGGCTAGCTCTGGAACCTTATCATTGGCATTACTTTCTACTACTAAAGAAATGACTCTAACTTAAACTGAAAAAAAGTGTACACAATGATGGCCAGGGTATTTCATGGAGTGGAAGAAATAATTGTACAACCAAATCTTGATTTGGGATGTGACTAAGGCATGTTTAGAAACCTTAACAGTCTTTGACTACACAAAAGAAAACAAAATATATTACAAGACTAAGGTACCTAACAGATTTGCAGGAAGAATTGCACAAATATTAGGAAAGGAGGTGACCAGGGAACCTCTAAGAACTTTAGCAGCAGACATTCATAGACCACCTCAATTGAGTGTGCTGTTGATAAGGTAAATCAACTCCAGTAACACCCAGCTCCTGCAAGCACTGATATGCTTTTTGTCTCTGTCTATACATTTACCTCTGCTGGAAAGTATATATAAATGGAATTATACAACATATAGTCTTTAGTGTCTGGCTTCTATCATTGAGCATGTTTCTGAGGTTCATTCATGTTGGAGCATGTATCAGTAGTTTATTAATTTTTGTTGCTGAATAGCAATCCATTGTTGAATATTCAACATTTTGGTTTTTATTCATCAGTTGATGGACATTTGGATTGTTTCCAGTTTTGAGCTATATGAATAATACCCTTGCAAACATTCACATACAAGCCTTGTTTCTCTTGGGTAGATATTTATGAGGGGAATTTCTGAGTCATATGGTAAGTTTAACTTCTTCTTTTTTTTTTTTTTTTTTTTGAGACAGGGTCTCCCTCTGTCACCCAGGCTAGATAGAGTGCAGTGGCTCGATCATGGCTCACTGCAGCCTTAACCTCCCAGGCTTAAGTGGCCCTCCCACCTCAGCCTCCCTAGTAGCTGGGACCACAGACACATGCCACCACCCCGGCCTAGGTTTAACTTTTTAGGAAACTGCCAAACTGTTTTCCAATGAGGCTGTACCATTTTACATTCCCACCAGTGATGTGAGAGCATTATATTTGCTCCATATCCTTACCAACACTCAGTATTATCCTTTTTGATTATAGCCATCCTAGTGGGTATGTAATGGTATCTCATTGTGGTTTTCATTTGCATTTCCCTAATGGCTAATAATGTTCAGCAACTTTTAGTATGCTTATTGGCCATTCATATTTCTTCTCTGATGAAATGTCTATTCAAATATTCAAATGTTTTGTCATTTCAAATTAAGACATTTATCTTTTGTTATACAGTTGTAAGAACTCTTTGTAATTCTAGTTGCAAATCTGTAATTTTTGCAATTCTAGTTGTAATTCTAATCTTTGTAATTCTAGTTGCAAATCTGGACATATGACTTGCAAATATTTCTGCCCAATCTGTAACTTTTATTTTCATTTTTTAATGATATCTTTTAAAGAGTAAAATGTTTTTATTTTGATGAAGTTCGAATTATCAATGTTTTATTTTGTGTATTATGTTTTTAGTGTCACAACCAAGCAATCTTTGTTTAATCCAAGATCACAAAGATTTTATCCTGTGTTTTCTTCCAGAAATTTCATAGTTTTAGATCTTATATTTAGGTCTTTGATCCCTCCTTAATTATATTTGTGTATTTTATGTATGGGTCTATATATTTTTTTCCTTCATATGGTATCAAATTGTTCTAGCACCACTCATTGAAAAGACTATACATTCCCCCATTAAATTGTTTAGCACCTTTGTCAAAATTCAAATGACCATATGTTGAAAGATTTATTTCTGGACTCTCTTTGATACACTGTCTTACTTACTGTAGTTTTGTTAGTTTTAAAATTGGGTAGTATAAGCCATGCAGATTTATTCTACTTTTCCAATTGTTTTAACTATTGGGTTCTTTTCACTTTCTGGATCTGCTTATCCATTTCTTAAGAAACTCCACCAGGATTGTGATAGGGATTGCATTGAATTCATAGGTCAATTTAGGAAGAATTGTCATTTGACAATACTGAGGCTTCCTGTCTGTGAATATGGAATGTCTATTTAGTTAGGTCTTCTTTCAGTATTGTGTTCTACTGGTTTTGCACTTCTTTGTTAAATTTATTCCAAAAGTATTCTTTTTGATGCTATTGGGAAAGGAAATGTTTTTTATTTTTATTTTTGGACTGCTTGTTTGTACGTAGAAACCTACAATTATTTTTGTATACTGATCTTTGATATGGTTTGGCTTTGTGTCCCCACCCAAATCTCATCTCAAATTATAATCCCCACATGTCAGGGGAGGGACCAGGTGAGAGATAACTGGATCATGGAGGTGGTTTCCCACATGCTATTCTCTTGATAGTGAGTTCTCACCAGAGCTGATGGTTTTAAAGTGTGGCACTTCCTCGTTCTTGCACACACTCTATCCTGTTACCTTGTGAAGAAAGTGCCTGCTTCCCCTTCTGCCATGATTGTAAATTTCTTGAGACCTCCCCAGTCATGCAGAACTGTGAGTCAATTAAACCTCTTTTTTTTTTTTTTTTAATAAATTACCTAGTCTCGGGCAGTTCTTTATAGCAGTGTGAGAACGGACTAATACAGTAAATTGGTGCCACTGAGAGGGTGGTACTGCTATAGAGATGCCCAAAAATGTGGAAGCAACTTTGGAACTGGGTAATAGGCAGAGGTTGGAACAGTTTGGAGGCCTCAGAAGAAGATAAGAAGGTGTGGGAAAGTTTGGAACTTCCTAGAGACTTGTTGAATGGTTTTGACCAAAATGCGGATAGTGATGTGAACAATGAAGTCCAGGCTGAGGTGATCTCAGATGAAGATGAGGAAGTTATTGGAAAGATTTAGCAAAGAGACTGGCAGCATTTTGGTCAAAACCATTCAACAAGTCTCTAGGAAATTCTAAACTTTCCCACATCTTTCCTGTCTTCTGAGCACCCCAAACTGTTCCAACCTCTGCCTGTTACCCAGTTCCAAAGTTGCTTCCACATTTTTGGGCATCTTTATAGCGGTACCCCATCCTTTTGTTCTGAGACCTTGCTAAACTAGTTCTGGTAGCTTGTATGTTGATACTTTTGGATTTTCTACATATAGGATCACATGGTCTATCAACAGGAGCAGTTTTCTTTCTTTCCTTCTAATCTGTATGCCTTTATTTTTTCTTTTCTCATTGCATTGACTAGAACCTTCAGTACAATGTTGAATAGAAGTGATAAGAACAGACATCCTTGTCTTGTTTCCGATCCTTGGGGAAAACAATCAGTGATTCACCATTAAGTATGAGTCTAGCTCTACATTTTGCTGATATTGTAGTTTTTAAGACACCCTTTAATAGGTAAGGAAATGCCCTTATATTCTTAGATTATTGACAGTTTTCATCATAAATTAATGCTGGATTTTCCAAATGCTTTGAAATGATGTGATTATGTGATATTTCTAGGATAAAGTCCACACGATTATGGTGTGTAATCTTTATATGTTGCAAGTATATAATTCATATGTAAATATGTAATTTATAATTTGTTGGCAAAAAAGTGTTAAAATGCCTTATTATCCTTTCAATTTCTGTAATGTCAGTAGTGATGTTCCCTCTTTCAATTTTTTTTTTTTAATTTTTTTGAGACAGGGTCTTGCTGTCACCTAGGCTGGAGAACAGTGGCGTGATCATAGCTCACTGCAGCCTTGAACTCCTGAGCTCAAGATATCTTCCCACCTCAGCCTCCTGAGTAGCTGGGACTACAGGGATATTCCACCATGCCTAACGAATTTTTAAAATTCTTTGTAGAAACAGGGTCTCACTATGCTGCCCAGGCTGGTCTTGAACTCTTGGCTTCAAATGATCTTCCCACCGTGGCCTCCCAAAGCTTCTTTCAATCTCAATATTGGTAATTTGTGCCTACTTTTTTCTTTGGTTGATCTAGATAAAGATTTATCAAATGTGTTGATCTTTTCAAATAAGTAACTTCGAATGTCATTTATTTTTCTCTGTTTTTGTTTCTATTTTATTGATTTTAACTCTGATTTTATTTATTTATTTTTTGAGACGGAGTCTTGCTCTGTCGCCCAGGCTGGAGTGCAGTGGCATGATCTCGGCTCACTGCAACCTCTGCCTCCCATGTTCAAGCGATTCTCCTACCTCAGCCTCCCGAGTAGCTGGGATTACAGGCGCCTGCCACCACGCACAGCTAATTTTTGTATTTTTAGTAAATATATTATTTCGCCATGTTGGCCAGGCTGGTCTCAAACTCCTGACCTCAGGTGATCTGCCTGCCTTGTCCTCCCAAAGTGGTGGCATTACAGGCGTGAGTCACTGATCCTGGCCTGATTTTATTATTTCTTTTGTTCTGCTTGCTTTGGATTTAATTTGCTCTTTTCTTCTAGTTTAAGGTAGAATTTACATTGTTGAGACTTTTTGTTTTCTGATATTGTCACTTAATGTACATATTTTCCTCTAACCACTGTGAGAAACACTTCATTTATTTCTCATAGTGTTGGGCAAGGCTGCATAGAAGTAGATGTCTCACCTATGATACAGGTCCAAATTTCTTTTTGTTATTGATTTATAATTTGTGTTGGTTAGAAAACATACTATGTATAATTTCAGTTCTTTTAAATTCATTGAGACTTGTTTTACAGCCTAGCATATGCTCTATTCTGAAGACTGTTCTGTGTGCACTAGAAAAGAATGTGTATTATGCTGTTGGGTGGAGTGTTTTTAAATGTCCCTCAGGTTGACAATGTTGCTCAAGACTTTTATATCTTTGTATGACATGCTGTGCAGTATCCTAGCACTAGAGAAGCTGCCCATGCTACAGAAGCATGGTGTTAGGCAAGCGTGTACACTACAGGGGCTGTATTCTGGTGAAACCATGCATTCTACCAGAGCTGCCCAGTGAAAGACACCACAACCAGGAAGGAAAATCCTTTCCTGTTGTAATGATTCTCCAGCACCTTCTACTGACAAATTTTGACATTGTGCCATCTGGCAAAGGAAAAATATTTAAAGTACTCAGATTCATTTTCACAGGGTGAATTTGGAGCCAAGAGGCAGTAGACTGATAACTGAACCTGCCTCCCCTGTGGTGTGGGCATTAATGTCCCTGCTACATTTTAAAAAAAATATTTCTTCTTATGTTTTAACTTGCTTCCTAGGTGTTGTCCCCTGCATAACCTGGCGGTCAGCCACTGATCAGTCTGAGGCTGTACCAAAATTCCTAAAGCCAATAGGATTTCCAACCCCTGTCAATGGGTTTATATGTGAGTTTATGAGTACATTCAAACTCAGGTAGTTTTGAAGTCTGTCCCAGGTCTTACTTCTTACTAGGCCCTCTCAGGTCTCCCTGTACATGCATGCAGTCTACAGTTAGCCAGAGATGTGTAGTGTGGAGAGCTTGTCAAGTCTCTCTTGGCCTCAGGTGTGTGTGTGTGTGTGTGTGTGTGTGTGTGTGTGTGTGTATATATGTATATATATGTATGTATGTATATATGTGTGTATATATGTATATATATGTGTGTATATATGTGTATATACACATATATATACATACACATACACATATATACGTATATACACACACATATATGTACACATACACATATGTATATACACATACACATATATGTATACACATACACATATATGTACACATACACATATGTATATACACATATACATATATGTATATACACATACACGTGTATACACATACACGTGTATACACACATACACGTGTATACACATACACATATATATGTATATATGTACATATATATTTTAGTAGAAATGGGGTTTCACCATGTTGGCCAGGCTGGTCTCGAACTCCTGACCTCAGGTGATCTAATTGTCTCAGCTGGTCTCCCAAAGTGCTGGGATTACAGGCGTGACCCACCACACCCAACCTTGATTTTGTGAATTCTTTTTTGTTTGTTTGTTTAGACGGAGTTTCACTCTTGTCACCCAGGCTAGAGTGCAGTGGCACAATCTCAGCTCACTGCAACCTCCACCTCCCAGGTTCAAGTGATTCTCCTGCCTCAGCCTCCCAAGTAGCTGGTATTACAGGTGCTCACCACCACGCCCAGCTAATTTCTGTATTTTTAGTAGAGATGGGGTTTCACCATGTTGGTCAGGCTGGTCTCGAACTTCTGACCTCAGGTGATCCACCCACCTCGGCCTCCCAAAGTTCTGGGATTACAGGCATGAGCCACTGCACCCGGCCATGAATTCTTAGAACAACCTCTCAGAACAAGATATAAAATATGTTCAGCATCCGAAAAAGCTACCTCATGTCTCTTCTACTTAATAATTCCCCAAAGGTAACCATTATTTTTACCTCTACCACCATAGATTACTTTGGCCTGTTTTAGCTATTCATATAAAGGAAGTCATGCTCTTTTATGCTTAATATTGTGTTTTTGAGATCGATGCATTTTGTTGTGTTATAGGACAGATATACACTTAACTTTGGAAGAAACTATCAAAGAATTTTCCAATGGGTTGTACCATGTCATATCCAACAAGCAGTATTTGAGAACATTCACGGGCAAAAAAGAAAGTCCTAGATGGAAAAGTTTTTATTTTTCTTGGGTAAATGCCTAGCAGTAGAATTTCTGGATCACATGGTTAATTCTTTAATTTTATGAGTCAAATTTGGAAGGTGGACATGTGAATGTGGTCATGTTTCTGAATCTCTCTGCTGCTTCTATTAATAAGCATGGTTATGGAGGCACGGGGTTGTTTGTTGTTTTCCTTTTCTTTCTTTCTTTCTTTCTTTCTTCTATTCTTTTCTTTTTTTTCTTTTTTTTTTTCTTTAATAGAGACGGGGGTCATGCTATGTTGCCCAGACCACTCTTGAACCCCTTGCCTCAAGCAGTCCTCCTGCCTCAGCCTCCCAAAGTGCTGGGATTACAAGTGTGAGCCACTGCTCCCTGCCCATTGTTTGTTTTTGTAGCTGCATAAAAGACCCCGAGGACCATGCTCCAAAGGTGTTGAGAAGAGGGACACAGGGTATTCATATTTATCAGTGTAGATGGAGCAGGTGTAGCATGGCTCCATAAAGGTTCTGGCAGCAGATTCCTGGTCGCTGGATTGTAGTTATGGTATTATAGTTTGTTCCTGGATGTGATGGGTTTTGTGGCAGTTCCAATGCCTGGAATACAGATAAGGTGGTGAATTTCTAGAGCCAAGAGCGGCAGGGGCAGCTTTCAGATGCAACAGCTCATTACCAGTTGTGTTAGAGACAGCACTTCCCCAAGTAGGCTAGTTTTGTTAGATTGTTTTGAGAGTCATTCCAGGGAGGTGCACCTTAGAGCCTGATCCTCCAGCCCTTACAGAGATTTATAAGTGCCAAGGTCCCTGTACTGAATTCCTTTCTGTTGAAATAACTACAACAGTTTCTAGTATCTGATAGATATATTAACTATATACTGAACATAAATAAAGTGACGTAAAATGTCTAAAAATAATAACGGTTGGCTAAAGAAAAGCAGAGGTCATGATCTTTGTATTGGTTAAGGCTGAATGCAGAGCAAGAAGCGATAACAATGAAATAGAATTATATACCTCAAATATATAAAATCAGACTTGTTCACAATTAAAATGGAAATTATAAGCCACAAGTTTAATTGGCACCTGATGAGATTCTTTTAGTGGAGAAGTTGTTGGCCCAAATACTTTGAAAATCTGAAGCACTGGGTTTGCCCTCAATCTTTGAATAGAAAATAAACAATTAATGTTAAAATATATTAAACTCTGTTTACTATAATTTTTTTTTTTGAGACGGAGTTTTGCTCTTGTTTCTCAGGCTGGAGTGCAATGGCGCGATCTCAGCTCACTGCAACCTCTACCTCCCGGGTTCAAGCGATTCTCCTACCTCAGCCTCCCAAGTAGCTGGGATTACAGGCATGTGCCACCACACCCGGCTAATTTTGTATTTTTAGTCAAATACAAAATTACAAATTTGTAATTTTGTATTTATGGGGTTTTTCCATATTGGTCAGGCTGGTCTCGAACTCCCAACCTCAGGTGTGTTTACCACAAATTTTAAGTTGTGCTTTATTTGGCATGCAAAATTTGAGTTTCTAAATGATTTTACAAAAAAAAAAAAAAAAACCACTGAGAGCTTTCCTGTAATATTCAGAGGTTTGTGTCAAGAAGTATTTTCCAAGAACTACTGACCTGCCCTTGGAGTTACGTAGATTTGTTGTAGGTAGCTACATTTGTTAGTAGGCTTGTTTAGTGAATTGTTTTGTTCACATACAGTTCTAAGTTTGTTGGCATGAAGTTGTTTATATCTTTATTATTATTATTTTATTTTGAGATGGAGTTTTGCTTTTGTTGCCCAGGCTGGAGTGCAATGGTGCGATCTCGGCTCACTGCAACCTCTGCCTCCTGGGTTCAAGCAGTTCTCCTGCCTCAGCCTCCCGAGCTACTGGGATTATAGGCGCCTGTCACTACGTCCAGCTAATTTTTGTTATTTTTAGTAGAGACGGGGGGTTTCACCATGTTGACCACGCTGGTCTCAAACTCCTGACCTCAGGTGATCCACCTGCCTCGGCCTCTCAAAGTGCTGGGATTACAGGCAGCCTCTCACAGTGCTGGGATTACAGGCATGAACCACCGCACCTGGCCCAAAGTTGTTTATATCTTTATAATGCCTTAGGTATTTCTAAGATCCGTAATGATGTTCCATCTTTCATTTCTAATAATTTGCCATCTCTCTTTTTTCCATAATCAATCTCACCAAATCCAATAACTTAAACAAAAAAACAAGTAAAATGAAATGATAGCTACTCACATTGTAGTCAAATTACTGAAAAAGAATGATAAAAAAGTAAAAGCAGTCAGAGACAGAAGACATCTTACACACAGAGGAACACTAATAAGAATAATGGCTGATTTCTCCTCAAACTTAATGCAAATCAGAGAGAATGGGGGATATTATAGTATTGAAAGAAGAATAAATGACAACCTAGAATCTCATATCCTATAAAAATGATTATAAAATGAAGGTAAAATAAGACATTTTTATAGAAATGAAAGCTGAAGAAATTGTAGCCAGCAGACCTCGTTCTTTAAGATACTTCCCTGAAGTATAGAATTCTGTTCATTCTGTTACTTTTGGCTTCCATTTTTTGCTGCTGAAAGTCAGCTGTCAGTCTGCTTATTACTTGCTTAATGATAACATGTTGTGAGTTTTTTTCTGGCTGCTTTTAATATCTTCCCTTTTATTTTTGTGTTCTAAAATTTTATTATTATTTTTCCTGCTTGCATGTCATTTGGTTTCTGAATCTGTAGATTTGTGTCCATAGAGTTTACTTCCCTGAGTACCCATCCTCACTTTGGTTTCGGCCTGGGAGTTAAGTCCTTCTTTGCCAATTCATAGATGCATTTAAATTTTTTTTTTTTTTTTTTTTTTTGAGGCAGTCTCTCACCCTGTCACCAGGCTGGAGTGCAGTGGTGCAATCTCGACTCACTGCAACCTCTACCTCCCGGTTCAAGTGATTCTCCTGCCTCAGCCTCCTGAGTAGCTGGGACTACAGGCACGTGCCAACACACTCAGCTAATTTTTGTATTTTTAGTACAGATGGGGTTTCATCATGTTGGCCAGGATGGTCTCAATCTCTTGATCTCATGATCCACCCGCCTCCGCCTCCCAAAGTTCTGGGATGACGGGTGTGAGCCACCACACCCGGCCACATATCATTCTTTTATAGATGCACATCTTCAAAATCTTTCAGATATAACTTAGAATTGTTAATTTATTTTCCTTTTATTGTTCTCTTATCTTTTCTTTCAGGGTGCTGGCATATATCTTGTAATTCTTTGTTGTCAATGTGTATATATGAATGAAAGACTAATGACTATTGTGATTTTCCTCATGTGCTATGTAAGTAGGCCTGTTTCTTCATGGCTCTTTGCCTAGCTTAGAAAGTCGACTTGGAGTTGTTTACCTACAGAAAGTGTCACCCTGTAAGTTTCACTACTGTGAAAAAGCCGTGAGCCAACCATCAGGCTGAATGCCAGAATGAAAAAAACCTTTATGCCTAGAATAAATACGGGGCTACTGGGACTTGTGGCCCAAGAAGGGAAGGGGGGTGAGATCAATTATTCAAGTAGAGACATTCAGTTAATTTGGACCATGATGAGATGGTCCGATAATGTGTTGTTGCCATGGTAATCCTGCTCAGTACTCCAGGCTCAAACGTTTGGTGTGTGTGCATGGCTAAGGAACCAATGGAGTGAAGCTGCCATCTGTGAGATTATAACTGAGCGCCTCCAGGTCAAAATCCTGCCTAGGTGAAACAATAGTATTTTCACTGACCAGATGAGGCAGGGAGTTGAGTCCCAAAGGACTCTCATTCCTGATACTAAGTGCCTGGCTGCAGCAGCTGGACATGACCAGTTACATAGACAGTGCCAGATGGGAAGTTTGACTGGGGCAGTACAACTATAAAACAGTAATGGCGGTGTCCTAAGGCAAGCTCAGGGAGGAGGGAAGACAGCAGCTTCCTTTGTTTGTATCATGAAAGAGCATTGGATTTTGTCAAATGCTTTTTTTCTGAATCAATCAAGGTAATCATGTGGATCTTTCCCTTTATTCTATTAATTCAGTGTATTCCATTGATTAATTTGTGTATGTTGGCATGCATTAATCTGTTTTCCATCTCTATAGCTTTGCCTTCTCCGGAATATTGTATAAATGAAATCATCCAGTATGTAGCATTTTGAGACTGGCATTTTAAATCTGATATAATGCTTTTGAGATTCACCCTTGTGTTCCTGGGGTAAATGTCACTGGGTTCATGGTGTCAAATCTTTTTATTATGCTGCTGGACTCAATTTGCTAATATTTTGTTTAGGATTTTTGCATCTACATTTATAATGATATGGGTCTATAGTTTTCTTATCTAACTGTTCTGTTCTCTATTTTTGAAAGAGTTTGAGAAGGATTAGTGTTAACTCTTCTTTAATCATTTGATAGGATTCATCAGTGAAGCTATCTGGTCCTAGGCTATTTTTCTTGCACATTTTTTGATTACTGATTCAATCTTCATTTGTCATAAGTCAAGATTTTCTAGTGACTTTTTTGTGTTAACTTTGTATCTGCAACCTTGCATTATATAATCACTTATTAGTATCAGGAGCTTTTCTGTTGATTCTTTGGGATTTTCCATATAGACAATCATGTAATCTATGAACAAAGACATAGATTCTTGCTTTCTTCCTTTCCAATCTGTGTACCTGTTCTTTTTCTTGTATTATTGCATTCGTATGACTTCTAGAATGACACTGAATAACAATGGTGAGAGGGAGGAACATCTTTGCCTTGTTTTTTTTTTTTTTTTTTTGAGACAATGTCTCACTCTGTCACCCAGGCAGGAGTGCTGTGGTGCAATCTCAGCTCACTGCAATCTCCGCCTCCTGGGTTCAAGCGATTCTCCTATCTCAGCCACCCGAGTAGCTGGGATTACAGGTGTGTACCACCACGCCCTGCTAGTTTTTGTATTTTTAGTAGAGAAAAGGTTTCACCATGTTGGCCAGGCTGGTCTGGAACTCCTGACCTCAAGTGATCCGCCCGCTTCGGCCTCCCAATGTGCTGGGATTACAGGCTTGAGCCACTGCTCCTGGCCTTTTACCTTGCTCTTGATCTTAGCAGAAAGGCATCAAATTTCTCATGATTAAGTATGATGTTAGGTGTAGGTCTTTTATAGATGTTCTTTTAAAAAAATTTTATAGTGGAAAATTTCACACCTATACAAAGTAAACAGAATAGTATAATTATCCTCCATGTACTCGTTACCCAGCTTCAACTATTATCTACATATTGCTATTCTTGTTTCAGCTATCTCTCCATTCATTTTCCTATCCAGCACTCAACTTGTGACTTTTCTAAAATTGTAATTTATTTTTATTTTACATAAGATGAAAATCACTTTTTGTGTACAGATCTATGAGTTTTGACAAATGAAGAAAACGGAGTCATGTAACCCCACCCCAACCAACACACAAACCAAACCAGTTCTGTGACCCAAAAAAATCCTCTCATACTGCCCCTTTGTAATCAAGACCTCCCCACTCCCCAGTTCTTGGCATGCATTAATCTGTTTTCCATCTCTAGAGTTTCACCTTCTCCAGAATATCATATAAATGAAATTATCCAGTAGGTAGCATTTGAGACTGGCTTTTTAAATCTGGTATAATGCTTTCAAGATTCACCTATATTATTGTGTGTAACAAGAGTTTCTTTTGTGGCCGGGCGGGGTGGCTCACGCCTGTAATCCCAGCACTTTGAGAGCCCAAGGCAGGCGATCACTTGAGGTCAGGAGTTCCAGACCAGCCTGGTCAACATGGTGAAACCCCATCTTTACTAAAAATATAAAAATTAGCCGGGTGTGATGGCACGCTCATGTAATTCCAGCTACTTGGGAGGCTGAAGCACAAGAATTGCTTGAACCCGGGAGGCAGAGGTTGCAGTGAGCTGAGAGCACGCCACCGCACTCCAGCCTGGGTGATGGAGTGAGATTCTGTCTCAAAAAAGTAAAAAAAAAAAAAATTTTTAAGTTTTTAATTTCTGAGTATTCCTTTGTATGAATGTACTAGTCTTTGTTTATCCAACAGTTCAAGACTATTTGAGTTGTTTCCTATACTGCTGTGAGTAAAGCCACTATAAATGTTTGCATACAGGGTTTTGTGTGAATGTAAGTTTTCAGTTCTCTTACATTGATTTTCTTTTTTAATTTTAATTTTTTAATGATGGGCTCTTGCTCTGTCACCCAGGTTGGAGTACAATGGTGCAATCATGGCTCACTGCAGCCTCAACCTCCTGGCCTCCAGTGACCCTCCCATCTCAGCCTCCCAAGTAGCTAGGACTACAAACAAGTGCCACTATGCCCAGATAATTTTTATTTTTTCTGTAGAGGGATCTCACTATTGCCCAGGCTGGTCTTGAACTCCTAGCCTCAAGCAATCCTGCTGCTTTGGCCTCCCAAAATGCTAGGATTACAGATGTGAGCCACTGCACCCAGCTTACACTGATTGATTTTCAAATGCTGAAATAGTCTTGCATTTCTGACATAACTTTCACTTGACCATCTTGTATAATCCTTTTTATATATTGCTGAATTTTTTCCTTAAGAATTGGGAACGTTTATCTGGTTCTTTGTATGTCAAATAATTTTAGATTACATCCTGGGTATTTTGAACATTATGTTGTGATTTATGAAGGTGTTAAAAAATCTCTGGGGTGTGTGTGTGAAGTTTGGACTGCAAGTTATGTCTCACTTTCTATGAGTTGTGGCTCCAGTGAGTTCAGTTTTCAGAGCATTTGCTCTGCTGCATTGGATTTGTCCCATGCTTGTCCCTCTCAGGGGTTAGGCTGGGACTCAGGTGTTCTTTTGTTGTTGCTGCTGCTATTGTTTTTAAATCACAGTTCAGGTTTTAAAGCCTTTGCTATCCCACTTTGCATCCGTCTTGCTTATGCATAACTCAGGAGTGGGGCCTGAGACTTGTGATTTCACAGTCACAGAATTAAAGGGTCCCCTTCTCCAGCTGTCTCCTCTTCATGTTTTACCCCACACTCTCTAGTCCCCAGAGCCCCACTTTTCTGGTCCTCTGGCTAGAAAGATGGGTTTCTACTGGAGTTGTAGCTGTCTACACTGCCACGCAGATCTACATGACTAGAGCCATCCTCAGAGTAGAGAGAGAGAAAAAATGATTCCCTTCACACTTTTTGGACTCAGGATCCCCTTTCTCAGGTTTACCAGTTTCTCTGGTCATAAAGATGGGTTTTCTCTTGGAGTTTTAAGCCCCTGCACCTTCACCACCTCAGTGCAGCTCTGTGACTGGGGCCACCCTTGGCACAAAACTGAGAGAATAGGAAAAAAAACAGCAATTGCCACACTCTCTCCAGCTTGCAGGGGCCCTATTTTCCTTCCTCTGGACAGAATAACAGGGTTTCCCTCAGAGTTCTTGCTGCTTATGCTTGTTTCACATCATATCTGCCCTCAGGTTAAAGCTGGAAGATGAAGAGTCGGGGAGGCAGGAAATGTGGGACTCACTTCTGTACAGGCCATTCTTCAAATTTTGGCTGCCCTCTTGTACTGCCTGCTGTTGCTAACTTTCCACAGAGCTTCTTCGTGTATTTCTCTCACTTTTCTTCTTCTTCCTTTTTTTTTTTTTTTTTTGAGGGGGGCTGTTAGTTATCTCCCTCTCTTACCTACCTAATGTCAGCACTCTTCATTTTACCTGTCCTTATCTGTCTTTAATTTTGATATTTATACTGAGATCTTCCAATCAGTATCTTCAACCCAGACTCCGACCTTAGATGCTTTTTGTGTTTTGTTCAGTTTTTAGTTGTAATCTGCGATACAGATAGTCTGTAAACAGTTTCTCCATCTAAGTAATCATTCATGTGATTTTTTTTTGAGACGGAGTCTTGCTCTGTCACCCAGGCTGGAGTACAACCTCTCCACTGCAACCTCTGCCTCGGCTCACTGCAACCTCTGCCTCCTGGGTTCAAGTGATTCTCCTGCCTCAGCCTCCCAAGTAGCTGATAATACAGGCGTGCACCACCAGGCCAGCTACTTTTTGTATTTTTGGTAGAGACGGGGGTTTCACCATGTTGGTCAGGCTGTCTCAAACTCCTGACCTCAGGCCTCTCAAAGTGCTGGGATTACAGGTGTGAGCCACCACACCTAGCCTTGTGTGATTTTTTTATTCCACTTAATACTCAAGACAGAAATATTTCTTCTTAGTTTCTCTGGTCCTGTGGGCCAAGTTTTTCTAGTCCAGGAAGACAAGCATTTTGAAGCACCAGGCTTTCTACCAGGGTATGGTTCTAGTTCCCTCGAATCCCATGGCTAGGGCCACATCTCACGCCTCGTGAGGCTGTTGGAATCCCCCACTTGTCATTCTCAGGATCCTACAATTACTCACCACCATGGAAAGCCATGGTGTCTGGCTACCCATACCAGATTCCTTTTTCTGTCCTCATTTCTGTAAGATTTGTGTTCCTCATTCCTTTCTTCATCTTTGACTATTCATTTGGGATCATTTTCTTTCTGTTTGAAAAAATCATTTTTAGAATTTTATTTTGGGTCTCCTAATAGTGAGTCTTTTTAAATTTTTGTTTGTTTGAAAATCTTTCTTCAAGCTATTTCTACTGACTATATGATCCTGTATTGACAACAATTTTCTTACAGCTCACTGAAACTATTGTTCAACCATCATAGCTTTCATTGTTTTGGTTGACACATCGGCTGTATATTGAACTATAGATCCTATGAAGGTAACTTTTTCCTAGCTGATTTTGAGATTTTTTATCTCCATTTTCAGTTTTCTGCGGCTTCACTATAATGTGTTCAGCTGTGGATTTCTTTTTACCTATCCTCCCTGGAATTTGTTGGTTTCCTGAATCTGGATATTGGAGTCTTACTTTTGTTTTGAAAACTCCCAGCCATTATCTACTCAAATAGTGTACATGCATTATTTTCTTACTGGTTTTCTGTTCATTCTTTTGTTTCTGATACCTGTTGATTACTACTGCCTTTTTTGAGGTCGACTATGTACTTATCATTTTAAAGTTTTTGTTGTTGTTGTTTGTTTGTTTGTTTTTTAAAAAGGCAGAGTCTTACTCGGTCACCCAGGCTGGAGTGCAGTGGTACAATCTCGGCTCGCTGTCACCTCTGCCTCCGGGATTCAAGCAATTCTCCACCTCAGCCTCCCAAGTAGCTGAGATTACAGGCGCCCGCCACCACGCCCGGTTAATTTTTGTATTTCTAGTAGAGATGGGGTTTCACCATCTTGGCCAGGCTGATCTTTAACTCCTGACCTCGTGATCCACCCGCCTCGGCCTCCCAAAGTGCTGGGATTACAGGCGTGAGCCACCGCGCCTGGCTTAAAGTTTTTTTTATATAGAATTTCTAAGTGCTTGTAACAGGAGGTTTTCAACTTTGACTTGGTTTGCAATCTTTCTAGAATTGGACCCCATTCACTTACCGCTCATTACCGTTGAACTTCAGCTCTCACAATATACAAAATGAGCTCCCAATTTCCCACTCTGATAGCTCTTTTTCAAATGTTATCAGACACGGCCATACTGCAGGATTTAACACGGTAATTATTCTTTTTTTTTGAAATTTTCTCCTCTCATGAAGTCAGAGAAACCACTCTTACATAATTCTTGTATCTCACTTTTCTTTTTCTTCCTTTTCTTTGGGGGGGTGTTGGGGGGCTATCTCCCTCTCTTACCTACGTAATGTTGACACTCTTTTCATTTTACCTACACTTATCTGTCTTTAATTTTGACATTTATACTGAGATCTTCCAATCAGTATCTTCAATCCAGACCCCTGCCCTAAGTATGTCTAACTGCCTCCTGGTCATCTCCCCTTGAATGTCTCATAAGATGTTCAAACTCAAAATGTCCAAAGGTGATCCTTAATTATTCATGATCCCTATATCAAACCTCCTGCTCTTTTGCCCTTGCCAGCCTCTTCAGTTATATGCATCCCTCAAACCCTCACTTGCCATGCTTGCTATGCTCTAGCCTTGTTAGGCTGCATTTAGTTCCTCCGAGGTGCCATACCATTATTACATTTGTTGCAGAATGATTTTTAAACTACATAAATGAATAAATGTCATCCACAGTTCATTGTCCCTGACTCATTCCTATGAGTCAATCAACAGTTGGCACTTACTGCTACACACAAAAGGAAAAGATTGATGGCCCCTATTCTTTCACTCCTGAATCCTGGCTAGAAGGCTGTGTGGGGTCTGACAATTCTTTTGCAAGGGATGTGGCTTTCAGGAGTTACAATGTTATTGGTGTCTTCTGGACTCTAACTTGGCCCCTCGGCCTAATCTTTCCCATCTCAGCAATAACTGGAGGAATGAGGTTGGACCTTAGGGCACCAGCCTACCAAGATGAACATAGTTCTAGCTGCAGCCACCCAGTATGTGACTCCTACCCCAGTTTCTGCTCATGACCCCTCTCCCCCAAAGGTGATGTATAAGAAATAGAGTAGTACCTCTCATACCTACATTTCCTCATATAACATGTAGGGAAATGAAGGGTCTTATTACTCATTGATTGAACTACTTTATGTAGGGAGACAAGCTTAGTAAGCAAAAACTTTCTTCTAACTGGCTTATGATTACCAGGAAACATTTATATTTTGATTCATGATACATATTTGGCAGAAATGTAATTTTACCCCCAAACATTATTATAGCCTTAACTTTTAAGAGTAGAAAAATATTTATAAAGAGATTTTCACCGGGTGTAGTGGCTTATGCCTGTAATCCCAGCACTTTGGGAGGCTGAGGCAGGTGGATCAGCTGAGGTCAGGAGTTTCGATACCAGCCTGACGACAACATGGCGAAACTCCGTCCCTACTAAAAATTCAAAAATTAGCTGGGCATGGTGGCACGTGCCTGTAATCCCAGCTACTCAGGAGGCTGAGGCAGGAGAATCACTTGAATCCCGGAGGCAGAGGTTGCAGTGAGCCGAGATCACGCCATTGCACTCCAGCCTGGGGCGACAGAGCAAGACTCTGTCTCAAAAAAAAAAAAAAGAAAAAAAAAGAAATTTTCGCATTCAGGCTAATGCTTGCTTTATTTTTTCCTTCTAAAATTCCTGGGTTAGGTAATCACAAAACAGAACTTTAATAAATAACTTCCATAGCTGTTTTTGCCTTGTTTTTACAATACTGTTTCCTTAATCTGGATGCTATATTATTTGCTATGGCTGCTGTAATAAAGTACCACAAACTAAGCAGCTTAAACAATAGAAACTTATGATCTCACAGTTCTGGAGGCTAGAAGCCTGAGAGCAAGGTATTAGCAGGGCAGTACTCCCTCTGAAGGCACGAAGAAAGGATCTGTTCCAGGCCTCACTCCTAGCTTCTGGTAGTTCCTTGGCTTGTGACAGGATCCACAAGATCTTCAAATCTTCAGATAGTGTTGTCTCTCTCTCTCTCTCTGTGTGTATGTCTGTGTGTGTGTGTGTGTGTGTGTGGCTGTGTTTGTATCCAAAGTTTCCCTTTTCATAAGGACACCAGTCATATTGGATATGGGACCAACCTAACTCCAGTATGACCTCATCTTAACTAAGTATATCTACAATGACCCTATTTCCAAATATGGTAGCCATCTTGAGTTACTAGAGGTTAGTACTTCAAATGTGAATGTGGGTGGGGGCATAGTTCAACCCACAACAAATGTCTTCCTTCATTTGTTCACCTAGTGATTCCTGCTCTCCCTGGTTGTCTAGTAGTTAGGAAAGGAAAAAAAAAGGGAAATGCCTGTTCATTTTTCATGGTTCATGGCACCCTCTGAGATCTCCCAGAAATCACCAATGATTCCTTCCTCTGTGGCCACACTGGGCCCTGTGTGGCCTCCATTGCATTTATTTACGCACTCACCTTTCTTCCCTATTAGGGTATAAATTGCTTGTGGGAAAGGGCCTATTTGCTTATTTTTGTATCCCTAGCATCCAGCAGACTGCACAGCACATAATTAATGATGAATAAATATTTGTAGATTTGGGTATAGGCCAATTTAAATATAGAAAAAAAAAAAAAAAAAAAAACAAGCTAACTCCCAAGAATTTGTTTCAAAAAAGAGGAAGAGTACAGGGAACTTGTTTAATCAGGCTCAGCATTTGAGAGAATCCTGCTGTTCTTCAACACAAATAAAATCTTGCAGTTCTAGATCTTTATCTTCCAATATAGTTGCCACGTAAGGCTATTTAAATTCAAACTCATTAACATGAAATATAATTAAAAATTCAGTTCCTCAGTTGCATCGGCTATATTTCAATATTCAATAGCCACATGCAGCTATTAGCTACTGCACTGCATGGCACAGAGAACATACCCATCATTTCAGTAAGTCCTATTGGATGGTGCTAGTCTAGACAGTAAACATTTGAGGAGACAATCAAAGACATAATTCAATTTAACAATATTAATTAACGATATTACTTAATCCTTTTGTATAAGTAGATACCACATTTGGTATTGGCAAGAAACAAAAAACAAAGTTAACTCTCTGATATTAAGGAACTCCCCATTTATTACTTCACTAAATTTGTTTAAAAATATTTTGCTACGGGAAGTTTATTACATTTGAGAAATCATCTACAAAAGTTAGAAAAGCTCATAAAATGTCTTAGAAATGATACCTCAGGAAGTGGTTGTCACTGTCTCTCTCATTATTGGATTATCAAATAAACAACTTAAAAAATGAAAATAGACTCCAAATACCCTAGACACTTGTGAAGGTTGTGCACACATGCTGATCACCGTGTTAGATATAGAGTAGGGCCATGTTCCCATCGAACACACAGGTTCCTAATCTGAGTCTTCTTAGAATCAAACAGTTTAGTATTAAGCTGTGGGAAGTACAATTAAATCAAACTAAATTACATTTCTTTTAGTTTAGAAACTGCCTTAGCAACATTTATCCTATAAACAATTGGGTCAGATAGGACCTAGAATCTAGTGGAAGTCAAGGGAAAAACAACTTTCCAGTGACTTATGGCAAAACCCACTCAGGCTTATAGTTAGACCATAAGAAACCAAAGGTCACCTTATGTGTCACAGAAGGTGTTGGTGCAAGCATTCAAGATGATCAAGTTGAATTTCAGAATGGATATATTAACTTACAGACTAAACATATAAAGAATATTGGATAAATGAAGAGAAATCATTTAGTATAAAAAATAACTGTCTTTCATGCACAGTATATTCAAAGACATATTTATTGAAATATTTCAATCCTTTTCAAAATAACTACTTCAGAAATCATATTTGGTTTTGAATTATACACAATTCCTGCTTTCAGACTTCTCCGCTAGTTGCTGGTGGCCAAATATTTGCTATTATATTTGAAAATGGCTGACTCAAGGTCACTTCTTTCCCTTAAAATCTAGAAAGACAAGAGTTACAAAAAGTTTTGATAATGAGGGAAGAACTTTCCATAACCTATTACTCCAGTCTTCACATAACTTTTCTGTGGTGGCAGTCAGAGTATATACATTTTAATAAATTATCTTTTCCATTTAACTTATGTTTATCATAAGCATTTTTTAATGTTGCCTTCCTACCTTCCTAGTTATCACTTTTACAATGTATACAATAGACAAAGTACTGTACTGGGTTCCTTTAATTAACTATTCTTGTATTATTGCCTATTTACATTGCTATCAGTTCTTTGCTTTTATATATAGTATCACCACAAACACCAAAAAACTTTCTAAGACTCAGTAACACTAAGAATCCTATTTTTATCTGATGACAATGAATTAAAAAATCAATATTCTAATGCGTGCCCTCTTTTATATTTAGCAGAATTTAAAACAAACTAGACAATATAGACTTTTAAAAACTGTTTAGAATTAAATATCTAAATTATATTTTACTGTTACAGAAGGCTTCTATATCTAGATTTTGAGGGTGATGGGAAAATTTAGTAGATTTTTGTTGCTGACCAAAATAAAAGATGCCCAGAGACTGTTAATTACAAATAAATGAACATTTGATTTTTCCTATTATAGCAAACCAGTGGAATTCTTCCCTCTTTTTAAACGTTTCAACACAAGTTGGCATTTACCAATTTATTTTATATATTTTACCTATATATATAAAATTTATTTTAGCAATATATTTTATAATAAATGCTTTATAAATAAAAACTTTTAGCTTATTGGTAGGTTTCCTTTAAAATGAAAAGATTATGTACAACTGTATACCTTTTCTCAGCACAGTAACAAGAAGGTTTTCACAAATATTTAGGTAAAAAAGCTGCTGTTCTATACCCTAGCATATGTATACAGTTGCCTGGTATATCAATAAATATTAATAATACTTGAAAAACTTAACCAGTTAAATCCAGTTCATTTAAAAACCATAAATAGGATAATTAAAGTAGACATGTTCTTGCCTTTGTTCCTAAAGATAATGAACATGCCATTGACTTGTGAAGAAACTGAGGATAGACAGCAGATGGAATTTTTGGCAAACATTAGGCAAGCGTGACTGCTGGCAGCAGGAACTGGCAAATGCTCTGGCAAACAGTGCTGATAATACCTCAGTCCATTAAAGAAGTGCTGTCCAGGATTTGCCCGTCAGAAGATATCTTAACTACTTTTTCCTAAAGCCAAGAGCAGCCCCTCTATAACCTCCTATGGGGCCAAGCAGCCAATTTAGGATTCACTCTTGACAGTCTGCTTTGTCAGTTTTCCGGCGAATGTACGTTCATGCCTAGAAATATTGCTAACATAGAACGCTGCTGTTTTGTCTGACAGTATATCACAATCTGAACAGCGCACGCATAATTTATTCATTGATCCACAAATATCTATTGAACTCCAGTGTTGAGTACTTTATTTAATTTTTTTATTTGTATTTTTTGAGACAGAGTCTTGCTCTGTCACCAGGCCGGAGTGCAGTGGCGTGATCTCGGCCCACTGCAACCTCCGCCTCCAGGGTTCAAGTGATTCTCCTGTCTCAGCCTGCCAAGTAGCTGGGACTACAGGCGCGCACCACTATGCCCTCCTAATTTTTGTATTTTTAGTAGAGATGTGGTTTCACCATGTTGGCCAAGATGGTCTCGATCTCTTGACCTCATGATCCCTCTTGACCTCGATCTGCCCGCCTCGGCCTCCCAAAGTGCTGGGATTAGAGGCGTGAGCCACTGTGCCCAGCCGAGTATTTTAATATATACATACCACATCTTCTGTTTTCAAAGTTGATTATGCTGCAAGTCAGCATGAGGCTTCCTATGAATGCCATAGCTCTTCCTCCTGCACACCTCTTCAGGGCCTTTATCACTTTTTATACTCTCTCTTGTAGAGTAAAAGCCAAAGTTGCCCTTACAGTGGCCTAAGAGACCCTACACAAACAAACTTCCCTTATATATCTGACACCATGACCTCTTTTCTCTCTGTGTGTGTGTATGGGGTAGGAAGGTGAGATGTAAAATTCCACTGCAAGCTAGGCGTGGTGGCTCATGCCTGAAATCCCAGCACTTTGGGAGGCCGAGCGGATGGATCACCTGAGGTCAGGAGTGCAAGACCAACCTGCCCAACATGGCGAAACCACATCTCTACTAAAAATACAAAAATTAGCCAGGCGTGGTTGTGTGTGCCTATGGTCCCAGCTACTCAGGAGGCTGAAGCAGGAGAATCGCTTGAACCAAGTAGGCGGAAGTTGCAGTGAGCTGAGATTGCACCACTGCACTCCAACCTGGGTGACAGAGTGAGACTCCATCTTAAAAAAAAAAAAAAATCCATTGCAGAAATACAAACAGTCCTTTTCACAGTGCTGACTACCTATTATATACTTAATTCACCAGAGTGGATATAAAAGACTCTTCCATCAAGAGTTTCCCATAGTTCTTGAAAGGAAACTAACATACATGACAGTATGAGAATAAATAAGTTGTTAATTTTAAATAACAAGGAATGGGAAAGTTCAAAGTTCAGAAATGGCATGATGAGGACTATCTTTTCATATCCAGTTATCATCATGACAACAATAAACTGAGGGCCTCCAAATCTTTCTCTCTATCCCACTCCTTTCTCCTGAGTGCCAGGTGGGCATTTCTAAATGCTCCAAATTAAGCAAGAGCAACACAGAATTCATTATTCTTGATTTCAATTAGCACCACCACCTCGACTCCAGACACAACCTTGGAAGTCACCCCTAAGTCATCTTCAACACTATCTGAATTTTATTTGCCTGACACTTTCTAGGTATGCCTTACCTAGGAAGAGATCCCCTTCTCTCAACTCTCATTACCAGTACCTTAGCTGGAGCCAATATCATTTCTATACTGGGTTGTTAACAACAGTATTCTAACAATGTCACTAACTCTAAGCTTTGTACTCCAGCCACTGCCACACCAATTGATTTACATAGAGTAGATCAATCTTTCTATAATTCGGATCATTTCTGCCACCCACTGTTATCCTCAGAATAAAACTCTGCATGACAGCAATGGTCCTCCTTGTAACACACCCTTTCCAGATGGCATTCTGGATGCTGTTAGGTCTGATGGAAGGGAAGGAGGTGCTCTTCTAGCTAACAAATCTATCAGAGTCTATGTTAGTCAAGGGTGTCTAATCTGAGGGAGTAAAGTGGGGTCTGGAGGAGGGATTTTGGAAATGTGGTTCTAGGCACAAAGCCAAGTTCAGGGTTTCAGGCTTTCAGTTAGGCTCTGCACTATCCCTGTTGGGTAGTTTTAGAGGAGTCAAAGGGAATGGAAGTAGATACTGAACCATGGCTAGTCGTATTCATTTTCTATTACTATGACTATAAATTTAGCATCAACACACACATATAATCTCACAGTTTCTGTGGGTCAGAAGTCTAGGCATGGCTAGACTGCTCAAGGTCCCACCTGCTGCAGTCAAGATATTGGCTGGGCCACATTCTCATCTGGAGTTTGAGGTCCTCTTCCAAGTTCATTCAGGTTGTTTGCAGAATTCACTTCCTTGCAGTTGTACAGCTAAGGCCCTCAGCTCCTAGAGACTGTCCCTTTCCACAAGCGGTTCACAAGATGGCTGTTTGCTTCTTCAAGGTCAACAGGAGAACATCTCTCTTATTTCAAGTCTTTCTTTCAGAGAAGACCTGGACTCAGTCATTCTTTCTGTCTTACGTGCTCTCTCTCTCTCTCTAGCTTCTGTAGCTTTTTCCATTTTATTATTCTCTCCTCTGTGGTACTAGCTGTAAAAATGTATCATGAGGCCAGGCGCGATGGCTCATGCCTGTAATACCAGCACTTTGGGAGGCCGAGGTGGGCGGATCACGAGGTCAAGAGTTTGAGACCAGCCTGACCAACATGGAGAAACCCCATCTCTACTAAAAATACAGAAATTAGCTGGGTGTGGTGGCGGACACCTATAATCCCAGCTACTTAGGAGGCTGAGACAGGAGAATCACTTGAACCCAGGAGGGAGAGGTTGCAGTGAGCCAAGATTGTGCCATTGCACTCCAGCCTGGGCCACAGAGCAAGACTCTATCTAAAAAAAAAAAAAAAAAAAAAAAATGTATCATGAAGGGAATTTTTCTTCCTTTTTTTTTTGTAACTTGTTGAATGATTACTATCATCCAGTATCCTATCAACTAGGTACTATTACTATTCCTATTTCATATATGGGGAAATGAGGCACAGAAACATTCAAGAACTTGCCTAAGTTCACACAGCCAGTACTAGCTAAAGGGTAGATCTGGAATCCAAGACAGTTCGGGAGGAGACAATTAGGTAGTCTGTGTCTGCTCACAAGGACACTAAATGAAAAAGAATACAGAAGAAGGAGTAACTGGAGACAGAAGTAGACTTTCTCTGCAGAGATGGGTATGTGGGTGTCAGGAGAGAGGGCATTGAGAGTAATGTCAACTTATGATTTCCTCTGAAATGTAACTAAATCCCACTTGAATCTGCCATCCAAACAGGGTCTACATCATAGAGATAATGAGATCAGATCTACTGTAAGGCTCTTGTTAAAATGAAGGGCCTATGAGTGTCTTTATCCCTTTGGAATGAACGAGGGATAGAATGAAGGACAAAATTCAATGCACTTTCTAGTGACCCAGATGAAAAATAGAAGGCATATATATCATATTTGTGGATTGCAAAAAGTTAGAATAGCAACTTTCTCAACTTGCAGAATAAGAATTTAGAAAGGTATCAATAGACGGGAATGATAAACTCCAGCTTACAAAGTGAAAGTCAATAGTAATAAATATAAGGTTCTGCCTTTAGGTTTGACTTTCTTTTTTTAAAAAAATTGTGGCAAAAAAACACGTAACATTAAATTTATTGCCGTAACCATTGTTAAGTGTATATTTACTAGTGCTAAGTACATTCACATTGTTGTTGTGCCACAAATCTCTAGAACTTTTTCATCTTGCAACACTGAAACTCTAAATCCACTCAAAACTAATTCCCCTTCCACCCCCACCCCCCAGGCCCTGGTAACACTTTTCAACTTCATGTTTCTATTATTTTGACTACTTTAGATACTTAAAATGACTGGAATCATACAGTATTTATCCTTTTGTGACTGTCTTATTTCACTTAGCATGATGTCTTCAAGGTTCATCCATGTTGTAACATGTTCCAGGATTTCCTTATATTTTAAGGCTGACTAATATTCCATTGTATGTACATACCACATTTCATTTATTCATTTATCTGTCCATGGACACATTTGGGTTGCTTCCATCTCTTAGCTATTGTGAATAATGCTGTGATGAATATTGATGTGCAAATGTTTCTTAGAGATCCCGCTTTGAATTCCTTTGGATATATATCAAGAAGTGGGATTGCTGGATCATATGGTAATTTTTACATTTCTACCAACAGTACACCAGGGTCCCAACTTCTCTGCATCCTCCCCAACACTTGTTATTTTCTGTTCTTTTGATAGTGGCCATCCAGATGGGTGTGGGGTAGTACCTCATTATGGTTTATATTTGCATTTCCCCAATGATTGATGTTGAGCATATTTTCATGTATTTATTTTCACTTCTAAATATTCTTTGGAGAAATGTCTATTCAAGTTCTTTGCCCATTTTTAATTGGGTTATTTGATTTTTTTCTTTTTTAAGAGTCAAGGTCTCATTCTATCGCCCAGGCTGGAGTGCATGGTATTATAGCTCACTGCAGCCTTGAATGCCTGGACTCAAGCAATCCTCCCACCTCAGCCTCTGAAGGAGCTGGAAATGTAGGCATACATGACCATGCCCTGCTACTTATACATTTTTTTTTTTTTTTTTTTTTTGTAGAGACGGGGTCTTTCTATGTTGCCCAGGCTGGTCTTCAGCAATCTTCCTGCCTTGGCCTCACAAAGTGCTGGGATTACAGGTGTGAGGCACTGCGCCTGGCCTAATTGGTTATTGTCATAATGTTGTTGAGTTATAGAAGTTCCTTATATATTATGTATATTA
Organism: Homo sapiens; assembly: GCF_000001405.40. Taxonomy (NCBI): domain Eukaryota; kingdom Metazoa; phylum Chordata; class Mammalia; order Primates; family Hominidae; genus Homo; species Homo sapiens. The sequence goes on along the minus strand of NC_000005.10, from coordinate 66,113,597 downwards.
ACCCCTTATCAGATATATGATTTGTAATTATTTTCTCCCATCCCATAAGTTGCCCATTTTATTGATTATTCCCTTTGAACACAGAAGTTTTTAAGTTGATGTAATTTTTTTTTTTTTAAGAGATGGGTGTCTTACCATGTTGCCTAGGCTGGTAGGCTGGTCTCAAACTCCTGAGCTGAAATGATGCTCCTGACTCAGCCTCCAAAACTGCTGGGATTACATAGTGAGTCACTATGCCCAGCCGTATTTGTCTATTGTTGACCTCGTTGCCTGGGCTTTTGGTGTCATATCCAAGAAATCATTGCCAAATCCAATGTCTTGAAGCTTTTCCCCTATGTTTTTTTCTAGGACTACTAGAGTTTAAGCCTTTAATTCATTTTAACTTTTGTATATGGTGTAAGGAAATGGTGCAACTTCATACTTTTGCATGTGGAAACACATTTGTTGAAGAGAATGTCCATTTTCTGTTGTGCAGTATTGGCACTCTTGTAAAAAATCATTTGACCAAATATGGAATGGCTTATTTCTGGGCTCTCTATTCTGTTCTATTAGTCTATGTATCTATCTTTATTGGTTTATCTTCAGCAACCCCACATCTTATTTATTCTTGCTTTGTAGTTATCTTTTGAAATCAGGAAGTGTGAGTCCTGCAATTTTGTTCTTCTTTAAGACTGTTTTGGTTATTTAAGGTCCCTTAAGATTGCATATAAAATTTAGGATGGTTTGTTCCATTTCTACAAATAAATGTCACTGAGATTTTGATAGGGATTGTATTGAAGCTGTAGATCCCTTGGGCAGTGTGGACATTTAATATTAAGTCTTCCAAACCATGAGAAGAGATGTCTTTCCGTTTGTATCTTTTTTTCCTTTTTTTTTAGGCAATGTTTTGTCCTTTTCAGTGTACAAGTCTTTCTCCACATTGGCCAAGTTTATTTCTAAGTATTTTATTGTTTATGATGCTATAATACACAGTACTGTTTTCTTAATTACCTTTTCAGATTGTTCATTGCTAGTGGATAAAAATGCAACTGATTTATGTGTGTTGATTTTGTAAACTGCAACTTTGCTGAAACTGTTTAGTAGTGGCAACAGCTTGTGTGTGTGTGTGCGTGCACACAGATGTCTGTGTAATCATCAGGATATTTTACACCTAAGATTATGTCATCTGCTAACAGAGGGAATTTTACTTCTTTTCCAAGTTGGATTTTTTTTTTTTTTTGTCTGATTGCTTTGGCTAGAACTTCCAGTTATATGTTGAATAGTAGTGGCAAGAGTGGTTATTCTTGCCTTGTTCCTGATCTTAGAGGAAAAGCTTTCAGTCTTTTACAGTTGAGTATGATGTTAGCTATGGGATTTTCATATATGGCTTTTATTATATTGAGGTAGTTTCCTTCAGTTCTTAGTTATTAAGTGTTTTTATCATGAAAGGATGTCAAATGCTTTTTCTGCATTGATTACAATAATCATGTGGTTTTTGTTTTTAATATCATTAAGGTGGTATATTATTTTCTTTTTTTCTTTTTTTTTTTATTATACTTTAAGTTCTAGGGTACATGTGCACAACGTGCAGGTTTGTTACATACATATACGTGTGCCGTGTTGGTTTGCTGCACCCATTAGCTCGTCATTTACATTAGGTATTTCTCCTAATACTATCCCTCCCCCATGCCCCCACCCCACGACAGGCCCCAGTGTGTGATGTCCCCCACCCTGTGTCCAAATGTTCTCATTGTTCAATTCCCACCTATGAGTGAGAATATGAGGTGTTTGGTTTTCTCTCCTTGCGATAGTTTGCTCAGAATGATGGGTTTCCAGCTTCATCCATGTCACTACAAAGGACATGAACTCATCCTTTTTTATGGCTGCATAGTATTCCATTATATATATGTGCCACATTTTCTTAATCCAGTCTATCATTGATGGGGATTTCGGTTGGTTCCAAGTCTTTGGTATTGTGAATAGTGCCACAATAAACATACATGTTCATGTGTCTTTGTAGTAGCATGATTTATAATCCTTTGGTTATATACCCAGTAATGGGATGGCTGGGTCAAATGGTATTTCTAGTTCTAGATCCTTGAGGAATCGCCACACTGTCTTCCACAATGGTTGAACTAGTTTACACTCCCACCAACAGTGTAAAAGTGTTCCTATTTCTCCACATTCTCTCCAGCACCTGTTGTTTCCTGACTTTTTAATGATCGCCATTCTAACTGGTGTGAGATGGTATCTCATTGTGGTATTGATTTGCATTTCTCTGATGACCAGTGATGATGAACATTTTTTCATGTGTCTGTTGGCTGCATAAATGTCTTCTTTTGAAAAGTGTCTGTTCATATCCTTTGCCCACTTTTTGATGGGGTTGATTTTTTCTTATAAATTTGTTTGAGTTCATTGTAGATTCTGGATATTAGCCCTTTGTCAGATGGGTAGATTGTAAAAATTTTCTCCCATTCTGTAGGTTGCCTGTTCACTCTAATGGTAGTTTCTTTTGCTGTGCAGAAGCTCTTTACTTTAATTAGATCCCATTTGGCTATTTTGGCCTTTGTTGCCATTGCTTTTAGTGTTTTAGTCATGAAGTCTTTGCCCATACCTATGTCCTGAATGGTATTGCCTAGGTTTTCTTCTAGGGTTTTTATGGTTTTAGGTCTAACATTTAAGTCTTTAATCCATCTTGAATTACTTTTTGTATAAGGTGTAAGGAAGGGATCCAGTTTCAGCTTTCTACATATGGCTAGCCAGTTTTCCCAGCATCATTTATTAAATAGGGAATCCTTTCCCCATTTCTTGTTTTTGTCAGGTTTGTCAAAGATCAGATGGTTTTAGATATGTGGTGTTATTTCTGAGGCCTCTGTTCTGTTCCATTGGTCTATATCTCTGTTTTGGTAACAGTACCATGCTGTTTTGGTTACCGCCGCCTTGTAGTATAGTTTGAAGTCAGGTAGCGTGATGCCTCCAGCTTTGTTCTTTTGGCTTAGGATTGTCTTGGCAATGCGGGCTCATATGGTTCCATATGAACTTCAGATTAGTTTTTTCCAATTCTGAGAAGAAAGTCATTGGTAGCTTGATGGGGATGGCATCAAATCTATAAATTACCTTGGGCAGTATGGCCATAGGATTCTTCCTATCTGTGAGCATGGAATGTTCTTCCATTTGTTTGTATCCTCTTTTATTTCATTGAGCAGTGGTTTGTAGTTCTCCTTGAAGAGGTCCTTCACATCCCTTGCAAGTTGGATTCCTAGATATGTTATTCTCTTTGTAGCAATTGTGAATGGGAGTTCACTCATGATTTGGCTGTTATTGGTGTATAAAAATGCTTGTGATTTTTGCACATTGATTTTGTATCCTGAGACGTTGCTGAAGTTGCTTATCAGCTTAAGGAGATTTTGGGCTGAGAAGATGGGGTTTTCTAAATATACAGTCATGTCATCTGCAAATAGGGACAATTTTACTTCCTCTTTTCCGAATTGAATACCCTTTATTTCTTTCTCTTGCCTGATTACCCTGGCCAGAACTTCCAACACTATGTTGAATAGGAGTGGTGAGAGAGGGCATCCCTGTCTTGTGCCAGTTTTCAAAGGGAATGCTTCCAGTTTTTGCCCATTCAGTATGATATTGGCTGTGGGTTTGTCAAAAATAGCTCTTATTCTTTTGAGATATGTTCCATCAATACCCAGTTTATTGAGAGTTTTTAGCATGAAGGGCTGTTGAATTTTGTCGAAGGCCTTTCCTCCATCTATTGAGATAATCATGTGGTTTTTGTCTTTGGTTCTGTTTATGTGATGGATTACGTTTATTGATTTGCATATGTTGAACCAGCCTCGCATTCCAGGGATGAAGCCAACTTGATCTTGGTGGATAAGCTTTTTGATGTGTTGCTGGATTCAGTTTGCCAGTATTTTATTGAGGATTTTTGCATCTATGTTCATCAGGGATATTGGTCTAAAATTCTCTTTTTTGGTTGTGTCTCTGCCAGGCTTTGGTATCAGGATGATGCTGGCCTCATAAAATGAGTTAGGGAGGATTCCCTCTTTTTCTATTGATTGGAATAGTTTCAGAAGGAATGGTACCAGCTCCTCTTTGTACCTCTGGTAGAATTCGGCTGTGAATCCGTCTGGTCCTGGACTTTTTTCGGTTGGTAGGCTATTAATTATTGCCTCAATTTCAGAGCCTGTTATTGGTCTATTCAGCAATTCAGCTTCTTCCTGGTTTAGTCTTGGGAGGGTGTATGTGTCCAGGAATTTATCCATTTCTTCTAGATTTTCTAGTTTATTTACATAGAGGTGTTTATAGTGTTCTCTGATGGTAGTTTGTATTTCTGTGGGATCGGTGGTGATATTCCCTTTATCATTTTTTATTGCATCTATTTGATTCTTCTCTCTTTTCTTCTTTGTTAGTCTTGTTAGTGGTCTACCAATTTTGTTGATCTTTTCAAAAAACCAGTTCCTGGATTCATTGAGTTTTTGAAGGGTTTTTTTTGTGTGTGTGTCTCTATCTCCTTCAGTTCTGCTCTTATCTTATTTATTTCTTGTCTTCTGCTAGCTTTTGAATTTGTTTACTCTTGCTTCTCTAGTTCTTTTAATTGTGATGTTAGGGTGTCTATTTTAGATCTTTCCTGCTTTCTCTTGTGGGCATTTAGTGCTACAAATTTCACTCTACACACTGCTTTAAATGTGTCCCAGAGATTCGGGTACATTGTATCTTTGTTCTCATTGGTTTCAAATAACATATTTTTTTTTCTGCCTTCATTTCTTTATTTACCCAGTTCATTCAGGAGCAGGTTGTTCAGTTTCCATGTAGTTGTGCGGTTTTGAGTGAGTTTCTTAATCCTGAGTTCTAGTTTGATTGCACTGTGATCTGAGAGACAGTTTGTTATGATTTCTGTTCTTTTACATTTGCTGAGGAGTGCTTTACTTCCAAATATGTGGTCAATTTTGGAATAAATGCAATGGGGTGCTGAGAAGAATGTATATTCTGTTGATTTGGGATGGAGAGTTCTGTAGATGTCTATTAGGTCTGCTTGGTGCAGAGCTGAGTTCAAGTCCTGGATACCCTTGTTAACTTTCTGTCTTGTTGATCTGTCTAATGTTGACAGTGGGGTGTTAAAGTCTCCCATTATTATTGTGTAGGAGTCTAAGTCTCTTTTTAGGTCTTTCAGGACTTGCTTTAAGAATCTGGGTGCTCCTGTATTGGGTGCATATATATTTAGGATAGTTAGCTCTTCTTGTTGAATTGATTCCTTTACCATTATGTAATGGTCTTCTTTGTCTCTTTTCATTTTTGTTGGTTTAAAGTCTATTTTATCAGAGACTAGGATTGCAACTCCTGCTTTTTTTTTGCCTTCCATTTGCTTGGTAGATCTTCCTCCATCCCTTTATTTTGAGCCTATGTGTGTCTCTGCATGTGAGATTGGTCTCCTGCATACAGCACACTGAAGGGTCTTGACTCTTTATCCAATTTGCCAGTCTGTGTCTTTTAATTGGGGCATTTAGCCCATTTACATTTAAGGTTAATATTGTTATGTGTGAATTTGATCCTGTCATTATGATGTTAGCTGGTTTTTTTGCCTGTTAGTTGATGCAGTTTCTTCCTAGCCTTGATGGTCTTTACAATTTGGCATGTTTTTGCAGTGGCTGGTACTGGTTGTTCCTCTCCATGTTTAGTGCCTCCTTCAGTTACTCTTGTAAGGCAGGCCTGGTGGTGACAAAATCTCTCAGCATTTGCTTGTCTGTAAAGGATTTTATTTCTCCTTCACTTATGAAGCTTAGTTTGGCTCATATGAAATTCTGGGTTGAAAATTCTTTTCTTTAAGAATGTTGAATACTGGCCCCTCTCTCTTCTGGCTTGTAAGGTTTCTGCCGAGTGACCCACTGTTAGTCTGATGGGCTTCCCTTTGTGGGCAACCCAACCTTTCTCTCTGGCTGCCCTTAGCATTTTTTCCTTCATTTCAACCTTGGTGAATCTGACAATTATGTGTCTTGGAGCTGCTCTTCTTGAGGAGTATGTTTGTGGTGTTCTCTGTATTTCCTGAATTTGAATGTTGGCCTGCCTTGCTAGGTTGGGGAAGTTCTCCTGGATAATATCCTGCAGAGTGTTTTCCAGCTTGGTTCCATTCTCCCCGTCACTTTCAGGTACACCAATCAAATGTAGATTTGGTCTTTTCACATAGTCCCATATTTCTTGGAGGCTTTGTTCATTTCTTTTTACTCCTTTTTCTCTAAACTTCTATTCACGCTTCATTTCATTAATTTGATCTTCAATCACTGATATCCTTTCTTCCACTTGATCAAATCGGCTACTGAAGCTTGTGCATGTGTCACGTAGTTCTTGTGCCAAGGTTTTCAGCTCCATCAGGTCATTTAAGGTCTTCTCTACACTGTTTATTCTAGTTAGCCATTCGTCTAATCTTTTTTTCAATGTTTTTAGCTTCCTTGCTATGGGTTCGAACATCCTCCTTTAGCTCAGAGAAGTTTGGTATTACTGACTTTCTGAAGCCTTCTTCTGTTAACTCATCAAAGTCATTCTCCATCTTGCTTTGTTCCATTGCTAGCATGGAGCTGCAATCCTTTGGAGGAGAAGGGGCACTCTGGTTTTTAGAACTTTCAGCTTTTCTGCTCTGGTTTCTCCCCATCTTTGTGGTTTTATCTACCTTTGGTCTTTGATGATGGTGACCTACAGATGGGGTTTTGGTGTGGATGTCCTTTTTGTTGATGTTGATGCTATTCCTTTGTGTTTGTTAGTTTTCCTTCCAACAGTCAGGTCCCTCTGCTGCAGGTCTGTTGGAGTTCGCTGGAGGTCCACTCCAGACCCTGTTTGACTGGGTATCACCAGCAGAGGCTGCAGAACAGCAAATATTGCTGCCTGATCCTTCCTCTGGAAGCTTCATCTCAGAGGGGCACCCGGTTGTATGAGGTGTCAGTTGACCCCTAATGGGAGGTGTCTCCAAGTTAGGCTACACAGGGGTCAGGGACCCACTTGAGGGGGCAGTCTATCCATTCTCAGAGCTCAAACACCATGCTGGGAGAACCACTGCTCTCTTCAGAGCTGTCAGACAGGGACGTTTAAGTCTGCAGAAGTTGTCTGCTGCCTTTTGTTCAGCTATGCCCTGCCCCCAGAGGTGGAGTCTACACAGGCAGGTGGGCCTCGTTGAGCTGCGGTGGGCTCCACCCAGTTCGAGCTTCCCGGCTGCTTTGTTTACCTCCTCAAGCCTCAGCAATGGCAGATGCCCCTCCCCCAGCCAGGGTTGCCGCCTCACAGTTTGATCTTGGATTAGCAGTGAGCAAGACTCTGTGGGTGTGGGACCTGCTGAGCCAGGCGTGGAATATAATCTCCTGGTGTGCCATTTGCTAAGACCTTTGGAAAAGTGCAGTATTTAGGTGGCAGTGTCCCGATTTTCCCGGTACAGTCTGTCACAGCTTCCCTTAACTAGGAAAGGGAAATCCCCCGACCCCTTGCTCTTCCTTGGTGAGGTGATGCCCCACCCTGCTTCGGCTCACCTTCCATGGGCTGCACCCACTTTCTGACCAGTTCCAATGAGATGAAACAGGTACCTCAGTTGGAAATGCAGAAATCACCTGTCTTCTGCGTCGATCACGCTGGGAGCTGCAGACCGGAGCTGTTCCTATTTGGCCATCTTGGAACAGAAGCCTTTTTTTCTTTTTTTAGACGGAGTTTCACTCTTGTCACCCAAGCTGGAGTGCAATGGCACAATCTTGGCTCACCTCCTTGCAACCTCCACTTCCTGGGTTCAAGCAATTATCCTGTCTCAGCCTCCCGACTAGCTGGGACTACAGGCACATGCCACCATGCCTGGCTAATTTTTGTATTTTTAGTACAGATGGGGTTTTACCATGTTGGCCAGGCTGGTCTCGAACTCCTGACCTGTGATCCACCCGCCTCAGCCTCCCAAAGTGCTGGGATTACAGGCGTGAGCCACCATGCCCGGCCCTGATTTATTTTCATAAGTTGAACCATCCTTGAATTCCAGATATAAATACCACTTGTTCATGGTGTATAATCCTTTTAATGTGCTGTTGAATTTGGCTTGTTAGTATTTGTTTAGGATTTTTGCACCAAGGATATTGGTGTGTGTTTTCTTTGTTTTTGTCTGGTTTTGGTATTAGGGTAATGTTGGTCTCATAGACTGTCTTTGGAAGTATTTCTTACTCTTCAATTCTTTGGAAGAGTTTGAAGGAGAGTGGTATTAATTCTTCCTTAAATGCTTGGTGGAATTCTCTAGTGAAACCAAGTGATCCTTGGCTCTCCTCTCTTGGGAAATTTTTGATTACTAATTTAATTTCCTTACTAGTTACAGATCTGTTCATATTTTTATTTCTTTATGATTAGTCTTAGACAGTTGTTTATTTCTAGGAATTTATCCATTTCTCCTAGAATATCTCATCTGCTGGCATATAATTCTTTCATGGTAGTCTCATAACCCTTTTTGTTTCTGTGATATCAGTTGTAACAATCCCTCTTTCATTACTAATTTCAACTATTTGAGTCTTTTTTCCTTACTTAGTTTAGCTAAGAGTTTGTCGATTTTGTTGATGTTTTAAAAATCAACTCTTAATTTGTTTTTTTCTGTTCTCTATTTTGTTTATCTCTGTTCTAATCTTTATTATTTCTTTCCTTCTGCTAACATTGGGTTTAGTTTATTCTTTTTCTAGTTCTTAAGGTGTAAGATGAAGTTGCTGATTTGAGGTCTGTTTTCTTTCTTTCTTTTTCTTTCTTTCTGGTCTGTTTTCTTTCTTTCTTTCTTTTCTTTCTTGTTTTGGTGTTAGGGTGATAATGGCTTCATAGAATGAATTAGGGAGGGTTCCTTCTTTCTCTATCATGTGGAATAGTGTTAAAATGATTGGTACTAATTCTTTGAATGTCTGGTGTGAATCCATCTGGTCCTGGACTTTTTTTTGTTGGTAATTTTTAAATTACCATTTCAATCTCACTGCTTGTTATTGGTCTGTTCAGGGTATCTAATTCTTCCTGATTTAATGTAGGAGGGTTGTATTTTTCCAGGAATTTATCCATCACTTCTAGGTTTTCTAGTTTATGTGCATAAAGGTGTTCATAGTAGCCTTGAATGATCTTTTGTATTTCAGTGATGTCAGTTGTAATATCTCCTGTTTTGTTTCTCAGTGAGGTTATTTGGATTTTCTCTCTTCTTTTCTTGGTTAATCTTGCTAATGGTCTATCAATTTTTTTTTTTTTTTTTTTTTTTTAGACAGAGTCTCACTCTGTTGCCCAGGCTGGAGTGCAGTGTCACAATCTTGGCTCACTGCAAGCTCCACCTCCTGGGCTCACACCATTCTCCTGCCTCAGTCTCCCGAGTAGCTGGGACTACAGGCACCCACCACCACCATGCCCAGCAAATGTTTTGTGTTTTTAGTAGAGACGGGGTTTCACCATGTTAGCCAGGATGGTCTCGATCTCCTGACCTCGTGATCCACCCACCTCGGCCTCCCAAAGTGCTGGGATACAGGTGTGAGCCACTGTGCCTGGCCTGGTCTATCAATTTTATGTATCTTTTCAAAGAACTAGCTTTTTGCTTCATTTATCTTTTGTATTTTTTTGTTTCTCTGTTTCAATTTCATTTAGTTCTGCTCTGATCTTGGTTACTCCCTTCCTTCTGCAGAGTTTGGGTTTGGTTTGTTCTTGTTTCTCTAGTTCCTTGAGGTGTGACCTTAGATTGTCTGTTTGTGCTCTTTCAGACTTTTTGATGTAGGCATTTAGGGCTATAAACTTTCCTCTTAGCACTGCCTTAGCTGTATCCCAGAGGTTTTGATAGGTTGTGTCATTATTGTTATTGAGTTCAAATAATTTTTAAATTTCCATCTTGATTTTGTTTTTGAGCCAATGCTCATTCAAGAGCAGGTTATTTAATTTCCATGTATTTGCATGGTTTTGAAGGTTCCTTTTGGAGTTGATTTCCAGTTTTATTCCACTGTGGTTAGTGCTTGATATAATTTAAATTTTCTTAAATTTATCGAGGCTCGTTTTATGGCCTATCTTATGGTCTATCTTGGAGAGAGTTCCATGCACTGTTGAATAGAATGTATATTCTGTGGTTGTCACATGAAATGTTCTGTATATATCTGTTAAGTCCATTTGTTCAAGGGTATAGTTTAAATCCATTGTTTGCTGACTTTCTGTTTTGATTGTCTGTCTAGTGCTGTCTGTGGAGTATTGAAGTCCCCCACTATTATGGTGTTGCTGTCTATCTCATTTCTTATGTCTATTAGTAATTGTTTTATAAATTTGGGAGTGTTAGTGCATATATGTTTAGGATTATGATATTTTCCTGTTGGACAAGGCCTTTTCCCATTATATTATGTCCTTTGTCTCTTTTACCTGCTGTTGCTTTTAAGTCTGTTTTATCTGATACAAGAATAGCTAACCCTGCTTGTTTTTGGTGTCCATTTGCATGAAATGCCATTGCATTCATCATGCCGTTTACTTTGGTTTTGTTTTTTGTTTTTGTTTTTTAACTTGTATTTTTGTTTTATAGGTCCTGTGTGATTTATGCTTTAAGGAGATTCTGTTTTGATGTATTTCCAGGATTTGTTTCAAGATTTAGAGCTCCTTTTAGCAGTTCTTGTAGTGGTGGCTTGGTAATGGCGAATTCTCTCAGCATTTGTCTGTAAACGAGTGTATCTTTCCTTCATATATGATGCTTAGTTTTGCTAAATACAACATTCTTGGCTGATAATTATTTTGTTTGAGGAGGCTAAAGATAGGACCCAAATCCCTTCTAGCTTGTAGGGTTTCTGGTGTTAAATCTGCTGTCAATCTGACAGGTTTTCCTTTATAGATTACCTGGTGCTTCTGTTTCACAGCTCTTAAGACTTTTTTCCTTTGTCTTAACTTTGGATAACCTGATGACAATGTGTTTAGGTGAAGATCTTTTTGCGATGAATTTCCCAGGTATTCTTTGTGCTTCTTGTATTTGTATGTCTAGGTCTCTAACAAGGCCAGGGAAGTTTTCCTCGATTATTCCACCAAAGATGTTTTCCAAGCTTTTAGAATTGTCTTCTTCCTCAGTAACACCGATTATTCTTAATATTATCCCAGACTTCTTGGATTAACATAATCCCAGACTTGTTGGAGGCTTTGTTCATATTTTCTTATTCTCCTTTCTTTGTCTTTGTTGGATTGGGTTGATTCAAAGACCTTGTCTTCGAGCTCTGAATTTCTTTCTTCTATCTGGACTTGTTCAATTCTATTGCTGAGACTTTCCAGAGCATTTCGCATTTCTAAAAGTCTGTCCAAAGTTTCCTGAATTTTTTATTGTTTTTCCTTTAACCTATCTATTTTGTTAAATATTTTTCCTTTCACTTTTTTTTTTTTTTTTTTTTTTGACGGAATCTCGCTCTGTCACCAGGCTGGAGTGCAGTGGCATGATCTCGGCTCACTGCAATCTCCACCTTGCGGGTTCAAATGATTCCCCTGCCTCAGCCTCCCGAGTAGCTGGCACACACCACCACGCCCAGCTAATTTTTTTTTATTTTAGTAGAGGCAGGGTTTCACCATGTTGGCCAAAATGGTCTCAGTCTCCTCACCTCATGACCTGCCCGCCTTGGCCTCCCAAAGTGCTGGGATTACAGGCGTGAGCCACTGCACCCAGCCTCTCCCTTCACTTCTTGCATCATTTTTTGGATTTCCTTGCATTGGGCTTTGCCATTCTCTGGCCCCTCCCTGAATAGTTTAATAATTAACCTCCTGAGTTCTTTTTCAGGTAAATCAGGGATTTCTTCTTGGTTTGGATCCATTGCTGCTTAAACTAGTGTAATTTTTGGGGGGTGTTGAGCCTTGTTTTGTCATATTAGCAGGGTTGGTCTTCTGGTTCCTCCTCATTTGGGTAGGCTTTGTCAGAGGGAAAGTCTAGGGCTGAAGGCTGTTTTTCAGGTTACTTTGTCCCACAGGGTGTTCCCTTGATGTAGTACTCTCCCCCTTTTCCTGTGGATGTGGCTTCCTGTGAGCCAAACTGCAGTGATTGTTGTCTGTCTCTGGGTCTAGCCACCCAGCGAGTCTACCTGGCTCCAGGCTGGTACTGGGGGTTGTCTGCACAGAGTCCTGTGATGTGAACCATCTGTGGGTCTCTCAGCCATGGATACCAGCGCCTGTTCCAGTGGAGGTGGCAGAGGATGCAATGGACTCCATGAGGGTCCTTAGCTCTATGGTTTAATGCTCTATTTTTGTGCTGGTTGGCCTCCTGCCAGGAGGTGGTGCTTTCCAGAAAGCATCAGCCATAGTAGTGTGGAGAGGGACCAGTCGTGGGTGGGGCCCTAGAACACCAAAGATTATATGTCCTTTGTCTTCCACTACCAGGGTGGGTAGGGAAGGACCATCAGGTGGGGGTGGGGCTAGGCATGTCTGAGCTCAGGCTCTCCTTGGGTGGGTCTTGCTGCAGCTGCTGTGGGGGGATGAGGATGAGATTCTCAGGTCACTGGAGTTGTGTAACCAGGAGTATGATGGCTGCCTCTGCAGAGTCATGCAGGTTGTCAGGGAAGTGGAGGAAAGCTGGCAATCATAGGCCTCACCCAGCTCCCACACAAACTGAAGGGCGAATCTCACTCCCACCTTGCCCCCAGCAACAGCCCCAAGTCTGTTTCCACATAGAGGGTGAGTCAGGCTTGAAAACTTGCCTGAGGCTTTCCGCCTCCCAGCTGCAAAAGAAAAGGGCTTTAATTCTTTCCCCTCCCACCCACCCCAGGTGAAGTTTGCAAGCTGGATTCAGGTCCTCCCCTGAGTTCTGGCCAGGAGGCTTCTCGCCCAGTTCAAATTGTTACAAAGTTCAGCTAGGGAAGTCCTTCTCCCCACGGAGTTTTACCCCCTGCTCTTCTGGCCTCCCTCCTGATGGATCCTTGCGGTGCCAGGCAGCAATGAGCTGCTTGGGTATACAGCAAGCTCTCAGGGCCTCCCTGCTGCCTCCTCCAACCCTGTATTTCACTTGGCTCAGCCCTCTAACTTTACTCCACTCCAGGTAAAATTGGGAACTTCTCCCACAAACAGACGTACAGCTTCTCCAGCTGGGGGGTGTGTTTGGGAGAGGAGGGTCTCCCCACTTCCGTGGTTGGGGCACTCACAGCATTTGTGGTGTCTCCCATGTCCTGCAGGAGCAGTCTGCTTCCTTCAGAGGGTCTGTGGATCCTCTCGGGGTTGCTGGTTTATTCTTGCAGTCAATCTGGAGCTAAAATTCACAGTGCAAGCCTCCGTGTGCTGTTCTGTCCAGAGCTGCAATCTAGTTCTGCCTCCCATCTGCCATGATCCTTCCTCTTCCTCTCCCCTAATTTCTGTCAATGTTTGCTTCATATATTTGGGAGCTCTAATCTTAGATGCAGATGTTTATAATAATAAGTATAAATAATTTATAATCAATAATAAAGTTATAATAAAATTATAACTAGTCATTTATAATGGTTTCTAGTGAATTAACACTTTTATCATTATATAATGTTCTTCTTTGTCTCTTTTGACAGTTTTTATCTTAAAGTCTATTTGAAGTCTTAAGCTTTAAGTATGGTTCTCATTAGGTTCCTGTTTACACGGCGTATCTTTTTTTACCCTTTCACTTTTAGCCTGTATGTGCCCATAGATTTAAAATGAGTCTCTTGTAGATAGCATATAGTTGGATCTTGTTTTTTTAATATCCATTCAGCCAATTTATGTCTTTTAATTAATGTGTTTAATCCGTTTACATTTAAAGTAATTACTGATAGGGAAGAACTTACTATTGCCATTTTGTAAACTGTTTTCTGTGTGTCTTGCAGCTTTTTTTGTCCCACCTTTCTTCCCTTGCTGCTTTCTTTTGTGTTTCATTAATTTTTTTTTTTGTACTGACATGTTTTCACTCCCTTCTCATTTCCCTTTGTGTATTATTCTATAAATGTTTTCTTTGTGGTTACCATTGCAATTACATAAAACATCTTAAAGTTCTAACAATCTATTTGAAACTAAAAACAGCCTAACTTCAGCCATGTATTAAAACTCTACTTTTTTACATCTCTACCCTCCCCACTTAACGTTGTTAATGATACAAATTACCTTTTTGTATTGCATATTCATGAACATAATTTTATAATTACTTTTTATGCTTTGGGTTTTTAAATTCTTTACCACATTTAAAAGTGATTTACATGCCTACATTATAATACTGTAGGATTCTATATTTATCTATATATTTACCTTTACCAGGGAGTTCAATATTTTCATATGGTTTTGTGTTGCTCTTTATTATCTTTTTGATTCACCTTGAAGAACTCCCTTCAGCATTTCTTATAGGATAGGTTAAGTGGTGATAAACTACTTCAGGTTTTGTTTATCTAGGAAAAATCTTAATTTCTCCTTTATTTTTTGAAGAATAGTTTTGCCAGATATGGTATTTTTGGATGGCAGCTTTTTTCTCCCCCACTATTTTAAATATATCACCCCACTCCCTTCTAACCTGTAAGGTTTCTGTTGAGAAATCTGCTGATATACTAATAGTTGCTACTTTCAAGATTTTCTCTTTGTCTGTGACTTTTGATTATGACATGTCTCAGTGTACGTCTCTTTAGATTTATCTTAGTTGGAGTTATCTGAGCTCCTGAATTTGTATATCTATCCTGCTCTTCAGATGTGGATAGGTTTTGGCCTTTATTTCTTCAAATAAGTTATCTGCCCCCTTTTTCTCTTTCTTCTTCTGCGTGATGGAGATATATGCTAACACCAATGAATTCCATGAGTCTGGGACCATTGTTGCAATTCATTTGCTGTGAATTTACTTCCTTGATTAAAAGCAATGCTGTATGGAGTATTGTGAAAGTGGACAAGGCATTCTGTAAGTTCACACATAGCAGCTTTGGTAGAAGCATTGTGCATAGGGGAAATAAATCCATATCCAGAGGGTTTATTCCAGCAAGAATACAGTACTTCCCCTTCCACAATGGAAAGTAGTCCATTACAATCAACTTGTCACCAGGTAGCTGGCCAAACACTCCACTACTGGTACCATAATCTTTATTAGTTTTCTATTGCTGCTAATAACAAATTGCCACAAATTTAATGGCTTAAAACAACTTAAGTTTAGTATCTTACCTTGGTCAAAAGTCTAGCACAGGTCTCACTGGGCTAAAATTATGGTATTGGCAGGGTTGCATTTCTTCTGGAGGCTTTATAGGCGAATCTATTTCCTTGCTTTTTCCAGCTTCTAGAGGCCACACACATCCTTTGATTCATGGCCCATTCCTCTATCTTGAAGTTGACTCAAATCCTTCTCATGCCAACATCTCTTTGATTATCTCTTCTGCCTCCTTCTTCCACTTATTAATGACCCTTTTTATTACACTGGGCTTACCCCAATAGTCCATGAAAATCTCCATATCTTAAAGTCATCTGATTAGCAACCTTAATTATGTCTGCAACCTTAATTCCTCTTGGGTGTGTAACCTAACATATTCAAACTTTCAGCAGATTAGAACATGCACATCTTTAGGGGGTGGTCATTATTCTGCCTATGACACTATTGCGTTCAATTTGTCATCTTATATTTAGGATGTTTCAGGTGCGTATACTACTGAGATTGAGTTATTTTCTTTTTTGTTATTATAGTTAAATTTGAGAACCAGTGTTATTTTAGCTAGGCAAAACAAACCAAGTAGTCTTCCATTCTTTTATATGTTTTGGGATTTGGGATTATTTATATAATTTGGGAATAATCTGCTTCTTAGAATTATTGAATTTTTGAAATTTCAGTAAAATCACCCATTAAATCAACTGGACCTGGTGTCTTTTTTTTTAAAGGCTAAATATCTGACTCTGTTTTCAATTTCTTTTATAGTCTTTTAGGATTTCTTCTTCTTTCTGAGGTAATTTTGGTAATTAGTATTTTTTTTTTTTAGAAATTATGCTGTTTGTTTCAAAGTTAGTACTATAAAGAGCTACATAGTACACAGTTCTGTGCTATTTGTCATTTCAAACATATTTCTTCTCCTTCCCCCATCTACTTCACTTGATCATGGTTGGTGTAAGTTTGCTTACTTTATGGTCTGTTAGAAACCAATTTTTATTCTTTATCATTGACTAATTCTACTGGATATTTTTCTTGTTTTAATAATTTCTGATTTTACCTTTAATAATCCCTTCATTGTGCTTATTTAATCTTTATAAAACTTCACAAGTTAAAATTATACTTTTTTCTAACATATTGTTTTCTTAGAAATTCATTTAAAGCTATTAATTTTCCTTTGGGTCTCTTTTTACATGGGTTTTGATCTGAAGCACTCTCAGTATAAGTCACTTAAAATTTTTTTCTTTTCTTTTTTTTTTTTTGAGATAGAGTCTTGCTCTGTCACGCAGGCTGGAGTGCAGTGGCTCGATCTTGGCTCGCTACAGCCTCTGCCTCCCGGGTTCCAGTGATTCTTCTGCCTCAGCCTCCCAAGTAGCTGGGACTACAAGCATGCACCACCATGTCCAGCTAGTTGTTGTATTTTTAGTAGAGACGGGGTTTCACCATGTTAGCCAGGCTGGTCTTGAACTCCTGACCTCAGGCAATCTACTCACCTTGGCCTCCCAAAGTGTTGGGATTACAGGCATGAGCCACCGTGCCTGGCCTAAAATTTTTTTCTAATTAAATTTTTATTTCAACAACAACAACAACAGGAACTAATAGTTATTGAGTCAGAAATCAGGCCAAAACCTTAGGCATGCATTATTTAATTTAATCCTCAAAGCAATTTTATGAGGCAGAGTCTATTACTATCCCTACATTAAAGATGAGGAAAGTATAAGTCATGTAATCTCTACATGTCTTATTCTAGACCACAGAACTAAAAAATAATTTTATTTGAATTCACAAAGTGTATGATTTCAGAACTTATAAACTTAACCACTTTATTATATTGCAGACAGCTGTTTACAAAGGTGTTTGAGAATGTCTAGATAGATGGATTCTTTTATTTTTTCTTGCCTATTTCTCATTTTACTGCATGTTGTGTAAGCTTTCTAAATTGAAAGTTATTTTGTGTTTTACTATAGGGTCATTTTTTCTGGTAAATATTCCATATTTGAAATCAATTAATGTTCTTCAGTTTCATTGAGTATAATATCCACCTCCTCTTCTCTCTCGATAGATAATACATACACGTGTATGTGGTGTTTTTAAGGATCAAACTTGTAAACTGTGCTACTGAAATGCTTATATTTTGTCTCTTTGACAGGTCTATTTCTGAGAGAAGCATATTAAAGTCTCTTACTATAACAAATTTGTCAAATTATTCTTCTATTTTTGTTATTTCTTATAAAATGAACTATAGGATTTTTATAATTATATGATAACTAATTATAAAATTTTTATAACTACATGATAAGAAGTACAGGATTTTTATAGTTACAGGATAAAAGAATCTGAGGCCCAAGGAAACTAAAAAAATAAAATTTTCTTTTTTTTTTTTTTTTTTTATAGAGACGAGGATGCACTATGTTGCCCATGCTGGTCTCGAACTCCTGGGCTCAAGTGATCATCCCACCTTGGCTTCCCAAAGTGTTAGAATTACAAGTGTGGACCACCATGCCCAGCCAAAAATGAACATTTTAATAATGCATTATCTTTTGTAATTCTCACTAAGACTCTGATTAAATATTAATAGCTCCATGATTGTGATATTTACTTTAAAATCTAAATAATACAGAGATATAAAGAGCAAATCTGACAGTGCCCCATCACATCTTTCCCCCTCAAGTATTTCCTGAGAAATATGAACAATGCATCTTTCCAAATCTCTTTATTTTCCTCTCTTCCCAAGTTTTTTTAAAATTTAAAATCACTAGCCAGGTGTGGTGGCTCATGCTTGTAATCCCAGCACTTTGGGAGGCTGAGGTGGGCAGATCACCTGAGGTCAGGAGTTCGAGACCAGCCTGACCAATATGATGAAACCCTGTCACTATTAGAAATACAAACATTAGCTGGAAATGGTGGCATGCACCTGTAATCCCAGCTACTCGGGAGGCTGAGACAGGAGAATCACCTGAACCCGGGAGGCCCTCGGAGGTTGCAGTGAGCTGAGATTGTGCCATTGCACTCCAGCCTGGGCAACAAGAGTGAAACTCCATCTCAAAAAAAAAAAAAATTAAAATCATTGTTATACTTTTCATAGTGTATGTGTAATTTAAATTCATACAATCAATTATTGATTGATTCAGCTTCACTATTATAAACAATGCTGCAATACAATCTCTATTGTTTATGGATATCTACATTATAGCTTTAGCTATATTGGGCTGTTGGATAAGAATTTCCACATACAGATTTATAGAAGTTGAACTATAGTCCTTTTTTACTAAAGTCTATTGATTCTTTTATTTGAATTACAAATCCCTACCCGATTGGCCTCTTCTCATGTCTCCAATCTCAGTTTGCTTCCTTTCCCTTGTACTTGCTTCTGGCCTTTGTACTAACTCTTCTCTCAGTTTGGAATGCTCTTTCCCTTGATTCTCACAAGACTGATTCTTCCTTGTAACTTAGATCCCAACTTAAATGTCACCTCCTCTGAGAAACATTCCCTGGCCACTAAATCTAAAGTGGTTCTCGGCCACGTGCGGTGGCTCACACCTGTAATCCCAGCACTTTGGGAGGCCAAGGCGGTGGATCACCTGAGGTCAGGAGTTTGAGACTAGCCTGTCCAACATGGTGAAACCCCGTCTCTACTAAAAATACAAAATTAGCCGGGTGTGGTGGCACACACCTGTAGTCCCAGCTACTCAGAAGGCTGAGACAGGAGAATCACTTGAACCTGGGAGGGGGAGGCTGCAGTGAGCCGAGATCCCACCACTGCACTCCAGCCTGAGCAGGACAGAGTGAAATTTCATCTCAAAAAAAAAAAAAAAAAGTGGTTCTCTAGTTATACTCTATTACTATATAAGCCTTTTATCAGTAAGAACTCTCTCTGTATTTTTTTAAGCTTCATATTTGAACTCTATTTGGTGTACTACTAACATTAATATAAAACTTTTTTATTCAACATTTACCAGGTATATCTTTTGACATCTTTTAATTTTCAATCTTCTTGTGCTGTTTTAAACATGTATCACTTATAAACAAGATATATTTGGATATTTAAAGACCCAAGGTAAGAGATGAATTAAACCTTTCTCAATTATGTGATTACTGACACTTAGATGTATTTGAACAATTTCAAGTATTGGAAGAAAAATGACAGAATTTTCTAAAATTAAAAATGAGAAATCAGGGCCAGGTGCAGTGGCTTACACCTGTAATCCAGCACTTTGGGAGGCTGAGGTAGGAGGATTGCTTGAGCCCAGGAGTTAAAGAGCAGGCTCAGCAACCTGGTGAGACTCTCTCTCTACCAAAAAAAGAAAAAATTAGCTGGGCATGGTGGCATGCACCTGTAGTCCCAGCTACTTGGGAAGCTGAGGCTGGACGATCACTGGAGCCCAGGAAGTAGAGACTGCAGTGAGCCATGTTCATGCCACTACACTCCTTCTGGGAAACGGAGGGAGGCCCAGTTTCAAAAAATAAAAGGAATTCAGATTGAAAATGCACAAATTTTTAAAAGCACAAGATAAAAAAGAAAAACCCCATTCCTAGTCATATTATAGAAAGACTGAATTCAATCAAATAAAAATTTTTAATTACATGAAATGTAAACAAGTAATTCTAAAAGCTTACAGAAATATCTGTTACATATAAAGGAACAAAGAATCTGAATCAGATTCTTATCAGATATCTTAAAAGTAACACTTTGATAAGAAAGATAATGAAGACTCCAAACAATAGGATGACACCAATAACGTAACAGTAAACTCAACCATGCCCCCTAAGGTCCTAGACCCAACCAGCTAAACAAATCCCATAAACTGCTAGGATTTACCTTTGAAAGCCAGGTGATTTTCCTCTTAAGATCCTGCTGACCTTTTCACTTGGCTTGAGACATTAATATGGGTAGAGCAAGTTGTATTAGCAATTGCCCACACTGCTCTGGCCTGCAAAGTGGAAGTCTAGGACAATTCTATCACCCATAATAACCCTGGCCATTGAGTTGAAGCTGACCTGGATATCTCCAGGGTCAAGGTGATATCATTGAAAGTGTAAGCTAAATTCAAGAAGAAATATTACCTTTTCTAATTGAATAACTCTAATTGGGGATAACTGCCTGCATCAGCTGCACATATGTAATAAGTCAGTCATCCCATCAGGAAGTTCTCTTGAATATCCAATATTTGCACTTTGAAGAGATAATTGCAATCACTTGAGGGATACATGATCTACTGGTGATGTTTCCGTAAACATTTGCAGGTCTCTCATTACCACCCCTAAAGTGCAAGTCACATTGTTTTCAGGAAGAAGGCAAGTTAATTGTCCAAGTTGCACTTACATATCAGTTGAGGGGCACAGATTGACAGTGCCTCCAATGTGGCTTCTTGGCTGGCTTATGCAATGAAGGAGTCCCAGACCAGTTTAGATAAGTAAGTCTACTCCTTATTTTGGAGGAGCTGCCTTAGGGTAGTGAATCCAATTTATCCTGTTTGTGTAAGCCGCCAACTGGATGATATCCATTCAACCCACGGAATGACTGAACGACCATTGTGAGAATGGAGGTGGGAAGTACACCTGAAATATACCGTTACTACTTGACAAATGAGCATGTTGGACCCTTCCCACCTTGCTAGGTCATTGAGTCTCTAAATAGGAATAATTTGGTACAGGCAAAAGAGTCACAAGGCCTCCATAGGTCAGTCATTCCCCGGTAGCAAACTAATAGCGGCTTTTCAAGAGGTGTTCCCCACAACAGGAGATGACAAGTTCAAAACCTCGGGGGCAGCGTCCCATTGCAAGAAACTCCAACTGGCAAAATCTTCAGTCATTGAGACTTATTGTTCAAAAATGTCATTAGGATTTGGGGGTCTTTAGGTAGAGAGGTTGCCACAGATGGCTTCACAGCAATCACAGAACCACTTATAATGCACAGAACCACTTATAATAACTGGTTTGTGGGATAGTCTATATAAAGGACAAAGTGTAATGCTCAAGTAAGGCATATACTATCTCTAATATTAGACTCCATAGAGACCAATAAGGTGCTAGGCCTGTGTTTCTGTGGTGGGATGCTAAAGAGACAACAGCTCTTCCTTCACTTCCAGGAAGACTGAGCATTGTTAATGTGCCACATAGTTCCAAAACACTTAGCAGGCAGGCTCCTGAATTTTTTCAGGGTTTATCAGTCCATCCCTTCTGATGGAGGTGCTATAATTCTGCCTTCAGGGCCATTGACACCAAGGCTTCTCTTTCCAACCAACAGGATATCTTCTATACAGTGAAAGCCTGCAGGAAGAAGGTGAGCAACCATTAAGTCACCATTCAGGTGACTTGTTTCAATCCTACCTTTGCTGCTCAGCCTCTAAACATTCACTAACAGGTAAGATGGTAGGGGATCCTTCTACCACCTTCTTCCAACCAACTGGGCGAGATCACATGCTAGAAAATTTTCTCATTTCCTCTTACCTGCACCACTGGAACCCTTCCCTTTCTTTTTCAGAAAGTCAAGTCTCTGTCAGCATCCCATTTTTATCACCAAAAACTGTCAAGAACTGTGAAGGGTCTGGGAGTTTACCTTACTTGTAAGCCAACAGTTTACACTGCCATAATATCATTAATGCTGGTAAAAGACATAAGACTCTTCAGTCAGAGATAAAAGATTGTATTACTGACAGTACAGTAAGCATCATGTGTTTCATATATATGTTGGTTCCTCCTCCCCCAACCCAGGACCCATGGGAGTGACACAGAGCAGCCCAGGTTGATGGTGCATATGCAGTGGGTTTGCATCAAAGCTGAAGAACTCCAAGGTTAGGAAATCTGAAGCTTGTATAATGGGCTACAAGCAAACCAAGCTAACCTTTGCCCCAAAGGAAAACATAATCCTTATTATATTGAATAGTAAACAAACCTGCCCTCTGCTTCAGAGAGAGTCACGATCTCTGTCTTACAAGATGTCTTACAAAGATTTTGGAAAAGACAGTTCAGATCAAAGGTAACCAGTGCCTCACAAGATGTGCAGAAAAAAAAGACACTCAGAGAGAGTCATCTTCCAACAATAACTTCCATGAACACAAACACAAAATTCTTTACCAAAATATTAACCAAATCTAGCAACATATAAGATGGGCAATATGTGATTACCTCATAGGAATTAACCCAATAACGCAAGATTATCCTTCAAAAATTAATCAATGGAATTTAACATATTAACACATTAACAAAGAAAACTCTATGATTGTCTCAATGAACACAGATAAAGCATTGAACAAATATCAACATCCATCTATGGTAAAACTCTTAATCTAAGACTAGAAAGGAACTTCCACAATCTGATCAGAGGCATCTATCAAAAACAATAAAACAAAAAACCAGCAGCTAACATAATATTAAAAGACTGAATTCTTTCTTTTTAAAATCAGGAAAAGGCAAGTATGTTCTCATCACTTCTATTCAACACTGGACTAAATAGTCCAGCCAATGCAGTAAGGCAAGAAACATAAAGGCATTATATATTAGGATGAAAAATGGAAGAAATATGATAGTCTATAAAAAAACTAGAACTGATACATTTAGTTAAGTCGCAAGATACAAGGTCAATATAAAGTCTCCAACTTGATGGTTCAACTTAATGATTTTCTGACTTTACAATGGTGTGAAAGTAATAAATATTCAGTAAAAACTGTACCTCGGTACAGTATTAAATAAACTACATGAAATATTCAACACTGTATTATAAAATAGGCTTTGTGTTAGATAATTTTACCCAATTATAGGCTAATGTAAGCATTCTGAGCACATTTAAAGTAGGCTAGGCTAAGCTATGATGTTCAGAAGGTTAGGTATATTAAGGCATTTTCCACTTATGATGGGTCTATTGAGATGTAACCCCTATTGTAAGTCAAGATGCATCTGTATATAAAAAAATCAATTGTATTTCTACAGTTAGTAATGAACAATCAGAAATTAAAATTTAAGAAACCATACCATTTGCAATAGCATCAAAATGTGAACTACTTAGGGACACATTCATTAAAATGTATGAGATCTGTACACCACAATCTACAAAATATTGCTGAGAGAAATAAAAGAAGACCTCAAGTAATATCATGCTCTTGGATTGGAAAACCAATATCATTAAGAAGTTAATACTCCCCAAACTGATCAACAGATTCAATGTAATCCCAAGTAAAATCCAAGTAAGCTTTATGTGTTGTAATTAATAAATTCATTCTAAAATTTATTCAGAAATGTAAAGGTCTTGGAATTACCAAAACAATTTTGAAAAAATAGGAAAATTTGGGAAGAATTACTCTACATAATTTCAAGACTTACTGTAAATCTCAGTAGTCAGGACAGTGTGGCACTGGGCATAAAAATAGGGATATAGATCTATGAAACAGCATAAAGAATTCAGCTATGTACCTGTACATACAAGGCCAATTTATTTGACAAAGCACCATGGCAATTCAATAGGGAAAGAACAATGTTTTAAATAAATAGTACTGGCACCAAAAAATGAACCTCAACCTACGTCTCATTCTATATATCAAAGTCAAGTACACTAAAAGTGATGACAAGGGCTTGGAGCTAGATTCAATTAGCTTCTTCTCTTTTCTCTTTTTTTTTTTTTTTTTTTTTTTTTGACAGAGTCTTACTCTGTCACCCAGGCTGGAGTTCAGAGGCACAATTTTGGCTTACTGCCTCCCAGGTTCAAGCGATTCTCATGCCTCAGCCTCCCAAGTAGCTGAGACTACACCTAGCTAATTTTTGTATTTTTAGTAGAGGTGGGGTTCCACCCTGTTGGCCAGGCTGGTTTTGAACTCTGAGCCTCAAGTGATTCACCTGCCTTGACCTCCCACAGAGCTGGGATTACAGGCATGAGCCAGCGCACCTGGCCTCTTGCTTTGTTGAAAGTCTATCTGATGTCACTGCCTTTTAATTGAAATCTTTAGACCATTTATATTTAATACAACTTTTGATATGGTTAAGCTTAAATCTACCATCTTACTATTTGTTATCCCTTTGTCCCTATTGTCGCTGTCTTCACTTTTTCCTCTCTATATGCCCTCTTTTGGATTATTTTATGATTTCATTTTATCTCCTTTGTTACATTATTAGCTATAACTCTTTGGATTTTGTTATTTTAGTGGTTTTTTATGGTTTACAGTATGTATGTTTAACTTACCACAGTTTACCTTTGAATGATGCAGTACTTCACATGTAAGAACCTTATAATATACTTACATCTCTCCCCTCCTGACCTTTGTATTATTGCTGTCATTTTACATTTACATATGTTATAGATCCCACCCTACATTGATTGTTACTTTTGTTCTAACAGGTAAGATTTGAAGATATTTAAATAATGAAAAATTTTAAAAATATTTACCCATGTAATTACCAGTTCTGGTGCTCTTCATTCCTTTGTGTAAATCCAGATTTCAATCTAGTATCATTTTCTTTCTGCCTAAAGTACTTCCTTTAACATTTCTTATAGTGTGAGCTTGATGGTGATAAATTCTTCAAGTTTTTTTATGTCATAAAAAATTTTTTTTCTCTTTATTTTTTCAAAGATAGTCTTTGGTACATACAGAATTCTAGGTTGACAGTGTTCTTCTTTCATTAGTTTAAAGATGTTAATATATTGTCTTCTTACTTGCATTCTTTCAGGCAAGAAATCTGCTATTACCTTTGTAATATATTGAAGACATTTAAATAATAAAAAATTTTTAAAATGTTTACCCATGTAATTACCAATTCTGGTGCTCTTCATTCCTTTGTGTAAATCCAGATTTCAATCTAATATCATTTTCTTTCTGCATAAAGTACTTCCTTTAATATTTCTTATAGTGTAAGCTTGATGGTAATAAATTCTTCAAGTTTTTATGTCATAAAAAATTTTTTTTCTCTTTATTTTTTCAAAGATAGTCTTTGGTACATACAGAATTCTAGGTTGACAGTTTTCTTCTTTCATTAGTTTAAAGATGTTAATATATTGTCTTCTCACTTGCATTCTTTCAGGCAAAAAGTCTGCCATTACCTTTGTCTTTATTCTTCTTGCATGTCCTTTTTCCTCTGGCTGCTTTTAAGGTTTTCACCTTATCACTGGTTTTGAGTAATTTGATTATAATACTCCTTGGTATAGTTTCCTACATGTTTCTTGTGCTTAGCGTTTGTTGAGTTTGTTGGGCCTGTGTGTTTTTAATTTTTATCAAATTTGGAAAATATTCAGTTATTATTTTTCTTTCTGGCCCCTCTTCTCTCCTTCAGAAACTGTAATTACACATATATTAGTGAAATTGACCCATAATTTATAGTTATTGTTCATTTTTAAAAATTCTTTAAAAATCTCTAAGCTTCATTTTGGAGTTCCTATTATTTTGTCTTCAAATTTAGTAATATTTTGTTCTGCATTGTGTGATCTGCTGTTAATCTTATTCATTGTATTACATACCTCACACATTTCTAGTGTAGAATTCACTTCTACAAGTGTAGTTTTCATTTCTAAAAATTTAATTTGCATTTAAAAAACTTTCATGTCTCTTAGCTTTATGATTATCTGGAATATAGTTATAACCATATTAATGCCATTATCTGAATTCTAACATTTGTGTCAGCTTTGAGGTCAGTTTTGATCTATTTATCTCATTATGGGTCATATTTTTCTGCTTCTTTGCATATTTGGTAATTTTTTGTTGGATGGCAGATATTGTGAATTTTATGTTGTGGGTTCTGGGCATTATTGTATGCCTATAAGTATTCTTGAGATTCATTCTGGTTTACAGTTATATTACAAGAAAACAGTGTAATCCTTCCAGGTCTTGCCTTTAAGATGTATTAGATGGGACTGAAGCAGATATTAATCAAGGGTTAATTATTCCCCACCACTGATGCAAGATCATTTTGTGTACTCTACCCTATGCTTGTGAATCATGAGGTTTTCCAGTCTTGCTGATAGGAATAGGTATTATTACCCATTGTGTGTGGGCACAGGGCACTGTTAACTGCAAGTGCAGGTTACTGTTACTTCTAATCCTTTCAGGTAGTTCTTTCCCTAGCCTTAGGCACTTTACTCACACAATGTGCTGCAGTACTTGGGTGAATTTACAAAGGCAACTCTATGCAGTTCTTTGGGGTTCTCTGTGTGCAGCCCTGTTCTCTCCATTATTCTGCCTTGTCAACTGTACCTTCGTTGGTTTCTCTGAACTCTTAGTTCCACTTCCTCAACATAAGGAGTGTGCCAGGCTCTGCAGGGTTCTCCCTTCCTGCTCCATGGCCTGGAAATTCTATCAAGGTAGTAATCTGGGGATAATCATAGTGCTCACCTCTTTTTTTTCTCCATCCTTCAGGGACCACGGTCCTTCATTTCTTGATGTCCAGTATTTTGAAAATCATTGTTTCAAATATTTTGTCTGTTTTTATTCATTTCAGGAGTTAGGGTAAATCCATCATGGCCAGAAAATAAATGCCAAAAAACTTACTCTGAAATGTATATGGAAAAACCAGGAGCTAAGAAGACTCATCCTATAAGATGGTGATTCTCTGTTATCCTCAAACCATAAGCATCAGCATTACCTGAGAACTTGCTAGAAATGTAAATTCTTGGGTTCCAACTCATACTTAGTTAATTAAAAGCCATATGGGTGGGGACCCCCCAACCCTCTAATTGACTCTCATATATAGTGAAGATTGAGGATCACTGCTAATAAGATATTAAGATAGATACAAAGTTTTAGTTATAAAAATAACATGGTACATAAAAGCAAATATAGAAAAATGTTGATAGAAGAATGTAGATGATGAGTGGTCATTATAAAACTTAAAACTTTGCTGAAAAAGAAAACACGACACAGAGGCATGGACAGAAAAACAGACCAAAGGACATAATAGGGGGCTCAGAAACAGTCCTGCGTATACACAGGTATGCAACTGTATTGATATACAATAAAGTTTGCATCGGATTAATAGGAAAAAGTAGCCATCAGAAGAGAAAACTTGGAGCTAGATCTCTACCTTACATCATATTCAGTGGTAGACTCAAGAAGAAAAGATCTAAATGTTAAGTAAATCTAAGTAATTAATAGAAGTAAATGTGGGAGAAAGCCTTTGAACCTTTGTGACTCAGGAATGAAGAAAACTTTTTTAATTAAGAATCATGAAGCGTAAATGATAGATTTGTCCTTATCCATGTTAATCTTTTTTTCTAAACAAACAAACAAGAGATACCATAAACAAAGAGAAAGAGAAACAGGCCATGGACTGGGAGAAGATACTTGGAATGTTTCAAATGACAAGTGTAATAACTGAAATAGACAATAAACTGGCCAGGCACAGTGGCTCATGCCTGTACTCCCAGCACTTTGGAAAGCCGAGGCGGGCAGATCACCTGAGGTCAGGAGTTAAAGACCAGCATGGCCAACACGGTGAAACCCCATCTCTACTAAAAATACAAAAATTAGTTGGGAGTGGTGATGAGTGCCTGTAAGCCTAGCTAGTTGGGAGGTTGAGGCAGGAGAATTGCTTGAACCCGAGAGGTGGGGGTTGCAGTGATCTAAGATCACACCACCGTACTGTACTCCAGCCTGGGTGACAGAGTAAGACTCCATCTCAAAGAAAAAAAAAAAAAAAGAAAGAAAGAAAAGAAAATAGACAAAAAACTGCTACCAATTAGTCTTTACAGAAAATGGGAAAAAAAGGAGACAAATGGGCAAAAAGAATAGGAAATTTACAGAATTGTAAACCTTAACAGCTGGGTAGTTGTCAAATACCCCAGTAATCAGAAAAATGGAATTTAAACCAATACCAAAATAAAATGTTATAGCTACCAAATATGTCAAAGTTAGAAAGTCACATAATATTGTTTGCAAATATGTGAGGAAATGAGAATCTTCACATCTAGCTAGTGAGAATATAAACTAGTATAGATTTTTAAGAAAGTAATTTAGCAGAATTTACTGAAATTAAATAGCCCTGTGACTTAGCAACTATATTCCTAGGTATATATGCTAGAGAAATTTTTGCACAGGTCCATAACATGACATGAATTAGGATACTTACCACTACATTGTCTATGGCAGCAGTGAAGTGGAGAAATTGGCAGTATCACAGGTGTCCATCACTAGAAAGATAGATAAGATGCAGTAGAGTCAAACTGTATTTATTTATATAAACAAAACATATGTAACACTAAATATTTATTGTTTCTGTAGTTACTATTCACCCAAGAATTCCAACTTAGATTTTTCTATAAGCACTTAAAATTAACCAATCTATAGTTTCTTTTAGAAAAAGTTATTTATGGCCGAGTGCAGTGGCTCATGCCTGTAATCCCAGCACTTTGGGGGGCCGAGGCAGGCAGATCACCTGAGGTCGGGAGTTCAAGACCAGCCTAACCAATATGGAGAAATCTCATCTCTACTAAAAATAACAAAATTAGCTGGGCGTGTGGGCGCATGCCTGTAATCCCATCTACTCAGGAGGCTGAAGTAGGAGAATCACTTGAACCCAGGAGGTGGAGGTTGCAGTGAGCCAAGATCGCACCATTGCACTCCAGTCTGGGCAACAAGAGAAAAACTCCGTCTCAAAAAAAGAAAAAGAAAAAGAAAAAGCCATTTATTTGACTGGGCATAGTGGCTCACACCTGTAATCCCAGCACTTTGGGAGAAAAGTGAGAGGATTGTTTGAGGCTAGGAGTTCGAAACCAACCTGGGCAATATAGTGATATTCTGTCTCTATAAAAATAAATTTTTAAGTTGGATTCTTGTCTCACTTGCAGAAACCATCTAGTATTTTACTTCCATTCTTATTTTACCATCACCGCTAATTGCACTTATTTCTGCTCCACTACATGGTTTTGGTCAATATTATTTCTTAGATTTCAGATCTACTTTTAAGATTTATTTTTCATTTCATTGGAGTATTCCCTGGTACTTCTTATGGGGAGGTAAGTTTTGAATCCCTGAATTCCTGAAAGTGTCATTATTTTGCCCTCCAACTTGAATAACTTTCAAATTTTGGATGTATTGCTTTACTGTCTTCTTGTATCCAAATCACTGGTGAAAGTTCCAATGTCAATCTCATCCTGTTCACTTTGTAATCATTTCCTTTACATTTTGGAACCTTTTAAGATGTTCTTTTTTTTTTTTTTTTTTTGAGGCAGAGCCTCACTTTGTTGCCTAGGCTGGACTGCAGTGGCACAATCTCGGCTCACTGCAACCTCCGTCTCCTGGCACGAGTGATCCTCCCATATTACCCTCCCAAGTAGCTGGAACTACAGGCATGCACCACCACACCTAGCTAATTTTTGTATTTTTTCTAGAAACAGGGTTTCACCCTGTTGCCCAAGCTGGTCTTGAACTCCTGGACTCAAGCGATCAGTCCACTTTGGCCTCCCAAAATGTGGGATTACAGGTGTGAGCCACCATGCCTCGCCAGTGATGTTTACACCTACTCTAAAATTTCATGAAGATGTATCTAGAAGTGTATGTTTATAGTTTTGCTTGGTACTAAATGGACTCATTCAGTCTGAGAACCTATGCTGTGCTTCAGCTCTAGGAAAGCTTATTTTTTCCCCTTCATTGTTTCCTTTGAAGGATTCACGTTGGAACATGAGGACTTCTCTTCCATGTCTCTTTTCACATTATTTCTTAGTTCATTTGCATTACTTTCTATGCAATCTAAACCCAAAGAGCTTTTTAATTTGCCCTTGGATGTCTCCTTACTACTCTCCAGCCCAGCTGTTGAATTTACTTTTGACAGTTCTATTTTACATTATAAAGACATCTAAATCCTTTCATTAACAGCTTGTTTTCTAAACTCAATATCCTTTATCCCTCAGAAGATATCATTTTACATATTGATTTCTTTAGACACTGGTACTTCTGTTTGGTGATTCTCATGGTGTCACTATCTGCACTCACGGTGGGCAAAAGGAACATGCCAATGGTCAGATCATGCTAGCTCAAAAGGGCTATACTGGTTTTCCTTCTTAATCTAGGTATCCGCACTCATTGCTCCTGCTTTGAACCAGATGTCCTTTCTGCACACAGCTTGGCATATAAAAGGTGGTTGAACTAAATCAATTCCTTATGATGCAGTATCACCATCATTCTTGGTCCTTTATATTGTCTTCTGAGGCATCTGAAGCAAAATACACATCTCATGGTAGAATTCTCTGGCACTAGCCTTTAAAGAATTTCTCAAAAATTATGGGCCGGGCGCAGTGGCTCAAGCCTGTAATCCCAGCACTTTGGGAGGCCGAGGCGGGTGGATCACGAGGTCAGGAGATCGAGACCATCCTGGCTAACACAGTGAAACCTCGTCTCTACTAAAAATACAAAAATTTAGCTGGGCATAGTGGCGGGCGCCTGTAGTCCCAGCTACTCCGGAGGCTGAGGCAGGAGAATGGCATGAACCCGGGAGGCGGAGCTTGCAGTGAGCCAAGATTGCACCACTGCACTCCAGCCTGGGCGACAGAGCCAGACTCCGTCTCAAAAAAAAAAAAAAAAAAAAAAAAATTATGGATCCAGTGTACTCCCTTTTTTTTTTTACAAAACTGGTAATATTATTATTACATAACACTCTTGCCTATCATAGTATTAATAATCTTTTCTGTCCTTTGTAGGTATGTGGACAGGATGAGGAGATTGAAGCATGCTCCATTTTGCTACCTTGAATAATTTATCTGCAAACAATTCCTCTTGTTCTTGGGAGAATGAATGTTCCTTTGAGGGATGCTGCAGTGAAGGATGATCCAAATATGAGATGTTTAGTGTGCATTCTGGACAGGCATTACTTCTCAGAGTATTAGGTTCTTCTTTTCATGAAGATGAGGAAACTTAAAATCATCTAAAATCCATGCTCTCTGCTCATGCTTTAATTTTTTAACAATTTGTATTAGTTTTTCTTTTCTAACAAGGAAAAGTTTGAAAGAGCAACTGAAAGAAGATCCTTCTAAAGCTATACCTTGGAGGAACACAATTTGATTAGGTTTAAGGAAAGTCAGTATTTATAGGCTTGTTTTCATGAAAAATAAGCTTTATTGAATCCCTTGAGGGGAAAAGCATAATTTTACAGCTTAGGTTTCTTCCTTCCCCAGTGATACTAGTTTCTCAAATTTTATCCTGAAATAAAACCGTGGGCCGATTGAGAAGCTAGATGGGCAGATGCGTGACAGATCACCATTGTCCCTGGTTGTTACATTAGAAAAGAAAGTTGTAACAGAAGGATTCTTTTTGTCAGCCTCTCTCCTAAAGATTCTATAGAAAGGTTCAGGAGTATTTTGATTGTTCTCTACAATAAAACCTAGGTTGTTCTCTTAAAAAAAATTTCAGGTGTTTTCTCTAAACATTCTCTAACATTTTAGGCTTTCTCAGCTTAGGATGAGCTTCTCAGGTGGTTGGATATTAGGACTGTACGTTATAGCTGACCACAGATTCTAATCTTGAAAAACTGCTTCATGAGACTGTAGAAGATAGCATTCTCTTAAGAACTTTCCAAAACTAAATGACTACTTACTATCCCCTGGGCTTATGAATTCTGTAAAGAATTAGCAGCTTTAGGTAGAATATGGTCAACTTTTTCTGAAGGTCCTTATTTAGAAACAAAGGAATACCCAAAGGTCTGAGTTGGCTGCCTGTCTAGATTACTTTTTCTTTTTTTTTTTTAAAGAGGCATCTTGTTCACTTGTTCATCAATTAATGCTCTTGAATCATAATTTTTATTTCAATGTCCATTTCATAAGAAACCTATTCACTGAACATTAAAACAGAAGGCTGTAAGAATGCAACAGACTGAGTGAAAAAAATACCCTTCCAAATAGATTTCACACGTCAATCTCCATCAGAGAAACATTTCCCATCTTAATGCCTCCCTTTAGAAGTAAATAATAATAATTTGAGATAAACTACACTTCTTCCACACCTAGATATACAGGGTTTTAATGCTAAAAAAAAATTGTATATTTTTCATGAGAATTTCTCTAACCCCGAATTTTGTAAATAAACCAGTTTAAACATCATTAGTTTGTTATCTATCCTCTATGTGTTACTTCATCTAGATATATACAAAAATTTGGAATGAATAAATGTTGGTTGATAAAAATATTACATAGCTGCTAATGGGATTTTTTAAGTGCAGCAAATTAATACTTAAAAGTTTGGTTCTGCTTATGGCAAGTTTTGTGTTTAAAAGAATTAAGTGTATATATATATATCTTCATATCCAGTCCAAAGAGGTCAGAAGAATATTTACAAAATAAATATGTAGGGAATTTTAGAATTTCATTGATTCAGATGAAGTGATAATTCCTTAATTAGCATAAATCTTTAGATTGTATCAACTATTGTATGCCGTATAAATTACTCTGATCAGTATTATTTTTTTACTGGTTAGAGTAAGAAATTACTCTTAAAGACAAAATCACTAAAAGACAGTTGTGGTTTTGATGAATTGCTATATAATACTTACTAAAGTTAGTTATGGGTATAGGCCTTAACTACAATTTACTCAACAATATATAAACTAAAAATGTCTTCTCCACTTCCTCAAAAAATTTAATTATTTTATTCAAATTTTGAAACTTTATTACAGCAAAATTCTAATTCAAAGTCCTTGTCATTTAATTTTAGTTTTCCAATACTTTCAAAGAAAACTTGGCTATAATACTCCTCTTGGTAAAGTTTCTTACGCAACTTTATGTGTTGCAAGAATACTATAAAATTTTAACTAACTAGAGTAGGATAAAATGCCAGTGCATATAACATCTGTTGCATTTATAATACTTCAATGTAATGTGCAGACAATGAAGTTAAGGTTTGCTGAAGATCCATTGTTCCGTGAGGCTTAATTCCTTTTCCAAAATTATAATTGGTATATGTGGTTCAAGGTAAAGTAGTTGAAAACTTCACAATTATACTTATTAAATATATTTCTGATTAAAAGTAGAATGTGCCTGTGAAAATCTGAAATCAATAAAAGAAATGTTAGCTATTTTAGAATGCCAAAATTAATATTTAAAAACAAACTAAGAATAAAGGGAACACCGAGACTTGTCTTAAAGAAGCTGTTTGTCATTCTTTTTTTTTTTAGATTACAACACACATACAATAAGTGAATTTTATCAAAATACAGCACATTTCTTCTACTATATCCATAAAAATCAATTCCTATGTAAATAGTACTGAAAATCAACTAAAATGAGTTAAAATTTACAAAGAGTTGTTAAAGGGTTTCAATCAAAATTATTAAAACTATACAGTACAATAACCAATTGATAACATCTTGAAAGAAGTGCAATATTTGAGTTCACATATTTTTAAAAGTGCTGCCTACTTACTCTGACTAGCAAGAATGGAAAGTGAGTCCAACTCACTTTTGCAAAAATAATGTTGGTTGGTGTTTTAAGCTAGTCTTATAAAAGTCTTAATTAAAATCAAGGTTGATAAACAAAGCATAACAGATTAAAAATTCCCAAATTGCATTTCTTAGTAAATAAAAATGAAGTGCAATAACCAAATATTGCTCTAATGAAAGGTTCCAGACTAGCCTCAACTAAACAGTTATTGGTCTTCTATGGCACTTTTTTCTGGTCCAAATAACCATGCATTAATCCTTACCATTACATGTTACTCAAATTTTATTTGATTACATAGAACAAAAACAAATAAAATTAATGGTCTGGATAAACAAAATTAATAAACCTCTATCATCAAATATTTGTTACAGTAACTAGGAACAAAGAAAGGCAGTTGGTGGTAAAACACTATTACACTGATACACATAGAAACCCTTTAAAGACTCTGGAAGTGTTGAGTTCACATTTAATGTTACCTGTAGAAACAGCCCTTTATTTGAACACCTTTACACACTGGCAGGCCTCAAGGACCCATCCCTTTGCTCTATAACTCTCCACAGCAATTCTCTATCACTGTGCCAGTTTCACAAAGCTTGCTTTGGTTTCCTAGCTCCAAGTGTACTGTTTCCTTTTACTTTACCAAGGCAATGCAAGGCCAAACAAAAATCAAAGAGGCTTTCCTAAACCTTCGTAACATTTTGTGTTACAGGCAACACAATCTTAAAACTGGCCATTTTTGTTTCATTTGCTGCTTAAAATAAAAATTATAAATTAGATTTAAATGGAGCACTAATTATAAAACAGATTGCAAGTACCACCATTTGAAAAAAAAAAAAAAATCAGTGGATTTCCATAACACAGAAAATGCATGGACATGCATCTACAGTAGAGTTAAAAATTTCCTGTGACTAAAAAATTAAAAACTGAATCACCAGTAGCAAATGTATAGTCAATGGCTATGACAAGAACAGATCCTGCCGAGCTCATAAATGCAATTATTGTCTTTTTTGCTTTATAAAAAAGACATTACATATTTTATTGCATTATTCTCCTAATAAAAACATACTACCACGTAGCTCTCCCCATCCCCATTCTTTGCTTCCAGATTTTTATAGAAAATAACTGTTTTAGTCTGGCCTTGGAAAGTGAACCCACCAGCACCACCTTCACCTACTCACTCTTCAATTCAATATGCACATAGCAAAAGCCAACACTTCAAATCTCTTGCCCACATCAAAAAAAGTAGTTTCAGGAGAAAAACATTAATACCAGTTGAATAAAAATAAGGGCATAAAAGCTATGAGAGAGATAGCTCTGCCATCTGTCTCTGGGCTAAAATCAAGGCTAACTATTGCCTTGCACACAGTTCAGTCATGTATATGAAATCCAAAAATAAACCTACAATCTATACAAAAACAACACAGGTTTGTTTTTGTAGCCTTGATTGCTATGTTTAAAAACCTAACAAGTTTTATATGGTATGAATTCAACAGTCTCCTTTATATTCTGTACAGTGGTTCTTTCCCTCTAACCACAAGTTCCATTATTTCATTAATGTACAAATTTGAACATAATTTTTTGAGTTCTTCTTTATATATAAAAATAGTCAAAATATTAATTTCCCCTGTAAGTATCTTCCAATAAATCTTGCTGTCTTCCCCGCTTTTTTTGTCCACAGTGCTTATGAGGAAACTTCTCGTACAATGATGAGTTCAACTGTATTCTGGAAAGTTTTTAGCAAGGACACTGCTTGTCCATGTTCAATATTTATAAAACTGTAGCCATTAGCCTAGAAGAGGAAAAATGCTTTTAGGAAAAACATTTTATAGTTATTTATTTGCATTTCTGCCAAGTAGTTCACAAACTTGGAAGAAAATAAGAATCACTTTGGCAACTTAAAATAACATACAGATTCACAGGCCCTACCCAAACCAAGGAATAAAGTCTCTGAAGATGGGGTCTAAAAATGTGTATTTTGTCCAACTTCTCAGCCAATTCTTATGTAGCAGCCCAATGTTAGAAATCACTTACTTAAGAAATAATGTCAGACATGGTGTCGTATAATGCTAATGTGTATCTGAGGTGACCAAACTGTAGCGTAGCAGGGGGCAAGGGCTACTCTTCCCATTGTCTTGGAGCCATCACATCAAGACCACCATATTTCTTACAATTAAGCTTAATATTTACTGAGGTTCTACTGTGTACCAAACACACAATTCTAAGGGTGTAATATGAATTAGATCCTTTGATTCTCATAATGCTCAAAAAAGATTCTTTCACTATCTTATTTTAGAGAAGAGAAAGCCCAGGCATGGAGAGGCAAAGTAACTTGCTCAGTCACAAATTGAAACCCAAATGGTTCAGAAAAATAAATGTGTATAACTGTATGAGTGAGTGTGACTGTGTGTGTGTGTGTATGTGTGTGTGTGTGTGTGTGTGTGTGTGTGTGTGTAGAGGGAGGGAGGGAGAAAAAGAGAAGAAAGAGGAGAATAAATGATAAAGACAATGTAGCAAATTATGAACGACTGGTGACCAATTGATGTAATACTGGTGTTTGTTGTAGTATTTTTGTGGCTTTTTTCTAAGCTTAAAATTATTCAAAAAAAATTTTTTTTAATTAGTTTTATTTTTAGAAAGTGTTGGGACCAGAATTTAAACTCAGGCAGTCTGGCTTTCAGAATCTGTACTTTCAGCTATTAGACATTAATGTCTCTCTCTCCCTTTTTTTTTGGTTTGAGGATTATTTTTTAAGTTCTTTAGTTCTCAGCTAAGAACGGTGACAGTAGGGGTAGAAAATGAGAGCTATACTTGTGTCCTAGGTTTGTCTTCCTTCTAAGACTGTAAGTGTTTAGGTAAAATGAGTAGCTGAATGAACAAAGAAAAGGAGGGGACAGGAAAAAATGAGTTTCGCAGATTTAAAATTTTTCTTCTCCATTTCTGAAAGGACAATAGCCCACATCCAAGAAGTGGTACTCTAATCCCCCTCAAATTAGTAAAAATTAACATTCCTGAGCTTAAACAAAATCCTATGATGTATCAAACTTTTTTTTTTTTTTTTTTTGAGACAGAGTCTCGCTCTGTCGCCCAGGCTGGAGTACAGTGGCGCGATCTCGGCTCGCTGCAAGTGCCGCCTCCCGGGTTCACGCCATTCTCCTGCCTCAGCCTCCCACCCACAATTTTCAAAGTTAAAGTGAAAACATTTTAAACTGTGAAAACATTAGAGTGTTATAAAATGAAAAAAAAAAAGATTTATTTTAATTACCTGAATAATTTTATCACCTGGCTGCAGTAATTTTGATGCTGGTCCTTCAGGTTGTACCCTTGTTACAAATATACCCTTTAACAACAAAAAAAATTATTTAACTAAAAACAGTATGTATAAATAACAGAGTACCAAGGAGCAATTTTTCCTCCACACCATGCAAATATTTGAATCATGGTACAAGTTTTCTCCCTGACTTCTCTGAGTAATACTGTAACAAACTAGTTATTTTTACCTCTAGTAATTCTGACTTTAGTGATTTCTCTTGAGAGTAATAAAATTACTTTTATAGGTGTGTGAAAAAGCAATAAGAAAGTTAAAAATCATTTCATTATATCATAAACATTCATAGTTTTTGGTTAAATTGTTTTAACTTGAACTGATCAAATTACAAAACAAAAAGGTAAGCAATAGAGTGGGGAATCCAGGTGATGTCTACCTAGATTTACATAAACATCTATTAGATTTTCACTTACATTTAAGTATTCAATCGGTAAATAAAACTTTATAGGTGTTTCAAGAATATACAAAGAAAACTTACATCATCATCAGGTCTGAATGGGTTTCCTCTACCCCCGACACCACCTGATATGCTAAATCCAAGTTCTGGATCCTTTTCAACCCTCACTCGAATCTGAGTTAATATGAAAATAAAGGAAACTTACTATTTCAGAAAAAGTTATAATGCAACAACATCCATATTTAAATACTGATTGGTTAAGTCCAAGCAAACATAAACATAAGAATTCATCAAAAATAAATATTTGGTCAGATGAAGTGAAATACAACATAGAATATTATGTTAATGAGTTAGTGAGTTAAAGGCAGAGCTGGGATTATATAAAGCATAGCTCCTAATTTTATTGCTTGTCTTATGAGGATAAGGAATCAATTAATATTGACCCTGTTTTACTTTTTAGACGTCACAGATTTTATATGACATAGTACATAAACACAAAACATGTATATTATTATCAGTTTCCACTTGTGGGACATCTAAATTACACAGTATCTCTGTTTAGTGGCTTGTTACATAAGATATCTAAAAGATCCACTGGTGGTTTTATGATACTAACTCTTTATTTATCAAATCTGTTTAAAGGCTTCAAAGGAGTTGGGATTTTAAAACATGACCAATTGAGAGTTTTTATAACCAAGCTAAAAAAAAAGATGCAAGAATTAAAACTGTGTTATAAAACACTCCCTTTCACCAGAGACACAACCAAAATGAATAAAGCATTTGATCTCTACCTTTCTAATATTATCATTTTATTAATAACTATCAAGATATAAGAATGTGTAGCTCGCTGACTTTTAAAGTACTTTTTAAGATTAAATACTCAAAGTAGTTTGAAGTCTGTAGTCAAATTTCAAAATCTAAGGAATTAAGATTTTAAGTGTCACAGAACAATTTCAGCTTAATGGTCTCCTATTTATATTCTTAAGGAATGTCTGACTACTGTAGTATCAACCAGTTTTGGTAAAGAAACTGTATCAGAATAAATAAATCATGCCCAAAATACTAAATCCTATGTTACATGATCACAAAGTCAAATAAAAATTACCAAGTTTAACGCCTTATAAACGTAACATAAAAATAAAACTTTAAATGGTAATAACTACGTTAATATTCTGTATGGATTTACTAATAATTAAGTAACCTATAAAAATACATAAAAAGCTTAGTCCCATATTTCAAATAGTCTTGATTATTCTTACCTCTTGTTTTGCCAGTTCATGGCCTTGTCTAGGAGAACAATGGGGCTGTGTATATGGAGGCTGGTGGGCCACTTTCAGCATCAAGTAATCAATTAGTTGTTCTCTAGAGGGATGCCTTGCCACAGATGCCTGAGGGGGGTGATGTATTTGACTATAATTTGCCTGAGGCCTGAGAGGCTGGCCCATCTGTCCATTACTCAAAGGCATCTAAGAAAAACATGAAGTATCTTAAAATGACCAATAATAATGTCTTATTTCAAATATTTGGATTTCTTCTTGGAGCATTACAAAAGCACTAGAGTTTTCACATTCTAATTAAGTCAAACAATACCATGCCACTTACTATTTTTCTATAATTTTAAAACTTAAAAGAAATAAGCTATTAATGTCTTAATTCTAAAGTTTCCTGAGTGCTTGTTGTTACACTCACTTTTTTAAGCTTTCAAATGGAAGTACATCATATCTACATTTTAAATTACTTGCTTTTTTGTGAGCTACACTTGTATTTTCTTAGATGTATCTATCTTATAATAACCAAATGTTAAAATGGCACATAGTATACCAAAATTTTAAAATTTAAGCCAGTCTATGAGATGCATATCTTTTCCCATACTAAATCAAACACACATACACAAAAGGTACATTTGCTGACGTTTTTCTTCAGAAAAAAACTAATTTTGTGGTAAAATTCTTTCCAAATTTATTTTTCTGCTTTTATTCCTTCTTTTCCAAAATTAACAAGTCAATTCAGCTATCTATGTAGAAAACTGATTTATTCCTTGTGTGTATGTTAGCAACGTTTATAATCTCTTATTATTAATTCCATAGACTATTAGCCATAAAAATTAAATGTTGACATTCTACCCTATTCATAAAGTAAACAGCAAAAAAATTTAAATTATTAGTTTGTTGTTGTTAGAGAACTATCTTTGTTTTAATGCCTCTCATTTTTAGAGAATAAACCTGACTTAAAATCACCTTTGTAGAAATGTGGCTAATAGCTTATTCTGTTAGCATGAGGAATCTATCTTAAAAACAAGAGGCAGGGTGCAGTAGCTCATGCCTATAATCCCAGCATTTTGGGAGGCCTATACAGGAGGATTGCTTCAGGCCAGGAGTTCAAGATCAGCCTGGGCAAAACAGCAAGACCCCATCTCTAAAAAAAAAAAAAAAAAAAAAAAAAAATTAGCTGGGCATGGTGGTGCACACCTGTAGTCCCAGCTCCTTGGGAGGCTCAAGTAGGAGGATCATTTGAGCCCAGTAGTTTGAGGCTGCAGTGAGCTATGAGCATGCCACTGCACCCTAGCCTGGGTGACAGAGCGAGACTCCATCTCTAAACAACAACAAAAAAGAGGTTACAGTCATATTACAAATATTTGCATATAAAAAGATTTTTGTGTAGAAAAATATGGTTCAGCTATTAACTTATAATTTCCTTGTTGGTTATTAACAGACAGAAAATCTCATAGACAAGGAAATTATGGGAAAACTATGAGGGAAATAGTTGAGGTCCAGTTCCCTAAATTAACCCAAATAGAAAAGTTTGCAGAAAGATATGGCAACACTTTCAGAACTGCATGCTTTTCTTGGTGAACCTTGCTGAAAGATATAAAGTAGTTTAGCTTTGGTATAGATTTGTATTTTTAAAAAAGGCATTCTATTTCACTGTTAAACTGTGTTATACTTGAGAACTTAGTTAAATTCTGAAGTCTAGGAACACACATGGGTATTCTGTGATAGGACACAAGGATGTTACTGACAAATCTTATATTGGTTGGAGAGAAGGAAAATGAAGGGCTATATTAGCCCTACATTTCTGGAGGAAAAAAACCTGTTTATTACTTGATCACTGTAGATTTAATGCAACTGATTTGCCCATGAGTAATTAACTGGTTCTGCTGTTGCTTTATTACTTACATACAATTCTGCAGATAGCCCATGATTTTCTCTACGTTTATACCATTTATTCCTACATGCAAATTCAGTATCTTTCTCCTGGGTAAAATCCAGGTGACAATTACTACTGACCTTAAGACTCCCTGACACCAAATATTTGGTCTTGCCTACATCAGTGTTAAACATACACATGGAATATATTAAGCTACAATTAGCAGATGGCTCAGGAAATTAGAAAGTATTAAACTCAGTAACCCTAAGCCACAAAATATATGTAATGAGAAAAAACTGGATGACAAAGCTCAATTAAAAGAGGGTAAAATAATAGAAACTTAAGAACTTATATATTAGATGAACTTAAGTATTAGATGACTTATGAACTTATATATTAGATGACCAGGTAGCTACTCTGAAGAGCAACATAGAAGTTTTATGTAATAAATAACTATGCTTCATAATTATATCTGGTCATACTAGAGGCATGGAATCAGTTAAGAAAATAAGAAAAAATAGTTGAGGGAGGATAGTAAAAAATTATCTGTCTGGCACTGGCCATACATAGATAATTGCAACAAAAGTACTAAAAACACAACCATCAT
This sequence comes from Homo sapiens, assembly GCF_000001405.40. Classification (NCBI taxonomy): domain Eukaryota; kingdom Metazoa; phylum Chordata; class Mammalia; order Primates; family Hominidae; genus Homo; species Homo sapiens. Next base: position 66,072,735 of record NC_000005.10, on the reverse strand, counting down.
CTATTCTACCATATACAAAAGTCTTTCAAGATGATTTCTAATTATCATTTGAAGTAATTACATTTGACTTTAGTAATAGTAAAAGATCCTAGAATGAAGAGTTTAACACAAGTTCATTTTCAATTCTCCAAATAGTTTTACTATCAGGAATACCAAAAAGGCCTTGATTCAAATGAAAAAATAAATAGGTGGTACTATATAACAGAAATCTAAATGCAAAAATAAAATAATTCTCCAGGGTAGAAAAATCATGAAATGAACTGAGAAATAGTAGACAGGGTCAAATTCTATTTTGTATTTCTGATATTTTAAAAATCCTTACTAATAAAGGGGGGAAAGCCCTCAAAAAAGTATTTTCATCTAAAGCACATATAATATCTAGTCCAAAAGCTGCAAAATATAGAAAGCTCACAGATACTACATTTTGTTTTCCCGAGCACCCACTTTCATCAAGCTGTCTGGAGGAACATCTTTGTGACTAAGTGTGGCTGATGAGTAGTTCTGCTGTCCTGAAATGAATATACCATCTTGACAAGGATCTCCTGAACTGGATGTCTGGGGATGCTTCTAATGAGCAGGAAATAAAAAGTAAACAAATAATGTTCTTTAAGATGTGAAACCAAGAGGATGACACTTGAGAGAAGATTAGGAAAAAATATTGCCAAATAGTGCAAAGATGAAGACCCAAATCAAACACTGCCATCATTACTGCCATCAATTAGTATCTTTCACTTCTTCCAAAGGTACATAGCAAGATATTTTTGTATGTATGAAAAGCTTATATGAAAACATATTGTTAATCTACTTATGTACAATACACACATGTAGAAGATGAATTTTGCATGTTATTTTTTCCTTTTAGTTTTACTTACAGTAATACCTAGCTTTTAATACCTTTGAACAACAAATATAGTTATTAATCAAAGTTTAGAGTCTCAAATTTTAAGACCAACTAAAACACACTCATGTTGAGCACTATAAAAAGATTTTTGGTAAAAAAAAAAAAAAAAAAATTAACTGCTGTTCTTTCAATAGAACAGTACCCCATGGGATTTTTTTCCCCTAAATTTTAATGACAAGCAGAACCAATACACTTATAGTCTTACAAAACTTATTTTATTGGGATAAGATTGGGGTGTGAAATGAATATAAAATTTGCTTTAGCTTAATTCTGCCACATTGATATGAGTTCAATAGTTTCAGAAGTACTGATATGGAGAAATGCTATTAAAACCAATTAACTGGTTAATATCTTTATAGGCCAAATAATATCCCTGTATTATAGTTTACCAAGCTGATAGCTTTAGGGGAAAAATAAGACTCAATCTCATTACCCCTGAATATTTCTTTCTTTCTTTCTTTCTTTTTGGAGAGAGTCTCACTTTGCCACCTAGGCTGTAGTGCAGTGGTGTGATCAAGGCTCACCGCAGCCTCGACTTCCTGGACTCAAGCAATCCTCCCACCTCAGTCTTCTGAGTAGCTGGGATAACAGTTGTGGTGTCACCATGCCTGGCTAATTTTCTAATTTTTGTAGGCGGGGAGGGGGAAGAGGCAGGGTCTCCCTACATTGCCCTGGCTGGTGTCAAATTCCTGGGCTCAAGTGATCCTCCTGCCTCGGCCTCCCAAAGTGCTGGGATTACAGGTGTGAACCACTGCACAGGGCCCCTGAATATTTTATTATTATAAATATGCCAGGAAGCAAGACACATATGTTTTTCACTTCAATTTTAGTTCTAAACACATCCCTATATATATTTTAGAAAACAAAACAGATTGTGATAAATAGCACTATTGTTACATTCAAAACAGTTTACGGCTAGCAACATAGAAATGCAAACTACATCATCATATTGAAAAATTAATCTAAAATCTACTTTGTTATGACATACTACAGCATACATATAGAGTTAAGGATTTCGAATTTAATCTTAGAAATTATATCCGCAACACATCTATCATGTGCAGTTAGTTCAAACCATGGCTTAGAATTTTTAGACGTGATCTAATTTTGTGTATTTATGCAATGAATACTTTATTTTCCTTCTCCCTTTTTGAGATGTGCTTTTAGAATACATAAATGAATTTAGCTCTCAGCTTGAAATTTTAACTCAAGTGTGAATGTATAACTATGTTTATCTACTTTTTAAAAGAACAAGCACACCATGAATGTAGAAGTAAAATTCAATGTATTCAAAGGCTCCAAATTAAAAAAAAACAAGCACAAAATGTTACTATAAAAGAATGTGGAAAATACAATTGCTCCAGGTGACTATAAATGGCAAAGATTACCCCTGAGTTAATAAAAGCCACTGATCTTTACCCCCAGGGACTCTTGGAATGAGAGACTGATAGTTATCACCCTTCTCTCTCATCTTTTAAATTGGGAGGTTCCTAGCTGGGCGCGGTGGCTCATGCCTGTAATCCCAACACTTTGTGAGGCTGAGGCGGGCAGATCATCTGAGGTCAGGAGTTCAAGACCTCTGGCCAACATAGTGAAACCCCGTCTCTACTAAAAATGCAAAAATTAGCCGGGTGTGGTGGTGCGCACCTGTAATCCCAGCTACTTGGGAGGATGAGGCAGGAGAATCGCTTGAACTCGGGAGGCGGAGGTTGCAGTGAGCTGAGATCGCGCCATTGCACTCCAGCCTGGGCAACAAGAACAAAACCCCGCCTCAAAATAAATAAATAAATAAATGAATAAATAAATAAATAAAATTGGGAGGTTTCAACGTAACTGCTGCCACTCTTAACAGCATAGGAATCACATGGTGGCAGGTGACAGAGGACAGCATACGTCTAGGTCAGGTACAGCCAGAGCCAAGAGAATCCAGGAGATTGCTCCTATTCTGTAACACCAGAAGAAAGCCAGGGATATATTAAAATGGGGGATACCATCGCTCAGGTAGAAGTAAAGGACCCAGAAGTAAGCAAATACTTCACAAGGAAACTATGGGGAGGGGATAAAACAGGGTTATTAGAGACAAAACAGTCTTTTCGGGATTGAAGGAGAGGGGCGGAAGGAAATATTCTAGAGACCATGCTACTACTTCAAGTTGTTATGGGAAAAAAATCTTAAAACAGGGCCATGCCAGAGTTGTTCTTTCTTTCTCTGCCTTTTTATCCCCCACACTGAATTTTGGTTAAAATCATAAACCTTTCTTCTTCACTACTAAGGAAATGTTTAGTAAAATGTGAGTAAGAAAGGATTTGTGCTTTGTCTTTTCACTGACACTTATTACAATTTCTCCAGTCTCACAGTTAATCATGCTCAGTGAATTATGATTAACATTAGTTCAGGGTAGTGCTTTCTCTCAGTCAATTCTCAGTCACTGGAGTTAAAATTATTCCTCCCTGTAACAGGTCTATGGATTACATATAGCATAGCCTTAAAATCCTTAGGAATAGAAAAGTTTAATATTAAGAGAAAACATACTACAAAGAATAGTTTTTGAAGATCTCTCAGTTATTCCTATTGTTCACTTTTTTGCATAAACAAGGGCTGACTACATCATTAGTTTATGACCAAAGAAACTCAGGAGATAATGAATTTATCAGCTCTGAAGAAAGATTTAGAACTAAGCCATGGAAGAACTCAGAGGAAATCAAGGTTTCTAACCCAGAGTAAACATTTTTTTTCCTGGAAACATTAAAACACTTAAAATTTGGGGTTTTCTCTTCTACAAGCTAAAAGTATTGGTCTAGTGTAGGTACTCACTCGAAAAATGTGCCCACCAGAACCTCTTCTGTCTGCAACACTCAAGGCAAGACTGCCCTGGCTGCCATGCAGATCCCTAGAGCTGCCACAGTGAAAACTGCTTACAGTAGTAAAATTGGAATTAAAGGACCTTGACAGCATGCTCTGAATAAAGAGGGGATAGATTTAACAGAGATTAGTGTAGCATGCAAAATCCACGAGACATGTTATATACGTAGACTTATTTACAAGTAACCCCAAAACCAGAGAAGTATCATGCAACACTAATTTTCATTAGTGAAAGAAATTGGAACCATTTACCATGTATTTATATGACAACATATACATATACACAAATTACACGTAAATACAACCATTCACATGTTTAAGCAAAGGAAGAAAGTACAGACATATAACTGCTTTTAGAATGCTATTTCCTTTACTCCTAACACATCTTAGATATATATGTCAGAAAATAGGAGTTGACGCCATATGCTGATGTATGTGTATCTAAAGTCATATACAGAACAGAAATTAATTTCTCTATATAAAGATAAATTTTACCAACACCCAGTAATTCTAAGTCAAATGAATTTTTAGAGAATCTACTTCATTTTATGCAAATTCTAACATATTAAACAAACTGAGTGTTTAAATATACATAACACAAAATATATTTGCAAAAAATACCACTTCAAAAATTTTTTTTTTTTTTAAGAGGTAGACTCCCAGTCCGGAGTACAATAGCAAGCTCCTGGCTCACTGCAGCTTCAAACTCCTGGGCTCAAAGATCTTGCCTCCTGAGTAGACAGGACTACAGGTCCTCATTACCACACCTGGCTAGTTGTTGTTATTATTATTATTATTATTATTTTTGTAGAGACGAGGTCTCACTACACTTGTCCAGGGTGGTCTCAAACTCCTTCCTTCAAGCAATCCTTTTGCCTCAGCCCCCTAAACTGCTGGGATTACAGGTATGAGCCACTGTGCCGGACCACATTTCAATTTCTAAATGTTTAGAAAAATATCTTGCATTAGAGAATAGTTTTAACATACGCGAATTTATGATATACCCTTTTTAATTTTATTTTTTAAAGAGACATGGGTCTTGCTATGTTACCCAGGCTGGCCTCAAATTCCTGGGCTCAAGCCATCCTCCTGCCTCAGGCTCCTGAGTAGCTGGGACCACAGGTGTGCACCACCATGCCTGGCTAGTTTTTTTATTTTTCATGTAGACAGGGTCTCACCACCTTGCCCAGGCTTGGTGAGTATAACTTTTAAAATGCTCCTGCTGCTCTAAAATTACAAGAAGAAGAAAACGAGAAAATGTGTGGCAAATTTTCCCCATTCAAATAAACTGGTATTAAAGATCACTATATTTTAGGAGTTAGTGGTGGCCTTTGCTGCTTAAATTTGAAGAGCCATTGATGGAATCCTCTCACAAACTGAATTCATATGAATACCTAATTGCTAATCCCAGTACTGCCTGAAGATGTACCTCAATAAACACACTGCCTGATTCCCGCTGTTCCACTTGTTTATTCCCAGTGTTATGAACTGCCGTTCTTCCATGTGAGTGCCTTTAGTCATGTCCCTGAGTGCTGAGGGCTTAATGGTCAAACTGGATGAAACCACATTTTGAGCATGGCTTGTTATTAATACAGAAATATCATAACAAGCATTTCTGTATTACTCTTAGCAAATACATTCCTTCTCAAAATCTGAAGTTGACGTCTAATGCCAAGAAATACAGGATTCCATAAAGAAAAAGATCTATAAAATTACCATGTACACTTCCAGTTATTCTGTGAAATCTAAAGTAGTGACTAAAGAAAAAGCTAAACTTATAGCCCAGACCTGCATTTTCCCAAACCATTTCACCAAGGTTAAGGATTTAACGAGGCAATCTGGAGGTTTCATAAACATTTGACTGGAATAAAAAAAAACAAAGAAATCATTCATACATACATAAATAACAGACACACACATTTGCTGTGCAGAGAGCTTTAATGTGTTATTGACTCAAGTGGCCTGATTAACCCTTTAGACAGATCTTGTAGCAAAGCTTTCTCTGTCATCTCCAAACACATGAGCTTACTGTAAATATTTTACTGATGAATAAAGCTGAAGCTCAAAACAGGTCTGGTTTTAAATTCAGGTTTGTGCAGACATCCACGTAAAACTGCTTCCTGTCACAACACATTGTAGAGTGCTCAATTAAATGCTAGGCATAATGTCCTGGGCAATGTTGTTCATTACATACTGATAGTTGTATAATAACGAGTGAACGTAACACTTACCATGTTGTGTTAATCATATTATGGTTTGGAATGCTTAATATCTGAGTTCTCATAAGGAATGTTAGTAAATGCTGATAGTAACCATTCACCTCTGAAATAAAAAGTTCTTATTCCTTTTCAAATTTTGCTTATTAATTAAATAAATCTTGAAATTTTCAAGGTGACATCTACTTTGTATCTTTGAATTCCAGGTACAGTTTTTTTTGTTTTTTTTTTTTTATTTTTGGCAGTGGGAGGTTAAGAGGGGTGACTATTAAAAGGTTTAAAAACTACTTAAGCTTCAATAGATTATTACTACTAACTCTCAGCTGAGTAAAGTAGCAAATTTTAATTTGGGAACTGACCTCATGAGGTAGGGCAGGCACTGTGAAAGCCCCCAGGGTAAAATTTTTAAATGTCTACTTTGCCATTAGAATTAAGATGGTGGGTGTAGGGGAGTGAATAGAGATCCTCCATCATCTTCTACCACTTTGAATCAATGAAGTTTGGAGTCTAAATCCTGCTGCTATTAAAGTAGTTAATTAGTAATATATTTATGTAGCACTTTCAATCTGCTTCTAACGCCCATACATTCTGATTACACCATCTAATGAATAAGCATCAAAGTAGCACAAAGTTGTTATATAAATAAAACAGGGACAATTTTCAGAATTACATGATTTTAGAATGTTTTGAACATAGGAAAAGAAAGCATCCCCACGAGAGACTTGCAGAAATAAAGAGTTAATTTTCACTGGCAAATTACTCAAATTATGCTTCAATATTAAGGATTATTTTTACTGAATAAAATTATTTTTAGGAGGCTGGTGGTAGAATCACATTAAACTCTCAGACAACTCAAAAGAACCACATCTAACATTATATAACCTAAAGTACTATATCTGCTCAGGAAGTAACAGTGGCTTCACCTTATTTATTGTGTCAACTTGAAATTCTTCAGACCAGCTTTTAAAGTTGTTCCCCCTCCTTCACATAACATATATATCATCCTGGGAAAATTACTTAATTATTCTGCGCCTGAATTTCCTTACTGGAAAATGGGATAACAAATAAATGGATGCTGGTTCACATACAAAGCAAAACACACACACACACACACACACACACACACACACACACACACACACACACACACACACACACACACACAGGTCAAAATTAATCTGAAAATCTCTGAAATCACTCGGAATGTACAGTTTTATTTATAGACCCCATATAGTAAAGTTTGAAAACCACTTACCTAGGTTAAAGGAAGAACAAAGGTAAAATCTAGGTACAAATGTTTGGTTATTCAAACCATCCTGCCTTAAAATAATAAATTTCTAGCAGTTAATGGTGGGTAAGAGGGGAAAAGATGAAAGATGGTGAAGAAATCTTAAGGGTGTACATATCACTGAATTGGAATGGGCTGCTCTTTGAAATAATAAGTATGTCTAGCAATCTTAGCAATTTAACATTACTTAAAACAATGTATCTTTTCAGTCTCTTAAAAACACACTTTTTTCTTATCCCACATAATTACTGCCTAGGAAAATTCACTCATTCACATGGTTTGTATCTCAAATTTGCATCACTAAACCTAGTATCGTATTGTGTTCCATGTTACTTGCACACAGTCATCACATCAAATTCAATATATTCAAAACCAACTAAGCTATTTTTTGCCAAACTTTTATACTATACCACAATGCTTTAAAGACTTCATTTCCTTAACTACCAGAACTTTAAAAAAATATTGATTTGGCAGGGCATGGTGGCTCACATCTGTAATCACAGCACTTTGAGAGGCTGAAGCAAGAGGATTGCTTGAGGCCAGGAGTTTGAGACCAGCCTGGGCAACATAGTGAGACCCTGTCTCTATTTAAAAAATTAATTAATTAAATAAGGTTAATGACCAAATATCTCAAATCAGAAACCTTGGCTACCTCTTCAATCTTTTTTCTCATTCCATCCCTAAAACTAAACAATTTTAACCCAAGTGTTTTTCAGACTCATCACCACGAGAGCCAAAACCCCAGCTCAAGTATCTCTCATTTGGCTGTTTTATTATTGAAACTGTTTCCTAAGCTACTTCTTATCAATTCATCCTGAACACTTTTGCCTAAGATATCCTAAAATACTCTATATGCTCAGGAAATAATAGTGGCTCTCTTTTGTTTATTGTGTCAACTTGAAATTCTTCTGATAGGCTTTTAAAGTCATTCCTCTACACTACGTAACACATATCATCCTGGGAAAATTACTTAACTCTTCTGTGCCTAAATTTCCTTATGGTAAAATGAGATAATAAAAATATCACACAGGACTCATGTGAAAATTGAGAAATATTTGTATAGCAAGGTAACTGTACAGTGATAGTAGTTTCTGGCACTTTGTAAATACCAAATAAACTTTATATATTATGACTTTCTAATATTCATACTTTATTATCAAATGTTCTCAAAATACATCTTTAATTCAACCAGGTTGAACTCCTTGTCTCTGCTTTCAGAATTCCTTCTTGATATATAACTTTTACCTTAATCTATTAATCTTAATCCTATTTATCAAAATTGTAAGTTTTTCAAAAAGCACTGTTTGTTGAATAATCCCATCTTCTGTGATTACTATTGCATTTATCATTACCATTTTATCTTTCAAAATGAAAACATTTTAGAAATGTATCAAAAAGTCCCCAAATCTCACCGACAGATAATTACTAGCAGTACATTAACATTTCATCTTTTGAACCAGTTATTACCTAAACTATGAAATAATCTTCTGAACTATATTTTCTGAAGAAGAGATGATTAATAATGAAATCATGAAGAAAATACCAAATTTCCATTGAAATTTCTATTTTTGTTAGTTTTATGTGTGTACGTATATAAGTGTGTATATAAATACGAATGTCTCTATTGACATTTTATTGGTATTGTTTCTGACAGATAAGTATATTTAACAGAAAATTATTCAAGATCATCATCCTTGATAAATAGGTATTTAAAACAAATTTTTACAAGCTAAACATACAGAGACTATCTTCACTTTTTAAAAATGTCTTAATCGAGAAATTGGGAGGAGCCAAGATGGCCGAATAGGAACAGGTCCAGTCTACAGCTCCCAGCGTGAGCGACGCAGAAGACGGGTGTTTTCTGCACTTCCAACTGAGGTACCGGGTTCATCTCACTGGGGAGTGCCGGACAGTGGGTGCAGAACAGTGGGTGCAGCACACCATGCCTGAGCCGAAGCAGGGTGAGGCATCGCCTCACCTGGAAAACACAAGGGGTCAAGGAATTCCCTTTCCTAGTCAAAGGAAGGGGTGACAGATGGCACCTGGAAAATCGGGTCACTCCTGCCCTAATACTGCGCTTTTCCAACGGGCTTAACAAACCGCACACCAGGAGATTATATCCCGCAACTGGCTCGGAGGGTCCTACGCCCATGGAGCCTCGCTCATTGCTAGCACAGCAGTCTGAGATCAAACTGCAAGGCCACAGCGAGGCTGGGGGAGGGGCACCCGCCATTGCCCAGGCTTGAGTAGGTAACCAAAGCAGCTGGGAAGCTCGAACTGGGTGAAGCCCACCACAGCTCAAGGAGGCCTGCGTGCCTCGGTAGGCTCCACCTCTGGGGGCAGGGCACAGACAAACAAAAGACAGCAATAACCTCTGCAGACTTAAATGTCCCTGTCTGACAGTTTTGAAGAGAGTAGTGGTTCTCCCAGCACGCAGCTTGAGATCTGAGAACAGGCAGACTGCCTCCTCAAGTGGGTCCCTGACCCTCAAGTAGCCTAACTGGGAGGCACCCCCCAGTAGGGGCAGACTGACACCTCACACGGCCAGGTACTCCTCTGAGACAAAACTTCCAGAGGAATGATCAGGCAGCAGCATTTGCGGTTCACCAATATCCGCTGTTCTGCAGCCAGTGCTGCTGATACCCAGGCAAACAGGGTCTGGAGTGGACCTCCAGTCAACTCCAACAGACCTGCAGCTGAGGGTTGTGACTATTAGAAGGAAAACTAACAAACAGAAAGGACATCCACACCAAAAACCCATCTGTACATCACCATCATCAAAGACCAAAGGTAGATAAAACCACAAAGATGGGGAAAAAACAGAGCAGAAAAACCAGAAACTACAAATCAGAACACCTCTCCTCCTCCAGAGGAACGCAGCTCCTCACCAGCAACGGAACAAAGCTGGACGGAGAATGACTTTGATGAGTTGAGAGAGGAAGGCTTCAGAAGATCAAACTACTCCGAGCTAAAGGAGGAAGTTCAAACCAATGGCAAAGAAGTTAAAAACTTTGAAAAAAAATTAGACTAATGGATAACTAGAATAACCAATGCAGAGAAGTCCTTAAAGGACCCGATGGAGCTGAAAACCACAGCACGAGAACTATGTGACGAATGCACAAGCCTCAGTAACTGATGCGATCAACTGGAAGAAAGGGTATCAGCGATGGAAGACGAAATGAATGAAATGAAGCGTGAAGAGAAGTTTAGAGAAAAAAGAATAAAAAGAAACGAACAAAGCCTCCAAGAAATATGGGACTATGTGAAAAGACCAAATCTACGTCTCACTGGTGTACCTGAAAGTGACGGGGAGAATGGAACCAAGTTGGAAAACACTGCAGGATATTATCCAGGAGAACTAACCAAATCTAGCAAGGCAAGCCAACATTCAAATTCAGGAAATACAGAGAACGCCACAAAGATACTCCTCGAGAAGAGCAACTCCAAGACACATAATTGTCAGATTCACCAAAGTTGAAATGAAGGAAAAAATGTTAAGGGCAGCCAGAGAGAAAGGTTGGGTTACCCAAAAAGGGAAGCCCATCAGACTAACAGCTGATCTCTTGGCAGAAACTCTACAAGCCAGAAGAGAGTGGGGGCCAATATCCAACATTCTTAAAGAAAAGAATTTTCAACCCAGAATTTCATATCCAGCCAAACTAAGCTTCATAAGTGAAGGAGAAATAAAATACCTTACAGACAAGCAAATGCTGAGAGATTTTGTCACCACCAGGCCTGCCCTAAAAGAGCTCCTGAAGGAAGCACTAAACATGGAAAGGAACAACCGGTACCAGCCACTGCAAAAACATGCCAAATTGTAAAGACCATCAAGGCTAGGAAGAAACTGCATCAACTAATGAGCAAAATAACCAGCTAACATCATAATGACAGGATCAAATTCACACATAACACTACTAACCTTAAATGTAAATGGGCTAAATGCTCCAATTAAAAGGCACAGACTGGCAAATTGGATAAAGAGGCAAGACCCATCAGTGTGCTGTATTCAGGAAACCCATCTCACATGCAAGGACACACATAGGCTCAAAACAAACGGATGGAGGAAGATCTACCAAGCAAATGGAAAACAAAAAAAAGGCAGGGGTTGCAATCCTAGTCTCCGATAAAACAGACTTTAAACCAACAAAGATCAAAAGAGTCAAAGAAGGCCATTACATAATGGTAAAGGGATCAATTCAACAAGAACTAACTATCCTAAATATATATGCACCCAATACAGGAGCACCCAGATTCATAAAGCAAGTCCTTAGGGACCTACAAAGAGACTTAGGCTCCCACACAATAATAATGGGAGACTTTAACACCCCACTGTCAACATTAGACAGATCAACAAGACAGAAAGTTAACAAGGATATCCAGGAACTCAACTCAGCTCTGCACCAAGCAGACCTAACAGACATCTACAGAACTCTCCACCCCAAATCAACAGAATATACATTCTTTTCAGCACCACACCACACCTATTCCAAAATTGACCACACAGTTGGAAGTAAAGCAAGCACTCCTCAGCAAATATAAAAGAACAGAAATTATAACAAACTGTCTCTCAGACCACAGTGCAATCAAACTAGAACTCAGGATTAAGAAACTCACTCAAAACCGCTCAACTACATCGAAACTGCACAACCTGCTCCTGAATGACTACTGGGTACCTAACGAAATGAAGGTAGAAAAAAAAGATGTTCTTTGAAACCAATGAGAATAAAGACACAACATACCAGAATCTCTGGGACACATTCAAAGCAGTGTGTAGAAGGAAATTTATAGCACTAAATGCCCACAAGAGAAAGCAGGAAAGATCTAAAATTGACACCCTAACATCACAATTAAAAGCACTAGAGAAGCAAGAGCAAACACATTCAAAAACTAGCAGAAGACAAGAAATAACTAAGATCAGAGCAGAACTGAAGGAGATAGAGACACAAAAAACCCTTCAAAAAATTAATGAATCCAGGAGCTGGTTTTTTGAAAGGATCAACAGAATTGATAGACTGCTAGCAAGACTAATAAAGAAGAAAAGAGAGAAGAATCAAACAGACGCAATAAAAAATGACAAAGGGCATATCACCACCAATCCCACAGAAATACAAACTACCATCAGAGAAAACTAAAAACACCTCTACGCAAATAAACTAGAAAATCTAGAAGAAATGGATAAATTCCTTGACACATAACACTCTCCCAAGACTAAACCAGGAAGAAGTTGAATCTCTGAATAGACCAATAACAGGCTCTGAAATTGAGGCAATAATTAATAGCTTACCAACCAAAAAAAGTCCAGGACCACATGGATTCACAGCTGAATTCTACCAGAGTTACAAGGAGGAGCTGGTACCATTCCTTCTGAAACTATTCCAGTCAACAGAAAAAGAGGGAATCCTCCCTAACTCATTTTATGAGGCCAGCATCATCCTGATACGAAAGCCAGGCAGAGACACAACCAAAAAAGAGAATTTTAGACCAATATCCTTGATGAACATTGATGCAAAAATCCTCAATAAAATACTGGCAAACTGAATCCAGCAACACATCAAAAAGCTTATCCACCATGATCAAGTGGGCTTCATCCCTGGGATGCAAGGCTGGTTCAACATATGAAAATCAATAAACGTAATCCAGCATATAAACAGAACCAAAGACAAAAACCACATCATTATCTCAATAGGTGCAGAAAAAGCCTTTGACAAAATTCAACAACCCTTCATGGTAAAAACTCTCAATAAATTAGGTACTGATGGGACGTATCTCAAAATAGTAAGAGCTGTCTATGACAAACCCACAGCCAATATCATACTGAATGGACAAAAACTGGAAGCATTCCCTTTGAAAACTGGCACAAGACAGGGATGCCCTCTCTCACCACTCCTATTCAACATAGTGTTGGAAATTCTGGCCAGGGTAATCAGGCAGGAGAAGGAAATAAAGGGTATTCAATTAGGAAAAGAGGAAGTCAAATTGTCCCTGTTTGCACATGACATGATTGTATATCTAGAAAACCCTATCATCTCAGCCCAAAATCTCCTTAAGCTGATAAGCAACTTCAGCAAAGTCTCAGGATATAAAATCAATGTGTAAAAATCACAAGCATCCTTATACACCAATAACAGACAAACAGAGAGCCAAATCATGAGTGAACTCCCATTCACAATTGCTTCAAAGAGAATAAAACACCTAGGAATCCAACTTACAAGGGATGTGAAGGACCTCTTCAAGGAGAACTACAAACCACTGCTCAATGAAATAAAAGAGGATACAAACAAATGGAAGAACATCTCATACTCATGGGTAGGAAGAATCAATATCATGAAAATGGCCATACTGCCCAAGGTAATTTATAGATTCAATGCCATCCCCATCAAGCTACCAATGACTCTCTTCACAGAATTGGAAAAAACTACTTTAAAGTTCATATGGAACCAAAAAAGAGCCTGCATTGCCAAGACAATCCTAAGCCAAAAAAAACAAAGCTGGAGGCATCACGCTACCTGACTTCAAACTACACTACAAGGCTACAGTAACCAAAACGGCACGGTACTGGTACCAAAACAGGGATATAGACCAATGGAACAGAACAGAGCCCTCAGAAATAATGCCGCATATCTACAACTATCTGATCTTTGACAAACCTGACAAAAACAAGAAATGGGGAAAGGATTCCCTATTTAATAAATGGTGCTGGGAAAACTGGCTAGCCATATGGAGAAAGCTGAAACTGGATCCCTTCCTTACACCTTATACTAAAATTAATTCAAGATGCATTAAAGACTTAAACGTTAGACCTAAAACCATAAAAACCCTAGAAGAAAACCTAGGCAATACCATTCAGGACATAGGCATGGGCAAGGACTTCATGTCTAAAACACCAAAAGCAATGGCAACAAAAGCCAAAATTGACAAATGGGATCTAATTAAACTAAAGAGCTTCTGCACAGCAAAAGAAACCACCATCAGAGTGAACAGGCAACCTACAGAACGGGAGAAAATTTTTGCAACCTACTCATCTGACAAAGGGCTAATATCCAGAATCTACAATGAACTCAAACAAATTTACAAGAAAAAAACAACCCCATCAAAAAGTAGGCAAAGCATATGAACAGACACTTCTCAAAAGAAGACACTTATGCAGCCAAAAAACACATGAAAAAGTGCTCATCATCACTGGCCATCAGAGAAATACAAATCAAAACCACAATGAGATAGATACCATCTCACACCAGTTAGAATGGCAATCATTAAAAAGTCAGGAAACAACAGGTGCTGGAGAGGATGTGGAGAAATAGGAACACTTTTACACTGTTGGTGGGACTGTAAACTAGTTCAACCATTGTGGAAGTCAGTGTGGCGATTCCTCAGGGATCTAGAACTAGAAATACCATTTGACCCAGCAATCCCATTACTGGGTATATACCTAAAGGATTATAAATCATGCTGCTATTAAGACACATGCACACGTATGTTTATTGTGGCACTCTTCACAATAGCAAAGACTTGGAACCAACGCAAATGTCCAACAATGATAGACTGGATTAAGAAAATGTGAATACTATGCAGCCATAAAAAATGATAAGTTCATGTCCTTTGTAGGGACATGGATGAAGCTGGAAACCATCATTCTCAGCAAACTATCACAAGGACGAAAAACCAAACACCGCATGTTCTCACTCACAGGTGGAAATTGAACAATGAGAACAGATGGACACAGGAAGGGGAACATCACACACTGGGGACTGTTGTGGGGTCGGGGGAGGGGGGAGGGATAGCATTAGGAGATATACCTAATGCTAAATGACGAGTTAATGGGTGCAGCACACCAACATGGCACATGTATACATATGAAACAAACCTGCACGTTGTGCACATGTATCCTAAAACTTAAAGTATAATAATAAAAAAAGCCTTAATCTTTGATGTATGAAATCTGTTTATATTTTAAAATTATGAACTATAAATTTTTAAGAAAAATAATTATTTTACCATCATAAAATAACCTATTGCACAATATTCTGCTGTTTTAAAAAAATAACTTTAATCAGCTGATAATTTCTTTGTATTTAAAAGATGGTGATGATGAGGATGAAGATAATAGCAATAAACACTTATTTAGCAGTTAGTTATATGTGTCAGGTACCCTTCTAAGTGCTTTGCATGTATTAACCCATCTAATTTTTAAACAATCCTAGTAGTTCCTTTCATTGCACCTAACATACACATGAATCCACCAAGGTAAGGAAAGTCAAAGTTATTTGTCCAAGTAGCTAACTGAGCAGCACAGCTAGGATTCGGAACTGTTAAGACTAAAATTCTCTCTAAATGCTTTTTAAAAAATTTTTTTGAAAGTAATTCTTTAAAAATTTAAATTCTTTTAAAAATGTGGTTTATAAAACATGAATCCATTTAAGATAAAAGTTTCACGTATGTTAGGTAAAAGCAGTCTCACATGTGAATACTTTTTAAGAACTGAAACAGGCAAACACAGCATACATTTAAGAAAGACATGGAGAATAAAATATCCTAAAAGGAATGCAGTAGAGTTATGGTAACGGCAGGATATATACTTTGGTATTTGCTAGAAATGCTTCCCAACTGATGAGCTAGAAGATACTACAGTGTAGTCAACTAGTGGTCTGGAAGGCAGGAGTCTGGGCAAGCAAATGATGAGAGAACAAGCACCCCTCGTAACTTCAAAGTATGATATCCTTGAAAATGGGAGTTATCAGGTGCAGATTTGTGTTCAGACACAGTTTGCCCTGTTTCTTTTCTCATAAGGCTTCTCTTTAGTTTCAATCAACTAATTCACACCTCTAAATTACTAGTGAAAACAACTAGGAAACTACTGTCATATACTCTTCAAGAACCCGTACCGTGAATTTCAAAATATGTAAATATTTCAGGCAATTAAAAAAAAAAGCGGATTGGCACACTGAACAATGAGATAGTTACTACTTGCTTCTTATGTACTGAAATCCAGGTATATCTGTCAGACAGGAGTAGGAAAACAGCCATATAAGATGAAAACTACACAGAACATAAAAACCAAACTCATCTCTTCTTCCAAATCTCCTACTCCTCCTCTATGTCCACTAATAGCCAAAGACATTCCCAACAACCAGTTATTTAAGGCACAATCTCAAGCTTTATCCCTTTTCCTTTCTGATTGATTACAGGAATATTCAATCAGAAGTAAACTCTTGTTAAAAGTCTATTTCAGAGCTCTCTCTTGAACTCATTTGTCTTAACTGCACTGATAAAAGTTCACATTTCATTTCTTATCTAGATTACTAAACGGCATCATAACTCAATCTCTTTGACTACAGCCTCTTCCTCTAAAATCTAGTTCCACAACGTCACCAGAAATTTATTTATAAAACACACCTATGTTACTCTTCTGCTTAAGAAATTTCCAAGTGCCTTAGAAAAAGCACAAAAGTTCAAATAGCCTCAACAGTGTGTACAGAGTTACTAGATGAAATAAAATGCATAGATGAGAATGAAGTAGCCTAATGCTTGTGGATATTTACCTATTTAAAGTTCATTTAAAGTTGAGGACTGCACTAAAAAGAACAATTATAGGCTGAGATTTCATGTAAACTGATATGAGGTACTAATATATTTTAGGCATTTCTGAAAATTTTATTTAAGGAATTTTTAAAAATGGCTAATTGAAGTTGTATGTTCACCTGTTTTTAAGAACACATTTTATATTTAATAAAGAAAGAAAGATAATGCTTGGGTAAAATCTAGTGAGTAAGTATAAAGTTAAATCTTAAAGAAAAATCATGTCTTGTACACTTGGGCCATATGACTATGGCATTCATATTGGTTTTACAAGGATATATATCTGTATCTACATTTTTAACTCCTTTCAAAAGATGAACATCTACACATAAAATTATAAATTGAACACGAGCATTAGTTATTTAATCAACTATTGCTAAGCAACACTAGAGCCACAGAAACACTTAACTGAGTTTAAGTAGGTCAGAAATGTAGAAATTCAGAAAAGTTAAGAATAAATGCCATGCCAGAAGCCATCTGTGTCAGTGACAATGTTAGTTCATATACTGTGGACTGGGGAAAAAATATTAGATGAAATATTTACATTTGCAATACATTTTTTGTTATTGTCTTAACTATATAGTAAACTATTTTTTAAATTTAGATAATCAACAATTATTAATAGCAAAGTTCAGAAAATGCTGAACAGAGGTACGTGTATTTTTAGTATGTGTGCACAATCTCAAAGAGACAGACACATAAACATATAAAATTAATACATTTTTGTTAGAAACAGTGGGGAGTGAAGGAGAGGATAGAAACACACATTATCATCCCAATTGTCCTGGCTGAGTTTAAATTTGGAACTCTATTCCCAGTACCAGAGAAAAACACCTAGAATATAAAGAGATAATCAGTAATTCAGAGAATCTTGTTTCATCATTTTTAAGGAAAATAATTAAGTTCATAAAGAAAATAATGAAAAACTCATGTTCAATTACCTTTTCTAACTTTTTGGCTTCAATATGTCGAAGTACTTGTTCTCTCCAGTCACGAGGAACTTTACTTTTTCCTGGAGGATCTAATAAAGAATGCTCAGAACCAACCCTTGCATTTGGTCTTTTTGAAGGACTAGTCCGTGAATAATTGAAATCACTAACTGACATAGTTCTCTCTGGTATTTCATTAATAGAGGGTCGAGCACTCTGAGGTCTTGATGCATTTGGACCATCTATGCTGTATGTTCGTGCAGAAAGGGGTCTCTGTGATCCTGGCATCATTGGAGGAGTTCTTCCCGCTGAGTGGAACTCTCTGTATGATAAATAATCTCCTTCAGGAATCTGAGCCCGCCTTGTAGAGCCTGGATCACCAAGATTTACAGAGGCTGTGGAGGACACACTACTTTGTCGCTGGATTGTACTTCGAGTTACTGCAGGAATAAGTCGGTCGTTTGGTGAGATGGCCCACATTTCCCCATGTCTTGCTGGGCCAAGTCTCTGATGTAAATGGTATGCAGTATTAGCTCGAACATTGTTATGATTAGAGAAATTCATATTGGCAGAATGTTTAGCATAACTTTGATTTTCTGTGCTCTCTGATCTAGGAAGGAGCTGAGGAGGAAAACTGGCATGGTCTATTTGGGGATTTTGTTTGGAGTGCCACAAAGTGTCTTTGACTGCAGCACTGCTACTGTATTGGATATTATACTGTGGAGGACCATATATTTGAGGTGCAGATTGTGGGCCACTTGTGGGGCCTCTTATTATATTTGGCTCTTCGGGATTATGATTTGAATCAAACTTGAAAATTGCCTTTGTTCCTGATATTAAATCAGAAGATGAGGAAGAACCAGTAAATACCTGCAATGGTTGATCATACAACAGTGTGGCAGACTTGCTCCTGACTATATTTTTTCCATCAACAGCAGATGTGATTTTAACGGTTGTACTTGGCTGCTGAGGTCCATTATCACTAAGAATATCATAGATTTTTAGCCCTCCAATCTCCATATTAGTTATGCTATGAGATTTCACAACAGATCCAACTGGACCACTTTTCTGAGGGGAGAGATCTTCAGTGCTTTTGGAAATACCTAAGTCAACAGAACAATCACTGTCATGTGGTTCAGTCCTATTAGGAGACTGGGAAGTTTCCTCAGAATGTCCATTTACCTTATTTACGGATTCCAAATTAGGATACTTGTTTCCATTTTCCAAGTGCTCAGTTTCCTCTTTAGAATTAATGCTTAAAAAGCTTGTTCCAAGCACAATATCCTGTGTTTTTGATCTTTCCATGATCTCTGGTTGAAATGTATCATTAGTTATAAGTTTATTAAGATTCATATTGATATGATCTAATTTGTGAGTGTCATCAGCTGTGGCTGTTGAGTCAACACTTTTCTCAATTAGAACTAATCGCTCTTCAACATTCAAATCATATTCAGGTAAGTTAAAATCTTTTTTATCATGAGCTTTGAACTTTTCCTCTGTTGAACTGTTTAAAATATCTCCATTTTGTAAAAGGCTGTTAAAATTTTCATCTTCTTGCCTAAAATAAAGATAATTTTATGAAAAACATAATAAAGCCGAGTTTTCTTAGTAACAGGGAACATTAATAAATAAATTGTGTAGGTAGACAAGTTAAAAAAGTTAATAAAAGTCAAAGACAAAAGGCATTTATTATCAAGCATGTAATTTTAAAATATTATCTTAATAGTTAAAAGAGCTTTATATTCAGTTGGAGACAAGTAATACAATTAAAATTCATAGATAATACCAAGATTAATTTTCATCAATACACTCAATCTGATTTGTCACAAAATAATTTAAAGGGCTGAACTATGAATAAAATTTTAATGTTTGCTGCATCTTTTCATGAATGTGCTAAAAAAACAAAATGCTTGAGGGAGGGCAGATATATGGAGAGAAACCTAGTAACATGAATAGTGGAGTAAAGAGCAAAGGACATTTTTACAGTTAATTTTGAAGCCTTACATTATTAACCAAATTAACCATAGTTAACGAAGTACACAGTTGTTATTACATTCAAATATATAGGTAAGAAAATTGTACAAAGCAAAGAACTGAATAATTGTCCAAAGTTTAACATCAAATATGTAAAAGGCATAGAAAGATAAATGAAGTCTAATCACTCTTCTAAGTAGCTAGCTGTATTTGGTAAATACTTTTAAATGTGTCATTCCAAAATTATACAAAATATTTTATTTCTACCTGTGATATTAAGTATTTGTGTCCTCTTGTATACATATTCAAGTTATGTTTCCACAAAAATTCCCTAATACTGGTCTTCCCATTACAAAAAAGATAACTTTCATTACTAGAAATACAGCACAAAAAGGTGTTGCTGTATTCCTTGCTTAGGCTTTATTTCATTATATTAAAAGCAGGATTTAGAAAATATCATACCGCTTTCCCAACAATAAATAAAATTTTATTATTCAACAAATTAATACGATAATATCTAGGAGGTTATAAAAATTAGTATTTTAAACAGCAGCTCATAGCTTCAAATTCAAAGAATAGAAATAAATGATTGATTGTGATTATAATTACACAGTACCTAAACTCATTTTCAGGCATAAAATTCACCTCCCTTTTCCAACAACACGCATTAATATATACAAATTTTACTTAAATATGCCTGAAATTTAAGAACAACTCTAAATGACTATTAAAAATATCCACACATTAAACTTTTGGTTTAGTAGTAACCCCGATCTTTTTTTTTTTTTTTTTGAGACCGGGTCTCAATTCTGTTACCCATGCTGGAGTGCAGTAGCCTGATCATGACTCACTGAGGCCTAAACCTCGCAAGCTCAAGTTAACCTCCCACCTTGGCCTCTCGAGTAGCTGGGACTACAGGCATGTGCCAACATACCTGGCCAATTTTTTTGTAGAGACATGGTTTCACCATGTTGCCCAAGCTGGTCTTGAACTCCTGTACTCAAGCAATCTATCATCTTAGCCTCCCAAAGTGCTCGGATTACAGGCATTCCACCACATCCAGCCAACCCCAATCTGTCTCTTTTTTTTTTTTTTGAGACAAGGCCTAGCTCTGTCACCCAGGCTGGAATGCAGTGGGGTGATCACAGCTCACTGCAACTTCCGCCTCCTGGGCTCAAGCAATCCTCCCACCTCAGCCTCCCAGGTAGCTGGGACTACAGGCACATGCCACCACACATGGCCAACTTTTGTACTTTTTTTGGTAGAGATGGGGTTTCACCATGTTGCCAAGGCTGGTCTCGAACTCCTGGGCTCAAGCCATCCACCTGCCGCAGCCTCCTGAAGTGCTGGGATTACACGTTTAAGCCACCATGCTCAGCCCAGCCAATCCCCATCTTTCTAACAGAGTTTAGCTGATAGAGTAACACTATGGTAGAATGGCAGGGCCTTACTCTGATAACCAAATTTCTTCTTTTTTTTTCTTTTCAAACCCACTGCCAACATTATAGACAACCAATTTCTCAAGAGCCTAAATAATAAAATGTGTTTTAGACTTCAGCTAAATTCCAGGCTATACAAATTAACATTTATCTCTCTCTCAGTGAGTGTGTCCTACAAAATTAAGCCTAAGCCAAATATACACCACCAGTCAAGAGTATCTGAATGAACCCTTTAATGGCAGCCCCTCAAAATGATTCTGCATTTCTAACTATAAAAATACTCCTTTCAACTTAAATTACCTCAAATATGCTGTTTATGTTGCCATATCTAAAAATATATAAATATTCAACTTTTTAACCAGAGATTGAGAATCTAGTCTATTCTTCCCCATTTAAAAATCTAATTTAAGATGGAAATGTATAAAAACTAAATGGAAAATCAGCAATAAAAATGGGGAAATAAAACATATTACTGGAACCACTTCTATAATATTTATTAAACCCTATATATTTATGTATTTGTTATCTGCCTTACTACTTCTATTTATTGTATAAATAAAAAACTGTAAAAGAGGTTCACACACCTGATTTTGGAATTAATATCAATATGAGTTTGTTTCACTGGAGAGCAGAGTGAGGTGTCTTGACTACTATCAGTATTAAGAGAAACTGAATCAGACATCCGAGATGGAGAAGAACAATTGCTGTTATTCTGATTGCTATTGTGTGTAACTTCATCTGATAAAGAATCTGTTTCCTTTGTATCATCTGAAACAAAACAAATTTAAGATTAATGATAAATTCCCCAAGAATTGTGTGAAATTCTTTTCAGTGATGACAAATGGCAATTATACCATCCTGGTTCTATATATGAGGTAATAAATTATATTGATAATTGGAAGCACCCCTGAAAATTCAGTCCTAATACAAAGATTAAATAATTTTTAGATGGTGATATAATTTTTCAAAAAGTAACCAATGCTGGGGTTATTAAGAATTCGATTTAGGCCGGGCGCGGTGGCTCACGCCTGTAATCCCAGCACTTTGGGAGGCCGAGGCGGGCGGATCACGAGGTCAGGAGATCGAGGCCATCCCGGCTAAAACGGTGAAACCCCGTCTCTACTAAAAATACAAAAAAATTAGCCGGGCGTAGTGGCGGGCGCCTGTAGTCCCAGCTACTTGGGAGGCTGAGGCAGGAGAATGGCGTGAACCCGGGAGGCGGAGCTTGCAGTGAGCCGAGATCCCGCCACTGCACTCCAGCCTGGGCGACAGAGCGAGACTCCGTCTCAAAAAAAAAAAAAAAAAAAAAAAAAAAAAAAAAAAAGAATTCGATTTAGTTACTGACAAGGTGATATTATTATGTACTGTTTTCTAAGGTCAGTTAATTTCAATGAATATACTTTTCACCCATTTACAATTTGAAAAACTGATAATGAAAATTCATTTACAACCTTTCTGAACTCAACTGGGCAAGAAATTATTTCATACATATATGGAATTTTTTCCCATCTACTCTAATAAAAATAAGCAATTCAATCCACAAACATATAATCACCAAACAAATCAAGGAATTTTCAAAGGTCAGCTCTTTCTTAATGTTTTTAAAACATTTCATAAACTTGTTTATGAATGGTAAACTCTCAGTATGTAAGGTGGTTGTGTGTGTAGCAATTACATGAACAGAAACAGACAAGTGTTCATATTCTATAATAGGTAGTATAACAAGTAGTATTTTTTTAAAGTAGTGCTACAAATTTTTTTTTAACTAACTGAATTCTAGCCAAATCACAGAAATAGTGTATATAGACATATCCATAGATGATTATATGAATTAAGGATATCTTTGATGTTCTGAGATCTTAGGAGCACAGCTCAAGTAGTCCGGATTGTATTTACAGTTAACAGTAGCAAATGGACTCTAACTTTGATCTCAGTGTATTTAGGTTTTGAGCTCTTAACTTAACCATTAAAATAGATGGTTGTTAAGTTCTTTCTTAGATACACTCCACTTCCACCTCATCATGGGGGTTATTGTGACAATTAGATAATAACACGTAAAATATTTAGTATAGTACCTAAGCAATTAGTGCTCAACAAATTCTAGGTATCACTACTACAAAATGAACCCAAGCTATCCAAGGGCCACCTTGATAATAAGTATCATTGATGCCATAAAGACAAACGGCTAAACATTTGAGGAAGATGATGTAAAGATACTCAGGTGCTAGAGGGGAGGGGTGAGGGAAAGGATACATATCCTTCAAGATCTCTAAGAGTCTAAGATTGTCTTATATGAAAGAATGGCTGGCAGAGGTTGGACGGAGTGTAAAAAAATGTTTTGTGATACAATCAATAAAATAACGAGCACCTACTATACATAAGGTACTGTGCTAAAAGATACATTATCTAGCCTATTTGATGCAAAAATCCTTCATTAGCCTCATTGTATGTCAAATCAGATATGTACACATGGATAAAATTAACTCAAGGATTACACAGCAGATAAGTGGCAGAAATGAACAATCCAAGTTTATCTGTCGGTAAAGTCCATGCCTTTATAAGTAAATTTGCATGAGGAGAAAGAAAAGACTATCAAGGACTTTCCCTAAAAATGAGAGAGAAGGAAAGAGAACCTTTCAGAAAGCCATGTCTAAAAATTTGTTTCTAAAATGTATCAAATAACATAATATTCAATGAAATTTATTTCAAAAAAATTTATAAATTTATTGAGGCAATTTCTATTCTTAGCACTTTCCTTTAACATCTAACCTTTTTTGTTATTACTAAGTGCTACGACTTTTGGCTGGTTAATAGAGGTTTCAATTAATGGTGGTCGCATCTCCGCCATTTTCATCTCTTCATCAGAAGAAAGTTCTTCAGATTCCTAGTGAAAAGGGGGTGAGGGGGATAAAAATTAAATTTTTGTTTCTTTAAATAAATAAATATTAAGTCATAAGACTTTAAAGGGAAAACAAATATTATAAACACATATTAAACCTTTTCAAGATACGGCAATAAAATAACAACCAGTCCTTCCAAGACTGTTTGTACAATTTGTACCTCTATCCTTTTCATGGCACCATTATCCTAATCAAACATTAGGATACTGCTCCTCTATTCCCTTTTTTATACTGAGATGTTCACGTGCTGCATCTCCTATAATATTCTTACAACTATAGTAACTTTCAACCATATATAGCTCTATGAATTAGAGTAACACTCTATTAAAAGCCTTTAGTGGCTCCTCAACACTACAGAACATTAAGTTCAAACTTCTTAGCTTGGCTTTTCAGAGCCTCGTAATCAGGGCCCTGTCTACTCTACTGATCTTATTTCATAATATTGTCTCTGACTTATTCAGTAACATAAAATGTTAATAACATAACATTTTATGTTATTCAGTAACATAAAATGTTATTTTCCATATGTTCCAAATGCCATTCTTTCACTCTCATCATTCCTTCCCCATTTCATTCCATTCTCCTGTATCTGCGAATTAAAATTTTCCAAAACACAGGTGAAATGCCCCCTTCTCAAGGCAGCCATAAATCTTCCTCCTAAATTTCTTTAACACTTAGTACATTTCTAACACACTTAGCACAGTCTATCCTTAATTATATATATTTGCATTCATTTAAATCCCTATATCCACTTATCCATTCTGCCACCTTAGCTCTAAACACAGTGCCTTACACATAGAAATTACACTAAATGAGTCATAAGTTCACTGTAACAAACCTAATAATTTTTTCACAGCCTGTGACATTAGCTTCAGTGCATACCATAGCGTATTGAGTGATATTAACCATCCTTTTTTTAAAAAATTATTCCTGTTGTAAATGACAGCTCACAGGATAACCAGGAAAAGAGATGGTGTGCTTGAATGCATTTTGAAATTTTAGGGATGAAGATGTATTAACTTAAATAGCCACTTGTAGCTAGTATGTACTGCAGTGAACAATGCAGCTATAAATCAGAAACACTTCAGATATTCATATTAAAAAGTTACAGCTTCACCATTTTACATTACCACTAGCAGTGTATGAAGGGAATATAAAATGGTGCAATCATTTTTCATTCATGAAAATATATATCCACACAAAAACCTGTACACAAAAATTCACTGCAGACTTATTCATTACAGCCAAAAAGTGGAAATAATTAAAATGTCCATTAATTGAAGAATGGATGAACAAAGGGTGGATATACACAATGTAGTATTATTCGGTCATAAAAATGGATGCTGTGTTGATATATGCTATAACATACAAAAACTTGAACACATTATGCTAGGTGAAACAGACCAGGCACAAAAGACCACATATTGTATGATTCCACTTAAATGAAATGTCAAGAATAGGCAAATTTACAGAGGCATATAAAGTAGATTTTTGGTTGCCTAGGGCCAAAGGGGATAAAGAGTGAGGAGTAACAGGTAAAGAGTATGGAATTTCTTTCTGGGGTGAGAAACATGTTCTAAAAGTCACTGTAGTAATGGCTGCACAATTTGGTAAATATACTAAAGGCCACTGAATTGAATACTTTAAATAAGTGATTTGTATGATATGTGAGTTATATCTCAATAAAGCTGTTTTTTAAAAAAAGTTCCAGCTTTTATTTATCCACTAGAAGAAACTCCACATCTAAAAACTGTCTCAGACATTCAACCAAAAAATCTTTCACTTTCAAGGATAAATGCATAAATAAGTTAAATAATTGGGTATGCCTATAGTAGTCTTTTCATTTTTAAGTTACAGAAATAAAAGCAATTATGTATTTTACAGTAGCCTAGACTATCTATAATCTAATTCGCATAAACATCTGAATACAAAGGGCATAATAATTTGTAAGTTTAAAGTGACAAGTGAGTGATATTTTTGCAGATATGAAATTTCTCAATGATGAATGCATTAACATATTTTCTACAATCAGTATCAGGTCTTTATTTAGCAACAATAAAATATTAAATTGAAAGTTCTTATAGTTGCTCCAGAATAATCATAAAATCATACCTCAAAAACATCATCATGGTTAACAATATGCTTCAAGTTCTCAGAGGCTTTCATATTTGCAGTCACTGGTAAACTCCCAGGACTAATCTCAGCTTCAGGTTCACTGATCTTCTGTACAGAGTTTCCTATCATATATTTTTCTCTTTCATCAACTTTGCTTTTTACTGTAGTAGTACTTTCTGAGGTCTAAGTAAAAGAAAAGATAAAGAGCTCATATTCTTTAAGTTTTATATCTATTTTAAAAGTTCAGATAAAAATTTGTAAGCAATTTGCCAACTTCCAATTCTGGACTAATCTCAAACATGAAAACTTTAAACATAGAAACCTGTGACACTCACAGATAAAATGCTCATTTTAGGAGCACGTGGCCCCCAAAGATCCATGAGCCACATTAAAATTTAAAAGTTAGCCAAGGTTACTTTCCTCTTAGAAGCTGCCAAGGCTTGTAAGTGTGGACAACTGAGTCACTTAGCTCAGCAAACTCAACTCCGGATGGTTAAAATTGTTTTCTGCTCATTGTGGACTGTACAGTAACTCTAATGACATGGTAAAACTTTTGTTTCTGTGATACAATAATGTGTGTGTGGCAAAGTCCTAAAGGAATATACAGACGATTTAGGGATTTGTGAAAGTTTCTGAAACATCGCAAGGAAATGCCAACTGTCTGTCATTGCAATTACATTTAAAATGAGAATTAGGTAAAATGGACCAATATTAACAGGGGGAAAAATTTCCATAATAATAATTTTTCTGGCATTCATTATCTTCTTTGTTCAGACAATGATTTTTTTAAAGGCTATGCTGACAATACACTGTCAATTGGACATTCTATAGCCAGAGTGGTAATGATAGTAATTATGGACTTCACTGATTATTTGTTTCCCAGTTCAGGTAGCTGAGAACAAAACCTTAAATTTGCAAGTGCAGTCACGTGGCACTTAACAACAGTGGTATGTTCAGAGAAATTTATTAGGTGATTTTTTTCCTCTGTGAACATCACAGAGTGTACTTACACAAACCTAGACAGTATAGCTTACTACACACATAGGCTATATGTAATATTACATATACATACACTATATGTATATACATACATATACATATACATATACTATATTACATATAGGCTATATGTAATATAGCCTATGGCCCCAAGGCTACAAACCTGTATAACATGTTACTGTACTGAACACTATAGGCAATTCTAACACAATAGAAAGTATTTGTGTATGCAAACATATCTGACTATAGGAAAGTTGTGTTATGACATCATTAGGCAATAGGAGTTTTTCAGCTCCATTACACATTTTTTCTTTTTTTGAGACAGGGTCTCGCTCTGTCACCCATGCCGGAGTGCTGTGGCATGATCATAGCTCACTGCAGCCTTGAACTCCTAGGCTCAAGGGATCCTCTCACCTCAAGTCTCCCAAGTAGCTAGGACTACAGGAGCATGCCACCATGCCCAGATAATTTTTAAAATTTTTTGTAGAGACAGGTTGTCTTGCTATGTTGCCCATGCTGGTCTTGAACTCCTGGCCTCCAGTGACTCTCCTGCTTAAGCCTCCCAAATAGCTAGGTCAACAGGCACACATCACCAAGCCCAGCTAATTTTTTTTTTTAAACTTTCTGTATAAACAGTCTCACCATCTTCATCAGGCTGTTCTCAAATCCTCGGTGTAAGTGACCATCCCACCTCGGCCTCCCAAAGTGCTGGGATAACAGGAGTGAGCCACCATGGCCAGCCATCTCCCTTATACTCTTATTTTTTGTTTTTGAGACAGAGTGTCACTCTGTCACCCAGGCTGGAGCACAGTGGTACGATCTCGGCTCACTGCAACCCCCGCCTCCTGGGTTCAAGCGATTCTCCTGCCTCAGCCTCCCAAGTAGCTGGGATTACTGGTGCCCACCACCACGCCCAGCTAATTTTTGTACTTTTAGTTGAGATGGGGTTTCACCATGTTAGCCAGGCTGGTCTCAAACTCCTGACCTCAAGTGATCTGCTTGCCTTGGCCTCCCAAAGTGCTGGGATTAGAGGTGTGAGCCACCACGCCCAGCCCCTTATACTCTTATAGGACCACCATCATATGTATGTGAGCATGTCGACCGAAATATCATTCTGTGGTGCATGACTGCACATTCAGAGTACATGAAAAGGGGCACTATATCAACTGTCATTTAAAAATAAGAACTTGAAATAGGCTTTGGTTAATCCTTTTGAATTTTCTAACCTTCACACCCACATCTTTATTTATATCTTGTTGATCTTCATGTGGTTTCAAATCTCTTCCTGAGTCTTCATTGGTCTCTTCATCTTTTAATCTATGTACAATGGTTTGAACAGTTTTGACCATATTCTTAAGCTCATCTGGGTATGGTGTTGGATATCTTTTTAAATTTCCCTCCTAGAGAAATAAAATAAGTAAAATATGAAGTACAAATATTTCTAATGTCAATCTCAAACAAAATTTAATCTGTAACCCATCTGAATTACATTAGATATCAAGCTCATAGGGATAACTGTGAAGACAGATGATAGGCTTTGAAGGCATTTTAGGCTTGATAAAAATATGGTTTTATGACAAAATAAGACTTTGCAGTAAATTTCAATGTTTTAAAAGTTTTATCAGACTCAAATATTTCCATTTAGAGATATATAGTATGAATATTGCCAAAAATTGTGTCACTTAGCTTTGAAACAGATACACATTTTTCAGCTATTCATCTACGTATATATAAAATTCAGATATTCGTATATTTATGTCTCACATACCAAGAGCCATATTTTTCCAAGGTCAGCCTGTCATTTTCTGAGATTCAGCTAAGTTTGTATAAGGGGCAAATAATTACATTCATTAAGTAACTAAAAAATATGTATTTACTACTCCTATCACTGTGACATGTTTTCAATTCCATAAAGAAACAAAATGTTCATAACAAAGAGTTCTTTATCTCTAAGATTTATAAAAATAAATCATTAAAGAAAGGGAAAGGGGAGAAAATAATCATTACGAATATGGTGGGGGGAGAGTCAGCTAAACTGAAGTTAAACATAAAGGGTACTAATTTGAAATAAAGTGCTGGTTAATTTCTCTAGCCTATAATAACGTTTTCCTCTTATATTTATATATACTATGAAATTTAGCTTTAAATCACATAGTTTTATATTGTTCCCAAATTCTTTCATGTCTGAAATATTTGGAATCAATAACACTTCAAGTGCCTTGAGGACAAGGAATAAATTCAATACTTTGTTATATCCCCAGACATCATAGTATATATAATACCAACTTAAATATCAGCAGACTTGTTTCAAATTTTAAAGAATAAAGAACAGACTCACCCTGGGAGGTGCCTCCCTTTCATCTTTGTCTTCATCACATTCAAATGCAACTTGAGCCCGCTGTTTCCTCTGTTCCTCCCACAATGAAGGGTTAAAACTTTCATTA
Organism: Homo sapiens; assembly: GCF_000001405.40. Classification (NCBI taxonomy): domain Eukaryota; kingdom Metazoa; phylum Chordata; class Mammalia; order Primates; family Hominidae; genus Homo; species Homo sapiens. The sequence goes on along the minus strand of NC_000005.10, from coordinate 66,043,092 downwards.
TCTGATATAAACATAACTAGAGAAAAGTAAAAAACAAAAACCTACTATATTTTACTGTAATTATGGAAAACTATCACTTGCTCATAATTTCTGTATGAGTTATGTTCACTACAATAAGTCTAAAATAGTTAAGAATGGTCAATGCAAGAAATTAGAAATCCTAATGCGTTGGCCGATTCTTTATAATGTCCATGTAAGATTTCTTTACAATGTCAATCACATATCCTTTCTTCCCTGAAGCTGATTCGTCTTGTTTTCTTACCAGAAGGGTTCCTGAAGAGAATCTACCAATTAAAATACCATAGATATATGGTTTTGGGCAGTGCTCTAAAAGGTGCTATGGTAGAAATGCAATTTCATCACTGTATTAAACATTATACATAATATGGATTATATACTAAGTTCTTACAATATATTTTCTATATCAAAATGTAAAAATAATGGAAATTTTAAGGTAAACCCAACACTTATATATTCTATCAGATATATAGGGTGAACATCCCTAATCCAAAAAATCCAAAATGCAAAAAATTCTAATGAGCATTTCCTTTGAGCATTGTGTCAGCACTCCAAAAGGTTTGGATTTTGGCATAGTTTGAATTTTGGGTTAGGGAGGCTCAACTGATATGAATTCTGCAAATATTCCGAAGTCAAAAAAAAATCAAAACCTGAAACACTTCTGGTCTCAAGCATTTTGGATAAGAGATACTCAACCTGTAATATCAAAAGCAAAGATTAAACAACTGTCAGTTTTTTGTTATTATTAGGCATCTAAAAAATACATAAGGCTTAAAAATTAATTCATTCAACTATTTATATCATTCCATAGTTGTGCAATACAAAATAAAATCACAAATTTAAAAGAAAATGACTATCCTTTACTCAAAACAGAGAGATTACAAGTACCCAAAATGAGCTTTAAAGAACCCCAGAAACTCCTGGAATACCCAAATATGGTCAATTCGAATATTTCTGCAAAAATAACATAATACAAAAACTTCTAATTATCATTTTTATTAAGCCCTTATTTGGGGCTTGCTTAACCTTTTAAAATCTCATACCCAAATTAAGGATGTCATGAAACCAAATCTTACCAATGGGAATGAAATTCTTTGATTTAGCCTTTTCTTTGTTTTCATTACTCCATTCAAGATTTTTTTTCCCTTATAATTGCTTTTTTAAATTGCTTAACACGTACTCAATGAAGTAGTGTATTTGTTTTTGTTCAAAACAAATGTGGAATGTGATTCAAATTCCTACTGACATACTTTTGTGGTATGATTGGAAAGGCAAGGACAGCCCAGCAGTTTCCAACAAAGTCTATTTTTTAATTCATATAATTCCCTCTCCCTTGTTCCAGGGCAGTAATTTCAATCACCAGCTTGGCCCAGAGATTCCAATTAGTGTTAGATTATTTCTAAAGCAACTTTACACCAGAATTTATTCAGAAGCCCAAGGTAAGTTAACTTATACCATGCTTCTCATTCTTGTCAAATTCTCGTCACTTACACTTTCTACTCTTTAGTATAAATCTCACATCTTTGAAGATTCAGGATATCAGGTAATATCCCTTTCTATCCATTCTAGAGGCTACTCAAACTGATCACCCAGGTATAGACTTACTGAGGACTCTAATATTTTAGCTACAGATTTTCTCTCCACCTAAGACCTGCTAATATCCTGAATGATGTCAATGTGGGATGATAAGCCCACCACCCCAACACTACAACTTTATAATTCCTTGATGTCCTCAATCCCAATGTCCCTATGCACATCAGCTAAATGATTCACAACCATAGTCATACCCAGGACTTTTCCACCTCTTTGACCACTACACCTGTTCTTCCAAATCACTCAATTCCTTATTATTGCTGGTAAACTTTTGGTTCCTTAACTACCTTTCTTTTGCTCCTTGTAAAATCACTCTAGGTTTTACTTCCTTCTCTATTAAGCTTAGATTTTATGATACATTAATCACTACCACTTCCTGAAATGCCCTTACCCCAACTTCCAGAGGCAACTTTCACTTCAATGTAAAAAGAAATGCAATAAAAACCCTCAGACTCATATTTCCACTAATATCCTGCTTTCTTAGCTACAAATGTATTGTTATATGAAGGCATACTTCCCTTTCTCTCTGATTAAGACTGATTCCTCTACCTAGGCCCAAGATCTCACCCCTGCTCTTGCATATTTATTCATCACTATCTACCTTTAGAATCTTTCTTTTTTTCCTCTTTTTTTTTTTAATCTTCCCACCTTCAGAATCTTGAAGGCAAGAATTTTTGCCTTTACTTAGCTCTAGCACGATACCTGTCACAAAGGTGGGATGAAAAATAGAATTAATTAAGTGTGAACAGTGCCTAATTCTCTCAAATTGGTATAAAACCCAAACCCAAACACATAATATTTTTTGACTCATCTATTTCTTGGAGGCACTGGGATAAAGACAAAAGCCTTTCTTATAGGTGAAAGGAAATTCATTCACCTTGTTTAGTGCTGTGTTTATAATACCCATGGGATACTTTAGGTGACACATGAACTCTAAGATGACCCAGAATATCATAATTGATACTGTATTTCAAACTTTTCTATTAGAAACTCTTCCATTCTAAAACAAATCTCAAAATCAAAATTTAGTAGTGGCAAGATTTTGCTACTTCTATTCTTCCTATCAGAAATAAATGTTTTACCTGAATTGTGATCTCTTTTCAAATTAAACAGGAAAGGAATAAATTTCAATGATAGAATAGAAAAAGAAGGCAAGGTAGATTTGAATTATTAAAGTAGAAACCAGCATGAGAAGAAATCAAGGCAAGAATATACCTATGATTCGGACAGTTTAGAGGCGGGATGAGTAAACTTTTTCTATAAAGGGTCAAATAAATATTTTAAGCTTTGTGAGAAGCAACTAATGATAATAGCATCTATTTTGGAGGATTATTGTAAAGATGAGAAGTTACGGATACGTAAAGTGCTTAGCATTGTGTCTGACTCAAATTGGCTATTATTCTTGCATTGTTATAGCAGGTTTAGCTTTGAAATACTCTTGTATTCCAGAACTAGTGCTAAACTATTAGAAAACTCTTTACCTTCTATAGGATAACTATTTCTTGCTCTCTGCCAGAAGCAATAAAAGACTTGCTTTGATAAGTTATTATTTCATGGGTAAATCTGATGACTTGTATTTAGATGTAGCAAAACCTATTCAGCTTTCTAATCCGATTAGAAGATTTGTGAGATAACTAATGTAAAGAGCTTCATTCACTGGAGGTTCTATAGTTAAAGCTTTGAGAATAGGTTTACAAACAACCTCTCTTCCATGTATTTAAATTCACCCATAATCTCCAAATTAAGCAATACAATAAAATATGGAAGTATGTTTCCATAACAAAATATAGTATACTTAATATTAAGCTGTCAATAGTGATTACTGTTTTATGTGAACAATAATTTCATGAATTAGAAATTAAGTTAAAAATAGAAGTGCAAACCCTGCTTATGCTGTAAGCAGTGCCATGTGGGGAATTACAGCAAATACTTGAATGCATCAATAGCTAAGTTTTTTGTTTGTCTTACTCACTGAAACTTATGTCTCAATTTCCTACTTTTCTTTGTCTCTGAAGATGATTTCTGGAAAATAGGAAGTAAGGGTAAGCATCCTCTAAATAATGTTATAATCAGCTATGCAATATACTAGATAATTGTTCTTTTACATGAGAGGACAGAATACTAGCGTAAGTTAAGCATCCCTTATGTGAAATGCTTGGTTCCAGAGTGTTTTGTAGTGAATGAATGTGGCTGTGCTCCAAAAGAACTATTATCATCATTTCAAGATAAGGAAACTGAAGTTCAAGAACCTATTTAACTTGCCCGTGGTATAATTTATAAATTAAGACTTATGATTGAAATGACTGATTTACATTTTTTCTTCAGTGTTTCTATGTACTAAGAATTAATTTATAAATAATTTCAAACCACAGAGATTTTCACTGGTGTCAGAAAGAAGATACATAAAAAATAGTTACTTTAAGTGTAACACAATAAACACACACACACACACACACGCAGAGAGTACAACATATACTAAAAACAATTTGCTCGTTAGTCTAAAAGGTCGTCATACCATAATCTATAAAAACATCTGTGCCCAGTAGTAAAAGGTATACTCCCCCTTGTCGGGCAAAATAAAGAAAAGAATTTAAGAGTAGTATTTATAGTCAGAGTTCAACAGATTATCCTGATCCAGTGTGTAGATCCAAGTGTAATATTAAGTTCACAGGTGAAGAAAATATTTCTTGGTTTAATAATTCTTATCACATAACACTTAACATGTATTCCTAGCATACAGCTAAATGTTTTTAAGTTATCAATTTTAACACTGCGGTTTAATTTAAAGGAATCATTTAAGGAAGCATATGCTACACTTATACTTCTAAATTCAACCCCTGAAATCGTGCCCTATTTTTCCATTATTTCGAAACAAACTGTTTTGGTCAATTCTCTGAAGTCCCATCAAACTGGTAAAAGTCTCTGAGACTTAAAGTTCACTTCACACCTTTTAAATTAGTATTTGTTTTTAACAAGAAAATCGATTATGAAATTCCTACCATCCTCAGTCCTTGGCTGTTGAGGGAACATGTAGTTGGTAAGCACCATTTTCTGGGTCTCTGAATCAGTTTCTTTTTGAAGAGGTATCAGGGGTTTGGACTAGAGAAGGAAAATAAATGCTTAATTTTCAATAACCCTAAAGCAAATATATATTCAGCAATTCCTCTGCATAAGTACACACCACTTTTTCTATAAAGTATCAATGTGCAGGTTACAAACAAATCTAACTATACACAATAACACTTTAGGCATTGATTTGATAACACTTTAGGCATTGATTTGAAACCATATTAAAATCCAACAAATGTAGTTTTTAGTATAAAGCAAGTAAATCAAGCTACTGAAATATCGTTTTAAAAGATTTCATATACTAAGTTTATCCATAGTCCGTTACTTATTAACACAGTGATATATTTAATACAGTTATAAAATAAGCCTTTCCATTGTATATTATTTTGCCCTCTCTAGTATTCCCCTTCACTAAGATGCTTTTGGAAAAAATGTGGAACAGTTAGTCTGGTTATCTAAATGTTTATTCTAGTTAGCAGCTGAAAAGAGAATGATGAAAACAATCAGCTGCTTCTTTTTCTTCCTCTTGTGTATCCTGTCTACAGTAATGACACCAGTAAGTCACTCGGTGGTGGAGTCCCCCAGGAAATTTGGACCTTCTTTTTTCTTATGATTTTTTCCCTAACTAGTCAACAAATGTTATCCATCTATTTTTTAATATAACTAATTCTTTTTGCTATTCACCTAAAATCCTACCAATAAAAGCCTTGGCTGACTCCAGACGGACAGAGAACTACCCAATTCTCCCCTCACATGTCACCCTATTACTTAATTCTTTGCACCTACTCCTATGAAAACCTTCCAGCTAGTTAATTCCATCCTGTAATCTTACTCCCATTTAAACATTCCTTTCTGTTCCTCAGCAAACAAAATCTGCCCTACATTTCAAATTCCTGAACAATTTCCTTAACTCTCAGATAATGGAAACGGTAGCTCTACTCCCTTCCCAAAGACAGTGCTTCTCTCAGGCCTCAAATACAGGTGTTTTATTCTCTCCTACCTCATCCACCCCAAGTCAGGAGGTGAGGGTAGCGCTTACAATGCTGTGACATCATTCCTCCCTTATCCTCAGATTTAAATTCCTTTTCCTTTGAGGCATATAACCCATACCTTCCATAGTCAATCTCCTGTCCTATTATCTACTGGCCTCTTGGTGGTATTCATCTATTCCTGGCTCTTTTACACCAAATTTTTCCAAAGTCACGAGTAATTCAACATATACAAAACACATATGACATTTCCATACTTTTGGCTTCTTAGCAGATGAACAATTTGTGAGAAGAAAAAAATAAGCCCCCTTAGATGAGCATATAAAAATTATATGGGAGGCTTTTAAAAACTCATCACCCTGAAAATCTTCTAAAACTGTTGTAATTGTTGCACAACTCTGTGACTATACTAAAAACCACTGAATTGTATCCTTTAAAAGGGGTTCACTGTATGGTACATGAATTACATGTCAACAAAGATGTAATAAGAAAACTAGTCACCTGTTATTTATGAGGCACAGACAGAAAAAGGAATGAGAACAGTATATCTGGCCTCTCAGTTCCCTGAACACCTAACTTCAGAGATCTTTAATCCGATTTCATTTCACATATTCTATTACTATGCCATAATTCCTAAAATATTCTTCTCTGAAATATAAAGATCACTCATTCAATGAATATTTCCTAAGAGCCTTTTATATTGCAAAGCACTATGACAGGTCCTGTGTACAGAGTGGTGAGCAAAGCATGTATCTTTACTGACTTTACTGTAGAGTTTATGAGAGGAAGAATACAGGTAACAAAATAGGCAACTGCTACTGTAATTCCAAGTGAAATTACAGGGTAGACAGGGTACAGTGTGCAAGAAGAACATACAGGAGGAGAAATTCACTTACCACTATCTTGAATGATTAGCAAAGCATTCCTGAAAGAAAGTCTAAGGTGAGGATAAGAAGGTAAGAAGCCAGGTAAGAAAGAGAAGGAAGAATGTTCCAAGAAAGCAGAACTGATTTAGAGAAATGAGAATGAATGTGTATGGGGTAGAGATGAAGCCACAAGATGAGCAGGCTCTTGAGGCATATGACATAAAGAAAAAAGAAACAATGAAAAGGTTTTAAGTAGGATAGTGCTGGGATCAGATTAAAGAATCACTCAAATCACAATGTGGTTCAGAATGGGTAATAAGGGATTGGAACTGGTAGCAACACTGGAGGCAGAGACCTATTAGGAAGCTACCTCAACAGTCTGTCAGCACTGTTCGAAAGCACTGTAAGGTAAGACAAAAATGAGTACCACAGATTATTTATAATTTTCTTTTTCTTTTCTTTTTAAGAGAATCTTGTTCTGTCACCCAGGCTGGAGGCTGGAGTGCAGTGGCATGATCATAGCTCATTGTAACCTAGAACTTCTGGGCTCAAGCAATCCTCCCGCCTCAGCCTCCCAAGGAGCTGGTACTACAGGTATGTGCCACTGTGCCTGGCTATTTCTTTTTCTAAGAGATGGGATCTTGTTATGTCACCCAGGCAGGTCTCAAACTCCCGGCCTCAAGCAAGCCTCCTGCCTTGACTTCTCAAAGTGCTAGGATTACAGGTGTAAGCCACCACGCCCAGTCTGATTACTTATAATTTTTTAGTAGCCACATATAATAAAATGGCAAAAAAGATGAAATTTTGATAATGCATTTAACTTTACATATTCAAAATATCATTTTAACATATAATCGAAAAAAATTAGGAATATGACCATATATATTATCTGTTCATACTAAGGCTACAAATACCAGTGTGTACCTTACACTCACACCAAATCTCAATTTGGACCAGTCACCTGACACTAGTGGCTATGGTACTGGACAGTGCAGGTCTAAGTGAAAGATGACAGTGAACAGTATTTAAGGGAAGTGGTAGTAGGGATAAAGCAAAATACACAAACACTAGGATGTTTAAGATTCAATAGGGCTTGTCTATCAACTGGACTGAAGTACAGGGAAAAACAGTAGTTAAGGGTTGCATTTCCAGGCCTCTGCCTCCATCAAGTATTATTTACCAAGCTAAAGAAGCTGAGGGGTGTGGGGGAAATATATTTGGGGCAGAACGTGGTATACTCAATTTTGGGCTTGCTGAATTTGAGACATGTAGGTGGCAATGTTAAGTAGGAATTGAGCTATATGAATGTGAAGCTCTGGCACAAGAACTGGGCTGAAGATATTGTTAAGAATAATGAGGATACAGATAGCAATTTCAGGAGAAAGTAGGGAGAAATTAAAGCAGAGCCTAGGGTAACCATGAGAAGCACAAACATGTAAGGCACAGGCAGAACAAATATGTCTGAAAAGGAGACTGAGGAGCAGTCAGGTAAAAGGACAACCAGCAGAGTATGGTAACACAGACATCATGCAGCCCTCCCACTCCACTGCACTCACAGTACTTGCTGATCACCCTCAGCAAGACTACTATTCCTTTGACCTTTTGACATTCTTCCCACCATTTACTCCTGTCTTTGACTCCCCTTTTGTACCACACTGTATCTTATTTAAACCACTTTCTTGCCACAAACCAAGACCTCTTTGCTGCATTATTCTTTTCTTGCACCTGTCTTGGCAAAACTACAGCCCAAAATCCTTCCAGTTGTGTGCTTTCTCTATATTACATTGCTGAGCAAATTAGTATCACCACAAACTTGTGGAGTGATTAATTTGTACTCATATTTGTGTACTGATACTAATAATACTTCAACTAGGCTCTACATGTTACCTGAAAATCCTTCTATGTTTCCTAAACTGTGTTCTGAAAATATCTTCCTTAAAAAAAAAAAAAAGGATTCAAGAACAGCTATGAGGTTGTGCTTGGTGGCTCACGCCTGTAATCCCAGCACTTTGGGAGGCCGAGGTGGGTGGATCACATGAAGTCAGGAGTTCAATAACAGCCTGGCCAACATGGTGAAACTCCGTCTCTACTAAAAATACAAAAAGCTGGGTGTGGTGATAAGTGCCTTTAGTCCCAACTACTCAAGAGGCTGAGGCAGGAAAATTGCCTGGACCCAGGAGGCAGAGGTTGCAGAGAGCCAAGATGGAGCCACTGCACCCCAGCCTGGGCGACAGAGTGAGACTCTGTCTTAAAAAAAAAAACAGCTATGAGTATGGAAAATTCTACATTCTAAGAGTATCATAATGTACACTATTTCCTCTCCTCCCTTTCACAAACGTCATACCCAAGCTCTCTCCAACAGGTTAAGAATTCCTGTCATAGCTTTTCCATCAGTTTCCATCCATTATCCAACTGCTTCTCATATTCTTTTTTTTTTTTTTTGAGACAAAGTCTCGCTCTGTCACCCAGGCTACAGTGTGGAGTGCAGTGGAGTGATCTCGGCTCACTGCAACGTCCGCCTCCTGGGTTCAATCAATTCTCCTGTCTCAGCCTCCCGAGTAGCTGGGGCTACAGGCACACGCCACCACGCCCGGCTAATTTTTGTATTTTCAGTAGAGACGGGATTTCCCCATATTGGTCAGGCTGGTCTTGAATTCCTGACCTCAGGTGATCCACCCGCCTCGGCCTCCCAAAGTGTTGGGACTACAGGCATGAACCACCGCACCAGACCCTCATATTCTTAATCTTACTCACACAGCTTCTTTCCAACAACCTGTAAACATGCTCTGCAATATTAAAGGATCCCTGCGCTTTTCCTGCTGCTAGCTATCAATTTCTTTATGTTCCATTCCATTTCCTTCTCATCCAACCTTCTTAAAGAGTAATCAACATTATGTGATTCCATTTCATCATCTATTTATTCCTTAAACTCCTTCAATCTGGGTTTTGCCATATACCTCTATAATTACTTTAGCTAGCTGCCAAATATAATGGATATTTTTCAGATATAATCTGAACTGACTTCTCAACAGCATTTATCCTATTAACAACTTCTTCCTTCAGGCCAGTCTTAACTCTTCCTTCTTCACTCTTAACTTGAGTCCATCATCATCCAGTTCTCCTTCTACTTCTATGGCTACTCTCTTTAAGCCTCTTAGTCTACTGCCATTTAAATGTTGGGGTTCCTCAGGATTCATCATGCATCACTAACATTTTAAAAGTTATTTTATATAATTCCTTTTGAGAAACAACAAAAGCTATGACACCATTCCCTAGAAAAAGTTAATTACGATCATGGGCTGAAACAAATGTGTATTTCTTCTTGTGCCACAAATCTTTTAAAATAAAGTGAATATATTTTTACAAATAAGCACAAAGAATAAACCTATAATAGTACTGAAAAAAGAAAATGAAGCCTTCAGGAGCAATTTTGAGAAGCTTCTGAAGGTTAGAAATTTTTAAATAGAGAAACCAAGAGCACAGAAACCATACAGAAGAAAATGAAGTCAGGAGGTTCATGGTCACCAGCGTGTTCTATGCATGGCTAACTTGGATATACCAAAGATACTTCTAACTCAACATGTTTAACTAGAACTTAGCATCTTCCCATAAACATATTTCTTTCATTTGTGGTTACTTTTCTTGGTTGTGGCAGTATTATCCACCTAGTCACTGAAGCCAAATCTTTGACCCTCATCTTTGCTTTTACTCTCTTCTCACATACATGCATTGCTTCATGCTCTATTGATGCAATCTTTTAAACTATTCCTCAAAAATACCTGCTCTTCCCCCAGTTCTGTTTCATTACTTTAGTTCAAGGCAACGTGTTCTGTTGCCTAGAGTATGACAATGTCCTCCAATTCAGTCTCCCCTACCTTCATGCTTGGCACTAACCCCTGATGAATCCATCTTCCACCATGCAGCCAAAAAGGCCTTTCTAAAATATCAGTGTGATCATACTATTTGCCTGTTCAATGTTACACTGGTTTCCGTATTATCTATCATAAAAATCACTTCTTCCTTTTATACTGATGGCAGATATGAATAATTGATCATGACTAGAATGAACAAATGTCCATTTTGCCTGAGACAGACACAACTTATACATGTTGTTCTCATGTAATTATCAATGGTGCCCCTTTCACTCCCCCGAAAGTGTCCTATTAGGGACAATAAACTACACAGCCACCCAAATCACAGCAATTTTCCACTAGCTTGAATTTGATCATAAGTCAGAATCTGCAACACAATTTTTCAGGAAGCCACTCATAATTGATAAGAGTACAAGATTTTAAAAAATCTTATTTGCCATCCTTGAGATATAATACAGGTTCCTCTGCATGGCATAGAAGATCCTCCACCAACTGATCTCTATCTGCCTTAGTAGCCTCGTTTTCTACCTTTTCCGTCTCACTGTTACACTCTTGTCACAATGATCTGCTTGTAGAGTTATGGAATATACTATGCTGCTTTGCACCTAAATGCTTATGCTCATGATATTCTTCCAAACCAGAACACTGTTCTCTTTTTTTTTCTTTAAATCTTATGTCTAGTTGGTCATGGTGGTGCAGGCCTATAATCCCAGATACTCAGGAGGCTGGGGTGGGAAGATCACTTGAGACTGGAAGTTTGAGATCAGACTGGGCAACACAGGAAAACCCCACCTTAAGGGGTAAAAAATAGACAAAAATCCTATTCCTCTTTTTTATTTAAAAAAACTATCTTGGAGATAGAATCTTGCTCTGTTGCCCATGCTGGAGTATAGTGGCATGCTCATAGCTCACTATAACCTAGAACTCCTGGGCTCAAAGGATCCTCCAGCCTCAGCCTCCTGAGTAGCCTGGACTACAGGCATGTGCTACCCCACCTGGCTAATGTTTTAATTTATTTGCAGAGACGGAATCTTGCTATGTTTCCCAGGTTGGTCTCAAACTCGGGCCTCAAAAGATCCTCCCACCTCAGCTTCCCAAAGCTCTGGGATCAGAGGTGTGAACCACCATACCCAGCCCCGTTCCTCTTTTGAGAGATAATTCAGGCACTGCAGGCATTTCCTCCTCTGAGAAATTTGCCTTTACATCCCTTGGTTATCTTCCCCATCTTTGATCCTAAAGCTTAGTCCTATTAAGTCTTTTAACCACATTGTATTAAAGTAACTTTCTAAATATTGTTCCCACCTTAAATTGCCTGGCACAAAGCAGTTGTTCAATAAATGGTTCCTGAGAATCACAAAATGGATGAGGGAATAAATTAATAAATAATTGTTCTGCTCATGCCTTCAGCAGCTCATGAAAATTATATTACTGCATGTACTGTTCTACATAGCTGAGCAATTTATTTTCATAAACATTAAATAGTAGAACAATTTACTTTTATAATTCACAACCAAACCTCTGTATACCTTCTCCTCTACATGTCATTCTTTCATAGCAAAATTATTGCTTCATATGGTAAGGGTAAGGGAAATTTTCTAGGTATATCTGATTTGTTTTACTCAATATTCTGTCAAACTTTGAAGAACAAAGACTCCTACCATACAATTTTTGTTTTAAACCAAGTGGAGAGTGAGAATAGAATGAGAGAACACTATAAATATGAAGAAACCGTAGCAGATACTTGGTTAATTTCATTAAAATGAACCATCTGGTATAATTTGCTGGCATTAATTTATCCACAGAAGTGCTACTGCAGGCCAGGCATGGTGGTTAACACCTGTAGTCCCGGCACTGTGGGAGGCTGAAGCAGGGGGATGGCTTGAGTCCAGGAGTTCAAGACCAGCCTGGGCAATATCATGAGATCTTGTCGCTACTAAAAACGTTAAAAAAAAAAATTTAGCTGGGCATGGTGACATGTACCTGTGGTCCCAGCTACTTGGGAAGCTGAGGTGGGAGGATTGCTTGAGCCCAGGAGGTGAAGATTCCAGTGAGTCTTAATTATACCACTGTATTCCAGCCTAGATGACAGAGTAAGACCCCGCCGCAAAAAAAAAAAAAAAAAAGGTGCTACTGTACTAATAGAATTAGTCTAAGAGTTCCTCGAGACCAGGAGGTATGTCTCATTCATTGTGAAGTTAGTAAATGGCATAAGATGGGGTCCAGCAAATTTTTCTGAATCTAGTCGCAAAATTTCAAATCGTTTAAACATATACTATTCAATTAAGAGAAATCAGTTCCACATATAACAGATACGGTAATTGCCTGTGTTAAAAAGCTCCAGTAAAGCTGGGCGTGGTGGCTCACACCTGTAATCCCAGCACTTTGGGAGGCCGAAGCAGGCGGATTACCTGAGGTCAGGAGTTCCAGACCAGCCTGGCCAACATGGTGAAACCCCATCTCTACTAAAAAAAATACAAAAATTAGCCGGGCGTGGTGGCATACACCTGTAATCCCAGCTACTCAGGAGGCTGAGGCAGGAGAATTGCTTGAGCCCGGGGGCACAGAGGTTGCAGTGAGCCAAGATCATGCCACTGCACTCCAGCCTGGGTGACAGAGCAAGACTCTGTCAAAAAACAAAAACAAAAACAAAACTCTAATAAAGGCAATGTATCATTTTAATATTTCCTCTCTAAATTTGCAAAGCAGGTAAATAATGTCTTATTCATAACCATGGATTAACATAAATTTAAGGCTTCTGGGATATTAGTAATGGCTAGGTAAGAAACAGGACCCCAAGGCAGGGTGTGGTGGCTCACGCCTGTAATCCCAGCACTTTTGGGAGGCCAACACAAGCGGATCATGAGGTCAAGAGATCGAGACCATCCTGGCCCTGTTTCTACTAAAAATAAAAAAATTAGCTGGGAGTGGCGGCACATGCCTGTAGTCCCAGCTACTCGGGAGGCTGAGGCAAGAGAATCGCTTGAACCCAGGAGGTGGAGGTTGCAGTGAGCTGAGGTCACGTCACTGCACTCCAGCCTGGCGGCAGAGCGAGACTCTGTCTCAAAAAAAAGAAAAGGACAGGACAAGACAGGACAGGACAGGACAGGACAGGACAGAACAGAACAGAACAGAACAGAAAAGGGTACCCAGTTAAAAACTATGAAGAATCCTTGCGGGTTTCTTTACTGTATTAACACCTCAGGGCTGTTAATATAATCCAGAATTAGAATATAATATAGTTTCCCAAGAAAATTTGGCTGCGGAGTTCATGAGTATCATATGAGACCAGTGTACCCAACACTGGGAAAATACAGCTTTAAATAAATTATTATAAAATATTGCTCAACATCAAATAATAAGCATTAATTTTTTAATTCAAAAGATCAGTAAATTGTACATTCTATTTTGTTAGAAAAACTTACAAGGAATCCTTACACACTGTTGGTGGGAATATATTATGGAGGTTCCTCAAAATATTTAAAATGGAACTATCATATAATCCAGCAATCTCACTACTGGATATATATCCAAAAGAAATAAAATCAGTATGTTGAAGAGATGTCTGCACTCCCATGTTCACTGCAGCAGAATTCACAATAGCAAATCAGCCTAAGAGCCCATGAATGGATGAATGAACAAAGAAAATGTAGTGTGTGTACACAAATACACATACAATCACAATGGAATACTATTCAGCCTTAAAAAAGAAGGAAATCCTGTCACTTGCAACAACATGGATGAACCTAGAGGACATTATGTTAAGTGAAATAAGCAGGAACAAGAAGATAAACTTCACATGTCTTCACTTATATGAGGAATCTAAAAAAGATAAACTCATAGAAACTAAGAGTAAAATGGTGGATTCTGGGGCTGGCGGGGTGGGCTGGAACATGGATTGGGATATATTGGTCAAAGGGTACAAAATTTAAGTTAGGAGGAATAAGTTCAAGAGCTCTACTGTACAACATGGTGACTACAGTTAATAACACTGTTATAGTCTTGAAATTGCCGAGTAGACTTTAAGTGTTCTCACTATAAAATAGGCAAGTGTATGAGATAATGCTATTAAATTCAGAGTTTGAGTCTGATTTCCTAATCGCTCAATATTTTAACAGATTTAGGAGAAATTAGGCAAGTCCAACATAATTCATTACTTATAAATCTACACCTATTTTATAAAAAGTATCTGCTTCTAAATATTTTGAGATTTTTCTTATATAAAAGATATGTTTACATGTGTACCACATGTATAGCTGCTCTTAAATGACCCTATGTAAATCGGAGTGCAAAACTATATAACACAAATAAGAACTCCATTAACTTATAAAATCAGAATGCCCACCTGATTATCTGAGAGCCACATAGCTGTCAATTGCTGTAGCTTTGTAAAGCTAAAGGGTAAATTCTTTAATCTGTAGGAAAAAAATACAAACAAAAATTAAACTTTAAAATGAGAAGATTTAAAATGAATGAGGGTTCAACCTAAAGGTTTTCTGAAAAATGCTATATAGTTGCACATGAAAATAGGAGAAAAAAAAATCGAGAAAAGTCCAATATAATTCTTCGTATAGGACATAAAACAAAATATCTAGTTTTATAAGAATTAGTTTCAAAAATATAATTCTTCAATTGAATCAATTCACCTGGTAAGAAAATGGATAATAGAATAACCTTAAAAATCTGTTGAAAAATTAATTGTCCCTGCCTTAGAGAAAAGAACACATTAAGGAATGTCTCATAACATTGCTTTGGTTTATTTGTACTTAGGGAGAACAAACTGTTATAGGAAACACTCTTAGTGATAGTTTGCTATAAAAACTGCACTGCTCTCTATTTGTGAGCCAGCAGTTACATAATCTAGAAGACTACCCTAAGATGATAATGATTAAAAACAAAGTACAGTCATTCCTCAGTATCTGTGGAAGACTGGTCCCAGGATCTCCCTCAGATACCAAAATCTGCAGATGCTCAAATCCCTTATATAAAATTGTATAGTATTTGCATATAACCTATGCACATCCCCCCATATATTTTAAATCATTTCTAGAGTACTTATAATACCTATTAAAATATAAATGCTATGTAAATAGTAGGTATACTGTATTGTTTAGGGAATAACAATGGGAAAGTTGGTACACGTTCAGTACTGACACAATTTTTTTCCAAATATTTCTGATCTGAAGTTGTTTGAATCCACACTTGCAGAACCCACAAATACAAGGGTCAACTATAAATACTCATTAGAATACTAAATGAAAATATCTTATTTAAGAGAGAATTATCTACTTCAGCCTTGCTATCTTATACCTAACTAGTCTTCCGTGCCTTTCTTTCAGCAACCCACTGTGGGCCGTAGGAATTAAAGGCTGAAACGTGACTTAAGAAAGCAGTGGTTCTTTTAAATAAAACAGAAGTTAGAATATCATAATTAGTCAGAAAATTGAGTTTAAATTAAAGCTCTACCTTACAAGCTACGTGAGTCACCTTAAATCTGAGTCTTAAAACCCTCCTACATAAAATGGGAATACTATTATACTATTTCATAGAGCTGTTTTGAAGACTTCACAAGACACTATGAAAGCAAAAAGTGAAAACACTCTACAAATGCTGTTTAATCATCATTAGTATGTTTACCTCACGAAAAAGTATGGACATTCTGTTTTTAACTTAAACATTGTTCCAATTTACAACCCTAGTGATCAATTTACTCTGCACCTTGGCTTTGTTGAAACCAGATCTCTGCCTAGGAAAATATTAGCAACAGACTAGATACATTCCAAAATTGTTTTGTTAAATAGCAATATTCAGGTGAAGATGTGACTTCAGAAATAAAAGGTAACTGTAAGAAGAGAATAAAGACTATATAGCTAAGTCAACCCAAAATGAACAGTAACAACCACCGTATGATAAATTAACATCAGATAAAATAAGACCACTCTTTGTATTTAAAGAAAAAAATATATACAGTTAAGTCCTCATTTAAGTTATTGATAGGTTCTTGGAAACCAAAACTTTTAGCAAAACTGTGTATGGCAGGTTCTCAAATAATGTCATTTTCTTATAACACTGATGAACGAAAGAAGTGATTTCATTGTATGTTGTTTCACTGAAAGTCACACTTTCCAAGAGCCTATCAATAACACTGAGAACTTACTATGTATATTTAAAGAGCAACAAGCACTAGCTATTCTATTATATATCATATGAAACTTAATTTCATCTAACCAATGTCTCCTATAAACCAACTGATGAATATAGTATTACGAACCTATTATCACTTAAATTAATGACTTTTAATTTTTGCATATCACCCATTTCCTCTGGAAGTGTCTCAAGTTTATTGGAATGGAGAAACAGCACAGTTATATTTTTCCAGCTTCCAATCTGAAAGAGAAATATAAACTGAGTATCAAAAAATTTGGCCTACAGGTTGATCAACATATAAAAAACATCATTTTTGAAAGTTATGAAAAATACTTCACATTTATAGAAGAAATAATGACTAGACTTTCTTTTTAATTAATTTTTATGTACATAAGAAAGCATTTAAGAACCTCTTCTAAATTAACATAGCTAATTATTCAGAAAATAAATAACTTGAAAACTATTTTAGAAAGAAAATAAATGAAGCCACACTAAATAGCTATAATGAAGATAATCAGAAAAAAATGAAAAGACAAAAATCTAAACAAATCTAAAATACATTACCTCTGGGGGCAACTGCTGTAAGTAATTATGATCAGCAGCAAAAGTTCTTAAGTTAGTAAGCTGCCCAATAGATGAAGGCAAAGCTTCAACTTCATTGAAACTACAATCCAGTTCTTCTACTGATATTAACCTTTAATTTAAAAAAAGAAATATATATTATTTGTTAAAGATTTCCTATATATAATCCAAAATTTCAGAACATATAAACATTTGAACTTGACTTTGAAAACCTAGTGAAACCATTTCACAAAGCTAAACTTCACCAATAAGTAGGTTTGTCTATCATAAACACACTCAACCTGTATACTAATTACTTAAATGTTTACAAAATCTTTAGGTCATTTATGCAAATACCTGAAAATATGTATGGCATGCTGAACTGAAAGTAAAATCTTCGAGGGTGTATACATTCACAAAAAACTTACCCTCCTATAGAGTCTGGCAGATACATTAACTGGTTTTCATCTATTTTAAGCGTTGTTATATTCTTCAACGAACCTAATGAGGGAAGAAACAACATACAATTTTTCAGCTTAAAATAGAAGCAAGTCCACCAACAGTCAGTGTGAGACATACTACATCTGACAAGAATTAGAAACAACTTTCCTAACAAACGTATCTAAAAGAGATACCACTCCCAATCCCAATGTTCTATTCCCTCATCCTGTCCTTTCAATCTTCATCCACATCACTATTTAACATAGTGTACATTTGTTTATTAACTCCCACTAAAATATACTGATAGTAGGAACTTTTTTGTCTTCGTTGTTCACTGTTGTAGCTCTGCTTCTAAAAACAATGTCATGGCACAGAAAAGACAGACAATACAAACTTGTTAAATTAATAGACTAAAGAAATGGTAGTATGAAGGTAGTTCATAACAGGTATATAAAAAACTATTCCATATATACTAAATACTAAAACAGTAAAATATTTTTTAAGTTTAAAAAGTGTTGACTAAGAGTAGAATCGTAACAAACTTACAAAAATGTAGTTTTAGCTAAAACCACTACGTGATTTAACTGAGAAATATTTTTGGTTTTTAAATTAAAACATCAAAAAGATGTCAAGATTGAAGTTTTGGGTCCTTTCATCAAAATAATTCAATTCCATTGACATATCATTGAACAAGCAACTACACAGACTCAATCATAGATCTCTCATGATCTGTTCAACTGATCTGTTTTCTTGTCTGAGTGTCTGTAATGAAACAGGACTGAAAAAAGTTACCAAAATAAAAGCTATGACAATAAAAGCTAACAGTTAAGCCAAATTTGCATAAGTTAACTTATTTTAAAGAATTTAAATATATTAGAAATAAAAATGAGATTACCTTAGAGTAAATAAAAAACAGTAATGTCAACAAAGGAGCAAACTGTACAACTGATCACACCAGGAAAAATTCAAATAAAATCCGTTCCTGTGGTAACGAAGTATAACTACCTCATAACAAGTGAAATTTGAGATTATGTGGAAGTCTCGAATTTATTTTAATAAAAATTACATGAATTTGAAAGCAATACAAACCAATAGTCTCAGGAAGCTGCTGAAGTGAATTGCTTGATAATAGGAGGTCTTGAAGGTTTTCACATGTTGAAATTCCTTCTTCAACCATTTCAATATTATTTTTAGAAACATCCAAATATGTGAGCTGTTTCAAACTACCAATAAACTATAAGTAAAAAAAGAAAATCTAATGACTCTATTAACATTAGTAATTTGTAAAAAGTTTAGGGAATAAACTTGATACCAAGTTTTAATTCAAAATTAAATGCTAATACAAGAAAGAAGACTCCCAGGTAGTTTTTTAAATGCCATTAGAAATGTATTCAGTAATATAGCTAAGATGTTCTACTAATTGTAGCATAGCAGAAGTGACAAAGGACATATTCTTTGGGAATTCAGGTATCCATTACCTCCTAAGGAAATAGCATATATGGGGATTCTTGTGGTTTTTTTTATGGGAGTAAACAATTTGTCAGTTGTTAAAACAGAAAGTTCGGCTGGGCGCGGTGGCTCACGCCTGTAATCCCAGCACTTTGGTAGGCCGAGGCAGGCGGATAATGAGGTCAGGAGATCGAGACCATCCTGGCTAACACGGTGAAATCCCGTCTCCACTAAAAAATAAAAAAAAATTAGCTGGGCATGGTGGTGGTCACCTGTAGTCCCAGCTACTCAGGAGGCTGAGGCAGGAGAATGGTGTGAACCCAGGAGGCGGAGCTCGCAGTGAGCCGAGATCGCACCACTGCACTCCAGCCTGGGCAACAGAGCGAGACTCTGTCTCAAAAAAAAAAAAAAAAAAAATTCAGAAAGTTCATGAAAAATATCCTAGTTTACCAATTCCTTGGGCAAAGCAAATTGGGACGTAAGTTCAAGTGATACCATTGGAAAGGACACACTCAACAGTATTAAAAGGAGACATACAAATGTTTATTATGAGAATTCTTAGATTATAATCAAGAATGTGCTCATGAAAAAAAGTAATTTGCTTCTGTTTAATAAAGAATAATTCAATTTTTTTATTAATTAAAAGTAATTATAAAAGGTACAATTCACAAAACTGCAAAGGAGAGCCAGAAATAAGTGATGCCATTTAAAATCTCATATACATACCCCTGGAATAAAAGTCAGTCTATTAGCATCCATCCAAAACTCTTTCAATCCACTTAGTTGCTCAAGTACTTCAGGCTGTTGGGATTAGGGTAGGGGATAGCAGTAATTCAATTAATTTTTATGAATGTCTTTATCTGGCAAAAGAAGCCCTGGGAATTTCTAATAACCTTTAGTTTCAAATCATTAAATAAAAGGAGCAGGGAGAAGGAAAAATAAAAAAGAAGAGCCAGGATGTAAGCCTTTCTACTGCATTATAGTTACTACAGTAAAATTATTATAGAAAATTATTAATGGAGAAATCAAAGAGACATGCCATAGCAGTAGATTACAAAAAACACATTTAAGCTTTGGATTACACAACAGGGGCAAGTTTTTATATAATTTGTAAAGAAATAAAAAATAGGACTCACTGCTTAGAAGTATACAATAAAAATATGCACTCATGCATTATCAGTAAGAAGATACAGCTTTTAGAAAACAGAAAAATTACAAATGTTCCCTGGTGACATTCATTAAGAAGGAGATAAAAGACAACGTGCATCCTAAATGTCCATAATCAGGGAAAGGTAAATAGACAAAGTCATAACTACATGATACAAATATACTGTAATTTAAACCTCTAGTAAAAACTTCTAATTACATGGTAGAAAATTCTTTATAATATGGTGTTGAGGACATCAAAATTAATCCAAGTGTTGTGGCAGACCTTCATATCCAGGCAAAATTTGCTCCTGGGCATTGTCCCTTCAAGTCTGCCCTCTTCAAAGTTATTTCTATCACCTCACAAAGCCATCTGCAATCAATGATCATGTGATGGCACAGAGTACTATCACATCTAATGACCATAGTTAACAGTCATATATAAAAGGCATGCCAATCAGATTTACTGTTAACATATAAATATAGATAAGAATCCCAGATGTAACTTGGATTAAAAGAAATTTCCTTTTGTGCATTACTGTTAAATTCTACTGTAAGTTTTAAAAAGTGTATAATGTTGGAAGACCAAAATGGTACAAAAACTAATGACGATTTTGAAAGCTTGTTGGATTCTTAAAATGAACGAGATTTTTGAAATAGTTAATACGGAAACGGATTCATACAGAACAAATATTGAGAAAGGACGTAACAGATAAATAATTTGGGAAGCACAGCATGTATTTTAGAGAATGAGGTACTCCAAAGTACCATGTTCCTCCTCAAACCTCAGCTGAAATTTATAATATTAATATAATACCCACAGGGCAATACTATAGCAAGCAGTTTTGAGAAATTCCTAGGCTTAAAACCATCATTTGAGAGCTACCACACTTTTAAACAACAAACTTGTAAACTAATTTAAAAGTTTAATAATGATACTCAGCTGGATGAGTTCCTCTTCAAAAAAAAAAAAATCTAGCTTATTTTCTGAGTTCTTTTGGAAAACTCACTAAAGACAAAAGCTACTTAAACACTACTCCTTTCCTTTTAGAGTCAGCTTCATAGCGCACTTGGCATACAAAGCACAAACAAAAAGGTTCTCATTACCACTTCAAAAATAACAGTTGTTTCACTCAATGATTTTCCCCTTAGCTATTAAGTAACATTATAGAGAAGTATCTTATTACTGAATAAGTTAACAAGCAATACCCCATGGAGCTCTCTCTGATTCAGAACTACTTTTACCTGCTGCATTCCAGACTGATGTTTCCCACTTATAATCACTCAAATTTTCTGCTTCCTATGCTAAAAATTGTTTAGTATCTCTTCCATGGACCTCTCATTGATTTTACATTTTATGCTCACTTGTGGTCAGAAGTTCATCTGTCTGGTTAATTTTTCTATCTGTCTGGAAAGTTCTGGCTAAGAAATTTCATATCTTGTAACTAAGAAAAAAAAGTAAACCTTTATCCAATTTGTAAGAGAAATACATTAATTTTCATATTTTGTTCTTCATTAAATATAAGAACTTAGGGAAAGTGAGACTGATGAGAACTTACCACTTCCGTGAATTCGTTACTTCCCAAATCCAGTCTTTCCAGCTGGGTCAGTCTATTCATAGTTCTGTTCATAATGGAGTAATGAAAAATTAACTAGAAAAATATCAATTACATGGAAGCTTTCAAAACAGTCTAAAACATTCTTATGGAATAGGTAATTATTTATGGGCTTTCACATGTTGACAAAATAAAAATATTAATTTTCTAAAAAATTTTAAAAGTCAGATTTCTAGATAAAATAATTATCAGTTATTATCTTATTTTGCCTTCTCATTGGTCTTTTCATTTCTATTTTTAAGAAGCAATTGCAATAAATTTAAACCCACAAGCCAGAATACAAATAATGAGTTTCTATTTTTTCACATAATGAATTTTCATATAGTACAAGTCAGCTAATAAATGTTGGCAGATGTATAATAATTACTACCATAATTACAAAAATTCTTTTTCAAAACTGCTCATATATTTGTAAGACTTTAAGATAACTGTAACTCCGAAAATTAATATTCAAAATGCTAACAGTACGTTGTATTACTCCCCACATGTTCAAATTAAATACAATACAATTCAAAATAAAGTTTTATATGAATCACAAATTAGTAGTTGACATTTATTTTAAATAAAAGCAATAATATACTATTCTTAACTTCCAACTTAACATCAACACTTCTCTGAAATTACAGGAACTTGAAAGATGTACAAACCAGTTTGTAATGAAATAAACTATGTTGCACTTCTATCTTTTCTCTCTCCTTTTACAAAGGTACCCTTTGAAACTAATTCAAACAAATATTTACACTCTTAAGTGGCTATTTTTGTACAACACCTATTATTTAATACATTGAGATGTAACCAGTTACCCAGATAAGAAATTCTGTATTAAGGATTTTGTAGGATATGACAAAATGAGAGCAAAATATAGTTATAATCACAATATCAGTATATTACATTAATATGTTAATACTTTGAAAATGAGTATCATTTAAAATCCACAGGCACTTCAAATTACGGCACGAAAAACACAGACTATTTCTATCTTCTCTGGAATTTTAACAAAAATTAGTAATAAGTAAAATAAAACTCAGTTGCAACATTTCTCCAGCTTTTTAGTCAAAAATATAAAAACAAACACCATCATTGTAATGAAACTGTCATTGGTCTACATTAGAAGCGAATTTTCCCTTTACATTTTAAATATGCCATTCTGTCATCAACTCTTCAATTCATCTCATAATGCCAATTTTTATAAAACTGCTTTCACCTAGATTTACTAAGTGCCTATTCTCAGGTACCATAATTCTGCTTCCTTACTCATATCTTTCCCCAGAAAACCTTTAAGTTCTAGCTTCCTTCATTAACAAGCGAAAGGTTGCTTCCACGATCTTTCTCCAGATGTATAAAATCACATGCTATGATTATAATTTCCTATGTTCAAATAACTATACCAGGTGGAGATTTGCAAAAAGTGAAGAAGATTGTGAGGAGGAAGAGAAGACTGAAAGAACAAAACATAATCTTACATTTCTTGCTTCAGTATTGTTATAATGACAAGATAACAGAAAATTCACATGTAACTATTGAGCACATAATGTCAATGGCATAACAGTTTTAGAAAAGGGTACAAAAATGAAAAGGTGTGCATTGGAAAAATTCAATTACAGATGATATCCTGGAAAATTTATATTTTAAAACAATTTTAGGAAAACGTGAGTGATACAGATATGTAATAAAAAAGAAAATATACTGTCATGTCAAAAAGAGTCTCCACCTCAACTCTCTATAGTTAATACTGACAACTGTGGCTATACTCATACACTTTAGAAATCTCAGAAATAAAACTGCATCCTAGAATAAGATCTAGCTGCCTCTCTCAAGGAGAAAACATAAACAATATCCCTCATATTTTCTCCCATCTGTTTCTAAAATTCATTTGTATTGAACTCATTTCACTTTCTCCTCTCCTCAAAGGAAAAGTAAAACATCTTTTGTGTTCTTAGTACTGTGCCCTCCAGTATTCTTTAGGTAGCATTAAATTTCACTTAACTATATATCTAAAACAACAGCTCTTTCCATTGCTCTAATCTTTGATATAGTCATATAACCTAAATGCACATGACTTTGTAATACTTAAAACTATATCCTCTTGTTTGTGAGGTCTCAAAGTTATAATCAAGCAAAAACCATTAGGAAAGAGAAAGAAATAAAGAGCATCCAAATTGGAAAATAAGAAGTCAAAATTAGTCTTGTTCACAGACAACATGTATCTTATACCTAGAAAAATCTAAGGACTTCACCAAAAAACTGTTAGAACTGATAAACGAATTAAGTAAAGTTGAAGGATATAAAATCAGCATGTGAAAATCAGGAGGATTTACATATGCCAACAGCAAACAATCTGAAAAATCAAGAAAGCATTCCCATTTATAGTAGTTACAAAAAATATGACATACCGGCCAGGTGCACTGGCTCACGCCTGTAATCCCAGCACTTTGGGAGGCCAAGGCAGGCGCATCATGAGGTCAGGAGATCGAGACCATCCTGGCTAACATGGTGAAACCCTGTCTCTACTAAAAATACAAAAATTAGCCAGGAGTAGTGGCGGGCGCCTGTAGTCCCAGCTACTCAGGAGGCTGAGGCAGGAGAATGGCGTGGACCCGGGAGATAGAGCTTGCAGTGAGCCAAGATCATGCCACTGCACTCCAACCTGGGTGACAGAGCAAGACTTCATCACACACACAAAAAATAAATAAAAAAAAATCTATATGTGTGTGTGTATGTATATATAATATATATTATATAATATATATTATATAATATAATATATATTATATAATATATAATATATATTATATAATATAATATATATTATATAATATATAATATATATTATATAATATAATATATAATATATAATATATATTATATAATATAATATATATTATATTATATATATCAATTTATTCTTAGGTATATACATATAACATACCTAAGAATCAATGTAAAGACGTGAAAGATCTATACAAGAAAAACTATAAAACTCTGATGTAAGAAATTAAAGAGGACACAAAAAAATGGAAAGATACTCCATGCTCATGGATTAGGATAATTAAAACGACAATACTATCCAAAGCAATGTACAGATTCAATGTCATCCCTATCAAAACACTGACATTCTTAACAGAAATATTTTTAAAATCCTAAAATGTATACAGAACCACAACAAAAGACTCCAAATAACCACAGTGATGCTAAGCAAAAAGAACAAAGTTGAAGGCATCACACTACTAGACTTCAAATTGTACTACAAAGCCATAGTAATCAAAACAGCATGGTATATAGGCACACAGACCAATGGAAAGGAATTGAGAACCCAGACATAAATCCATGCATTTACAGCCAAGTCATCCTAGAAAAAGGCGCCAAGAAGATAAAATGGGGAAAAGACAGTTTCTTCAATAATTGATGCTGGGAAACTTGATAACTATATGCAGAAAAATAAAACTAGACCTCTATCTCTCACCATACACACAAATTAAACCACAATGGAACAAAGACTTAAATCTAACACCTGAAACTATGAAGCTACCAGAAGAAAACACTGGAGAATGCTAATTCTCAATATAAATATCAAGGATACTGGTTTGGGCAAAGATTTTTTTGTGTAAGACCTCAAAACCACAGGCAATAAAAGCAACAAAAATAGACAAATGGGATTACAGCAAGCTAAAAAACTGCACAGGAAACAATCAACAAAATGAACAAACCACAGAATGGGAGAAATATTTGCAAAGTATCCATCTGACAGGAATTAATAATTAGAATATATAAGAAGCTTCAACAAATCAATAGCAAAAAAAAAAAAAAAAATTCTATTGTAAAATGCACCAGAGATCTGAATAGACATTTCTCAAAAGAAGACGTGCAAATGACAAACAGGCATATGAAAAAATGATCATCACTAATCAGAGAAAACTACAATGAAATATCATCTTGCCCTAGTTAAAATGGCTTATATCAAAAAAGACAGGCAATAACTAGCAAGGATGGGAACAAAGAGGAATCTCTGAACACTGTTGGTGGGAATATAAATTAATATAGCCACTATGGAGAACAGTATAGAAGTTCCTAAAAAAAATTAAAAATAGAACTATCACATAATCCAGCAATTCCACTATTGGGTATATATACAAAAGAAAGGAAATCAGTACACTGAAGGGTTATCTGAACTCCTATGTCTATGGCAGCACTATTCACAATAGCCAAAATATGGAATCAATTTAAATAACCGTCAACAGAAGAATGGATAAAGTATGGTACATATACACAATGGAATATTATTCAGCCATAAAAGAGGCTGCCTGCAGTAACATGGGTTGATCAGGAGGTCATTACATTAAGTGAAATAAGCCAAGCAGAGACAGATAAATATTGCATGTACTCATTCACATGTGCGAGCTAAAAAAAGATCCCAAGCCGGGTGTGGTGGCTCACGCCTGTAATCCCAGCACTCTGGGAAGCCGAGGAGGGCGGGTCATTTGAGGCCAGGAGTTCGAGACCAGTCTGACCAACACAGCAAAACCCCGTCTCTACTAAAAATACAAAAAATTAGCCAGACGTGGTGGTACATGCTTATAGTCCCAGCCACTCTGGAGGCTGAGAAACAAGAATTGCCTTAACTTGGGGGGCGGAGGGTGCAGTGAACCGAGATCATGCCACTGCAGTCAAGCCTGGGCGACAGAGAGAGACTCCGTCTCAAAAAAAAAAAAAAAAGATCTCATGAAGATAAGAGTAGAATGGTGATTAGCAGAGGCTGAGGAGGGTAGTGGGGAGGAAAGAATGAAGGGGAAAGAATATAAATGTATTTATTACCACTGAACTGTACACATAAAAATGGTAAAGACAGTAAATTTTACACATATTTTACCTCAATAAAAACGTATTAAAAAGGCTACAATCATATCTTAAAAGGAGAAAAGAATATTTGCAAATTCACTGAGAGTCTAATTTGAATCTCTAAAAGGTGTTAAAATCAGTTAATTGCCTATGATATCACATAGTAATTATAGGCTTAGCTATCACAGTAAACAATTTACATCTTGTTATTCAAATATCTTAGAAACCAGTCACATTTTTAGCTAAGGAACTATCACTGAGAGTATCAAATCTGTAATGTATACATATCTTTTTGAATTTTAATATGGATAATTTGACTTTAACTTATACTCACAATCATCACTATAAACATTCATCCATGCATTGAACAATTACTCAAAACACTGTCTTTTGGAATAAAAAACAGACACAGTCTCTGTCCTCACAGATAATCAAGGGAAACCAAGGGGAAGATACACATGCACATACATGCAGGTTATATGCTGGTCAGGGAAGAAGAGAGTGACATATAATAAAAACAGATACATTAACATTATCCAGCAAATACTGTAACAGATATAAATGTGTCATAGAAGCTGAGTAAACAGAACAACTCCTGGGGTAACTGGAGATGTTTTCCTTCTCAAGAGGTGAGAAGTTTGCTTGTTTGTTTGTTTTGAGCCAGGGTCTCACTCTGTTCTTATGCTGGAATGCAGTGGTACAATCATTGCACACTACAAGTGCAAACTCTTGGACTCAAGCGATCCTCACTCCTCAGCCTCCAGAGTAGCTGGGACTATAGTTACATGCTGCTGTGCCCGGCTAATTTTTTAATTTTCTATAGAGATGGGGGTCTCGCTTTGTTGCCCAGGCTGGGTGGGCAAATCTTGATGATGCGATTTCAACATGAGTTGGCAAATTTTTTCTGTAAAGGGCCAGACAGTAAATATTTTAGGTCCTGTACACCTAAAAAATTTTAGGGCCTACAGTGATAGAGCAGTGATAACCACTCTAACACCAACAACAGATGCATACAGTAGTGACAACTACTTTATCACTGTAAAGCAAAAGTAGCCACAGACAATATGTACATGAATGTATGTGGCTGTGTTCCAACGAAACTTGTTTACAAAAATTGACAGTGGGCCAGATTTAATCATAGACTGTAGTTTGCCAACCCTTAAAATGTAACACTATAGCAATGCATTCACAGTGTTTTAAGATATTTGGTCAATAAAAGGCCACAGACTACAGTGAATTTCGAGTTTGTAGACCTGTTTCTTTTATAATTAAATCTTTTTTTTTGCTCCTGGATTGCCATCTCTTGTTGTTAGCTTATCATTAGGGAACCAATCATCGCATTTCTAATTTACAATACACTACATAGCCAGACAATCAAGTTCTACCGTTACCAGGCTTCACATGAAGATCCTATGGATCTTTCTAATGAGCACTATGTGTATGAACTTTAGTAGACGAACCTGGGATTTCTGATTTCTATTCAGTATTGAGGTGGGCTTTACATATTTATTATTTTGACTTTTATGTCACACACAAGACTGCATTTCAGACAGCTATAAATCATTACCAACACAGTACCACGTTAAGCACCAACAACAGACACATACATTTTAATATTTTAACACCATTAATTAAATATGATGACCACACAGTCAGGATTTACAAATAATTTGCACCACATTTTAGGTAATAAAAATTTACATTTTTAAAGACTTAATCATTAAAAATTATAAATTAAGTTTTTTAAAGAATAGCACCTTTACTTACTTAGGCAACATTTTTAACTGGTTTTCTCTAAGCTCTAATATTTGGAGTTTAGTTAATCTGCAATACAAAAAAAAAATCATGTATTTAGGACAAAGACAATGAATTTAATAAATTAATTTCATATTCTAATGTTTTAAAGGAAGCAATGTAATTGTGTAATTACTAATTGCAAAGTAATATATTAAAAATTACAGAACATAAAATACAAAGGAAGAAAAGACTTATTTTTGCTCCTCAAAATTGTGGTCAGAGGAAAAGGGTTAGCACTTCCACACATTTTCAAAGCGACAAAGTGAATATCCCAAAGTATCAATCCTCCAGAATTTCATACCTTTTACCAAAAATGCTCACAAAAATTAACTCTTGGTAGATTCAAGAACAATAATGCAACTCTAAAGTGCTGCTCTGAGAAGAAATAATGAAACAAAAGAAGGAGGAGAAATCCTCTGGCACTTCATTGATGTACATTCCACTAAAACTAGAGAGAAAATGAGCAGATTAAGTGATGCAAATGCCAGATACAGAAGAGGAATCTGACAAGTACATCAATGATTTTTAGATAAAAGATGGCTACAAAATTAACATTTAGTTGGCTAGCATTTTCTCTAGTAGTTAATTTAAACTCAGTAATAACTGCATATCTATTATACATTCATCTGTTTGTTTAAAAAATTACTCAGAGACTTGAGGGTGGCAGGGAGATGATGAGGTCGCCCCCAGAAACAGATTCTCTTTTCTTAAGAATTTTGATTCCAGGGGAGAAGACAGATAAATCAATTATTAAATCATTTTAGAATGCTAAGAATATAGCATTCAGTATCTCAAGCATACAGAAATTAACCCCATTGAAACGCCCTGTTTTGGCCACCTAAGAAAACTTTTTTTTTCTTTCAAACTCTCACTGATTATTGTTTACTTGGAAAAATTAAGTCAAAGCCACCAAACAAAGTATAAAAGTCACAATGCTTGGGAATAATTTAAAAAGAGCCTATGAAACTGTAATGAGTAGTACTACCAAAGCAGCTTATAGTTTTGTAAACTTTATAAGAGCTAATAATAAAACGTTTTAGAAGAAACCATAATTTACCTGCCAAAATTTGCTGGCAAGAACTCAAGAAAAGCATCATTCAGATACAACTGGGTTAGGTTTAACAGCTGAGAAAATCCATCAGGGAGCCTACATAAAATACCAGAATTTAAGTTAAGTTCATGTAAGAAATTCAGTCTTTTATTAAAATCTAAGACTCTCACAAGATATTTTCCCAACAGACAGAAAACAGTCGCTTCTGTTATGAGTGGCTACTTTTATGAGAGCCCCTTCAAAGATTTGCCTTTTATAATAACCTACTTGTTTCAATGTATCTTCATCACTTTGTAAACAGAAAATGAGGTAATATTTGTTTTAATAATGTAAAATATGAACAAAACAGTCAACTATGAATGAGCCACAATACATAAAAATATATTTAGGGTATAACTCTGAAATCAGCAGGCACTCTTGAAATCTGTCTTATCTACTCTCAATTCAAAGGACTAGAAAAGAATTTCTAAACCTTGGCAGAGAAATTTTGGGCTGAATAATTCTTTGTTGTACATAGGCTGCCCTGTGCACTATAGGATGTTTAGCTACAACACTGATCTCTACAAACTAGATGCCAATAGTGTGCATGCATGCACACAAATACCCCACTGTGAAAACCAAAAATGTATCCAGAAACTGCCAAAAGTCTGCTGGGGCATGAGAGCCCCCAGTTGAGAACCACTGGTTTAGATTACTTTCAATTTCAATATTTGGCTCCTAAATAATTTTAAGATTATACGATTTTATAATAAGCAAATGAAAAGAAAAAACATTTAAAGCTGAATGACGTTAGGGCCATGTAACAACCTACGTGTGTTAGCTTTACTTCTATTTTTTGTTGATTATGAAACAAGTAAAGATCTAGAATTTGATACTAGAGCAATATTTTCAAATGAAGAGGCTATACATAATCTTTACATGTTGGTTCTGGATTGCTATGCTTCTTTCTAGTCATCTTTTGCTTCACCATTCAATTTTTCCAAAACTTAACAGCCTTGGTGCCAGGAAAACTTTGTTTACAGTCATCACCATCATAAATGGACATTCACAATCTTCTGATACACTGCAACCAATCATATAGTTTTTTCTTTTTTTGTTATTGTTTTGTTTCTGTTTCCTGTTGTTTTGCCTTCTGTTAAAACTGTGAAGAAACTTTTGGTTTCATTGTTTTCAAAAGTTTGAAGGTACCACACACCTGATTTGAAGGCAAAGACACTCCTCTAGGGTGTAAATAACACAGAGTGAGGAAATGTGGATTCTACTCTCATTTCTGACATTAACTATCTGTGAGACTTGGAGCAAAACACTCTCACTATCTCTTTGGGATCACAAATTTACCTCAGTAGTACATGGGGTTAGAATGATTATTTAAAAGATTACTTTTTAACTCTAAAATTGAAATTTTGTATAGACTTAAGATTGATATAAAATTTTTGTTAAAATATGTACAATAATATCTACTAGTTTCATAATTGTTTTATTCACAAAAGTAATTTATAATTCACCTGAGAACTTACTTGGAAATAGGGTTTACACTGGCCTCCACAATTGTCAAAACTTTACAATTTTTTATATTTTCTGGAAACTCCTGTATTCCTAGAAAACAAACAACGATCAAATTAAAAGATCTATTACAAAGGACAAAATAATAACAGTAACAATAATATATGCCTTCCAGATTCTAAAGTAATATACCAATTAACAAGGAACTAGATGAACTGACAACATCAATGTGAACTAAACAATGACCTGCACAACAATTTCTTTATCTTTCCTCCTTTTATTTGCCTCTTTATAACTGCTAATTACTTAAATTGGTTTTTACCTTTCTTTCCTTCTGAAAATTAGTGCCTTCTACATGTGATGTTAAGGACCTAAATTGTAGAACATTTAACATTCTTTCTGTTTCTCTCACTTTAAAAAAAAAGGACCGTTTTTCATTATTTTTATTTGTTTTTAAGAGGGAGTCTTGATCTGTTGCCCACGCTGGAGTACAGTGGGGCGAACTAGGCTCAGTGCAACCTCTGCCTCCTGGGTTCAAGTGATTCTCCTGCCTCAGCCTCCTGAATAGCTGAGATTACAGGCGCCCGCCACCATGCCCAGCTAATTTTTGTATTTCAGTAGAGACGGGGTTTCACCATGCTGGTCAGACTGGTCTCGAACTCCTGACCTCAGGTGATCCACCCACCTCGATCTCCCAAAGTGCTGAGATTACAGGCTTGAGCCACCCCACAGGCCAAGGATTGTTTTTTTAAATGCTGGGCTCTTGATTGAGCTGGTTCCTAATATACATAAGCAAAGCTGAAAATAAAGCTGCAGATAGAAGAGGAAGACAGTCTACATCAGATATGCCAGTGGATATGCCTGAAGGCAGCACTGTCCACCCTAAGATAATGAAACATTTTCTCTTTCCTGCACCTATCCTGTTTTTCCTAACTATATTTATATTCCCCTTTTCTCAACCTTTTCCCTTCACGTAACCCAATGTCATGCTAAAAATATGATAACTGCTTTAAAATGCAGTGATTTCTGAATACTATGATAGATATATTCAAGAGATCTATTAGACATTTCAGCTTTGGAGTATCCTAGACCAGTGCTTTTCCAGCCAAATGAGATAAAGGATTATGGTTTTTAAATTTTCCAATCTGTTGTGGACCAAATACACTTACAAAATACTGTACAACTGGAATAACATCAAACTGCAGTGAAAGATTCTGAGCATTTACTCATTCCTTGAAATTATCACAGCCAAAATAAAGTAATAAATAATTTGTGGACTACCATTGGTCCACAGATCAACTTTAAAAAGCACTGTTCTAATCTAGACTAAAGGAATGCTAATAAAAAACATTTAAGACATTCCAAAAATGAATTTTATATAGCCTGTGTTTGTAAGATCCATTGCTCCATTAACATGATATGATTAACAGGATTGTCATTAGAGAACCATTTCAGACCCTTTCAACTTCATCACTACATGATTTTAAGTAAACAACTTTACCACAATATCATATATAGAATGTCAGGTGATGAAAAATGAATGATGCAAAACCACCAAATAGGAAATGACACAGTAGTAACTGTTTCAGTCAAAACTCATCAATGCATGCTAAAACTAGTGGGTAAAAGTATGATGAAAAACAGGGTATTAATAGAGACTCAAAAGATTATTTCCACAAGACACATGGCAATTAAAAAGGAAAAATTCACTTCACAGTAGAGAAATCTGACAAGCACCACCTTAACCTTCAAAATTGCTTGAAAGTTGGCATCATCAGTTAACATCATCATGTGGCAACTAATCTGAGATGTACTCAAAAACAATATCATATCACTTTGGACATATACTTGCCAAAAACACACAACCTGAATTTAATCATAAGTAAGCACCAAACGAATCCAAATTAAGTAAAATTCTGTCAAATAAATGGCCAATAACTTTCAAAACTATCAAGGTCAAAAAACGACAAAGGAAGACTAAGGAAGTAATGAGAGGAAGACTAAGGACCCACGAGACCTAACAAATAAATGCAATACGCGAAAGTAACAAGTGTTTGTGAGGATGTCAAGAAATTGGGAACTATACACATTGCTGGTAAGAATGCAAACTGATATACCCACTATGGAAAGTAGTTTGGTGGTTGTTCAAAATGCTAAACACAGAATTTTTAACTGGCACTTTTTCGGACTACTAATTCATTTTAATGTTGCATTCCCTGGTCTTTTCAGTTTTCTACTTCTTACATTGATTTTGGTAATTTATTTTTCACTTAATCTAAGTTTTAAAATTTAGTAGCTTTGTATCATTTATTCTTCCCCTTTTGAATGGAAAAAAGTCATTTTTAATAAAAAGATGATAAAATAGGAATGTGGGAGATGTTTCTTTTGAAGATGGGAGACAGGAATTTTCTTACTGGTAAAACAAACTTGGCAATCCTATTCCAAGCCTCCAAATTAACACTGAACACTGATCTACAAGACATTCTTTTTACTTAGAATGCTCTTCCTCCCAGCAAAACCAGTAGGATCTTCTGAAAGCCTATCCTGATCTCTAAACTCAATGAAATTTAACTCTCCAAAGAGTTCAATTATGCATTTTATGGCATTTTTACAATTGTTTACTTTGTAGTACCTGTGTACTCTTTGTATTATTGCTAGGTTTTATTTAGATTGACTCAATTCTCCACTTTAAGTACATGTTACTATTCAGCACATTGTACCTTTGTACAACAAATGTTTGCTGAATTTCACTTACCTACCATCTTCTTTTCTCTCATTCATTTACATACAAAATACTTAACATTATTGAATTTTTCCTTAGGAGTGAAATCTTTATCAGTTCTTCGACGAACAATTGTTTTTAAGTGATCATTCCATTGAGGATGCATTGAAATGATGCTCCTAATATATTACAAGAGCATCCCTTTGCTGAACTGACTAAATATTTTTCAAATGAAAGGGCAGTGTCTGCTGCTGCAGAGCCTAGGGAGAACATGTAGCAGTGCCTGGTGGCAGTGGGGCTAGAATTCTAGGGTACATGTCATGCTCAGACGCCAATGTGGAGTTGTGGAGTTACAGAGTAAGCAGAGGGAGTTTTGAATTACTGTGAAAAAGTTGCACTGAAAATTTTTGTATTTTTTTAAAGTCATTCTGTGGAAATGTTTGCATTTCTCTTGGGTAAATACCTAAGACTGGAATTGCTGAGTTAATTATATGTCTACTGATGTGGTGGATGACACTGATTTTCAAGTAATGATCCGACCTTGAAAACATGGAATGGATTTGGTTGTGGTACATAATTCTTAATACTTTTTAAGAAGTAAAACATTCCATGTTTGGGTGGAGCAAGAAAACATTCTATACAGTTCTCACTGGCATTCAAATTCATTTTAAAATTTAGCTAAATATCTCATCTTTATTGGTTGTTATTAAAATCTATACAGTATTTCGAAATAGCCAAGTAAAAGATATTATTTCCAGGAGTTATAGTATTTTTAGTACATGATAAAGTCTATCTAAAGAGAAAAAGACCTAAGACTATATAATATGTTCTACTGATCTAAAATACCATATGGAGAACAATTTCAAGAGCTTTAAATTACAAATATTGTGTTTAATTCCTATAAAAATGTATTTATTAGCTTAATATTATTTAGTGGAAATTAATGCTTGGATCATCTCCCACAAATACAAAAGAATACTTCATAATTATTTATTTATTTAGCGATGGAGTCTCACACTGTTGCCCAGACTGGAGTGCAGTGGCGCGATCTCAGCTCACTGCAAGCTCCGCCTCCCGTATTCACACCATTCTCCTGCCTCAGCCTCCTAAGTAGCTGGGACTATAGGCGCCCGCCACCACGCCCGGCTAATTTTTTATATTAGGGGTTTTATATATGGGGTTTCACCATGTCACCCAGGATGGTCTCGATCTCCTGACCTCGTGATCCGCCCACCTCAGCCTCCCAGTGTTGGGATTACAGGTGTGAGCCACCGTGCCTGGCCCTGAATACTTCATACTTTTTATATTATAAAGTACTTTATTCCATAGCATGTGGTTTATAAAAAGTATTCCACAAATGCCTGTGAAATTACAAATTCTAAATTACTACTGGCTTTCAGACACATAGTAGTAATTTTGCCCTAAGCAAACAGTTTTGAAACACTGGTTTTCTACTTTTGAAAATTGCTAGCAATGTGTTTAGTCTGACTTCAGTTCCTACCACATACATTTGTAGGTTCTAAATCTGTATCTCCAGTTCCCACCTCCCTCCTTAGCTGCTGCTAAGAATTTTCAAATGCCCATTAGATTTTGTTCACATGCCTCAAACTCAACCTATCCCAAGCTGAAATTACCTATCTTCAAAGTTATTCAGCAAATGTGTTAGTATCAGACACTATGCTATATACCACAGATATTTAAGGCACAGTCCTTTTTCATGAGAAGCTAAAATGCAATAAGGAAAACAAACATTTTCATTTGACTAGCTTCTCCCCCATTAGTAGTGTTCCTTCTCAGTAGCTTTTGCATTTTCTCTTCTTCCAGATCTGTTAAATGTTGGGTACAACCAGGGCTCATTCTTTTTTTTTTTTTTATTATACTTTAAGTTTTAGGGTACATGTGCACAACGTGCAGGTTTGTTACATATGTATACATGTGCCATGCAGGTGTGCTGCACCCATTAACTCGTCATTTAACATTAGGTATAGGTATATCTCCTAACGCTATCCCCTCCCCGCTCCCCCAACCCCACGACAGGCCCTGGTGTGTGATGTTCCCCTCCCTGTGCCCAAGTGTTCTCATTGTTCAATTCCCACCTATGAGTGAGAACATGCAGTGTTTGGTTCCCTGTCCCTGTGATAGTTTTCTGAGAATGATGGTTTTCAGCTTCACCCATGTCCCTACAAAGGACATGAATTCATCATTTTTTATGGCTGCACAGTATTCCATGGTGTATATGTGCCACATTTTCTTAATCCAGTCTATCATTGTTGGACATTTGCGTTGGTTCCAAGTCTTTGCTATTGTGAAGAGTGCCACAATAAACATACGTGTGCATGTGTCTTAATAGCAGCATGATTTATCATCCTTTGGGTATATACCCAGTAATGGGATTGCTGGGTCAAATGGTATTTCTATTCTAGATCCCTAAGGAATCGCCACACTGACTTCCACAATGGTTGAACTAGTTTACAGTCCCACCAACAGTGTAAAAGTGTTCCTATTTCTCCACATCCTCTCCAGCACCTGTTGTTTCCTGACTTTTTAATGACTGCCATTCTAACTGGTGTGAGATGGTATCTCATTGTGGTTTTGATTTGCATTTCTCTGATGGCCAGTGATGATGAGCACTTTTTCATGTGTTTTTTGGCTGCATAAGTGTCTTCTTTTGAGAAGTGTCTGTTCATATGCTTTGCCTACTTTTTGATGGGGTTGTTTTTTTCTTGTAAATTTGTTTGAGTTCATTGTAGATTCTGGATATTAGCCCTTTGTCAGATAAGTAGATTGCAAAAATTTTCTCCCATTCTGTAGGTTGCCTGTTCACTCTGATGGTGGTTTCTTTTGCTGTGCAGAAGCTCTTTAGTTTAATTAGATCCCATTTGTCAATTTTGGCTTTTGTTGTCATTGCTTTTGGTGTTTTAGACATGAAGTCCTTGCCCATGCCTATGTCCTGAATGGTATTGCCTAGGTTTTCTTCTAGGGTTTTTATGGTTTTAGGTCTAACATGTAAGTCTTTAATCCATCGTGAATTAATTTTCGTATAAGGTGTAAGGAAGGGATCCAGTTTCAGCTTTCTACATATGGCTAGCCAGTTTTCCCAGCACCATTTATTAAGTAGGGAATTCTTTCCCCATTGCTTGTTTTTGTCAGGTTTGTCAAAGATCAGATAGTTGTAGGTATGTGGCATTATTTCTGAGGGCTCTGTTCTGTTCCATTGGTCTTTATCTCTGTTTTGGTATCAGTACTATGCTGTTTTAGTTACTGTAGCCTTGTAGTGTAGTTTGAAGTCAGGTAGCGTGATGCCTCCAGCTTTGTTCTTTTCTCTTAGGATTGACTTGGCGATGCGGGCTCTTTTTTGGTTCCATATGAACTTTAGTTTTTTTTGCAATTCTGTGAAGAAAGTCATTGGTAGCTTGATGGGGATGGTATTGAATCTATAAATTACCTTGGGCAGTATGGCCATTTTCACGATATTGATTCTTCCTACCCATGAGCATGGAATGTTCTTCCATTTGTTTGTATGCTCTTTTATTTCATTGAGTAGTGGTTTGTAGTTCTCCTTGAAGAGGTCCTTCACGTCCCTTGTAAGTTGGATTCCTAGGTATTTTATTCCCTTTGAAGCAATTGTGAATGGGAGTTCACTCATGATTTGGCTGTTTGTCTGTTACTGGTGTATAAGAATGCCTGTGATTTTTGCACATTGATTTTGTATCCTGAGACTTTGCTGAAGTTGCTTATCAGCTTAAGGAGATTTTGGGCTGAGACGATGGGGTCTTCCAGATATACAATCATGTCATCTGCAAACAGGGACAATTTGACTTCCTCTTTTCCTAACTGAATACCCTTTATTTCCTTCTCCTGATTGCCCAACCAGGGCTCATTCTTTAGCCTTCTTTTTATTGACAATCATGCCCTTGGCGAATGCATCTAATCTCAGGCTTTAAATATCCATATGGTGACAACTCCCAAATATTTATCTCTAGCACAGTTTTTCTCTTTACTAAACTCCAGACCCCTATGAACAACTAGATCTCAAAAAAACTGAGCTCCTGATTTTTTCTATTAAAAATTACAACTCCCACAGATTTCCACATCTCAACTGATGGCAACTCTGTCCTTCCAAGGGCATGACCAAAATCACTGAGGGCATCCTTGACTCTTCTCTCACATCCCACATCCGATCCGTCATATACTGCTATTGATTCCACCTTCAAGCATATCCAGGGGCTGTCCTCATCTCACTATGTCCATCACTATCACCTCAGATGACTGAAACAGCATTTGAACTGGTTGTTTTTCACCCACATGCCCACAGTTCCTGTCTATATATATATATAGACAGATTAAACTTAAACACAAGTCACATCATGCTCTGAATTATCTATTCAAAACTTTCCAAGTGACTCTATTCTACTGACGGTAAATGTCAAAGTGCATACAAATGCCTCCAAGGCTCTTCATTAGCTGCTCCTGTAAATCCCCACCTCCCTGGCTTCTATTCCTATTGCACTCCCATCTTGCTCACACTGTTTTAGTTACCCCGGGAACAGTCCTCACACATGCTATAGACGCTCACACCTTACAAAATAGCTTCTGGTACATCCTTACCTTAGTTATTCACATGGCTTCAAGTTTTTGCTCAAGGCCTACCCTCAACAACTGTGTTACCTACTCTCCAAAGATGGCTCATTTTATCCTTACAGATAAAGTACACAGGGGCAGGGTGCAGTGGCTCACGCATGTAATACCAGCACTTTGGAAGGCTGAGGTGGGCAGATCATTTGAGGTCACAATTTCGAGGCCAGCCTGGCCAACATGGCGAAAACCCGTGTAAACTGAAAATACCAAAAAAAATTAGCCAGATATGGTGGCCTGCACCTGTAGTCTCAGCTACTTGGGAGGCTGAGGTACAAGAATTGCTTGAACCTGGGAGGTGGAGACTGCAGTACGCTGAGATCGCACCACTGTACTGCAGCCTGGGTGACGGAGATTCTGTCTCAACTCACACATACACACACGCACGCGCGCGCACACACACACGCACACACAGACTGAATTTTATCACAATTTACTTCTTAATTCTCTGTCAACTATCTGTTCTTTTCTAATTATCACGACTTCAATAAATAATGCTTCTTCTTTGACGTATACTTCTTTAGTAACAAAATTCTGCTGGCCAGGCATGGTGGCTCACGCCTGTATTCCCACTACTTTGGGAGGCCAAGGTATTCGGAGTACTGTTTGAGGACAAGGAGTTCAAGACCAGCCTGGGCAACATGGCAAAACCCCATCTCTTAAAAAAAAAAAAAAAAAAAATAGCCGAGCATGGTGGTGCACACCTGTAGTCCCAGCTACTCAGGAGGATGAGGGGGAAGCCTCCCTTGAGTCCAAGAGTTCGGGATGCAGTGAGCTATGATCATGCCACTGTACTCCAGCCTGGGAAACAAACAGAGCAAGACACCGCCTCTTATAAAAAAAAAAAAAAAAAAAAAAAAAGACTGCTGCTCCAATGTGAAATGAAGCTCTAGATTAGATATCACAAAACACAAATGTCTTCTTCAAATCACTCTCAGTTACAGAAGAACTCTCTCTCTTTACTTCTGAGAAAGAGAAAACCCCTTCTGACACCTAGGAGCTGGCCTGGTACTATCACTAGTCCTTGGTCTTAATACAAACAAGCCCTGGCATTCAGATGGAGGCCTCAGTGTTCTCCTGCTGAACAAAACTATTTCACAGAACATCAATATCACACCAATCCATTCTGTAACCATGATATATCAAGACAAAAACACATTTATAATCATGTCTGAAAAAAGACAAAACATGATATTGTCCAAGCCAAAAAATACCAAACAGCACCTTTTCCCAGATAATAAGTGACTGATGTATTGTTTACTGATTACAGCTTTAGTTCTACTCTAATCAACTTCTCTATAGATAACATTAAGATACCCAATCATAGAATTACCCCACTTCTTGACAGCATCCCATCCACGGCAAACCGTTATTTTCTGAAACCTTCCCAATCACCAAGCAAAAGCCCAAATCCTGTATTTTTTTTTTACACCTTCTGCGACCCTCATGAATCCCAATAATATGAGTTTTTGCTCACCATGAAGTAATAAACACAAACTGTTTAACTGCAGGTGAGTCCCTGGTGGTCTCTGCCAGGCAGGTGTCAACATCCCACTGTCCCAGTTGTTGAATTTAAGTCAACAGGAGTCCCTTACTGTTCCTGCACTCCAAAGGCAATGATTACCATACTACAGAATAAAACATTCGAGTTCTGGTCAAAACTAACCGGAAATTGCAAACTCAAATGATGATAGCTTCCAGAGGATAACACATGTATGATTTGGACCAGATATAACACAACAAATAATAATGCCTACGCTATGGTAGGGCACAAATGAGTGCACACTCCAGTTAACAGTCTACATTTATCAAAACACTTGGCAGTGGCCAGAAATCACCAGTCTAAACATGGACAGTGTAAAACATGGTTTTCCTTCTTTCATTATCTTAAATAAAGTGATTTATTAAAACAGCTGGGCTCAAAACGTCAACTACAAAGCAAAATGGCAATTTTAGAAATTTAAAACACAAGAGCAACATACCATAACTTCCCCATCAATCTGTAATATCCTCTTAATCAATTTAACTTCTTTTAGTTTAATGTGAAAAGGCTTTTCCACTAGTTTGTCCCCAGTCATCAGATTTTCTCAAGTTAAAAGAACTGCTTTCTGCTTTGACCACAAACTTTCAATTCACTCTTCCTGGGCTTTTTGACTCAACTAAAAAGAAATACCTTGGTTAACCTCGCTAGTATTGCCATATTAGACAGAAGGATCTGAGCTACTCTTTCTGGTTTCTCTGCCTTGTAATCCCTGGCATTTTATTCATTATGTTCATATAAGAGAATTAATAGCTACACGGTTTTTCTTTTATCTCCCCTCCCCACCAGCTTTCCCCATCAACCACTTTGACAGAATGTTTTAATCACATCTTCTCAGTCTTCCCTACAAGAAAAGCCATTTGATTGCAACAGCAGATCATTTCTCTAATACTGGTTGCTATTTGCAATGGCTTGGGATAGCAGCTTAGAGAACTTTTTATAACTTTAAAAAGTGTACATGCACACATTATGTTTATTGCAGCACTATTTATAATAGCAAAAACTTAGAACCAACTCAAATGCCCATCAATGACAGATTGGATAAAGAAAATGTGGCACATAATACACCATGGAATATTATGCAGCCATAAAAAAGAATGGGTTCATGTCCTTTACCGGGACATGGATAAAGCTGGAAACCATCATCCTCAGCAAACTAACACAGGAACAGAAAATCAAACGCCGCATGTTCTTGCTCATAAGTGGGAGTTGAACAATCAGAATACATGGACGCAGGGAGGGGAACATCACACACTGGGGCCTGATGGGGAGTGAGGGGAAAGTGGAGGGATAGCATTAGGACAAACACCTAATGCATGTGAAGCTTAAAACCTAGATGACGGGTTGATAGGTGCAGCAAACCACCATGGCACGTGTATACCTATGTAATAAACCTGCACGTTCAGCACATGTATCCCAGAACTTAAAGTAAAATAAAATAAAATAAAATAAAAAGCATACATACAGTAAACCAAAACTCGAGAAAAGAAAGAGAAGAGCAAATTAAGACCCAGAACAAATTAACATTCCAGTTTTATCATAGACTGTAAAAGAAAAAACTGAATTTCTTGATAAATACAAATATTAAATCCCTTAGAATTATATACTTCCTAGACTGATCCATTTCATGTGTTTAACAATCTTACAGATGAACTAACAAATTTAGATTAAGTCCCCAGTTTAATAACCAGACCAATAAACAGAGAAGCAAAGAATAGAGGCCATTTCTTTTTATTCCTAAACCATGCTAACTTACCAAATGAAAAACACTGATAAGAACTACATAAAAAATCAGAAACTATCACAGCCTAAAAGCCAAAATCCTAAAAGCAAGTGCTTTTAAAGAAATACAGCTTGATGATATGATGAATAACAAAGTATGCCACAAATTTCCTGCCTCCTTCCAAACAGTGCACAACAGCTAATGAATCTGAAAACTGTACCTAGCATATTATGATAAACTTAAATATTAGACTGAAATGATATAAAAACCTAAAAGGAGAAAACACTAGAGCTTAAATATAAGCGAAACAGTAATAGCTTATATTATTAAATTTTAATAATTTCATGAAATTACATTTTAATAATTTCAAAATATTACATTTGCTTAAATGTACTAACCTTTCTTTTAAGCAGTCTATTATCAAATCAAAAATGCAACAAAATTCAAATTTCTAACATCCAGCCACATCGACCTAATATGCAACCTAATATGTGTGCTTTATTAATTTTTTTTCAACACAATAGACCTATACAAACATACATATTAGGGTTGAATACTACAGGTTGATTAAAATTATCTCAGCTCTCTTAAGGTAAAATGGGTTAAATACACCACTTATGAAGAATATAAGATGAGGAATTAAAATAACTAGAATTTTTACTTGGCAAGGTAACTTCTGACACTATCATAGTCTCTTGTCTCCTTTCAGCTAGCCTTGTTATGAACAATGAAGTGAAGTTTCACTTAGACATCAATTCAAGACTAAAAGGAGAGAAAATACAAGTAACAAGTAAAATGCAAAAAAACCAATTCTGCAAGTTAAAGAATAGATGTGGTCCCTTCTATGTGAGGAATCATATAACAAGAACAGACCAATTTAATTTTTAGTCAAATAAACTAAGACTTATTGGCAGCAATAAGTAACGTCATTCCTCCTTGAGGAAGAACAGTTAAGTACTTTTCCTAAATCTTTTGATCACATAAAGATTATCTCCAACGCCTCAAAAACATTCACAGGTTGAAATAATTGTTTAAAAGTTTTCAATATAGTAGAAGCAACAACAAAATGCTAAACTAGAAAGGTAAAAGAGCTACTCTGCAGTCTAATAGGTTGCCTAACTCTACAACATGTAATTCTTTAAATAGTTATACAAAAGCCTAGGATATTAATTTAATGATGCTGTAGGGTTAGAACATAGCCATAATTCCACCATTCTCATTTTAGAGTAATAAACATGAGGTTAATCCATTTTCATGAAGCATATATGCAAGTTATTTTCATTACTGAGCCAAGCAATACTTCTATACCATAAAGACTGATAGCAAAGTTTACCCAATACATACAATTTCAGATGTATACGATTTTTAATCAATACCCAAATTATCTTGAGTCCCTTTCCTTATACCTTAACAACTCCCATTTAAAAAGATCAGAAAGATACTCCTTTAGGATGAAAAGGTAGATGTGATGACTTCTAAAGTGACAATAATTCTAGAATTCTATAATACTCTGGATTAATTTATCTGTCAACATATGTAGAGATACTCCTTTAGGATGAAAAGGTAGATATGATGACAACTAAAGTGACAATAATTCTAGAATTCTATAATACTCTGGATTATGTGTCAACATCCATAGAGATCTGATGGTAATCAAATTCATTTACTTTGGAATGTATCAGGCACCACCAAGCACTAATACTAAGTACTAGGGATGGAAACACAAATTTCACACTGCCCTCAAGGAAAAGTCTGAAACGGCAGACATTTAGCCTGAATAAAATAATGAGAGGAATAGTCACACAAATCAAAAGCCAACTGATCTAAACACTTCAAAAATGGAAATTGTCATGAAAATCATGAGCAAACTGTTCCTGATTTAAAAGGACCAGAGACACAACAACTAAATGCTGTACATGATCTTTAACTTGTAAGGAGGGATATGCAGAAGGGGCCTAAAGAGTTTAAAAGAGCATTATTAGGCAACAGGGGAATTGTGATGTTAAATTTCTCAAGAGTGATAATGATGTTGTGGTTATTCCGATTCCCCTGTTCTTAGGGGATGCATATTTAAACATTTAGGAGTGAAGACATGATGCCTCCAACTTAAATTTAAATAAGCTTAGCAAAAAGACTTTTGTTTTTATTTATTTATTCATTTGAGATGGAGTCTCATTCTTGTCGCTGGAGTGCAATGGCACAATCTCGGCTCACTGCCACCTCTGCCTCCCGAGCTCAAGCAATTCTCCTGCCTCAGACTCCCGAGTAGCTGGGATTATAGGCGTCCACCACCAAGCCTGGCTTATTTTTTGCATTTTTAGTAGAGACGGGGTCCACATTCGCCAGGCTGGTCACAAACTCCTGACCTCAGGTAATCTGCTCACCTTGGCCTCCCACAATGCTGGGATTACAGGGGTGAGCCACCACGCACAGCCAAAAAGACATTTTATATAAGCAATGATATGCATATATCTTTTTCCTGAACATATTTAAATTCACATACATGAAAAAGAAAAGTAAGACAAATGTAACAAAATGCTAACAACTGGTGGAGCCATGTGTGTTCTTTTACCTTTTACACATGTTTCTTATTTGGGCATAATTTTTTTTTTTTTT
This sequence comes from Homo sapiens, assembly GCF_000001405.40. Classification (NCBI taxonomy): domain Eukaryota; kingdom Metazoa; phylum Chordata; class Mammalia; order Primates; family Hominidae; genus Homo; species Homo sapiens. The sequence goes on along the minus strand of NC_000005.10, from coordinate 65,998,905 downwards.
TTTTTTTTTTTGAGACAGGGTCTTGCTCTATTTTCCAGGCTGGAGTGCCATGGCATGATCACGGCTTACCGCAGCCTTGACTTCCCAGGCTCAAGCAATCCTCCCACAACAGCCTGAAGTAGTCGGAACCACAGGCACATGCCACCATGTGCAGCTAAGTTTATGATTTTTTGTAGAAACAAGGTTTTGCTATGTCGCCCAGGCTGATCTCAAACTCCTGAGCTCAAGGGATCCTTCCACCTCGACCTCCCAAAGTGCTGGGATTACAGGTGTGAGCCACTGGGCCTGGCCAAAAATTTTTAAGATAGCTAGATAAAAAGCAGGACATCACTATGCATGAATCCAATCTAAATAAAAATTAAATAATAAATTTATTCAAAATATAAATAGCTCTAAAGTTAAACAGCTCAATAACAAAAGGTAAAATAAAATACAGTACTATCTTTAAAGCTAAAATTTATTAGTTATTGTGAACTGAACGTCAGTACGGCACTAACCACTAAAACCTTCACCTTAACCTAGGATGAACATAAGCAAATAATAAATCCTTAAAACAGAAGTCCTGATTTGATCATAATCCTATAAAACATACATTTCAATGACCTGCAACTAAAATAAACAGAATTTAATAAGTGGAGATATATAAATATATATATATATCTATATATATATATTTTTTTTTGAGAGTCTTGCTGTGTCGCCCAAGCTAGAGTACAGTGGTGCTATCTTGGCTCACTGTAACCTCCATCTCCTGGGGTTCAAGTGATTCTCATGCCTCAGCCTCCTGACTAGCTGGGACTACAGGCACGTGCCACCACGCCTGGCTAATTTTTGTATTTTTAGTACAGACAGGGTTCACCACGTTGGCCAGGCTGGTCTTGAACTCCTGACCTCAAGTGATCTACCCACCTCAGCGTCCCAAAGTGCTGAGATTACAGGCGTGAGCCAACATAACTTTGTGTGTGTGTGTGTGTGTGTAGACAGACACCTGGTTAATTAGCTTTCCAAAGTTAACTGTTAATTGTGAAAACAGGATGAATTCTAATAAGCCCTAAAATGCTTCATAGTAAGTCCTAAAATTTAGGAAAACTGATAGGAGAAGGATTACTTCTGGATACTCATATCATTAGGACAAAGAATGACTTTGAAGCTAAGAGCTGTGGAATATGATTACTACATATTTGCTGGCACTGCTGCACTAACTTGGTGGGACTTGTTTATAAAGTTTTTTCCCCAATTCTTATTAAGAAGTATTACATGACAGTATTTAGCGTTTAGTGAAAGTCCTATATTTGGTCAGACCATTTAAAATTTATCCTCATGTGATTCTTTCTTTTTTGTAATTATAAAAGAAATACACACTCATTCTAAAAATTTCAAGGGCTGATTTCTCTCTCCTTCTGAGGTAAGGACTTAACATTTTAGAACGTATCTTCCATACTTAATGAATATCAAACTAAACATACTAAACAAGACTACCTGGCCTTAATAATTTCAACATATATATAAAAGTGATATATCACATCAACAAAACAAAGGAAAAAAATCTCTCAATGGATGCAGAAAAAGCATTTGACAAAATTCAACGTCCTTTCATAATAAACTCTCAACACATCAGGTATAGACGGAAAGCACCTCAACACAATAAAGGCCATATGTGACAAACCCACAGCTCACATCATACTTAACAATGAAAAGTTGAAAGCTTTTCCTTTAAGATCTGGGATAAGGCAAGGATGCCTATTCCTGCCACTTCTTTTCAACGTTGTACTTAAGTCCTACCCAGAGAAAGAAATAAAAGGATTCCAAATTAGAATAGGAGAAATTGAAGTGTCCCTATTTGCAGACAACATAACCTTATATATAGAAAACCCTAAAGACTCCAACCAAAATACTGTTAGAATAAATTCAGTAAAATTGCAGGATACAAAAATCAACATACAAAAATCAGTAGCATTTTTACATATTAACAACAAACTATATGAAAAGGTTATTAAGAAAACAATCCCATTTATAATAGCTACCAAAAAAATAAAATACTTAGAAATAAATTTAACTAAAGAGGTAAAAGACATATACACTGAAAACTATAGAACATTTGATGAAAAAAATTGAAGCAGCACAATAAATGGAAAGAAATCCTGTGTTCACGGACTTCAAAATCAATATTGTTAAAACGTCCATACTACCCAAAGTGGTCTACAGATTCAACCCAATCCCTACCAAAATTCCAGTGACATTTTTCATAGAAAAAGAAAAATCCTATGATTCATATGGAGCCACAAAAGACTGAATACCCAAAGCAACGGTGAACAAAAAGAACTAAACGGCAGGCATCACACCCGACTTCACAATATGCTACAAAGCAATCGTAATCAAAGCAGCATGGTAATGACATGAATACAGACAGACCAATGGAACAGAATAGACAGCCCAAAAATAAATCCACGTATTTTGTCAATTATTTTTTGACAAAGGTGCCAAGAACACACAATGGGTAAAGGACAGTCTCTTCAATAAATGGTGTTGGGACAACTGGACATCCACATGCAGAAGAATGAAATTAAACCCTTATCTTACACCATTTAAAAAATCAACTCAAAATGGATTAAAGACTTAACTATAACACCCAAAACTGTTAAAAAAAAAAAAAAAAAAAAACTACTAGGAAAAAAAAAATAGGAGAAAAGCTCCATGACATTCTGGAGCCTGGCAATGGCTATAACAATGATTTTTCTTAATATGACCCCAAAAGCACAGGCAAAAAAAGCAAAAACAGACAAACGGGATCACACCACACAAAACAGCAGCTGTACAGCCAAAGAAACAACAGAGTGAAGAAACAGATTATGGAGTGGGAGAAAATGTTTGCAAGCTATACATCTGAGAAGGGGTTAGCATTCAAAATATGTAAGAAACTAAAAAACCTCAATAACAAGAAAACAAGTAATCTGACATAAAAATCAGCAAATGACCTGAATAGATAGTTCTCAACAAAACACACACAAATCACCAACAGGTATATGAAAAATGTTCAACATCATTAATCACCAGAGAAATGCAAATTAAATCTACAGTGAGATACAACCTCACACCTGCTAGAATGAGTAAAAAGACTAAAGATAAGTGCTGATGAGGGTGTCGAGAAAAGGGAATGCTTGCACACTGTTGGTGGGGATGTAAATTAGTATAGCTGCTATGGAAAACAGTATGGAGAGTCCTCAAAAAATCAGAACTACCACAAGATCCAGCAATCCCACTACTGGATATGTATCAAAGTGAATGAAATCAGTATGCTGAAGAAATATTTACACTCCCATGTTCATTACAGCACTATTCACAATAGCCAAGATAAGGAACCAACCTAAGTGTCCATCAACGGATGAATGAATGAAGAAAATATGATATACACAATGGAATACTATTCAGCCTTTAAAAAGAAGAAAACCCTGTTAATTTGCAATAACATGGATAAACCTGGAGGATATTATGTTAAGTAAAACAAGCCAGGAACAGAAAAAAAAAAAAAAAATACCACATAAGCTCACTTACATATGGAATCTTGCTGAGGCAGAGGCAGAGTAGCATGGTGGTTACCAGGGGCTGGGGATGGGGAAGCAGGGATGGAGGATTGGAATATGTTGTTCAAAGGGTATAAGATTTCAGTTTGACAGGAGAAATAAGCACAAGAGATCTATCCTGCAACATGATGACCGCAATTAAAAATGTAAAAACAACAACAAAAAAATCCCTTACATTTATTCTCCATGTGCTTTAAGCTATCACAGATTTTACATACACATATTAAACAAATTCTAAGCCAAGGCTATAACATTTAATTTTACTGTATTTGATACAAAACAGGTGGCAAAACTTGTAAAGTCGGGCAACTATCTTTACATAAAACATTCTTAGATGAAGTTCATATTAATACATTAGATTTAACTTATTTTTATATTTTTATTTTTGAAAACTCAATAGAAATCTTAGTAATGAAACATGTTCCCAAGTACAAAAAATTATGGGCAAAAAAAGCCTTACCATTCTTGCTGACATCCAGTTCCCTGAGATTAATAAGGTTTGCAATGGATGCTGGTAACGTTGTTAAATCATTGTCTGGCAAACTCAGTTTGTGTAAAGACTGACAGTTAAAAAGTTGCTATTGAAAAAAGGGAGGAAAGAATGTCAATTATATACATCTTTAAATATTTCATGAACTAACTTTTATTATCAGCCATATTAAAACTGAATGAGTTATAACCTACACTAATACCAGGAAAGATGCCTCATTGTTCTGGTTATGCTATTATGGATATGAATACAACTGAACCATTCAGATTAATTTATATCTTCATACTTCTACCTTAAGTAAAATGCACTTAGTGAGAATAAGTATATGGCTATATCCTCTGTTGAGTTAGTAAAAAAAATAAGTGGCTACTAAATGTGATAAACTCTGGAGCTTGTCTTTCAAGCAACCTTATTCCAAAATGAAAGCCCTATTTAAGAAGAGTATTCTTCTAAAAATGTAAAAGTGTTAGGTGTGATAAGACATAAATGATTCAGTTATTCGCACTGTTGTAGCAAGACTTTCTCTTTTCACCAAAACCCCTAAACCAAGACTCTACTGGTGGTGATTAGAGAAGGAGACAAATTTTGGTCCTCTATATTCTCTAGAACTAGCTAAGGAAGATAAATTGCCTGCTGAAGAACAACATATAAGGAAGAACAGTAAATTATCCAACCACAACCTAGGTTTCTAGTTCATAAACATGAGACCAACAACCTTTAACTTTTATCCATAGCCATATAAAGATTTCTCTGTAAGATGACCCCTAGGATAGCAGTGGCTTTCAAAATGTTCTTACTGACCACCAGAAAAAAGCCTGTTGCATACTGTCATCCAGTATGTATATACACACAAATCTAAAATATTTTCATAAAACAATGGCTATATACAACACACTCTATTTTCTATTTTTTATAATTAAGGTTGCAGGAGTAGGTATAAGATGTCCATTAAATTTGAATTTCAGACAAACAACAAATAATTTTTTAGTACAAGTATATCCCACAGTTTTATGGGACACACTTACACTAACAAATTATTCCTTATTTGAAAATTCTAATTTAAGCGTCCTATATTTCCTAATTCTCGCAGTCCAAATTTATAGTTTTTTTTCCAAAATGCTGCCCACACATACTGAATTGATTTTATGAGCTACCAATGGGTCTCCACGCACGGTTTCAAAAACACTGCTGTTTGGGTGGCAAAAGATCCCAACAATTAAATATATAGCAATTAACAATTAAATATATAGCAATTTAACTGGTATAGGATAATGAGAGGGAAAATTGAAATAGGATAATGAGAGACTGGGATTTAAGAAGAAAAAGTACACTGAAAAAAGTTTAGTGAAAAAAAAACAAGGTGATAACTTGAGAAGGTGTTTCATGGCAACAAACCAACTTTCTCCTTTCAGTTGTTACTAGACTTCAGAAATGTTAAGTCCTCCAAAACCTTTCCAAACAAATTGTAAATGGAGGAAAACAATATCTGTATGAACTCAAGAAAAGCTGTTTAACAATAAAATTATGATATGGTAAAAGGACAATTGCCCTCAATTATAACAATACACATTAATGTCTTATGAAAAGTAGGAAAAGACAGCATTAATTTCAATTATTGCTCTAGTTAAATCTACTGACTCCAGAAATTATTTAGTCTCATTATTTACCTTAATGGCTACAATACAACTAAAATTAAATACAAAATTTTACGTTATCTGCACAAGTATAAAAGCAATTAACTTGAAGAAATACAAGTTTTAAAATCGACTTTTAAAAATTTGAATTGTACGGCATACTCTACGATACAATTAAACCAAAAAATTCAACCACACAAATATATTGGCAACTTTATAGCAATATTAGGAATATCATATTTCTAGATATAAAAATAACCAAAGATAATTCTTGAAAGAAAGTATTAGCATACCTTTGGAAGCTCTTCAATCTGATTAGCATCTAAATAGAGTTCCTCCAAGGTTTTTTCAAAAGTAAAAATCTCTTTCGGAACTTGTTCTAAGCTGCAATGAGAATAATCAAGAGTAGTGACAGTCTCCTCTTCCCCTCGTAGACAGCGACATGGTACCAACCGCACAAACAAACTTCGTTTTGTAGTCATTTTTAGACACTGCAATATTCGAATAAAAAGAAATTTAAAACATACATATTACAACGGTTTTTCAGAACAAATCATTCCAATCTATCACAATTCATATGTCACAGATAAACACTTCTCCTGCCACTATACAAGCACAATGGAACCCATTTAACATTGCTTTAATACCCACATTTATAACTACTGGATTTCAAATTAAACTCAAGCTCTTTAGTACTTCACAAAGCAATCCATGAAGTAGCCATTTACATGCTTCTTCAAAAACTGTGCTTTGAGGCCGGGCGCAGTGGCTCACACCTGTAATCCCAGCACTTTGGGAGGCCGAGGCAGGCGGAACACGAGGTCAGGAGATGAGACCATCCCGGCTAACAGAGTGAAACCCCGTCTCTCCTAAAAATACAAAAAATTAGCTGGGCGAGGTGTGGGCACCTGTAGTCCCAGCTACTCGGGAGGCTGAGGCAGGAGAATGGCTTGAACCCGGGAGGTGGAGCTTGCAGTGAGCCGAGATCGCGCCACTGCATTCCAGCCTGGGCAACAGAGCGAGACTCAAACAAACAAACAAAAAAAACTGTGCTTTGAGTCTGCTTCTTAGTACTCAACAAGAAAAACTCTAATAAGACGAAGATTTTTATTTAATTTTACTTAATTTCTGAGTAAGAGTTCTATGAGTCTTCATTAAGGACATGATTAAGTGCAGTTTTGAGTAGGAAGTGGGAATGCGAAGATATTTTCAGGTCTTCTTAACCAGCCATCAGGGATCAACCACCCTATAACCTTCCTATGAAAAGTCCAAGTTTCCACATGAAAATTCCCACCTACCCCAAGTATATTTTGTTTCAATTAAATATTGGCCATATAGTTTTTCTAAAGAACTTATATGTCTTAAATGTGTTTAAGGTTACACACTGGTGCAAAAACTTGCTTAAATAAAGAACAGATTTCAAATTAATTGAGGGAAAAGGCCAATTCTGAATTAGTGAACATTCTCAGGGCCAACTTTATTAAGTACACAATGTATATACATAGGTTAATTCTAACTAGGCTAAGATTATATTAGCAAAGTAAGATTATATTTGCACAAGTAATAAAGCAATTAACTTGAAGAAATAAAAGTTTAAAAATCGACTTTTAAAAATTTGAATTGTGCAGCATACTCTAAGATAAAATTAAACCAAAAAAATCAAACACCACACAAATACATTGGCAATTTTATAGCAATTTTAGGAATAAATAAAATTAAAATGATAATTAGTGTTATCAATTCTTTCTGTGTAAAACAATCCATTCTTACTGTAGTCAGAAGATTCTATTAGAGTATTAGATTACCTCTAACCAGAACCAAGACTAGGTTAAGGCTAGTAAGGACTCAGGCACAAAATATAAGGAGGTATCAAAAAATTCAGTAATCAAGATAAATACAATATCTTAATAAAATGTTTTAAAAATACAGATTACTGAAAAAGAATCCATGTATAAACAAAATGTCCAATGTTAAAATACAGACAGGATCTGGTATTAGTGATTTTTCCTTTTGCCTCAAGCTGTAACAGGGATCTGCAAGGCACTGCTTCTAATTCTTCTACTTCATATTATATGATATTTTAAAAGTGACAAAGAATAAGATATGTATTTCCCTTGCAATCTTTTTAAAAAAGTGATTATTCTAGGCTGGGCGCAGTAGCTCAGACCGGTAATCCTAGCACTTTGGGAGACCAAGGCAGGCAGATCACCAGAGGTCAGGAGTTCGAAACCAGCCTGGCCAACATGGTGAAACCCCATCTTTATACAAAAAAATTAGCCAGGCGTGGTGGCGGGTGCCTGTAATCCCAGGTACTTGGGAGGCTGAGGCAGGATAACTGCTTGAACCCGGGAGGCAGAGGCTGCAGTGAGCCGTGATTGTGCCACTGCACTCCAGCCTGAGCAACACAGCGAGACTCCGTCTCAAAAAAAAAAAAATTTTTTTTTTACTATACTTACTCAATCACTCTATACCAGGCACTGTGCTAAGTTCTTTAGATAAACTACATGCAGACTCTCATTTCATCATCACTACAATTTTTTTTTGAGATGGAGTCTTGCTCTGTCACCCAGGCTGGAGTGCAGTGGCACGATCTCAGCTCACTGCAAGCTCCGCTGCCCGGGTTCACGCCATTCTCCTGCCTCAGCCTCCCGAGTAGCTGCCCGCCACCATGCCCAGCTAATTTTTTTTGTATTTTTAGTAGAGACAGGGTTTCACCATGTTAGCCAGGATGGTCTCCATCTCCTGACCTCATGATCCGCCTGTCTTGGCCTCCCAAAGTGCTGGGATTACAGGCGTGAGCCACTGCACTCGGCCTACTTACTCAGTCACTCTATACCAGGCACTGTGCTAAGTTCTTTAGATAAACTATATGCAGACTCTCATTCCATCGTCACTACAACTTTCTAAGATATGTGCTGTTATCTGCATTTTTCCATGAAGAAACTGAGTCCGTGCTCTTCTATACTGCTTCTCAATATATAATAATGCATACTTGAAGGAAGGTTCTTAAAACAATTCAAATATCAGTAAATCTTCACTACATACTCCTCCTTCAGAATTTAAAAAAAGAAACTCAGATGTCAAACATTAAATGTTTCCATCTAAAATCTCTGTCAACAAATAAATATCCAGAAAAGTTTACTACTTAGTAACAATCTTTGTTTATATTAAGGCATATTTTATCAGTAAGAATAAACAGTTCATCTAATAAGATTTTAATCGCCAGAAGAGAATTTAGATTTTACCTATGTGCTTATGAGATCATTTTAAAAATTCCAAAAATGAATACAAAATTTCTTGTTCTAGACATTTTAAGAATACAACTGATACTGAGTTAGGAGGACACTTAAGAATGGGAAAGAATTCTATCTGCTATGTCCAGTATGGTAGCCACTAGACACATGTGGCTATTTACACTTAGTATTAAAAGCTAAATCAAATAAAATTAAAAATTCAGCTTATTAGTCACACATGTAAACACTTAATGGCCACTGGACCATACTGGGTCCAAACATATAAAGATAACATATAAAGATGTAGGGCACTTGAGATATAAGACAATTTATAGGGTCAAGTAATTGTTCATGGAGATATAACAATTTCCGATTTTTTTTTCTGTAGAGCTAATCATGTTGCAGACAGACAAACAGAAATTGCAGAACTTCTCTGAAAGGAGAACGAATTCAGAAAAGAAAGATTAGATTGGGCTCTAGGAAGCTAAATAGAGTTGAAATCTCAAAGGAAAACTTTCTGTGAATAGAGACTACAAAGACAGCGGTTTAGACCTCAGATCAAATTCAGTGGGCCTGGTGCCAATATAAAAACGAACACCAAATCTATATAGGCCTGCAAGTGGAAGTGGTATAGACTAAAAACTGCTGACTGATAAGAAAGGCTGAGAACCTTAATTCTTGAGGGCAGAGGAGGAAAGTAACATACGAAAGAGAAGTAAATGAGTAACAGTATCCAAAGACTGATTCTCCTTTACAGAATAACACAAGGAAATAATCCAAAAGGAAGAAAGCCTAGCCTGATCAGAACTGAATTGATCAACATGGGAACTGCTCATTAGAATTTCAGGTATGTGATAAGGAAGAGCCACTTTATAAATCAGAAGTAACACTGTAGACATAAGAATCTTCTAATCACAACGAAGAAGAAAGTGTCGACCCAGAAAATGAGCACAATAATAAGCTTTTTTTTTTTTTTTTTTTTTTGGAAACAGGGTCACACTCTGTTGCCCAGGCTGGAGTGCAGTGGTGCGATCTTGGCTCACTGCAGCCTCGATCTCCCAGGCTCAAGCGATCCTCCCACCTCAGCCTCCCAAGGGTACTACCATGCCACCAGCCACCATGCCTGGCTAATTTTTGTAATTTCTACAGAGATGGGGGTTTCGCCATGTTACCCAGGCTGGTCTCAAACTCCTGCACTGACCTCCCAAAGTGCTGGGATTAGAGGCATGTGCCACTGCAACTGGCTGCTGAAAACTTTCTACCAAAAGAAATTGAAGTTACTTACCACTGGGTTGAATTTATCTCCCTGATGTTTCTTAATTGAGCCAACATTCTATGGAAAGCAAAAAAAGAACCAAAATTAACAATAAAAACGGATCTTTATGACTTTAAGGAACATCTCTTTAAATACCTAATTTATATAAAAGTTAAATTAAACTTCTCAAAAATTAACCTCTGTAAACTGAAAACAGTTAAGACCAAATAGTCAAACCAAAATATTAGCCTCTTAAAAACGTACACACAAGTGTATGCACACACACACACACACATATTTACCAGCTTCTAAATAAATGACTAGCTTTTTTTTTTTTTAAGAGACTGGGTCTCACTCTGTCACCTAGACTGCAGCCCAATGGCACAAACATGACTGACTGCGGCCTCAAACTCCTGGGCACAATCAATCCTCCCACCTCAGCCTCCTGAGAAGCTAGGACTACAGGTGTATACCACCATACGCAGCTAATTTTAAAAAAACTTTTTTAGAGACAGGGTCTCACTATGTTGGCCATGCTGGTCTTGAACTCCTGGCCTTAAGCGATTCTCCCACCTCAGTCTCCCAAAGTGCTGGGATTACAAACGTGAGACACTGCACCCAGCCAAATGGCTATCTTTATAGTGGATAGTCTTCATACATTTATAAACTCTTGAGAGCCCTCATTATATAAATACTCTTTCACCTACCATTAAAATGCCATTAATTTGAACTTACTGAGAAATAACTTTCCAAGCAAATAAACTCGAATGGCCAATTATATTTTAGTAATTTTTCATAGTTCTATGTGGCAGGCACTGTTAATTGTTTATGGGATTTATTTTCCCTTCTAAGATTTTTTTTTTTTTTTTTGGAGACGTATCACTCTGTTGCCCAGGCTGGAGTACAGTGGTACAATCTCAGCTCACTGCAACCTCCACTTCCTAGGTTCAAGCGATTCTCCTGCCTCAGCCTGCCGAGTAGGTGGGATTACAGGTGTGCACCACAACACCTGGCTAACTCTTTAGAGAGACGGGGTTTTGCCATATTGGCCAGGCTGGTCTCAAACTCCTGACCTCAAGTGATCCAACCACCTTGGCCTCCCGAAGTTCTGGGATTAACAGGCGTGAGCCACCACGCCTGGACTTTTTTTTGAGACAGGGTCTTGCTCTGTCACCCAGGCTGGAATGCAGTGGCACAATCACGGCTCACTTCAGCCTCAACCTCCTGGGCTCAAAGGATTCTCCTGCCTTAGCCTCTTGAGTGGCTGGGACTATAAGCGTGCACCACCACACCCAGCTAACCTGTTTTTCTTTTTTCGTGTGTGTGTGTGTGTGTGTGTGTGTGTAGACAGTCTCTCACTATGTTGCCCAAGCTGGTCTCAAACTCCTGGCTCAGCAATCCTCCCACTCAATTCAGCCTCCCAAAGTGCTGGGTTTACAGGTGTGACCTGGCCTTCCTTTCAAGACTCTAGACTATTCAGGGCAGTAAGGGGCCCAGCTCAATTACCACTTTTGAGCTTTCCATGCCTGGAGGGGTAAACAAGAAATGGGTAACACAGTGAAAATCAAAGACTTATATTCTGAAGTCTGCTTTGGGGGTGAAGTGCCGGTTAATTCTGGAAAAACATTTGCTTTCCTGATAAAAGGGAGCAAATACATCTGACACCACCACTCTCCCATTTTTCTAGCCTCGTATGTGTACACAGTATCTAGTGCTGCAACAACCATCCTATTACCGTAAGTCAACAAGGATGAGGATTAATAACCAGCCAATAAATAAGACTGACAGAGGAAAAAAACAAAACAAGCTGGGGTTTCAAACAGCATTGCTAAGCAATTAATGCTGAATTAATGCTAACTATTCTCTATTTCTGGATTTCTTGGTATGTGGGAAAACTAATTCCCTTATTTGCTTTATTAATTATAGCTGAATTAATGCTAACTATTCTCTATTTCTGGATTTCTTGGTATGTGGGAAAACTAATTCCCTTATTTGCTTAAACTATTGCTATGTTTTCTTTACTTGCAGCCAACACATTCCAAAGTGAGACAGCCTAAAACACAAAATAATACTCTTAATAAAAAGTACATACATCATAAATCATCTTTTTCTTAAAAACTGAGAGTAATATCCATTTATGTGTTTCAGAATTTCAGAATTGCCCTAAATACATCAAACTATTTGTCGCTATGCCAAATGGTATAGGACTAACGTGTTTAACGTGTGTGTTTAACGTTCTCTAAGAATTCTACATATACTGCATGCCACAAAAAACAACAACAACAAAGCTGTGTGTACAGCAAGCAAAGCTGGCCACCAAATCTTCTGTCACTCATACACACTCCCACAGACATGACAGTCTGGTGGAACGGAGCTGCCACTAAACTGAAATGGAGTAAGACCATGGTAGGAGCAAGGCAGAGAGAAGAAAGATGTTTGTATTCAAAAACTTTACTTTGAAATACTTGAAAGATATCTGAGTAGGACACTGAGTAAGCAGCTGGATATAGGCATTCAGAGATGTGGGAAGAGATCCAAGCTGTGGATATAAATCTGAAAGTCATCTGCTTATAGATGGTATTTAAAGCAATGAAATAAGATGAGATCATCAAGGGCAGGAGGGCAGACAGAAAAAGAGAACAAGTTCAATGGCTGAGCCCCAAAACATTATAGATGACCAGCAAAGGACACTGAAGAGAAGCAGCCAAGTGAGGCAAAAGAAAACACCCCACTCCAAGAGAAAAAGTGTGATATTCTAAACGCCAGGCGGAAAAAAAAAAAGTTTCAAGGAGGAAGATGTTATCAACTCTGTTAATAAGGACTTAGAATGGCCACTGTGTATTAATGTGAAAGTCATTGATTATCTTGACAAAACCACCTCTGGTTGGTGGGGCAAAACACTATTTGGAAGGGATTCAAGAAAGAACAGAAGAACTAGAATCGACAACTCAGGTAGTTTTGCTATATAAAACATTAGAAAAATCAAGTAGTTGCCGGACCCGAATATGAATGAAGAGATACAACAGCAGATTTGTAGACAGATAGATAGAAACAATCTAGTAGAGAAAGAGAGGAGCTCATTGATAATTTTCGTAAGTAGGATTTGGGCAACCATTCATAGACTGCCCTAGTAAACTTTGCCACCAATTTAAAAAGCTGCTCATGAGGAAGAAAAACAAATCTTGGCTGTAATTGCAACTAGCTAGTTAATATTCACTCGTTATTTTTGAAAAATACAGATACTATACCCTCTCCCTAGAGATTCTGATTTAGTAAAAGGTACAGTATAAAATTCAAAATTCTTTGTCTTAAACAAAATGTCGGGCCGGGCGTGGTGGCTCACGCCTGTAATCCCAGCACTTTGGGAAGCTGAAGTAGGTGGATCACAAGGTCAGGAGATTAAGACCGCCTGGCCAACATGGTGAAACCCCATCTCTACTAAAAATACAAAAATTAACTGGGCATGGTGGTGCGCACCTGTAATCCCAGTACTCAAGAGGCTGAGGCGAGAGAATTGCTTGAACCTGGGAGGCACAGGCTGGAGTGAGCCAAGATTGCGCCACTGCACTCCAGCCTGGGCAACAGACCGAGACTCCGTCTCAAGCCAACAACAAAAAAATGTCATGTGATTCCTTTTTCCAACACAGTTTCAACAATAATCAATGCATGGTCAATCTTATTTCATCTATACCATAGCCACTATTATTTAGCCTTCCCCATCCACTACTTGAGATTGTTTTGACAAAAGTCTCAGTTTGAGAATTACTATAAAAATTGAAAAGTAAAATCAATATAAAGGTTTTTTTTTTTTTAAATACAGCACATCTTCTATTTACCTAAAGAGATCACAAGACATACCTGGCTAGATTTTTTTTCTTTTTCAGTGAGCAATAAAGCTTAATTAACCAGTACTGCGAGGTCACCTTCATGGATTAGCATCCTGCTGTGAGCTGAAAGACTGAACAAGCAGAAGCATAAGCCAAACCCATCCCTCCACGCTCCCCACTGTGCAGATGGACTTACTGAGGCTCCAGCATACACTGCTTGCTCAGCACTTTATCTATTTCAGGCCAAAGTGTCAGCAGAACTGATACCCACAGGGCATCCAAGTCCACATCCAGACCCAGTTCCCTCTGCGGCCCTCTCTTAAACCGAGCCACTGACTGCTGATGGTGAGTTCCCAATCATGGGCTGCACTGAGGGTGCCAGAGGCCTGGGTGGGCATGAAGCCTGGTGGGTATGGAGTGAAGGGGATTTGGGAGTGGCATCTAGAAGGTCAGCATGAGGGGCAGAGAGGAGAAAAAGAACCCATGGCTTGCAGCCAGCAGGGGAAACGGGCCCAGTGCACAGACGGGGCCCCTAGTGAAGCCCATCCAGGCCAACTGCCCTCAGTGTAGATCTGAGTGGAACAGGACAAGACTGATAAGTGAAGAAAATGAGAGAAGCTGAGTGGGCAGGGGCCCCACTGCCTCCTGCCTGCAAGGAGGCCACGCTGGGTGTGCAAACGGAATAGCAAGTACACAAAGATCCTCACTGAGGGGGCCCGAAGAGACATGAGGCCAGAGGAGTCAGTTATTCCTTGCCGGCCAATATGTTAGGACCAGCTGCTCCATGGAGACGATCTGGTCCACTATTTCCCAGAAACTGGAATTTGCTGCTTGATACCTCCTCTTGGGGTAGAGCTGCCACACGGGAAGCAGGTGGGAGAAGGGCAGCTGGCTGGGGGACAGTGGTTCCCGGGTGTGCACTGGCATCTACCACATGTGCACTGTGATGCTAGGTTCATATGTGCTGCCCTGGGAGCTTGAGCACCTGGCCCTTTCTCTGTGCAGGGGACTGAGGCGCACAACCACAGTCACCCAGGTCCTCCCCTTGTCATCCTCATAGATGCCAGGTCTCCAGATCCACAGACAGTTGGGGGGGGTGCCCTGAGATGCGGAGAAGCTTTGGAGGCCATGGCAAGGCTGCACTCTGGGGTCGCCTGGAGGCACACATGTATACTCGGCTGGATTTAAGAGCAATCTTATGTGGTGCAATATTTCATTTTGTAAAAATGTAAAACAAAGCCTCCTCAGGCATGCCCACACCTATTAGATGGTATTTAGTGGTTGTGTAAGATCATTTAGTTTAATCACAGTTATCACAATGTTGCTAATCTGTATTTGGTATATTTGTGCTTAGTTCCAAGTCATTTTATGAACATTATTAACCCCTTACTGATAAGTACATAAATAGTAAACAATTAAAATAATAATATGAAAAAGAATAAAGATAGGAAGGTAAGAAGAGTAAAAAAAAAGTTTTTGAACTTAAGTAATGAAAAAATTATAAACGCTGTGTAAGAGCATTTATAAGGACAACAGTCAAAAACTAAATATATATAAAATGTGATATGCCTACAACATATACAAGAAATAAGGAAAAGATGTTGATGGCTAGATCATACTTATAACTAGAAGATCAACATCAATGTCTGGTCCCATCAGCCTAATTCTGATCAAGAAGAAAGCTGGGTATTATTTCAATATGAACAGTGTTAAAATTTTATATCAAACTATAGTTAGCCTAAACATGTCTAAAAATGTATTACTGTGCAATTAAGTGGTAGACATATACACTGAAGTTACCAAGGAATCCTTACATTTGCAAAATTTTCCATTTTTATATTTTTAGATACAATTTACATAATGAACACATTCTAAGAGTATAGATGGTAGAGAAATACAATCATATAACCAGCAGGAATCAAGACATGGAACATTTCCATCACCCTACAAGGTTCACACTTGCCCCTTCCCAGTCAACATCCTGACCAAGACAGCCTGTCCTGAATAAAAGTACATTTGTGTACAAGCGTTATAAGAACACATGCTTCTGTTCTCATAGGTAAATATATGGGAATGAAACTGCTGAGTCATAGTCTATAAGTAATTTAATTCTACTCAAAACTATTGTCTTACAAAGTGGTTTTATTATTTAACACTCCCAGCAAATAGAATTCCAATTACATTCTCACCAACACTTGGTACTGTTTTCTTAATTTTGGCCTATGTAATTGCAGTATCTGGTTTTTATTTTGCATTTTTCTAATTACAAATGGCTTTGAGGATCCTTATCTGTATCTAGATCTTATTTTGATGAGACAGATCATCAAGCCTCATACTCTAATGGAATAAGACTTTTGGAAAAGAGTGATCAAATTTTGTATATGAGAGGAAGGCAAATTACTGTGATCGAGAGTACACTGGGTTGAAAGACAATTCTCCATAAACATTTCACATTCCTGCATGTTCTCGGTCCTCTGAGCAATGTCATTTACATAAGGTGTTTGTATAAAGACATTCTAGGATAATAACACTAAGCAAGATTCAGAGAGTCCACCTTCCCCTCCCCAGAAAAGATTTGCTTATACTCCAGAGGAGAGGATGGACAGGTTACCAGTAGTCCTAAATAAGATCAGGTTTTCCAATTTGGGGTTCTTCTCCTGTAACGTACACTACTGCATGAGCAGGTACTACAGGACTTTCAGTATGTCACCCTGTGAAGATTAAGGCTCAAAGAACTGACACAAGACATTGCTCTAGTCACTGCTTTTGTGGTAATAATCTCTCTTTGTCTCTAATCTAAAGGTATTGTTTTCTGGCAGGCTTAACTTTTTAGCTTGTAAATAGGGTAAAATCTCAGATTTCACTATTTCTGACTTAACCACTGTAGACTGAAAAACATGGCCAGAATGTTTTACACCACCTAAAATCATGCCATAGAATCTATTTCCCCAACCCCATGAATTTGGGCAGGCCTTGTGACTTGTTTACATCAACTCAATGCAGCATAAGTTTTGTTGGGCAAGTGACAGTCCCTATGCCTCATGATTTGCAAAGTCCACCTTTACCTTCTTTGAATGTTGCCCTGAGAATACAATGCCACAAAGAAGCCTGAGATAAAAGACCACATGCTGATTCACATAATTCAGAGAAATAGTCAACTGCTATCGTTTTAAGCCAAGTGGTGGAGAGATTCTTAACACAGAAACAGATACCTAAAACAATTGTTTTTTTTTTGTTGTTTAAAAATAACTAAAACAAAATTTTTAAATAGTTATTTCCTTTTTATCCTTGTTAACAGCTATAGAATCTGTACCATAAGCACCTCCCTCATTTTTTATACCAGTAATCTGCGGATTTTTTTATTCCCCTCAGTCAATCTTGCTAGAGGCCTATCAATTGTATTGATCTTTTCAAAGAGGAAATGTTATATTTTGTTCATTTTCTTAGAGTATGCTTTCTGTTTCATTGATTTCTGCTTTCTTCTCTATATTTTCTGCCTTTCACTTATTCTGAATTTCTTTTTCTGTCCTTAGAATAAAACTTTCTAATCCTTGTTTCTTTATTAAACTTTAAAGATATAAATTATCTGAGTACTACTTTAATAATTTAAGCACTGCATTTAATAATTTTGATGCTGTCTTTTCTGAATTTATTTAATGTCCTTTCTAATTTTCCATTTGATTTATTCGTTTACTGATGGGTTGTTCAAAATTGACTTCCTTAATTTCAAAATATTTGGTAATCTACCAAACCTCATTTTGTTACTGATTTCTATGTAATTCCAATGCAGTCAACAGAACAGTACTATCATTTCAAGCCTTTGAAATATGTTGAGACTTTTGACGCCCCACGTAATTCTTAGTGAGAGGTTCCACGTGTACATGAATGTCACATACTGCCTCTCTTGGGTATAATGTTCTACAAATGTCAATTAGATAAAATTGGTTGACAGTTGTATTCAAATCTTCTATAGCCTTACCAATTTATGGCTTTTTCTGTAAGTTATCGAAAAGTATAGGCATCTCTTAACTATAGTTGTAAATTTGTCTATTCTTTTATATTTATTTCATGTATGTTGGAGATTCATTATACAGTGAATAGATATTTAGGGCTCATATCTTCTTGGTGAATGGATCCTTCTCACATTACGAGGTTTTTTTTTTCCCGCTAGTAATCCTTGTCTTTTAGTATTTTGCCTGATGTCACGATAGTCATAGGAGCTTTCTCTTGATTAGTGTTAATATGGTATATATTTTCCATGGATTACTTTTAACCAAATGTCTTTACATTTCAAGTACCCATTTGTAGGAAGCATAATGTTGGGTCCTTTTAGAAATCAAATTTGACAATTTCTGTTTTAATGGTGGGCTTAGATCTTTCATATTTTATGTAATTATTGCTATGACAACTTAAAACTATCACATTATTATTTATTTTTGCTTTGTTTTTGTTTTTTTTGAGACGGAGTCTTGCTTTGTTATCCAGGCTGGAGTGCAGTGGCATGATCTCGGCTCACTGCAACCTCCACCTCCCAGGTTCACCCGATTCTCCTGCCTCAGCCTCCTGGGTAGCTTGGACTACAGGCGCCCGACACCGCACCCAACACCACACCCAGCTAATTTTTGTATTTTTAGTAGAGACAGGGTTTCCCCATGTTGGCCAGGCTGGTCTCGAACTCCTGACCTCAAGTGATCCCCCTGCCTTGGCCTCCCAAAGCACTGGGATTACAGGTGTGAGCCACCACACCCAGTATCATATTTATTTTCTATTTGTTCTTTGTTCTTCTTTTCTTACCTTCTAATAAAGTTTTCCTTTTACTCCATTTTATCTCCTTTTGTGGACTTTTAGCTATCCTACATTTTTGGTTGCTCTAGAAATTACAATATACATTCTTCATTCATCATAGCCCATTTTCAAATGATATTACACCATTTCACATATAACCTAAGTACTATAAAAGAGTATGTGTATATTTACTTCCAACTTTTGTGCTCTTATATTTTACTGATACATACTATAAATTCGATAATACATTGTTATTTTTGTCTTTGTGCTATCCACTGTCATCGATATAAATTTAAAAACTAGAAGATAAACTTTCATATTTATTCACACATTTACCATTTCCTTCTGTCTTTATTTCTTATCATAGAACTGCTATTAAGGCTATTTGATCAATTTTTAAAATTTAAGATATTCTATTTTCCAGTTCCAGAATATGCATTTGGTTTTTTGGCATGTCCATTACTCACCTGAAAATACCCAATCCCCCATATATTATCCTGCCAATTGCCTTAATGTTCTTTTCTCCTAATTCCAATAATTGGGTCATCTATAAGCCTATACAATCACCCTTTTCCAGGTCTTTGTATGTTTCATATATTTTATAATATTCTAGACACTGTAAGGTAATAGTCAGAAATTCAGTATAATTTTTACTCATTTGGTTTGCGGGTTTTTTTCCAGACAGGGTCTCAGTCACCCAGGCTGAAGTGCACTGGCACAACCTCAGCTCACTGCAGCCTCAACCTCCCAGGTTCAAGTAATCCCCAACCTCAGTCTCCCAAATAGTTGGGACTACAGGCATGCACCACCACCACAGTCAGCAGTTTTTTATTTTTTGTGGAGACAGGGTCCCACTATGTTGCCCAGGCTGGTCTTGAACTCCTGGGCTAAAGCAATCCTCCTGCCTCCACCTCTCAAAGTGCTAGGATTACAGGCATAAGCCACCACGCCCCACTATAATATTGTTTTAAGTGTTATTTCCCAGGGAGTGCAAGGTCCTTCTACTTCTCCCAGGATAAAGGCTGGAAATTCAGATTTCTAGTAGAGTCCATTTGAGCTGGCAGCAGCTTTAATTAGACTCAATTCATCTGTAATCAGCCCAAATCCCAACCTCCCCATCACCGACCCACAGTCACCTTTTCGATCTTGTCAAATCTGAGGTAGTAGAAGCTTGGGTTGCAGTTCCAAATACTTTTTTGGTTCAGTTTACCTTCAGATTCAAGTCCAACAGGGTCCCAAATTCCAAGCACTCCTTGAATTTGCAGGACTACATGATTTCTTTATGCTTTCAATCCTCTCCTCTCCTGCGACTTCTTGGCAAAATGTAACAGGGACAGACCCAAGCATCATGCTTAATTATTTGATTTTTGCCTTTGAGGCTCTGTCAGAGTCCCACATCTTCCCTAAAGCCCACACTGTCATTCAAGGATCCTAATTCTTGAATGCCTTTATCCTATCCCTTCAATGTCTCTCCATATTATCCGCCTATACTGATACTAGGCACCTGCCCCCAGGCGGGCAAACTGCCACATTCACCTACACAGAACTCTTGTTATTTCTGAAATTCAGATCACTAAGGCTTCCTTGAGTCCACCAATTTTTGCTAGCCCTATTTTACAAAGTGTAGATCAAGGTTGAAGAATCTGTGGAATCCTCTTCCATCTCAGTGTAGCAGGACTGATGTAACTTAGGAAACAAGAGAGCCTCAATTTTTTTTTCAACAGAAAAAGTCGTTCATTCCACAATTAGAAATATGACTACAAATGCAAACATCTCAGACAGAATTAACCATGAAAAACTGACATTAGACCATTCTATAATCTGAAGGAAAAGGTGGGAGAGAATGAGGAAAGAAACAGCTCAATATAGGCTCATAGCAATACTTGGAAAAGGTGAAACTGCATAAAATAAAGACTGGAAGTCTGTGGGTAAATTTCACCTGTTCCTAGCATAGAGTTGACTTGGCTATTTTCAACAATAGGTCAATAAAAGGTGTGCAAAAAGACATTTGTGACAATACAGATCACAAATATGTATATTCACAAAGCTGTTGCTTAATATGACAGGGAAATTAAATCATGACATTGTTTCCAACCTAGAAATAGCTTTCTCGCTCCCTCTCCCTCTCCCTCTCCCTCTCCCCTAACCCTCTCCCTAACCGCGAGTGATCCGCCAGCCTCGGCCTCCTGAGGTGCCGGGATTGCAGACGGAGTCTCGTTCACTCAGTGCTCAATGGTGCCCAGGCTGGAGTGCAGTGGCGTGATCTCGGCTCGCTACAACCTCCACCTCCCAGCCGCCTGCCTTGGCCTCCCGAAGTGCCGAGATTGCAGCCTCTGCCCGGCCGCCACCCCGTCTGGGAAGTGAGGAGCGTCTCCGCCTGGCCGCCCATCGTCTGGGAAGTGAGGAGCCCCTCTGCCTGGCTGCCCAGTCTGGAAAGTGAGGAGCGTCTCTGCCCGGCCACCATCCCATCTAGGAAGTGAGGAGCGCCTCTTCCCAGCCGCCATCACATCTGGGAAGTGAGGAGCGTCTCTGCCCGGCCGCCCATCGTCTGAGATGTGGGGAGCACCTCTGCCCTGCCGCCCCGTCCGGGATGTGAGGAGCGTCTCTGCCCGGCCGCCCCGTCTGAGAAGTGAGGAGACCCTCTGCCTGGCAACCACCCCGTCCGAGAAGTGAGGAGCCCCTCCGCCCGGCAGCCGCCCCGTCTGAGAAGTGAGGAGCCCCTCCGCCCAGCAGCCACCCCGTCTGGGAAGTGAGGAGCATCTCCGCCCGGCAGCCACCTCGTCCGGGAGGGAGGTGGGGGGGTCAGCCCCCCGCCCGGCCAGCCGCCCCATCCGGGAGGGAGGTGGGGGGGTCAGCCCCCCGCCCGGCCAGCCGCCCCATCCGGGAGGGAGGTGGGGGGGGGTCAGCCCCCCGCCCGGCCAGCCGCCCCGTCCGGGAGGGAGGTGGGGGAGTCAGCCCCCCGCCCGGCCAGCCGCCCCGTCCGGGAGGTGAGGGGCGCCTCTGCCCGGCCGCCCCTACTGGGAAGTGAGGAGCCCCTCTGCCCGGCCACCACCCCATCTGCGAGGTGTACCCAACAGCTCATTGAGAACGGGCCATGATGACAATGGCGGTTTTGTGGAATAGAAAGAGGGGAAAGGTGGGGAAAAGATTGAGAAATCGGATGGCTGCCGTGTCTGTGTAGAAAGAGGTAGACATGGGAGACTTTTCATTTTGTTCTGTATTAAGAAAAATTCTTCTGCCTTGGGATCCTGTTGATCTGTGACCTTACCCCCAACCCTGTGCTCTCTGAAACATGTGCTGTATCCACTCAGGGTTGAATGGATTAAGGGCGGTGCAAGATGTGCTTTGTTAAACAGATGCTTGAAGGCAGCATGCTCCGTAAGAGTCATCACCACTCCCTAATCTCAAGTACCCAGGGACACAAACACTGCGGAAGGCCGCAGGGTCCTCTGCCTAGGAAAACCAGAGACCTTTGTTCACTTGTTTATCTGCTGACCTTCCCTTCACTATTGTCCTGTGACCCTGCCAAATCCCCCTCTGCGAGAAACACCCAAGAATGATCAATAAAAAAAAAAAAAAAGAAAAAAGAAAAGAAATAGCTTTCTCATATAATCTTTCTTTTTTTGGGGTGAGACAGTCTCATTCTGTCACCCAGGCTGGAGTACAGTGGTGCGATCTCAGCTCACTGCAACCTCTGCCTCCCGGGTTCAAGCAATTATCATGCTTCAGCCTCCACAGTAGCTGGGATTAAAGTGTATGCCACTACATATAGTTAATTTCTGTATTTTTAATGGAGATGGGGGCTTCACCATG
The DNA here is from genome assembly GCF_000001405.40 of Homo sapiens. NCBI lineage: Eukaryota > Metazoa > Chordata > Mammalia > Primates > Hominidae > Homo > Homo sapiens. The sequence goes on along the minus strand of NC_000005.10, from coordinate 65,976,287 downwards.
TTCGCCAGATGGTCTCAAACTCCTGGCCTCAAGTGATCCAAGCACCTCAGCTTCCCAAAGTGCTGGGATTATAGGTGTAAGCCACTGTGCCCAGCCTCTCATACAGTCTTGACTGGATTCTAAACTCTTCCCCATAAGATACGATCCTGTAGCAGGATTAATTTCCCCACAGGTATTCCACCAGTTCACTTCCTCATGTTTATGTCTATGCCAGAGTACTTCCCAATCACCTTTGTTTCTCCTAGTAACTTGTAACAACTTCTTTTCCTCCATGAATTCATTATGCATGACTTAGGGAGCCCTAAATGGAAACAGAAAAAGGCAGTCAAATTAACTAGAAAGAACCCTAATTATGATGGGGAATATTAAGTCTATCCTTACAAAGAGAAACAGGCTAAAATACTCTAAACTGATTGTGACCACACACAGCAATATGCTATACCAAGCAGGTATATTTTGTCTCTCATCTTAAAAAAGAATCTCTCCTGAAACCACATCTCTCTCTACAGCTACCAACCCATTACTCTGCTGCCTTTTACAGAAAAATTCCTCAAACAAGTTGTCCACATGCACTGACTTCAATTATTCTATCAAGTGTTCCTAAATCCACTCCAATCACACTTTTGTCCCCATCATTTCAAGAAAAACAGTTCTTAAAACATCTAAATTCAATAGACAATCTAGCCGGGCGCAGTGGCCCACACCTGTAATCCCAGCACTGTGGGAGACCAAAGCAGGTGGATCACTTGAAGCCAAGAGTTCACAACCAGCCTGGCCAACATGGTGAAAGCCCGTTTCTACTAAAAATGCAAAAATTAGCCAGGCGTGATGCCGGGCACCCATAATTCCAGCTATTCAGGAGGCTGAGGCAAGACAATCGCTTGAACCTGGGAGGCGGAGGTTACAGTGAGCCGAGATTGCGCCACTGTACTACAGCCTGGGTGACAGAGTGAGACTCCATTGCAAAAATTAAAAAATATGGCTGGATGTGGTGGCTCACGCATGTAATCCCAGCACTTTGGGAGGCCGAGGCAGGCAGATCACTTGAGGTCAGGAATTTGAGACCAGCCTGGCCAACATAGTGAAATCCTGTCTCTACCAATAATACAAAAATCAGCTGGGCATCGTGGCACATGCCTGTAATCCCAGCTATTCGAGAGGCTGAGGCAGGGGAATTGCTTGAACCCAGGAGGCAAAGGTTGCAGTGAGCCAAGATCACACCACTGCAATCCAGGTCAACAGAGCGAGACTCCACCTCAAATATAAATAACTAAATAAAATAAATTCAATAGACAATCTAAATTCACTTCTCCCCCTTGCTTTCTTAGTAGCTTCGCTTCCCCTTACTTTACGAGATTTCTTCATTTAGCTTCCATCACACCACACATCCTCCTAGTTTTCTTCCTATACCACTGGTCAAACCTCAGTTTCCTTTGCTAGTTGCTCCTCTTTATGCCAACCTCTTAACACATTCCTAATGATACAAAGAACATATATCTTGGCTTTCTTTTCTATATATACTCACACCTTTGGTGATCATCCAGTTTCAATTCCCGAACTCTTATCTACCTTTTAAATACTAAGTACTCTAATGACTGCTGTCTTAGTTTGGGTTCTCCCAAAAGCAATGGCTGAGGTAAGAACCTGAGTAAAAGCAGTCTGTCTAGAGAATGACCTACAGGAGCAGGAAGAGTTAAGATGGGGATGGAAGAAAAGCCAATATAAGGAGTAGTAACTATCAATGTCATCCCTAAAGATAACAGGGTATCAATCTACTTAAACCTCCCAAGAAGCATATAGATGGTCTCTGAAAATTCTCTCCAGATAGGATGAGACGTGAGCTTTTATCCATCCAGTATGATACAGGAGCAGCACTGCCTCTATAGGCATTACCTCTGCCTCACTACCAACCTATGCTTGCTTTCTAATAATCAAAGGTCACAGGACAAATAAGAAGTCTTAGACGCAAAGTTTAATAGCATTTGCATAACATCAATGGTTCTCAATGAGTGTAAGGACACCGCAGCAGGTCCACAAATGTCAAAGCTCCACATCATAATAAGTCCACTGTCAATATACCTATTGAGAAAACACTTATATACATATGGATTTTTGTTTTTGCTGCAATAAAACTCCATGGCCCAAGGGTACTCTCAAGTAGCTGGGACTACATGTGTGCACCACCACATCAGGGTTATTTTTTTAGTTTTTATTTTGTAGAGATGGAGTTTCGCTATGTTGCCCAGGCTGGTCTCAAACTCCTGGCCTCAAGCAATCCCCCAGCCTCAGCCTCCCAAAGTGCTGGAATTACAAGCATGAGTCACAGCGCCTGGCCTCAGCCCACTTTTATGTATTAGCACAATAGATTCTAAACTGATTCCCTAATTCTATTTAGTCAGCACCTAATTTTTTTCCTTAAAATCATTTATTTTACTATCTCCCTTTCCCCTTTAAAAACCTAAAAAACATTTCTTAATCCCCAAACCTCCTTAATCTATTCCCAATTTGCCTTTATACAACTTTACTACTGAATCAAACCCTTTGTTCAGGTGAGGCCTTTTGCCTTACTACTGACTCCTCATTCCACCTACCCAATTCAAGACACTAATTACTTCTTCGGTTCTTTAAGTGGTATTTTAAATGAAAGTGACTATAAATAAAATGTTTTTATGCAGTGTGTCTACTGCCCTAGAAACTGAACCAGACCTGTTGAAAAGCATGACCTGATTTGAGAATCCTAGATGTGAGTGCCAGAGTGCATGAAATTCCACCATTAGTTATTTCTTCCGGTCCCTCTTCATACATCCTCTATTAAAATGCAAATTAATCTGGAAGAGACAAGGCCCTAATTTCTTTTTTTTAATTTATTTTATTATTTTATTTTTATTATACTTTAAGTTCTAGGGTACATGTGCCCAACGTGCAAGTTTGTTACATACGTATACATGTGCCATGTTGGTGTGCTGCACCCATTAACTCGTCATTTACATTGGGTATATCTCCTAATGCTTTCCCTCCCCGCTCCCCCCACCCCACAACAGGCCCCAGTGTGTGATGTTCCCCTTCCTGTGTCCAAGTGTTCTCACTGTTCAATTCCCACCTATGACATGTGGTGTTTGGTTTTTTGTTCTTGGGGTAGTTTGCTGAGAATGTTGGTTTCCAGCTTCATCCATGTTCCTAGAAAGGACATGAATTCATCCTTTTTTATGGCTGCATAGTATTCCATGGTGTATATGTGACAAGGCCCTAATTTCTTAAGGTGAATTTCTTTATAAGTTTATTCTTTCCCCTAAACTGAACAGAAGGAACAGAAATAAAAGAACCAAAAGGAAACCGAAAAAAACGTAGGAATTGGCAAAACAATGAGAGGTCAGGTTGAAGTTCTCATTTTCCTTGGGGTTAATTTAGGCTGGGAATGATTAGGAACACCAAAAACCTTCCAAAGAAAGCTAGATCACTCTCAACACCTTATTACAGCAGGATTTTCAAAGGTTAATTATTACCGCTTATAAGTAAAGCTTTAAAATACCACCACTTGATGACAATCTTATCTTTAAAAAGTTTCACTTTTTGTAGCATTCAGATCTATTTTAGGAATAAAATCCATAATCCTGTAAAACTATCCCAAACATCCCTTAAGGCTGAAGATTTATTTTGTAAGTGAAATAGTATAACAGATATGGAGAGGAAAAGAAGAAAAACAAAAATTTAAGCTTCTACTTAACCAAACATTATTTTGAAAGTACTTAATTTTAAGTAACAAATATTCTTTAAATTTTTCTGTAGAAACTATGGGGTGCTTAGTGCCAAGTTCATTCACATACATGGCACTCCCCATCTCTCTAAAGTACTTTATGCATGTTGAAATATAATCAAAGGTCACAGGACAAATAAGAAGTCTTAGATGCAAAGTTTAATAGCATTTGCGTAACATCAATGGTTCTCAATGAGTGTAAGGACACCGCAGCAGGTCCACAAATGTCAAAGCTCCACATCATAGTAAGTCCACTGTCAATATACCTATTGAGAAAACACTTATATACATATGGATTTTTGTTTTTGCTGCAATAAAACTCCATGGCCCAAGGGTGAGAGACAATCTAATATTTCAATGCTAAGAGTCTGGCAATACTAAGATGGACAATAAATATCCCCCAAAAATGACATAGCAGACCCCCTTGGAATAGCCCCCCAATTCACAATGACTCCTCCTTTCTCTGAGAAAAGGTTACCACAAATCCATAAAGCACCTTTGTACAAATTTTAAAACTGCAGCCCTTATAGGCATACAGCTTGGCAAGCAGCATGTGGAATAAGCAACCTGCACAACATAGAAGCCCTGTTGTGAGAGCTATTCTCCCTTTTGAAAGGGGTGGCCCTCTAACATCTATTTTGGTACCAGGTAACACTGCCCTCCTAGATGGAGCAGATTGGAAAGGGAACGGGCACCTGACTCAAGCCAGTCAATCATTTGCTCTCTCCCCAGGATATGTAAGTGGGACTGAAAGATAGCAAGTCTGTCCCTGCATTTAGCGGAACTGTAACATCTGAAGCCATAATCTATGGAGCTGCCGCCTTCTACCATATGGACATAGAAAGAGAATGCTCATCTGAAGAGAGAAAAATAAAATATAAAATATAAAAGAGTGATGGTTTTGGACTCCTGATGGCCTTCCAGTTATTTGTTCTAATTCTTTTCTGAGACTAACTGCATTCTAGCTGTTGAGTGTCCATAAGAAACTATTACATCCTTATTACCTTATTTTTACTGGTTTTGGTTACTTTCATCCAAGGAGTCTCATTAATATACTTTACTTATACCAAAGCTTTTGAGCTGATATCTGAAAGTTCAAATAAGTGAAAATTCATATATAAATATGATCCTCCATTATTTTGCAAATCACTCTGTCTCTATCTTTCTACCCACGCTCAAGGGCTCAATACCTATTCTTCTAAAAAGGGAACTTTGTGTTCCAAATTTAGGAAATCTAAACCTGAAAACCTGATGCAATACAGGCTTTGAACACTGAAAAAAAAAAAAACCAGCATGCACAAACAAGATAAATCTGCAATTGTCACAGTCACTTCTAGACACCTGGTTGTCTTTTTCATTACACCTCAACCAATTTAGATTTATCATCAAAACGACTAGACTTCCTGGGCACAAAAAGGTCAAACCTAAACACTTTGGTAGCAATTCTGGACTAAAATAACAAAAGGAATCAGTCAAATTAACGTTGAATGACCATATTTGGCTTTCTGATGCTAAATACAACAAATACAAATATGACAAATATGTCAGAAAGAAAACAAACATTTGCTGAGTTACTACTAGGTGCTGAACACTAAAGATACAAAGATAAATGGTCCCTGCCTCAAGGAGTTTCTAATTTTAGATAAAACATGATAGCCACCCAGCCCAGTGGCTCACACCTGTAATCCCAGCTGAGGCAGGAGTTGAGGCCAGGAGTTTAAGACCAGCCTGGGCAACACAACAACACCCTGTCTCTAAAAATAAAAATAAAAATAAAATTAGCCAGGCATGCTGGTGTACGTCTGTAGCCCCAGCTACACTTGGGAGGCTGAGGCAGGAAGATTGCTTGAGCCCAGGAGTTCAAGGCCACGATGAGCTATGATTCACGACTGCACTCAACTCTGAGCAAAAGAGCAAGAGCACGTCTTAAAAAGAATATAAAAAGTTACAAATGTGGGGAAAAAGGAGACCAAATAGTCTGGTGGTAAGGGAAAACAGTCAAATAGGACAGAATAGAATATATAAACCAAAGTGTAGAATCTCTCTACATACAGAAAAATAGTAGTTAGTGTTGCCAGCAGACAAACTTCGGTAGGATAGGCTTTGAAATATATAGGAATGACGTTAGGGTAGTCAGCAGGGGGCTAGAACTTAAAAGCTTTAAATACCATACTAAGTAATATAGACTTTGACTGGTAAGCAGCAGTTTTTAAGACTTAAAAGCAAAGGAGGGACATAGTCTAATTTAAGTTTTAGACAGATCACTCAGTTAGCAATGCAGAGCTAAAAACAATCCTGATACTATTTAGCCAGTAGTATGACTTATAAAATATGAGGGGAATGTCCCTATACCATCTCTTTCACTGCTTGGTTTAATAAACAAAAGTCATTAATAATTTAACAGTGTAGTCTTCATACTTCACTAGATTATGTAATTTGACGTAGACAATTAAAATGTCATGCTTTCTTCTGTTGCTGATTCAATTACTTTGGGGCAAGGTAACAAAAGTGAAACCACTCAATATACGAAAACCAGGTCTTTAAAAAGAGAAACATCTGAAGTTTATCATGCTTAATATTAAAAAACAATTAATAGTAATTCCCTAAACAAAAATGGCAAAACAACTAAATCTGATTATTGAAAAATAACAATATATGACCACCTTGGAACAAACAGAACTGAAAAGCTAAGATATTTGAACAATTTAGGAAGCAGTATCTGAAACTACTGTTCCTAGAAAGCTATGTTTATATGTGGTTTTTATTTGTTTTTGCTCCCTGGGGGAGCAGGGGGTGAGTTTTAGAGTGACACAAAATCAAGCTGTGTCAATGCAACTAGTTAAAACCTGCATATTTCAACACTTGACAATATAATTTTAATAGAAGGAATTCCCAGATAACAAAAAGCCTACCAATAAATCACTGAAAATTCAAAAACAATATAGCTGAACACAAAAGTAGCTGGCTTTGGAAATAATACTGCTTTACATTTGAGTCTAGATTCCACCATTTATCATTCTGTAATCCTGAACACACTACCTCTTCAATCTCAGATTCTTTATGTTAAAAAACAAAGGGCATAAAAGCTACATTTTCGTTAGCTGTTCTAAGAAACTACGAATGTCCAACACAAAGCCATATTGAGTGGCTTTACTTGTACTGCCTTTCCCAAAAGTAACTGAATCAGCAACAGAAAACATAATTATACATAAGCTGAATAAATAATAGTTTTTCCTTTCTATTGAAGATACATAAGAGTAACTTGTTTCTTTGAAAATATTTTATATATACTATTCATACTCACAGGTACTTTTTGTGTTTTCCTGTTTACCTGTTTTATTGGGTGTGGGGTGACCATGGCTTGCTGGCATGCTTGTTCTCACATTAGCATTTTTTTCTTTTTGCTTTATCCTCCCGAAATTGACACATTAGCATTTTTTTAATTGACATATATCACAGTAGCATAAGGTCAATACTAACTCTCATTCACTTATATGCCCTTAAACGCGGTATTGCATTATTTTTACTAAAAGAAGGGAAGAGACCTCTCAATCACGATATTTCCCTTCTTATTTGAAACAAAGATTTGGGAAAACAAAGTAGTTGCTTCGTTCATCTACTTATTTATGAATTGAGCTACATAATTTCTCCAAATTTAAAAATAAAAGCAATAGGCCAGGCGCAGTGGCTCACGCCTGTAATCCCAGCACTTTGGGAGGCCGAGGCAGGTGGATCACCTGAGGTCTGGAGTTTTGAGACCAGCCTGACCAACACAGGGAACCCTGTCTCTACTAAAAATAGAAAAATTAGCAGGGCATAGTGGCAGGCGCTTGTAGTCCCAGCTACTCGGGAGACTGAGATAGGAGAATTGCTTGAACCCAGGAGGTGGAGGTTGCAGTGAGCCAAGATCGGGCCACTGCACTCCAGCCTGGGCAACGGAGCAAGACATCGTCTCAAATAAATTAATTAATTAAATCAAAATTAAATAAAAGTAATAATGCAAGTAATTCTGCCTACCTTCCTTCTTTACTCAATAAATGTAGGTCTTGTAACTAGTTTGATAGTGATGTCAATTTTCTTTTCCACAGAGCCTCTCAAAGTCTGGTAATTGCACCTTGCTGAATGCTACTCTAGTACTTAAATATATTTTCCACACAAGAAAGGCACTGAACACAAGCCAAATATATCTTATTTGATATTCAGTTGAAGAAACAGTGACTTTTTCTTGAACCTATAGAAAATCCTCACCGTGCCGGACAGAGAATGTATAATGGTCTCCCCATCATGATACCTTCTACTTACACTGACTTTAGAACTTAATCCCTAACCAACAAGATGCCACTATTTTGTAGAATGAGGTTGTGGTAGGTATAACATTTTCCACAAATTCTTTTACACTTCTCCCCTCAAGAGGTGAAATCCTCTTCCCCGTCATTGGAATAAGAGCTGGTCTTGGTGACACGCTTCTTAAAAACAAAATATAACAGAAGTGATGCTACATGACGTCCAAGGCTAGGATAAAAAGGCTAATACAGTTGCCACTTAGGCTTTTGCCCTTTTCCTTTCATCCACTTGCCCTCTGAAACCAGCCACTTGCTGTAAGGAAACTCAAGTCTTACCGAGAAGTCACACGCAGGTGCTCTGGCTCATGGCCCTGGCAACCATCTAACTGCAACCACGTAAGAATTTGAGCAAGAACCAACTAGCTAAGCCAAGATGAGCCCCAGACCCATGATAGGTAATACTGATGACTCTTCTTGGTTTATAATATCACTAAGTTTCAGATGGTTTATTTCACAATAAATAATTGGTATAAGGTCTGATTAACCAAAGGCATCTTTGTTGGAAGAAACAATCGTGCATTGCTTGACAGGATGTGTTCTAAGAAATGCACTGTTTGGCAATTTCATCATTGTACAAACATCACAGAGTCTACTTACAGAAACCTAGATGGTATAACCTACTACACCTCTAGGCTATATGGTGTAGCCTACTGCCACTAGACTAAGAACACGTACCGCATGCTGATGTACTGAATACAGCAGGCATCTGTGACACAATGATAAGTATTTGTGTATTTAAACATATCTAAACATAGAAACAGTGCAGCAAAAATATGGTATGAAAGATAAAAAAAAAACTAGTACACCTATTATAAATAGAGCTTGCAGGGCTGGAAATTGCTGTGGGTCAGTGAGTGAGTAGTGAGTGAATGTGAAGGTCTAGGACACTACTGTACACTACTGCAGACTTTATAAACACTTAGGCTATGTAAATTTATTTAAAATTTTTTTTCTTTAATAATAAACCTTAGCTTATTATAACGTTATAAACTTTTTCTTTTTAAAAAAATCTTAACTTTTGTAATAACATGGTGTAAAACACAAACACACTGTACAGCTAACCAGAATATTTTTTCTTTTTCTTAGAGATGGGATCTCTCTATGTTACCCAGGCTGGACTCAAACTCCTGGGCTCAAGGGATCCTCCCACCTCAGCCTCCTAAGTAGTTGGGACTACCAGGCATACACTACCAGGCCCAGCTCCTATATCCTTATTTTATATGCTTTTTTCTTCCTATTTAAAAGAAATTTTTTTTTAACTTTTTAAACTTTTTGGTTAAAAATGAAAACACAAACACACACATTAGCCTAGGCCTATACAGGGTCAGGATCATTACTATCCGTCTTCCACCTCCATATCTTGTCTGACTGGAAGGTCTTCAGGGGCAACAACACAACCGGAACTGTCATCTCCTATGATAACAATGCCTTCTTCTGGAATACTTCCTGAAGGTCCTGTCATGGAATGATTTACAGTTACCTTTTTTTTTTTTTTTTTTTTTTTTTTTTTGAGACAGAGTTTCACTCTTGTTGCCCAGGCTGGAGTGCAAGGGTGCGATCTTGGCTCACCGCAGCCTCTGCCTCCTGGGTTCAAGCGATTCTCCTGCCTCAGCCTTCCCAATAGCTGGGATTACAGGCATGCGCCACCATGCCCGGTTAATTTAGTATTTTTAGTAGAGACAGGGTTTCTCCATGTTGGTCAGGCTGATCTCAATCTTCCGACCACAGGTGATCCGCCCACCTTGGCCTCCCAAAGTGCTGGGATTACAGGCGTGAGCTACCATGCCCGGCCTACCTTTTTATATGGAGGAGCACACTCAAAGATAATAAAAGTTATCATATACTAAATACATAAACCAGTAACAGTTGTTTACTGTCATTGTCAAGTACTGTGTACTGTACATAACTGTACTTATACTTTTATACAACTGGCAGTGCAGAAAGTTTGTTTACACAAACATCAACACAACCCCATGAGTCATGTAATACACTTTAAAATTATGACAGCTATATCACTAGGGAATAGATATTTTTCAGCTTCATTATAATGTTATGAAACCAACATTGTTTATACAGTCTATCATTGACCAAAATGTCATTATGTGGCACATGACTGTATATTAAACAATTTTACAGAAAATGTTCAACTCTAACATTTCACATGAGAACATATACAGAAAAAGCCTAACATACCTTGTTATAGTAGAGGTTAACTGCACCGTCATTTTATTTGCATGTGATGATGCTTCAAGGGACACTATTTGATCCCATGGATTTATCAAGAGGATACAGGCATGACTAAATATATACAAGATGTCTGGGCTTAATGAGCTTACATTCCAAGAAGGAAAAAACAATAGTAAATGATAAGGAAAATTCAGATTGTGTTATGTGCCATGAACTAAAAACACATTAAGGGGAGAGGAATCAGAGGAAGAGCAACTTCAGACAGAGTGAACGAGAGAAATCTCACTGAAGGTTAAATCTGATAAGAATGGGGCCAGGTGCAGTGGTTCACACCTGTAATCCCAGCACTTCGGGAGGCCGAGGTGGGCAAACCACTTGAACTCAGAAGTTCAAGATTAGCCTGACCAACATGGTGAAACCCACCTCTACTAAAAATACAAAAATGGTAGCACATGCCTGTAGTCCCAGCTACCTGAGAGGCTGAGACAGGAGAATCGCTTGAACCCAGGAGGCGAAGGGTGCAGTGAGCCAAGATCGCCCACTGTACTCCAGCTCGGGCAACAGAGTGAGACTCCGTCTCAAAAAAAAAAAAAAAAAAAAAAAAAAAAAAAAAAAAAAAAACAACAAAAAACAAATCTGGTAAGAACAGCCTGTCATAGATCTGGAGAAAAGCAATCCAGCCAAAAGAGAAGGTATAAATGCCTGGATGTGGGAACAAACACCAGTGTGACCACCACATAATGAACACAGAAACAATTATGTAAGATGACATCACAGAACCCAAACAGACCAAGTACCCACCTTATAAATCATAATAAGCAGTTTACATTTTATTCTAATCACAATGAGAATTCATTAGAAAGTTTTAAACAAGAAGAGTAATATCTAATTTAAGTTTTTAAAAGATTGTTCTGGCCAGGCACAGGGGCTCATGCCTGTAATCCCGGTACTTTGGGAGGCTGAGGGGGGAGGATCACTTGAGGTCAGGAGTTCCAAACCAGCCTGGCCAACATAGTGAAACCCCATCTCTACTTAAAAAAAAAAAAAAAAAAAAAATTACACACACACACACACACACACACACACACACACACAAATCAGCCAGGCGTGGTGGCCCACGCCTGTAGTCCCAGCTACTTGGGAGGCTGAGGCAGAATCGCTTGAACCTGGAAGGCAGAGGTTGTAGTGAGCGGAGATTGTACCACTGCACTCTAGTCTGGGTGACAGAGCGAGACTCCATCTCAAAAAAAAAAAAAAAAAAAGATTGCTCTGGCTGCTGTATTGAGAAAGAGCTATAGAGAGGCAAGATTAGTGCAAATGTCTGCAGTACCTGAAAATCAATGCTTCTGCACAGGATATGTGTCATACAAATGTTGGCTATCATTATTATTATTGCTGTCATTATACACAGCCCATGTTTGTTGCAAGTACATAGTTTTCCTTCCTCTGACAAAGTATATATTCCTTGAGGATAGAATTTCAGTAATCTTATACAAATGAGTATATCAGAATTATCTGAAGATTTTACCAAACTACACTGCCTGTTCTCCAACCAGCAGGATTCTGCCCCAAAAGGCCTGGGACACAGTCAAGGTATGTACATGTTATGAGCTCTCCAGGTGATTCCAATATTGTGCCTTAAAACCACTAGTCAGTGCCATTCCTCTTCTGTATCCTCCTCTGATACAACACCAAATCAATGTGTAACAGATTTCTAGAATTAATGACACACACGTTCAATTATGAAGTAGCTGCTTTGAAGCAAATGTAGTAAGAGATTCACTACTGCTTAATTAGTTATATTTCAGGCCTCAAACAATCAGAGGTATTAACCTTCACCTAAATCCATCTAATACTAGAGTTTCATGGAACCCGACTTTCAACTTGAAAGAAAATAGTCACACCGGCCAGGCGCAGTGGCTCACGCCTGTAATCCCAACACTTTGGGAGGCCGATGCAGGCAGATCACAATGTCAGGAGACCAAGACCATCCTGGCTAACATGGTGAAACCCCGTCTCTACTAAAAATACAAAAAATTAGCCAAGCATGGTGGCAGGCGCCTGTAGTCCCAGCTACTCGGGAAGCTGAGGCAGGAGAATGGCTTTTATATTTAATACTCCAGGAGGCGGAGCTTGCAGTGAGTTGAAATCGCACCACTGCACTCCAGCCTGGGCGACAGAGCGAGACTCCATCTCAAAAAAAAAAAAAAAGAAAAGAAAGAAAATAGTCATACCAAAAACGCAAATCACTTATAAAAAAATAAAATTTGTCTATATTAAAATTTCACTACCAAATACAACTCAGCAGCGGTATCTTCATTTGTAAAGGAACAATACATTCTCATTTATTTTCCCTAAGAATTTCATGTAAAGTAGTTTTTTTTGTTGGTTTTTGTTTTGTTTTTGAGATGGAGTTTCGCTCTTGTTGCCCAGGCTGGAGTGCAATGGCACGATCTCAGCTCACTGCAACCTCCACCTCCCGGGTTCAAGCGATTCTCCTGCCTCAGCCTCCGGAGTAGCTGGGATTACAGGCACCTGCCACCATGCCCAGCTAATTGTTTTGTATTTTTAGTAGAGACGGGGTTTCACGGTGTTGGCCAGGCTGTCATGTAAAGTTTTTAAAGATCAAAAGTAAACTCTAGATATAGTTGACAGAGTGATAACTTGAGAATTCCATTTGTTTGGTTGTATCCTACCTCAAAGTTGCCAATTTAATATTACTCAGTTAATAGTTTCCAAATAATAACAACCAATGCATATAGGAAACTACTTTAGAAAAGAACAAAAGAATAAAAAAGTAATTTATTCACCTTTATTTGGATGGATCTATGAGAATTATTGTTATGCAATAAAAAGCTATTCTAAAGTAGTTATTTTAATTAATTCTATCAAAAATTTACCTTTTAAAAAGTAATCAATCACATGATGAAACTTCTGTGAATAATGGAATTATGACCTGATACTCAAATGAGACAAATGTATATTTTGTTGTTTTAAAAAATTAATCTCAAGACAGATCATCTGGAAAACAAAAAACCTTTATCTGGTAACTGGAAAAGTTAATATCCTATGAACAACCACTGTAAGAATTACAAATCAAAAGCATTAGACTAAATGAAACAATCCTAATTTTCAAAGTTTTAAATTTTAGAACCATCCTTAATTAGTATTACTAAACCAAACTGTTCATTGATGAACAATATCAGATTTAAAGAGGCTTTAATTAGAAGTGCATAGTTACACAGAGAGTATTAGTAATGGAAAAATAATTTTGCCAGTTCAAGTATTACTTGTTTATCTTTCTAACCTCAGGATGAGCCTTATGTTTGAAGAAAATTGTGGGCCCTGATGAAAATTACTAAAAGAGGGGGAAAATAATTTAAGATACTTAATTCCCCAGTATTAAATATAAAAGCAGGAATATGAAACACCTTCATTTATGAAATGTCTAAATATAAATATACCATTATTTAACACACTATGTTATAGTAAAAAGCTACGGAGATTTAGGCAGAACCATAGTATACAAATTCAGTTTCTTCTCTCACGTTGCATAAGTCCTAACATTTGGTTTTAGTTATTCCACACCCAAATTACACACACATACACATTTGTAAACCTGTATTTTAAACTATGAAGCCTTATGGATGGATTCTGACATTTTTCTAGTAGCTTAATAGCCAATTTCTCCAATTTCCCAATAAAATTTTCATAATGGCAATTTATGAAGAAAAGAAGAAATGTTGTAATCAAACACATTTTATATACATTTTGGGACACAAGTCAGGAAGGAAATCACTGACCTATAGAACTTTTGCATTCAAATGTAAAAGCACTCACTCTTGATTCTCTTTATTCAGATATCATCTTTAATATACATTATACATTTACAAATAACAATTGCTCTTCCATCCACATAGCTTTAAAAAATGCGACATAGTCAAGCACTCTAGTAATTACTCTAGCAGGCATTTCTTTCAGATATTAACTTAAAATATATACAACTTATAAGAAACCTTACTTGGTTTTACAACAACTCTCTGGTAAAAAATGTCAGACAACTAGCTTTCTGCAGCACCAAAAAGATACAGTACTATGTAAGGCACCTCATTAGTGACTCATCTGTATGCTCCCATGATACCAGCACAGGAATCATGTGAGTCAAATTGACCACTTGCTCTCAAAACCAAAAAGCACCCTCCCCACCAAAGATACCTAAAATTCATCACCACACATTCTCTACCTCAAATGTAAAAGAAGTAGACTACAGAATAAGAGAACTGACAAAAAAAAGTCATCAATAGTCATACTTAGTATTACAAAATAAAGCTGGAATTTCCTAATGGAAATAAGTCTAGATGCTCTTTATTAGACTCCCAACCCCCTCAAAAACAGCATTTTCACTAACTTTAACTGCTAGCTAATGTTAACTTACAAGTCCATGGATCAACCACAAATTAAAAACTCCTGCTCTTAATAATTACAATTAATACATATACATTGGCAATACAGATCTACAATCTCTTATCCAAACTCTTCAGGCCAGTAGATGTGTTTCAGAATTGAGAATTTTTCATTTTGGAAAATACTGCTGCAGGGAAGTATAATTTACAAATATTAACTCTGATGGGAAAACGATATAAATAAACACCAGTATCAGCCTCACATCACAGTTCAGCGTAAGTCACATTTTATCAACCAAATGAATTAGGGAAAAAAGTTCATGCCCAGGGGTGAGACTATAGTGCCAGAACACTTGCTTGTGCATAATTAAGGCCACTTGCCCTCTTCAGGTAGCCCTTTTAACTGGGAGCAAAGTGAAGACAGCAAAAAAAGAGAAAAGTTCAATTTTCAGGAATTTCTGAATTTCAGAATTACACAGAAGGAATTGTGGACCTAAAATTGGAATGTTTTAAGAAGGTTTTTAATCAAATGTTTAAAATTTTTCCCTTTTAATGGAAATTAAACACATATGGATAGGGAGGTTTAGGGAATTAAGACAGTCAGTGGTTGTCAAAAGAGTCATTTTGAAAATACATGATAACATTTTCGTTGTCAAAATGAATAGACTTGCCAAAGGCCAGTGATGGTTAATATCCTGTACCAACTTTCAAATGTCCTCCAGCCATGAAGCTGAAAAAAAAATTATAATTATCTAAGCCTAGAACCTAACTGTAAACATATAAAGACAAAGGGATGGAGTTTTTTTACACACTAGTTTAACAGATTGTAAATTAAGGGAAGATTAAACTTGCTTGAAATTTCCCCAAGTGTTGTCTCTCCACTTCAAAAAATCTTGTCAAGGATAGCAATGCCTCTCTTAATTATAATTTGGTTGTCAATCTGCATGAGTAGCAGTTGCATTCATGAAGAGCCTACATCCAAGGGCAAAAGCATCTAATCAGTGATTCTTAACTCTGGCGGCACATGAGAATCATCTATGCCCAGGCCAACACCCTTAACCAATTAAATTAGAATCTCTAGAAGGTAGGACATAGGCATCAGTATTTTCGCTCTGTTTCATTGTTTGTTTTTGAGGTAAAGTTTACGTATAGCGAAATGCAGAGGTCTTAGGTGTACAACTCTCTTGGAGTAATAAACACCCCAATCAAGATACAGGACATTTCCACTACTCAGAAAGTACCCTCCTGCCCCACATCCAGTCAATGCCCCTACCAAGCAATCACTCCTCATATTTCTAATGCTATAGCCTCATTTCTGCACTTCATATAAACATAATCCATCATATAGTGTGTACTCTTCTGTATCAGACTTCTTTCACTAAACACAATGTTTCAGAGATTCATTCATATACATTTCATCATGAAAAAAGTAGTTCATTCTTTTTGACTGCGGAGCAGTATTCCAGCATATGAATATACTGCAATTTGTTTATCTGTTCTTTCTGCTGACTGACAGCAGAGCTGTTTTAATTTGTGGACTATTAAAGCTGTTATAAATCTCCCTATACATTTTGGGGACATGTTTTCACCTCTCTTGGGCAAATACCTAGGAGTGGAACTGATGTAGCTGTATGTTTAATTTTAAAAGAAACAGGTATCAACACTTTTTGAAGGTTCCAGTTAACTCCAACGCAAAGCCTTAACAATATTTTCTAATGAGGTCATGGCAAAGTATTCTAACATTTTTGTCTGTCACGTGTTCTTTGTTCCAGTCAAGAAAAAATCATGTTGCTTTTTCTTCTTTTAAATTATTTGTATGGGTTGGAAGATTATACTACCTATGAATTTCACTTGAAACAGAAAAAAAGGGGCATTTAAATATATATGCTATATAAAAGGGGGCACACAGTCATAAGTGTCATACGATTTGAGAACCAGATGAATTTGACTGAACCTGTCATCAGAAAAATAAAAATTTATGTGTAATTCCAATGTTGTATTCAATTTGTATTTGAGAACTATGAAGTCCATCCTCAGAATACTTACAAGTCCATGGACCAACCCCAAACGAAAATCTCCTGCTCTTACATTAAATTGTATGAGTCTTGACTTCACTTTGTGTAAGATGACCAAAGCTAGAAATCATAAAATATATTAAACTACATAAAACATATGACAAAGGACACTATCAACTGTGTTTTTAAAAGTTATAAAATTAAAGAATCTAAATATTAATACTTCTTCCAAATCAATAAGATGGCCTCCATAGAAAAATGAAAAAAGGGCAATAAACACATGACTCCTGAAATGAAATAAAACCGGCCAGAATATTTAAGATGCTCACCTCATTAGATGAATTTTTAAGTGATCAAATTACCATTATTTCCACCAGATTGGCAATTAAAAAAAAAACTGGTAACACCACGTGTTAGCTAGCATTATATAGACACATCTATTATCGCATTCTTAGTGGAAGCATATAATAGTATAAATGTCCTTGATGACAATTTGACAACACGTATAAATAAAGTTAATGTGTATACGCAATGTCTACTTTTAAAAATTTACCCTTAGAAAAAGTACAGATGCTCCTTGTCTTATAATGGGGGTTACATGCCGATGAAATATTTTCCACTTATGATAGGTTTAAGTAAAAAATGCATTTAATACACGTAACCTATCAAACATCATAGCTTACTCTAGCCTACTTTAAGCATGCTCAGAACACTTACATTACCCTGCAGTTGGGCAGAATCACCCAACACAAAGCCTATTTTATAAGAAAGTGTTGAACACATCATGTACTCTACCAAACACTGTATTGAAAGTGAAAAACTGAATGGTTGTATTGGTACTCAAAGTAGGATTTCTATTGAACATGTATTGCTTCACACCATCATAAAGTAAAAAAATCCTACATTTCCCTCCCCCTCCCCCTCCCTCACGGTCTCCCTCTCTCTCCCCCTCTCCCCACGGTCTCCCTCTCCTTCCACGGTCTCCCTCTGATGCCCAGCCGAAGCTGGACTGTACTGCTGCCATTTCTGCTCACTGCAACCTCCCTGCCTGATTCTCCTGCCTCAGCCTGCCCAGTGCCTGCGATTGCAGGCGCGCACCGCCCCGCCTGACTGGTTTTCGTATTTTTTTGGTGGAGACGGGGTTTCGCTGTGTTGGCCGGGCTGGTCTCCAGCTCCTAACCGCGAGTGATCTGCCAGCCTCCGCCTCCCGAGGTGCCGGGATTGCAGATGGAGTCCTCGTTCACTCAGTGCTCAATGTTGCCCAGGCTGGAGTGCAGTGGCGTGATCTCGGCTTGCGACAACCTCCACCTCCCAGCCGCCTGCCTTGGCCTCCCAAAGTGCCGAGATTGCAGCCTCTGCCCGGCCGCCACCCCATCTGGGAAGTGAGGAGCGTCTCTGCCTGGCCGCCCATCGTCTGGGATGTGAGGAGCCCCTCTGCCCGGCTGCCCAGTCTGGGAAGTGAGGAGCGCCTCTTCCCGGCCGCCATCCCATCTAGGAAGTAAGGAGCGTCTCTGCCCTGCCGCCCATCGTCTGAGATGTGGGGAGCGCCTCTGCCCCGCCACCCCGTCTGGGATGTGAGGAGCGCCTCTGCCCGGCCGCGACCCCGTCTGGGAGGTGAGGAGCCCCTCCGCCCAGCAGCCGCCCCATCTGAGAAGTGAGGAGCCCCTCCGCCCGGCAGCCGCCCCGGCTGAGAAGTGAGGAGTGCCTCCGCCCGGCAGCCGCCCCGTCTGAGAAGTGAGGAGCCCCTCCGCCCGGCAGCCGCCCCGTCCGGGAGGTGGGGTGCGCCTCTGCCCTGCCGCCCCTTCTGGGAAGTGAGGAGCCCCTCTGCCCGGCCTCCACCCCATCTTAGAGGTGTACCCAACAGCTCATTGAGAACGGGCCATGATGACGATGGCGGTTTTGTCGAATAGAAAAGGGGGAAATGTGGGGAAAGGATAGAGAAATCAGATTGTTGCTGTGTCTGTGTGGAAAGAAGTAGACATGGGAGACTCCATTTTGTTCTGTACTAAGAAAAATTCTTCTGCCTTGGGATGCTGTTGATCTATGACCTTACCCCCAACCCGGTGCTCTCTGAAACGTGCTGTGTCTACTCAGGGTTAAATGGATTAAGGGCGGTGCAAGATGTGCTTTGTTAAACAGATGCTTGAAGGCAGCATGCTCGTTAAGAGTCATCACCACTCCCTAATCTCAAGTACCCAGGGATACAAACACTGCGGAAGGCCCCAGGGTCCTCTGCCTAGGAAAACCAGAGACCTTTGTTCACTTGTTTGTCTGCTGACCTTCCCTCCACTGTTGTCCTGTGACCCTGCCAAATCCCCCTCTGCGAGAAACACCCAAGAATGATCAATAAAAAAAATAAAATAAAATAAAATAAAAATTTAAAAAAAAAATCCTACATTGAACCATCCTAAATTGG
Organism: Homo sapiens; assembly: GCF_000001405.40. Lineage (NCBI taxonomy): Eukaryota > Metazoa > Chordata > Mammalia > Primates > Hominidae > Homo > Homo sapiens. The sequence goes on along the minus strand of NC_000005.10, from coordinate 65,957,169 downwards.
GGACGATCTGTACTAAAAAATACACCTAGACATATGTACCACAGTTTCACAAAAAGGGTTAAATTATAATAGCAAAAAATAATGGGAGAGGGTGCTAAATAAATATACCTTAGTAGTGACTGGTTAAATATATTCTGACTCATCCAAACAACTACATTCTAAGCTGCTTGTAATATTATTACCATACACAAATAGCAGCATGGTTATACTACCTTAAAGAAAGCCAGGTGTGGTGGCTCACACCTGTAATCCCAACACTTTTCAAAATCCCCGTTTTGGGTGTATTGTGGAGATCACTGGTGATACAACAATGTCATCTTCAAGTGGAATTATTAAAGTGTTCACCAGAAATCCAACTCCAGCTACGTTGTGCTTCAGGGTGAAAAAATATTGGCAGACTAGAGCAGATTCTTCCAAATGCACAACTTGTGTTCAGGTTTATATACTTTTTGTTTTGAAGGTTGAAATTTCTTTTTAAGAAATTTTTTCCCGCCAGGAGCAGTGGCTCACACCTGTAATCCCAACACTTTGGGAGTCTGAGGCAGGTGGACTGCTTGAGCCTAGGAGTTCGAAACCAGCTAGGCAACATGGCAAAACACCATCTGTACCAAAAAAAAAAAAAAAGTAAAAAAATTAGCTGGGCGTGTGTGGTGGCGAGTGTCTGCAGTCCCAGGCTGAGGTGGGTGAATCGCTTGAGCCTGAGAGGCAAAGGTTGCAGTGAGCCGAGATCACACCGCCACTGCACTCCAGCTTGGTGACAGAAGCGAGACTCCATCTCAAAAAAAAAAAAAAAAAAATCACCTGAAAGAATGCTGTATGATTATTAATCATCCCAGTTCAGTGAAAAGATAAGTAAATGAATGCATGCATGCATGCTATATGGGCATTTAAAAAACATCACCACTACCACCACACACCCACACCCCGAAGGGCCTTCAGTTTCTAATCCCCAACTACCACCAGATTCAATAATGCAGTAGACACTCTACCACAGAGAGCATTCCTAATATCTAACAACAGCCACATTCTAACATAACATTGGACAAATGTGAACTCTTCTTGCTATACAGTGGTCTCCCCTTATTAGGGGTGAATACATTTCCAGATCCCTCAGAATATACCTGAAACCACAGATAGTGTCGAACTCTATACACACCATGTATTGTTGCTCTAATAACTGAGACAGCTACTACTAAGTGACTAATGGGCGGGTATCATATATAGATATGGTAAACAAAGGGATAATTCATATCTTGCCCTGGATGGTGCATGATGGCACAAGATTTCATCACTACTCAGAACAGCATGCAATTTCAAACTTACAAATTATTTCTGGAATTTTCCATTTAATATTTTTGGACTGTAGTTGACTGTGGGTAACTGAAATTGCAGAAGGCAAAGCCTTGTGTAAGGGAAAACCGTTGTAGTTGTCACTGAATTCTAACAACTTACTGACCTGAAGACAGCCAAAATCACCTGGGATATGAGAAAATTTTCTCAAAGAAACACATATATCAATCTATATTCTGATGTTTGTTTGTTTGTTGAGATGGAGTCTGTCACCCATGCTGGAGTGCAGTGGCACAATCTTGGCTCACTACAACCTCTGCCTCCCAGGTTCAAGCGATTCTCCTGCCTCAGCCTCCCAAGTGGCTGGGATTATAGGCACCCGCCACCATGCCCAGCTAATTTTTCTATTTTTAGTAAAGATGGGGTTTCACCATGTTGGCCAGGCTGGTCTTGAACTCCTGACCTCAAGTGATCCGCACACCTCGGCCTCCCAAAGTGCTGGGATTACAGGCATGAGCCACCATCCCCGGCCCCTCAGAGTTGATTTTCTTTTCAAGAAGCAGATTACAGCAATTGAGAAGCAATGCCAAAAGCTAAAAAAATTCAGTGTTTCTAATTCAGCACATACTTTGTAGACACAAAAATTCCTAAATATTCTTGTTGGCCCCCCTATGTGCTAGCATAATTTTCTTTAGAAAAAAAATGGTTGGCATTTTTTAAAAATCCGAACCATTTTAAGACTTTTTTTAACATAAAAGTTGTCCTAAGAATCTATGGTGCACTTTTTGTTTTGTTTTTCTTGTTTTGTTTTTATAAGACGGAATCTCGCTCTGCTACCCAGGCTGGAGTGCAAGTGGGGCAATTTCAGCTCACTGCAACCTCCGCCTCCCGAGTTCAAGCGATTCTACTACCTCAGCCTCCTGAGTAGCTGGGATTACATGCGCCCACCACCATGCCCGGCTAATTACTGTATTTTTAGTAGAGACGGAGCTTCACCATGTTGCCCAGGCTGGTCTCAAACTCCTGACCTCAAGTGATCCCCCACCTCGGCCTCCCAAAGTGCTGAGATTACAGGTGTGAGCCATCGCACCTGGCCTACAATGCATTTTTTTTTTTTCAGTTCTGAAAAACCTCATTCTTTGAGCAAAGATATTCCTGCTAAAATTGTTTCACACTCAATTTTTAAACTTTCGTGGGACATGCCAACCTCAATAAATAATCACATTTGTAGTATATTTATCAAGATAAGTGCTATATATTCATAAAAGCAAATTAACAAAAAAGAAACAGCATGAAGTAGTATTTACAGCACTATGAAACAAATCAAACTAAAATGTTACAATGTTCATCATTTTCATTAAACTGAATCCTCAAATTTGATGTACTCAGGTCCACATGTAACCAAAACTGGACTGGCAAGACTGTCTTACATGGAACAAAGGGCTCTCTCACTTTCTAATACAGTATAGTACTCTCACCTGTTACTCTCATCTCTTGCACAACATACTTTCCCAAGAGTCAATGCATAGACTAAAAAGACTAATTTTCACCAATTCCTACGTGTTTTTCAAGCACAGGACACAACCTCTGAAACCGGAGTTGCAGCTCAGCTCTTTTTTCCTTCTCCTCTCCCCCACAGATTATTTTCAAAATGTATTACTCTCGAGAACAATCTGGGGGTGAGAGGAGAACAATCTAGGTGGGGGGTAAATTATATGCGCTTTTAATATATCGTCTCAATCAAAGACAAGCTGATTCCCTCCACACATCATTATTACCCAACTGTCAGTCAGCAAACTAAACCCAACTGATGTGTTCTTTGGTCACCACAGTTTTAAAAGGGGTAGCGGGTAGGAGAGTAGAGAGTGTAGGGGAGTAACGAGTGTAGGGAAACCAACATTCTGAAATCAGTAAGTTTTACATTTTAAAAAAGAATCCAGGTCTATAATGTTTGGGGGAGGGGGGTCTAATTTCATGCATAGGCACAAAAGAATGTCGAAATTAATGTTCTACAATCCCCCACAGCCTAAACATTCCTAGCTTATATGCAATATGAGATGTGTTGGCTTATGAATGTGCCACCTCTGCTTTATATCAAAGGACTGACAACCAAAAACTATTCCCAGATAATCCATGTCTTAATATCAGTAAGCTTCTAGTTTCAAAACAACAAAGAAAAAATTCACTTGGGTGGGTTAAGTAGAACTATCAAGAAAAACTTAGCAAATAATTGATATCAAATCTCCCCACAATGTTTGTACTACATTTTTTTTAAAGCATAATAAATCCCAGTTGAATTTTCCCAAGGTAGAGTATTGTGACTTGGACGACCACTGTAGTTTTCAGGAAACAGAAATGTAGCAACATGGATCCCTTAGACCTAAACAACAGTGGCTCAAGCCCTGGATTCCTTGAGTTAGGGGGTACCACTCCAGCTATACAACCCTCCCCATGAAGCAAGGAGTCTATTGCGCCAAGAGGACTTGTCTAACTGGAGCACATTTTCTCCCCTAATGCTACATCATTCTATGGGTATGCAGAACCTAAAATATCTGCCCAAACAGCCCTCAACAAGCTTCCAAAGCCTCTTTCACCAGATCAGTACTCCAGAAGGAAAACTATACCAACTAGACTGTGTATCCTTAGGCTTGAAGGGTACCAAGAGTCAACTGTATGCAGAGGATGTGAACATGTTGCTTGGGATGTCTATACAGGTCTGCCCAAATACTCTTAATTGTAGTAACGAGCAGTGGAGAAAGCAGAAGCAGAGAGGGCTGTGGACCAGAAGCCAGATGGTAACTTTGTACCACCACAGTCTGATACAAGAAACTCCAACAAGTCTGAAAATACTAAATTCTAACCTGGCCTCCCAGGGTCTTATTATGGTATACTTACGAAGGAAGGAGGACGAAACTTTTTTTTTGGCAAGTTCTTTTTTAAGATTGATTTATAACTTTTAAATTAGACGTACGGTATGTGACACTCCATTTGTACTCTTGTTCCTAGACCCACAAAAGTTAAGCGCAAGCATGTCTGAAAGGCTTATTTCTCCAAATCATCTCAATCTAAATAAAGCATTTGGATAAGATCCTTTAAGCTAATAGTATTCACTAAACTGTAAACCACAAGTTCTATGAGTTTCAAATTAAGACAAATTAATATACAAGGTATCTGTAAAGTCAAGAAGCATAAAAAATTTTAAAGTATGCTAGCTACATATTCATATAATATGCTCATTATGTTTTTCTTCTATTTCCATATACCTTTTCAGGGAAAGTATCTCAAAGTTTAAACAGTAAGTCCAATTGTTAATCTAGAAAAAAAAAAAGTATAACAAATACACAAGCCAGGAGCAGGGGCGCCAACCCATGGTCTCATTATAATCACAGCTACTTGGCAGGCTGAGGTGGTAAGATCACTTGGGGCCAGGAGTTTGAGGCTGCAATGCACCATGATCATGCCTATGAATAGCCACTGAACTTGTGCCTGGGAAGCATAGTGAGAGCCCATCTCTTTAAAAAATAAAAATAAAAATTTTAGAAGTATAATACAGTATTTAACCTGTTATTCCAGACTTTGTGGACTCTCTGTAGTATATCTATGGTGCTTTTTCCCCCAGATTAATAGAATATACTGCTTCAAATTCAGCACCAGTGAACGGGTCTGAAAGTTGGGGGGAAAAAAAAAGCTAATGATTCTTTATGTGAAAATATAACAGATATAAAAATAAGAGTATCCTGTGTTTTCTGACTTTTCAGGTATACCGTTCAATTATACTTAGGGCCATCTGTCTGGCAGTCATCCCACAGAACATGAGTCCTAATGTCTGAATTGTATTTACATTCTATTGGGAAAATCACACAAGCAGAAAATCTATAAATGCAGATTCAAACTTGCAAAGTAAATCCACGATGACATGTTGTCCAAAACTTGCGACAGTTCCAAGAGAAAGACAAGAAAATTAACATCATAAGGCACTTAACAGCATACATGTGTCAAACACAAATGAATCAGTCATGATACAACCTCCAATTAAATTTCAGCAAAACATCATTTGTTATATGAATTTGGTATTAATGAAAATTTAAATAAATGTTATAGTTTATATACAATTAACTTGTGCTGTTATAACTGTAACCACAGTCTAAAAACAAGGACTTTATACATAGCTTTACGAATGGAGATATTTAAGTACCACTATTTTGAAAATTCAACATTGAGGTGGTATTCCTTGATTTTTTGTTTTTCATTTAATTGAGCTCAAAAGTTTACAAAAATTATAAAAGTTTAGGAAACACTGCTCTAAAATAGCTATGGTGACTAAGCCTACTGAATTTACTACTCACTGGTCTCTGCAGAGGACCTAAAAATACACACCATTTCCAACTTCAAAATTACAGAAGTTATTTAACTGAACGTATCAAGGCCTCACGACAGATTTCTCATTCAGCTTAAATTCTTTATCTTAATATTATTTTTTCATTCACATAATACTTATTGAGCACTTATTATGTGCCAGATACTGCTCAAGGTAATGAGGTAGAGAACAAAGCTAAAATTCCTGCCCTCATGAAACTTATTTCTAATGCAAGAGAGAGAAACACAATAGTCTAAGTAGTCTAAATACTAAATAAGGTAAACTGCCAGAGAGGGAAAAAGATGTGAAAAATACTTAAGAGGCCAGCAGTCTTTAGAATTAGCATCCCCTCATCATACCAATTTTAGGTTCACTTGAAAAATTCACTAATGGGGTTAAACTGAGGGCTTCCACCGGCGTGTCACCAGCATTTAGTCTCTATATAGAATCCAGCTACAGTCCAGCACACACTTGATTGGTGATCAGTACCTTCACAAAATCTACCTTCTAATGTAACAGCACAGCAAGAATTGAGATCCAGAACAATCTTACAGATCAAATGAATTTCAAAAGTGTAAAGTGACTGTATTTGATTGCCCCTTTTTACTACTCTTTACTGGCTTAAGTTTTTACATGAACTAGATACAAGCCCTCTTACTATGCCATATTCTCTTTCATATGCCAATGACATACCCCTTAAAAGACAACTGATCCTACAGGAAAAAAAAAAAATACATATGAATGCTAAAATTACTAGTCAAACCTTTAAGGAGAAATAGTATCAAAGTATCTCCCCGAAAATATCTATATGGTGGTTTAAACATGCCTGCAAATTATTTGGTACTTCTCTCTCAAGAAGGCAGAGCTTAGCTCCCCTCACCCTAAGGGTGAGCTGGGCTTCTAACAGATCCATGATGGAAAAGTAAAAATAGTAACTTTACAGTGGAGAAACCTGGCAGACACCACCTTACCCAAGTGATCAAAGTTCAAATCACTGGTAATAAATAATGTTAATATCATACCCTTTTCTTGATATGGTAAGAAAAGCACTTCCCTTGCGTGATATTCTTTCTAAATATCCACAATCTAACATAATCATGAAAAAAATCAGAAAAACCCAAACTTAGAAACATTCTACAAAATATCCAACCAGTACTCTTCAAAAATCAAAGTCATGAAAAACAAGGAAAGACTGAGAAATTGTCAGATTGGAGGAAACTAAAGACCTGAGGCCGGGCGCCTGTAATCCCAGCACTTTGGGAGGACAAGGCAGGGGGATCACGAGGTCAGGAGATCGAGACCATCCTGGCTAACACGGTGAAATCCCGTCTCTACTAAACATACAAAAAATTAGCTGGGCATGGTGGCACACGCCTGTAGTCCCAGCTACTCAAGAGGCCGAGGCAGGAGAATCCCTTGAACCTGGGAGGCGGAGGCTGCAGTGAGCAGAGATCACACCACTGCACTCCAGCCTGGGCGACAGAGCGAAACTCCATCTCAGGGGAGCGGGGAAATACCTGAAAATTGGGCTGGGCAGATATTTTAGGTTCCTGCATACTGTAGTGGCTCACGCCTGTAATCCCAGCACCTTGGGAGACCTAGGCAGGAGGATCATTTGAGGCCAGGAATTTGAGACCAGCCTGAGCAAGGTAGCAAAACTGTCTCCACAAAAATGAAAATTAAAAAAATAAAAGACATAAAACTAAATACAACATGGTCTCTTACACTGGATCCCAAAATAGCAAGAGGACATTTGTGGAAAACTTGATGAAATTCAATTAAACTCTGTAGTTTAATTAATAGTATTTTATCAAGGTTAATTTCTTAGTTTTGATAAATGTACCATGTCTATATAAGATGTTGATACTAAGAATCCTCTGGACTATTTAGCAGTTCTTCTAGAAATATATAATTACTTCAAAATAAAGTTTTTCTAAACGACAACTAATCCAGTTATTTAACTTATTGTGAAAAAGGAATGGCTGAACATTAGCTGGAGGAATTACGTCTGACAGCAGCACTCATATCCCAACATTCAACCATTTAGTGTTAACACTTCACTTCACCTCCTTCAATTACCAGAAAGTGGGGTTTTTTGCTTGTTTTTTAGCTAGTACAGTCAAACAAAGTGAGACACTACCCTGCCCGAAATTAAATATTTCCTGGGACTGGGACTCAGTATTTTTTTTATAGCACAGATGTGACTGGTAACTATTAGAAAGTCTGAAAATCTCCTCATATTCTTTAGTATTTTCAGGGGTCTTCAAAGCACTTGCATCAAGTGCCAGAAGTAGATCTATACCTGACTCCTGAATAAACTATAAACTTTATAATAATATCAAGTAGCCCTTGTGGAGAAGAAAGGGACTTCTACGTAAATATAAATATTTCTCAACTTTCTTAATATGATACTAAACATACCATTTCCTCAATTGATTTTGCATCAAGAAGCAAAACATGGCCAGGCACGGTGGCTCAAACCTGTAATCCTAGAACTCTGGGAGGCCAAGGCGGATGGATCACCTGAGGTCAGGAGTTTGAGACCAGCCTGGCCAACATGGTGAAACCCCGTCTCTACCAAAAACACAAAAATTAGCCGGACATGGTGGAAAATGCCTCTAATCACAGCTACCTGAGAGGCCGAGGCAAGAGAATCGCCTGAACCTGTGAGGTGGAGGCTGCAGCGAGCTGAAATTGGGCCACTGCACTCCAACGTAAGTGACAGAGGGAGACTCTGTCTCAAAAAAAAAAAAAAAAAAACGCAAAACAGAACTCCAGTATGTCATCCTTTCATTAGGAAATAAAGTCCTGAAATTGTCTGTTACTCATGTAGCAAAAATCAAAATTAGAATAATGATGTTTAGAGGGATGTAAGCAATACTGTTTCCATAAATGGCTATGTCTATGTTATCTTTAGGTCAAGTTAGAAACAAAAAAATCTACCATTGTAAACTACATTAGCCTACCCTCACATATAATTTATCTTCCCTGAGCGTTTTGTATATTTTACCCTTCTCTTTTTATTATTTAAATAGAAAAAAAACCAGCTGGATGCAGTCGCTCACACCTTTAAAGCCCAGCACTTTGGGATGCTGCAGCAGGAGAATCATTTGAGCTCAAGAGTTCAAGACCAGCCTGGGAAATACAGTGAGACCTTATCTCTACTTAAAAAAAAAAAAAATTAGCCAGTCATTGTAGCCCGCACTTGTAGTCCCAGCTACTTGGGAGGCTGAGGCGGGAAGATTGCTTGAGCCTGGGATGCCCAGGCTGCAGTGATCAACCCACTGCACTCCAGCCTGGGACACAGAGCAACATCCTGGGACACAGAGCAACATCCTGTCTCAAAAAAAACAAAAACAAACAAACAAAAAAGAACTCATGAAAAAGATCTTGACAGCTATAGAATACGTGCTGTAAAATCGTTCTCAACAACACTGTCCATTCATTATTCAATAGCTCTTACATAAACAATGTGCACATTAGAAATTATTTAAGATTTTTTTTTTTTTTTTGAAATGCAGTTTCACTCTTGTTGCCCAGGCTGGAGTGGAATGGTGGCATTATCACGGCTCACTGCAACCTCCGCCTCCGAGGTTCAAGTGATTCTCCTGCCTCAGCCTCCTGAGTAGCTGGGATTACAGGCACCTGCCACCATGCCTGGCTAATTTTTGTATTTTTAGTAGAGATGGGGTTTTGTCATGTTGGCCAGGTTGGTTTCAAACTCCTGACCTCACGTGATCTGCCTGCCTCGGCCTCCCAAAGTGCTGGGATTACAGGTGTGAGCCACCACATCCAGCTTATTTAAGATTTAATGCAAGAAAAATATTTGTCTCTTCTGGAGAATTCGTGACATATTTCTTCATTTAGGGTAATGAAAACTCTGGCTCCCAGGAAGCTTAGCTAAATTTGATGTTTTATCACAGCAATTATGTTAAATTACTTAAAAGTAATGTATTTCTTCACTTCTTTCCTTGGATCTGATTTTCTACTTCTATTAACTATGTATTGACATCCTATTAAGTGTCACCTCAAATCTCATCTGTAAGGAGAAATGTTAAAAATAATAATCAATGAAGCTGAACATACAGGGATCCTATTTTAAATGATTCTACTGAAAATACAAAAATTATCCAGGCGTGGTGGCATGTGCCTGTAGTCCCAGCTACTCAGGAGACGGAGGCAGGAGAATCTCTTGAACCAGGAAGGTGGAGGTTGCAGTGAGCCAAGATGGCACCACTGCACTCCAGCCTGGATGACAGAGGCTCCATCTCAAAAAAAATGGATCACAGAGGGAAATGCAAAACTATAAAACTTTCAGAAAAATGCATAAGGGAAATTTTTCAGGATACAAAAATAGCCAAAAAGTCCTGGACTTCACAACAGAAGCACAATCCATAAAAGAATAATAAATGGGATTTCATCAAAATTAAAAGCTTTTGTTCTGCAAAAGATGCTGTTAGAATTAAAAGATAAGGTATGGAATGGGAGAAAATACCTGCAAACTATATATCCAAAAACGGATCCATATAAAGAACTCTCAAAATTCAATACTTACAAAAAAAAAATCCAGTTAGAAAATGGGCAACAGATATGAAGAGAATATAGATGTTGAATAGCACAGTTAAAGATGTTCCACATATTAGCCATTAGGAAAAGGCTAACATGAAATACCATGATGAGATATACTCCTTATCTATAAGAATAGTTTTTAAAATAGTAAAAAAAAAAAAAAAAAGTAACAACCAATTGCTGGCTAGGATGTGGAAAAACTAGATCTCTCATACACTGCTGGTGGGAATGCAAAATAGTACAACCACTATGGAAAACACTCTTTGGCAGTTTCTATCCGATACACCGCAGCAATCATACTCTTATACTTTTATCCCAGTGAAAACTGGGATGTTCACAGAAAAACCTCTACATGAATATTCACAGCAGGTTTATTTCTAATAGCCAAAAATTGACAACAATCCAGATGACCTTCAACATGAAATGATTCAACAAATTGGTAGCACATGGATGCCATGGAGTACTACTCAATAAAAATGAACAAATTATAGCTATAAGCAACAACTCTGGAATCTTCCAAGTAAAAAGCCAATCCCAAAAGTCATGTACTATATGATTCCATTCATTCATTCATTCATTCATTCATTTATGAGACTGAGTCTTGCTCTGTCACCCAGGCTGGAGTGCAGTGGTGTAATCTCAGCTCACTGCAGCCTTGACTTCCTGGGATCAAGCAATACCTCCATCTTAGCCTCCTGAGTAGCTGAGACTACAGGCACACACCACCACACCCACCTGATTTTTGTATTTTTGTAGAGACGATGTTTCATCATGTTGCCCAGGCTGGTCTTGAACTCTTGAGTTCAAGTGAGCTGCCCATCTCAGCCTCCCAAAGTGCTGGGATTACAGGCATGAGCTACCATGCCCAGCCTGATTCCATTTATATAACATTTTTGAAAAGACAAAATGCAGGGGGTAAAGGGAATATAGGAGGGAGATGGCTGTGATAGCAATAAAAATAAAAAATAAAAATAAAAAACAGGTGATCCTTGGGATGATGGAACTATTCTGTATCTTGACTACCAAAATTCCAATATCCTGGTTGTGAAATTATACTATAATTCTGAAACATATTACCACTGGGGTAACTGGATAAAAGATACACAAGACCTCACAGTAGTAGTTCTTAAAACTGTATGGGAATCTATAGTTATCTCAAAATAAAAACTTAATTTCAATGAGAAATCTGAAGTGAAACATATTTATAAACTGGTAGTAGAGAGATCTGAATTTTAACTTTATTTTTATTTTAAAAAGAAAATTAGCTAAAGCAACTAAAATATCCAAGAACAATTAGAAAACTACATAAAATAGTTTATATATTTAAGTTTTAAATTGAATGGCTAAGCAGTTTTTAAGTTATAAATCCAAAGCCACTATTCGAGAGAGGAGGAAAAGGGTGCAGTGTTTGAAATACGGCAGGCAACATGGACCCAAAACAAATTACCAGCACCATAAAGGAGCTCCTGGATCTCCATCAGGCTCATCCTGGATGAACAAATTTATGTGAAAATGAGAAATGACCAAGAACTTAAAAGCAGATTACAGGCATGTGATCAACATTTAAATGACATTGGAAGAAACGGTGACTACTATAGAAACTAATGAAGAAACAGATAAAGAGATATATAAATCAATGAAATGGAATATTCCAACATTCTTTGTCCATGGAGATGGTGTCATACTAGTTGCCTTCCACTGACAGCTGGCTGAAACAAGGAATTTATCCTGTATAGAAAAATACAAGACTTGGTTCAATGGCCTCTTTAAATCTGTAAGACATTCAAAAGAGAAACCTGCATACATTTTGAAATAAATGACTCCACGATTCTTCCACTCCTAAACTGAGGAGATTTGCAGATAACTCACAACTTCCTAAGCTAAGAGGTATTTTTATTTTTCTCCAACCATTCCAATAAATGTGATCAAGATACAGAATTTTTTCAGGAGATCATTTGCTCCATTTTTTTCTTTAAATTTGATATTTGCTTTTTGATTTCTTAAAAAGACTATCAAGAGAGTAAAAATAAAACCCAGAGAATGGGAGAAAATATTTGCAAATCATGTATCTAGTAACAGACTGGGATTGAAAATATATTAACTACTACAATTCAACAACTAAAAAACAACCCAACTCAAAAACAAAGAACTTGAATAGTCATTTCTCCAAAGATATACAAATAGCCAAAAAGTACATATAAAGATACTCGACATCTCTAATTATCAAGGAAATGCTAATCAAAACCATAATAAGGCCAGGTATAGTGGCTCACACCTGTAATCCCAACACTCTGGGAGGCCAAGGTGGATCACATGAGCCCAAGAGTTCAAGACCAGCCTGGCAAACATGGTGAAACCCCATCTCTACTAAAAATACAAAAATTATCCAGGTAGGGTGGCACATGCCTATAGTCCCAGCTACCTGGGAGGACGAGGTGGGAGGATTGCTTGAGCATGGGAGGAAGAGGAGGCTGCAGTGAGCCGAGATTGCACCACTGCACTCTGGCCTGGGTGACAGAGCAAACTCTGCCTCAAAACAAAAAACAAAAAACAAAAAAACCAACAACCACCATGATGAGATACCACCTCACACCCATTAGGATTGCTATTATCAAAGAAACAAAATAGCAAGTGTTGGTGAGGATGTAGAGAAACTGGAACTCTTGTATACTTTCGGTGGAAATATACAGTGGTAGAGCCACTGTGGAAAACAATATGGTGGTTCCTTAAAAAAAAAAAAAAAAAAAAATACTAAACACAGAATTACCATATGAGCCAGCAATTCCGCTTCGGTGTATATATCCAAAAGAAATGAAAGCTGGGTCTCAAGGAGATATTTATCGACCCATGTTCATACAGCATTATCCACAATGGCTAAAATATGGCATCAACCCCAGTGTCTACCCACAGATGAATGGATAAGCAAAATGTGGTATATACATACAATGGAGTATTATTTGGTCTTAGGAAGGAAATTCTGACATATGCTGAAACACAGATGAACCTTGAGGACAATATGCTAAGTGACTCACGAGGTACTTGGTCAAAATAATAGACACAGAAAGTTAAATGGTAGCTGCCAGCGGCTAGGAGGCTTTGGGAGTTATTGTTTAATGGGTATAGAGTTAAAGTTTTGCAAAATGAAAAGAGTTCTGGAGATGAACAGTGGTGAAGGGTATACAATAATATGAATGTACTTAATACCAGTGTAGAATACATTTAAAAATGGTTAAGATATTTTATTTGTATTTTATCACAACAAAAAAGTTCAGAAGAAAAATATATAAATCCAAAGAAGGGAAATTTTAAACATTGGGTGGAAGTTTCAGTGGAAATAATGGTACTTGAGTTGGACTTGGATGAACAGGATGTACACAAAGAGGCCAACTAAGAGCTGTAGAGCAATGACTTAAAAAAAGTAATGATGGGAGAGCTTCTACTTTCATTTAAATCATTTCTCAGAATGAAAACACGCCAACATTCAAATTTCAGTTTTCCAGAAATTGTGAACATGGATTACCAAATGTTGATAATCATTTTTAAAGAAGAGATAACTTTAAAAATCTGCTTCCAAAGATTCAATACAGGTAATTTCAACATCAGTAATACATTATTCCCACATATGCTGTCAGTAAAAAAGTAATCTGATCTTAGGTAATGCAAGTGCCTGATTAGAGAGTATTCCCAATTCCTCCTTCTCATCCCTTCTAACATTCCTGTAATTCATTTCGCTCATCCATAAGCTATAACTACTGAACAGATTGTTGCCATTATCAGCAACAATCAGGGACATGTATACATTTGTCAAAACCCACAGAATGTACAACACAAAGAGTGAAGCCTAATATAAACAATAGACTTTAGCTAATAATAATGTATCACTATTGGCTTATCAATTCTAACAAATATACTGCATGAATGCAAGATGTTAATAATAGGGGAAATGGAGAAGGAGGGTTTGGGAATTTTTTACACTTCTTAATCAATTTTTCTGTAAACCTGAAACTACTCAAAAAACTTAAAGTCTATTTTTTTTTTTTTTTTTGGAGACGGAGTCTCGCTCTGTCACCCAGGCTGGAGTGCACTGGCGTGACCTCAGCTCGCCACAGCCTCCGCCTCCTGAGTTCAAGCCTCCCGAGTAGGCGGAATTACAGGCATGCGCAACCACACCCGGCTAATTTTTGTATTTTTAGTAGACACAGAGTTTCACCATGTTGGCCAAGCTGGTCTCGAACTCCTGACCTCAAGTGATCCGCCTGCCTCAGCCTCCCAAAGTGCTGGGATTACAGGCATGAGCCACTGCACCCAGCCTTAAGTCTATTTTTTAAAACTTGAGATCATGAAGAATTACACACTACTTTAAGGATAAATCTTTCTCTGAAACTTCTTGGCTCAAATATTGATGTAAACTTTTTTTGTAAATTAAGCTGTATCCAGTTATTTCTAAACTAAAAAAATAATCATCTATAACAAACTGGCGTCCGCCAAAGAGAAGATGGAAAACCAGGTCTATCAACTCAGAATTTCCTCACTTAGATGAGCCCAAAACTCTTTTTTTCTCTAACACCTATTAAAAATCTTTGGGAAATAGTATTATTCTAAAGAAACTGTATTCTTCAGAACATACCTAGGAAAATGCTGGTATAATAAGCAAAAAAAACCAACAGAGTCAGGAAACTTGGATTTCTTTTTCTAATCTGAGTTATGTCATTAATAAGCTAAATTACCTCCACATTTCACTTCTCCAACTGGTCTAACAGCTTCCTGTTGTACTAATTAAAAAGAAAAAAGAGGTGGTACTCCAGACTAGTCATTTACAGTGATAGTGAGTGAGTATGAGGAAAACATCAGTATTCTGGGGAACACACCTATCATTCACACAAAATTATCTGTTAAATATATTACAAGAAAGAGGGCCAGACGCAGTGGCTCACGCCTGTAATCCCAGCACTTTGGAAGGCCGAGGCGGGCGCATCACGAGGTCAGGAGATCGAGACCATCCTGGCTAACATGGTGAAACCCCATCTCTACTAAAAATACAAAAAATTAGCCAGGCGTGGCGGCGGGTACCTGTAGTCCCAGCTACTCAGGAGGCTGGGGCAGGAGAATGGAGTGAATCTGGGAGGCGGAGCTTGCAGTGAGCAGAGATCGTGCCACTGCACTCCAGCCTGGGCGACAAAACGACACTCCGTCTCAAAAAAAAAATACTACAAGAAAGGGTAAGGTTAAGGTCTATGAAACACATGGGACAAAAATAAACCTTAGGGTATAAGTAGTGACAAAGATCCTTTTCCTTGTCACACATTTACATGTTTATCATACATGTAAATTACATCAAGCCTACTACAATAATTAAATAAAGGCTCAAAATAACTGTCATTTAATGATATACATAATTACAGTCATCCCTCAGTATCTATGGGGGATTAGTTCCAGAACCCTCACATATGCCAAAATCTGAGGATGCTCCAAGTATCCCTCATATAAAATGGTGTTGTATTTGTATATAACCTATGCACATTCTCCCATATACCTTAAATCATCTCTAAATTACTTATAATGCCTAAAACAATGCAAATGCTACATAAATAATTGCTATATTGTTGTTATTTGTATTGTTCTTTTTTTTTTTTTTTTTTTATTGATCATTCTTGGGTGTTTCTCACAGAGGAGGATTTGGCAGGGTCATAGGACAATAGTGGAGGGAGGGTCAGCAGATAAACAAGTGAACAAAGGTCTCTGGTTTTCATATGCAGAGGACCCTGCGGCCTTCCACAGTGTTTGTGTCCCTGGGTACTTGAGATTAGGGAGTGGTGATGACTCTTAATGAGCATGCTGCCTTCAAGCATCTGTTTAACAAAGCACATCTTGCACCACCATTAATCCATTTAACCCTGAGTGGACACAGCACATGTTTCAGAGAGCACAGGGTTGGGGGTAGGGTCACCGATCAACAGGATCACAAGGCAGAAGAATTTTTCTTAGTACAGAACAAAATGAAAAGTCTCCCGTGTCTACCTCTTTCTACACAGACATGGCAACCATCCAATTTCTCAATCCTTTCCCCGCCTTTCCCCCCTTTCTATTCCACAAAACCGCCATTGTCATCATGGCCCGTTCTCAATGAGCTGTTGGGTACACTTCCCAGACGGGGTGGTGGCTGGGCAGAGGGGCTCCTCACTTCCCAGTAGGGGCGGCCGGGCAGAGGCGCCCCTCACCTCCCGGACGGGGCGGCTGGCCGGGCGGGGGGCTGACCCCCCCACCTCCCTCCCGGACCGGGCGGCTGGCCGGGCGGGGGGCTGACCCCCCACCTCCCTCCCGGACGGGGCGGCTGGCCGGGCAGAGGGGCTCCTCACTTCCCAGTAGGGGCGGCCGGGCAGAGGCGCCCCTCACCTCCCGGACGGGGCGGCTGGCCGGGCAGGGGGCTGACCCCCCCCACCTCCCTCCCAGACGGGGCGGCTGGCCGGGGGGGGGGGGACTGACCCCCCCACCTCCCTCCCGGACGGGGCAGCTGGCCGGGCGGGGGGCTGACCCCCCCACCTCCCTCCCGGACGAGGTGGCTGCCGGGCGGAGATGCTCCTCACTTCCCAGACGGGGTGGCTGCCGGGCGGAGGGGCTCCTCACTTCTCATATGGGGCGGTTGCCAGGCGGAGGGTCTCCTCACTTCTCAGACGGGGCGGCTGGGCAGAGACGCTCCTCACCTCCCAGACGGGGTCACGGCCGGGTAGAGGCGCTCCTCACATCCCAGACGGGGCGGCGGGGCAGAGGCGCTCCCCACATCTTAGACGATGGGCGGCCGGGCAGAGACGCTCCTCACTTCCTAGATGGGATGGCGGCCGGGAAGAGGCGCTCCTCACTTCCTAGATGGGATGGCGGCCGGGCAGAGACGCTCCTCACTTTCCAGACTGGGTAGCCAGGCAGAGGGGCTCCTCACGTCCCAGACGATGGGCGGCCAGGCAGAGACGCTCCTCACTTCCCAGACGGGGTGGCGGCCGGGCAGAGGCTGCAATCTTGGCACTTTGGGAGGCCAAGGCAGGCGGCTGGGAGGTGGAGGTTGTAGCGAGCCGAGATCACGCCACTGCACTCCAGCCTGGGCACCATTGAGCACTGAGTGAACCAGACTCCGTCTGCAATCCCGGCACCTCGGGAGGCCGAGGCTGGCGGATCACTCGCAGTTCGGAGCTGGAGACCAGCCCGGCCAACACAGCGAAACCCCGTCTCCACCAAAAAAATAGGAAAACCAGTCAGGCGTGGTGGCGCACGCCTGCAATCGCAGGCACTCGGCAGGCTGAGGCAGGAGAATCAGGCAGGGAGGCTGCAGTGAGCCGAGATGGCAGCAGTACAGTCCAGCTTCGGCTCGGCATCAGTGGGAGACCGTGGAAAGAGAGGGAGAGGGAGACCGTGGGGAGAGGGAGAGGGGGGAGAGGGAAAGGGAGAGGGAGAGGGAGAGCGGAGGCACCTCTCTTGGTGAAGATGCTGGGCTGGATCTGTATTGTTCTTTATTGGTGTTTGTTTTGGAGATGGAGTCTCATCCTGTTGCCCAGGCTGGAATGCAGTGGCGCAACCTCGGCTCACTGCAACCTCTGCCCCCCGGGTTCAAGCAATTCTTCTGCCTCAGCCTCCCAAGTAGCTGGGACTACAGGCACACGCCACCACACTCGGCTAATTTTCGTATTTTTAGTAGAGATGGGATTTCACCATACTGGTCAGGCTGGTCTCCACCTCCTGGCCTCGTGATCCACCCGCCTCAGCCTCCCAAAGTGCTGGGATTACAGGTGTGAGCCACCATGCCTGGCTATTGTATTTTTTTATTGATTTTCTTCTCAAATTATTTTCAATTCATGATTGGTTGAATTCATGACTACAAAATCCATACATATGTAACCCATGGATAAAGCGGGCCAGCTCTATTACTGTACATCACACTAAATACTAAGCAGTTCAAAGAAAATGTTTATAATTAGTATTAATTTCTTAGAGATAAATAAAAATCCAGTTCAGGAACAACAAGGTTGAAGAGGCCATTCTCATATGACTGATGACACCTTCAAGGGGCAGAAGAGTAGTAGCAGGGACCAATTTCTACTTAAAAGAATCAGTCCTGGCCGGGCGCGGTGGCTCACAGCTGTAATCCCGGCACTTTGGGAGGCTGAGGCAGGCAGATCATAAGGTCAGGAGTTCGAGATCAGCCTGGCCAATATGGTGAAACCCCGTCTCTACTAAAAATACAAAAATTAGCCAGGCATGATGGCGTGCACCTGTAGTCCCAGCTACTTGGAAGGCTGAGGCAGAAGAATCGCTTGAACCCAGGAGGTGGAGGTTGCAATGAGCCCAGATTGCGCCACTGCAATCCAGCCTGGGTGACAGAGGAAGACTCCGTCTCAAGAAAAAAAACAAAACAGAATCAGCCCTAGCCTGGGCAACGGAGTGGGACCACATCTCTACAAATAAATATGCAAACTGGGTTGTGCACACCTGTCACTTCAGCCCAGGAGGTCAAGGCTGCAGTGAGCTATGATCACACCACTGACTCCAGCCTGAGTGACAGAGCGAGACCCTGTCTCAAAAAAAAAAAAAAAAAAGACCTATGCCTGCTCACGAATCTATTACTATACACCCAGAAAATACAAACATATCAACTAAAATACTAAAAGCAATTCTTCAAAAGTCATCACTATAGTAGATAATAAACATGAAACTCAATTGCTTCCTTTATTTAAATAGCCAGATAATAATGCAATTGATGAAATAGCCTCATAAAAACAGAAGCCCTTGCCCTCCCTCCAAAATGTTTTTAGAAATAAATATAACAAAAATATATGGTTTCTTAAAAATAACAAATATGCGTATCAACAAGAAACACAGATATGACAAGATGAAAATCATAAATGCCACTAAAGGGCATCAAACATCAAATAAATGGGAAATCTATCTTCCTAGAAAGAGATATGCTATCGTAAAGTTATCAATGATCTTCTAAATTAATCTACAAATGCAGACCCTCTCAATCAACATACCACCAAGAATTATTATTATTATTATTTTGAGATGGGAGTCTAGCTCAGTCCCCCAGGCTGGGTGCAGTGGCACGATCTCG
This sequence comes from Homo sapiens, assembly GCF_000001405.40. Taxonomy (NCBI): domain Eukaryota; kingdom Metazoa; phylum Chordata; class Mammalia; order Primates; family Hominidae; genus Homo; species Homo sapiens. The sequence continues at coordinate 65,937,856 of NC_000005.10, read as the reverse complement.
GCTCACTACAAGCTCCGCCTCCCGGGTTCATGCCATTCTCCTGCCTCAGCCTCCCGAGTAGCTGGGACTACAGGCGCCTGCTACCACACCCCGCTAATTTTTTTGTATTTTTAGTAGAGACAGGGTTTCACCGTGTTAGCCAGGATGGTCTCGATCTCCTGACCTCGTGATCCGCCCGCCTCGGCCTCCCAAAGTGCTGGGATTACAGGCATGAGCCACCGCACCCGGCCAAGAATTATTTTTAGAAGCTGATAAAAATGATTCATGTCCACCTGGAAAATTCATTTAAAAGCAGAGTAACAAAGCAACACTTCCAGATATTAAATATACAATGAAGGGGAGAGAGGTCAAAATAGCATAGTATCATAAAAAACACAACAAATAAAAAAAAGAAAATCCTGACATAGTATAAACATATTTGGGGATTTACTATTGATAAAGGCAGACTTTCAGAAGTAAAACGATTATTCAACAAACGGCACTACAACTAGTTAGAAATTTGGGGAGCATAAAGCTAGATTATTTTTTCACTCCTTAAGCCAAAATTTAAAAAGCTAGGTTATTACTTTTATAATCTTGGTGCAAATACTTTCCAATAATAACATTAAAACCAAAAGGCATAAAGAGACTGACAAATTTGATTACATTAAAATTTAAGCATCCATATGGCAAACACCAGAGCCAATGCATAAGGATAAGCAACACATCAATAAAAACCATGTAGAACACAAAAGGCACACTGTATATGTACTATACCTAAAAGAATTGACATTTAATTTTTCAATGTCATAATTAGTAAGTCGTGGATTTAAATCCAGGCAATCTGACTCCAAAACTTATGTTCTTACATACTATACTATATTGCCTCTCTCAGATGTCCACAAGTATTATAAGACAACCAATACCCATTTTGGTCAAAAATGCATACAGGTAATTTTATATACCATTGATGGAAGTACAAATTGATACACACTCTTCAGAGGGAATTTGATTCTAGCTAGCTATCAATTTTAACTACACATACCGGAGTATATCTGGGAGATGGAATTGTGGAGAATTTTCATCTTCTATGTTCTATATTTCTATGTTTGAATTTTTACAGCAAGATTATTTTTATAATTGGGGAAAAAACAGATTAAGGTAATTGTTTTTACCCTCTGCCTATCAAAAGCCCTTCACCTTATCCAGCCTTCCTATCCTACCCTAAAGTGTCTCACTCTGTAGACATTTGTAAGACAGAATCGACAGAAATTTCAATTACTAAGGTCAGGAAAATAAAGATGACTCCTAGGGTCCCTGGCTTGGGAATGGCTTTTAAAAGAGCAGACAGGACCCTCTGTTGATACCAGGTATCCACGACAAATCAAAAAGCATCTACTATATACAGTCCCTGCTATTTTGCAGTCAGCATCAAGACAATAAACTAAATCTTCTGAAGTCCCCAGGGATTAATAGGGCACCCAAAGGATCCATTTGATGCTGCCAAGATCCTTATCTTTTCCTAGAAGACTGAGAGATTTATTCTAGTCTCAAAGGATATGCCTCTTAAATCACTTCCAAAATCTATAAGGAAGAGGAAAGTCAAACCAACTTATTCTAGGTTGTGTGATAACCTTGGCAACAAGATTCATTTTTAGATCACTAGTTTCTTGCACTGGTCCTACTACAAACATACCCTCCTCTCCCCACCCCCCCTCCATCAGACCTCCCTCCATGCTCCCACAAAGAGTCTAGAGTGACCTAAGGTGTGAAATTCCAAGAACACCATTATTAGGTGCTTCAAGACTTCAGGATCATGCAAACAATATAACCTGAATATATGAAAACCACAGCTGGGTGCAGTGGCTCACACCTGTAATCCCAGTACTTTGGGAGGTTCGAGGTGGAAGGATCACTCAAGCCCAGGAGCTGGAGACCAATCCTGGCAACATAGTAAGACCTCTACCTCTATAAAAAATAGAAAAATTAGCTGGGCGTGGTGGCATATGCCTGTAGTCTCAGCTACTCAGGATGCTGAGGTGAAAGGATTGATTGAGGCCATGAGTTCAAAGCTGCAGTGAGCAGTGATCATGCCACTGCACTACAGCCTGGGCGACAGAGCGAGACCCTTCTCCAAAAAAGAATAAAAAAGAAAAACACAACTGCATCAAAATCACTGCACTCATACTGAAATTGAGCAATTATCTCCACAAATAACTTGTCCAATGTAAAGAGTAAAAGTACTGGATTTCTTCCATCCTCCTTTCACAGTCGCCTCAAGAATTACTAAGGAATGAAATATTTCACATAAATGTACTTTATCACGGAATTAAAACTTGCCTTTTTACAGTTTGGAATTTTATCTCTTTAGAAATACTTCAGAAATTAATTGGACTGCAGACACTTCTGGCTCAAAAATGTTTGAACAAATGTTTACCTTAACTTCCTCACACACATAACATATGGAAACAAAACTATTTCTCACTGTTAGAGATAAGTTACAAGTATGGAAAGGGGAAAAAAAACAACTTAGAGTGAACCTGGTGGTGCTGGATTAGAATTGCATTATAGAAATATGCAGATGCTCCTCGATTTACAATGGGTTTACATCTGGATAAACCCATCATTTAAGCCAAAAATATCACAGGTTGAAAATGCACTTAGTACCCCAATAAAACCCCTGGTAAAGTCAAAGAAGTATAAATCAGGGACCATTGTATATATTTATAGATATATAAATAAAAATAGATGTAAATATGTGTAAGTACATAAAAATATTTCCTAGCTTTGTATATGAAGAGGGCCTGAGAGTAACAATACCCTAAAAACAACAATGTACACAAGCCCCAGATCTTGGCTTCTAAGTATCATTTTCCACTAAAAACAACCAGGAAAAGTAGAAGATATGTTAGAACATCTAATTGTGCTAAAAAACAAGGAGTACTCAAAAAAGGAAGAGGTATCAAAAACAAAAAAGAAAATAAGCCAGGGGGTTCTCACTGGCCAATCAAGAACAATTTGAGCACCAAAATAAATAGTAATGCATTATGTCCTTGCGAAGATAAACCTAGGTACATGTAAATAAGTGAATTTAAAATATGACAAACAAAACAAAATATTTACATAGTTTCAAAGCACCTACCGCAAAATATTAGTTAATTACAAACAGGGAATGAATACCTTAAAAAGGGCAAGTCTGGCAGCCACAACTTTAATCACATAAAGTGAATACCATAATAGGACACACTGAAATTGCCTGCCACCTGATAAGACGTAATAAGAAGAATGCAGCATCACTTTTACAATAACCCTGCCAAAGATCTAATCATAAAAATCTAATCAAAGATCTAATCATGAAAAATATCACACAAATGAAAATTGAGGGGTATTCTACAGAATAACTAGGCCTGTCATCTTCAGATCTTCAAAAGTGTCAAGGCCTTGAAAAAAAAGAGAAAGAAATTATTCCAGATTGAAGGAGAATAAAGAGATGACAACAAAATGTAACACATGATTCCAAACTGGAATAGTTTGCTGTAAAACACATTATTGGGATAATTGAGGTTCAGATGTTAGTAATATATTCATGTTTACTTTCTGATTTTGATGGTAATGATGTCATTATATGCAGGAGAATATCCTTGTTTGTAGGAAATAAACATTAAAATATTTAGGGGTGACGGGCTGGGCGCGGTGGCTCACGCCTGTAGTCCCAGCACTTTGGGAGGCCAAGGCAGGCAAATCATGACATCAGGAGATCAAGACCACCCTGGCTAACACGGTGAAACCCCATCTCTACTAAAAATACAAAAAATTAGCCAGGCGTGGTGGCGGGCGTCTATAGTCTCAGCTACTTGGGAGGCTGAGGCAGGAGAACTGGCGTGAATCCAGGAGGTGGAGCTTGCAGTGAGCCAAGATCACGCCACTGCACTCCAGCCTGGGCGACAGAGCTCTCAAATAAAAAAAAATATATATTTAGGGATGACGACAGGGCATCATGTTAGCAACTTAGTCAAATGGTTCAGGAAAAAAAATGTTCAAACTTTTCCATATGTCAGTCATTGTTTCAAAAATTAAAATTTAATTTAAAAATATCTATAGCAGTGCTGAAAACCTGGGAGGGGTATACCTACAGATAAGAACAGAACGGAATTTATAAAGAATACAAAGTAGGCTGGGGTCGGGGAAATAACAAAATGCAATACACTTGAGGAACCAGACACCCAAAACAAGAAGAAAGTGGGATCTCCAAAAAAGATGAGTTTTCTTAGCAAGAAGGATTAAGAGAAGCATATCCTGAGCGGTCAGCCAGAGAGCAAAACCATAGTAAAACACTGTGTAGCTAAAGCCTCTAGTACAGCTCTATGTATGTAGGAGATGTGACACTTGGACAGTGTGATTATGAAAAAAGGAGACTGCCTCCTGAGGAACAGTAAGCACCTGTACCAAAAGGTCAAGCTACCCACATACCTTCAAAGAGAAACTCGTTAAATATTTCTCCCTTTCCTCTTCTAAGCAATCACCAAAGCCAGAAGAAGGATTCATTGGGCTGGGAACATATATTTAAATGACCAATACAGTAGAGACTAGGTCATCATATAAAACTTTGACTACCATGAAAATCTAGTATTTGAAGAAAAAACAAAAAGCATGACATACACCAAAAGCACAGTAAGATCAAATTTTCTGTAGTGTTAGTAGAATAAACAAAAGACAATGTTAAAAGAACATCTCAGAGATTAAAGGTTACATGCAGACCAAAAATAGGGCTAGAAAACCAAAATTGGGCCAGGTGCAGCGGCTCATGCCATAATCCCAGCACTTTGGGAGACCAAGGAGGGAGGACTGCTTGAGGCCAGGAGTTCAAGACCAGCCTGAACAACAGAGCAAGAACCCATCTCTACAAAAAAAAATAAAACATTAGCCGGGCATGGTGGTGCATGCCTATAGTCTCGGCTGAAGGTGAGGTGACAGGATAGCTTGAGCCCAGGAGTCCGAGGCTGCAGTGAGCCGTGAGTATGCCACTGCACTCCAGCCTGGGCAACACAGTGAGATCCTGTCTCAAAAAAATAAAAACAAAAATAACTCCTATGAAAAACTAGAATTCTTAGAAACTCTGTTCCAAAAACAAGTAACAAAATAACTGAAAACAAATGAAAATCAAGTAAGTGGGCTTAAAGATCAAGCTTCAACACTCTCCCAGAATCCAATACGAACAGACAAGAAAAAAAATTTAATTAATGAAAGTTCCATAAATCCCAACTTCCACCTAAGTTCTTGAAGTGCAGTCCATAGGCCCTGGAAGTCCACAGTCTCTGGAAGTCCCTGAGACACTTTCAAGGAACCTTCCAGGTCAAAACTGTGTTTATAATATTGAAATGTCATTTTTCCCTTTTCCATTATATTTACATTTTACACTGATGTTGCAAAAGCAATGGTTGCAACAGCTAACACCTTTACAAGAACAAAGGCAATGCCTTCAAGCTGCAATAGTACCACTACATATTCCCAGGTTTATGTCTTTTTTTTTTTTTTTTTTTGAGACGGAGTCTTGCTCTGTCGCCAGGCTGGAATGCAGTGGCGCGATCTCGGCTCACTGCAACCTCCACCTCCCGAGTTCAGGCAATTCTCCTGCCTCAGCCTCCTGAGTAGCTGGGATTACAGGCGTTTGTGACCACACCGAGCTAATTTTTTGTATTTTAGTAGAGACAGGGTTTCACTGTGTTGTCCATGGTCTTGATCTCCTGACCTTGTGACCAGCACTTTGCGCGGTGGCTCACGCCTGTAATCCCAGCACTTTGGGAGGCCGAGGCGGGCAGATCACCTGAGGTCAGGAGTTCAAGACCAGCCTGACCAACGTGGAGAAACCCTGTCTCTACAAAAAATACAAAATTAGCTGGACATGGTGGCGCATGCCTGTAATCCCAGCTACTCAGGAGGCTGAGGCAAGAGAATCGCTTAAACCCGGGAGGCAGAGGCTGCGGTGAGCCGAGACTGCACCACTGCACTCCAGTCTGGGCAACAAGAGCAAACTCCATCTCAAAAAAAAAAAAAAAAAGAAAGAAAAGAAAGAAAATCTTCCTCCCTTTTCCAACCAAATACCTGTATAAGGCTGGATTTTCTTCATATACTTTAGCCAAAAGAACATACTGTAACAGATGGAGTGAAGAAGCAGATATGAGAATCGAGCTGTTTTCTATTAAGCCAAACATAAGAGACTTGCAAAAATATAAAACATTGCCACTATTTTTGCTATTTATTTTAGAAAACAATTATATTTTTATTAAAACAATGTTACACTAACATGCAATAGCTTATTTTCAAATAAATTAATTTTTTTTAATTTCTGTTTTGAGTCAAACCAAAAAGTCTGAGAACAGCTGCCTTAGGACTATTACTATTTCTTGTAATTATACCATATTATAACAGAGTGAATCCTCCTACAGGGAAATGAAATGTACAAGGCACTTAGCCTCAAAGTAAGTTGTCCCAGATTATTTTCTAAGTTATTCAGTCATCTTTCCATTTTTCTATTGCTTCACTGTAACACCACAGGTCATAACTTCACAATGCTGTAAACGTACCTTTCTCACGCCTTCTGGGATACCAAAGAACCAAAAACAGCTCATTATGTACATAAGTAAATGGGCTCTGAATAATAATGGCCCTAAAAGTGAAGTCCCCAGACTCTGTCATACCTGTTGTGATTAAGGAGATGTCATTTTTTATTTTCTAGTTTTTCTACTACATTCAATATGCTTTTAAAGCTATAATAAATAACCTCCAGATAAGTAGAGTCTTATTAAGTGAATTTTTAGATATTCTCCTTTTCTATCGTCTTCCACAAAGTGAATTTTTAGATATTCTCCTTTTCTATCGTCTTCCACACTATCACTTAAAGCCTGGCAAGACCTTCATTCAATGGTGTCTGGAACAAAATTTGAAGTGACAAAAATAGAGTGATAGAGTACTATTGTGCTTATTTCATGAAATCAAAGAAAGATAATTTCAAAATTTTAGGGATTCTGTGTCAGAGAAGACATCTAACTTGAAAGGTAGGACAGAAGAGGAAGGTACAGAGAAGAAGGAACAGAGAAATATATCTGTATGTTTTAAGAGGCCAAAAGTATAATAAAACAAGAAGGTAGAGAGGGTTACAAAGTCTTAATACATAAGAATAAATAACAACCTGGTATTATCTTAACAGTCAATTTTAAGAACACTAAAGAGAAAAAGGAAAACTGAGAAAACAAAGTATAAAACAAACAATGGCCGGGAGCGGTGGCTCATGCCTGTAATCCCAGCACTTTGAGAGGCCGAGGTGGGCAGATCACGAGGTCAGGAGATAAAGACCATCCTGGCTAACACGGTGAAACCGCGTCTCTACTAAAAATACAAAAAAATTAGCCGGGCACAGTGGCGGGCGCCTCTAGTCCCAGCTACTCGGGAGGCTGAGGCAGGAGAATGGCGTGAACCTGGGGGAGGCGCAGCTTGCAGTGGGCCAAAATCTTGCCACTGCACTCCAGCCTGGGCGACAGAGCAAGACTCCATCTCAAAATAAACAAAGCAATATACTGATGAATATAAAGTTAAAATACCAGCATGTACACTTAGTTGAAATGCAAAGGGGATATTCAGAATTAAATGGGCTAATAAAATAAGATCAGATAAACTTTTTCCACTGCATGTTTTGAACAGTTTTTTGAGGTGATAAACATAGACTAACAGTTTGGAAAAGAGGGAAATGGCAAAATATAATTAAGAACGACCAACTGAACACAGAGAAAATAAGGCTAGGTAAATGAAGCTAACTATAAATATAGGAAGCTAAGGGAATCAGAAGAGAAAGCTGAATAGCAGCTAAGTTTCTTTTTTACAATTAGGAAACCTAAGAAGAGACAGCTAAAAAGTGAATCTGAAAAATGGGAGTTAGCAGTAGGCCGGGCTCAGTGGCTCACACCTGTAATCCCAGCACTTCGGTAGGCCAAGGTGGGCAGATCACCTGAGGTCGGGAGTTCGAGACCAGCCTGGCCAACATGGCAAAACCTGTCTCTACTAAAAATACAAAAATTAGCTAGGCATGATGATGTGCGCTTGTAATCCCAGCTACTTGGGAGGCTGAAGCAGGAGAATCGCTGGAACCCGGGAGGTGGAGGTTGTGGTGAGTCGAGATTGTGCCACTGCACTCCAGCCTAGGCAACAGAGCAAGACTCCATCTCGAAAAAAAAAAAAAAAAAAAAGAGGAAAAGACAAAGACATCTTTAGAGGTTTATAATAGAGATGTATTCCCAGAAAAAGAAAACGGAAGCAAGCATGTAACAAATTCAAGAAATGAATGAGCAAGGCAAAGAGTCAAAATGCAAGCAGCCAAGTAGGGTATGTAAGGAGAATCTGGATAAGCAGCAATTACGAAAAATAAAAAAGAAACTGCTACCCAGCATCACTAAAATTCTGCATAATCCCAAATACTCTGTAAGTACTGCCATAATCTATTTCCAAAACAAAAGCAGCTTAAAGTCTAAATCGTATTATCCGTAAGCAATTATTTCAAATAAGTAATTTTGAAATATACACCTATTTTCTGAAACTTTTAACTATTTCTTAAAGGGTATTATTTACTACTAATAGTGCAATACCAACAATGTGTAAAATAATCGATTTTTGAGATTTGCCAATGATATATGTTAATGTATCTATAGTTATCACTTCATTAAGAAACAGCATACAATAAAAATTTGGTTTCCATGTTTGTACCTCTGTAAGCTTTTTATACATAAAGTTTACAATAGTTTGATCTCAAATGGCAAGGAGACCTCGTAACAGTACTACTTGAATCAGTTGAAGTCCTGAAAATTCATGATTACCTTCAATAAACAGAGCCTTTAAGTGTGTATTTTGTGCAATATAGACTTTGGAAGTACTCTCTATTTGCCAATTTAATCTTTGAAAATCCACACCATACTAGAAGAATATCCAAATTTTGAAGCCATTTAAAAATATTTTAACGGATGACTCCTCTATTAACCTCTTTTCAAACCTTTGTCACAGTTTAAACAAAGCTTCGAAAATACTTATAGTTTCACAATAGTATAAAACCTAAAATTTAAGTTAATTCGGTGATAAACTAACAGAATTCCAAGAAAACTACGAAGTAAATTATGCCTTGTTGAGGAGAAAAAAAAGAAACACAAAGGTGAACACCTCACTTCATAAAACGTGTTGTCTGCATCGAAACATACTACTCTTCTCCTGAGAAAAAAAATCAAGAACTAAATCTAAAAATAGAGGCTTAAATAGTCATTTTCAAGTGCTACAATACTTTTTTTATACAAAATTTACTAATAAATAACCATCTTCATAAAGCGATAATTCTCTGTAAGGGACTTGCTCTATTAAGGTTTTGTTGCTTTTGAAGCCAAGTATAAGCCATATAAGGAAACTGAAGTTCAATGCCATTTATTTTGTTCACCTCTTTCAGATGCCCAAGAATAACCTCTTTTGCAGCCTAATGATACGTTCCAAAATCATAAAGTAGATGAGTTATGCACTTTAAATTCTTTGATAAAGCTAGTTTGACTTAACAAGAATTATTCCATGGTTCACAAATCTTACCAACAATGAAAAAAAAAAAGAATCTCCTGAGACCATGCCCCGGGGAGGAAAAAAAAAATCAAAACTACAGTAATAAATAAAGGACTGCCTTTGGAGATGTACTTAATGAAGCTGAAGTAGCAAAGAACAAATTGTGAAATAATTTGATCCTGATCTTTAAAACTTATTTTTTCTCTTTGAACTAAAGAAAATCAACTCTCTCCTCGGGTTTCCGGTCATTACGTGAGACAGCATAGGCAATCTAAACATCAATATATATTTAGGATATACCTACCAACAGGATTACCAAATTTATTCAATATATATTCAAAAGTACAGTATTGTATTTCACCTCCCTGTACCGCAAAAATACCGGGAAAAAAAGTAAACAGAAAAAGACTAAAACACCACTGAAAAAAACTTTGGGTTTACTGCTATCAAAACTAGTCCCCATTGGTTCAGAAGTGTTCATAGCTCTGACTGGTGGAATGTCTGCCATGCTTCATGAATCCTGCCCCCACAGATGTAGGCAGAACCTATCACTATTTATGCAGAACCGACCAAAAACATTTGGGACAACACAAAAATGTAAAGACCATACTACTCGAAAAGCACAGCTTTTTATCACAATCACTGTGATTCCCTTGAAAATCGTTTTAAGCGTTTTACTTCCCCTCCCATCGTCTGTTCTGAACTGTACAGAAGTCCTATTAAACGTCTTACAGGTTGTTAATGTTGTTTAATTATCTCTCCCTATTCTTAGTCCTTACTCCTTTTTTCTTCGTAATGGATCAGTTACAAGAAAAGCCTAGTCGATCCTTGCTTTCAATTAATTAAACAAGTTATACGGCGCTAAACGTCTGAAAAACACACACTACACACAACTAAAGAAATATATTACTCACCCTGAAAAACAACTAAGAATGGCAAGATTTTTTGGTTTCTAAAATCTAACTAAATATACTGATCAGGGTTGGAAATAAAAAAATAAAAATAAATACCTCTATATACAATTAACGCAAGCGCCAATATAATCGGTATGAGTATAAACAAACGCGGCAGCCATCTCAATAACAGCAAATCACTCACTGCAGCGACCAAACTTTCTTCCCAAACAGAAGGTGCCTGGCTGAGCAACTTAATATACACTCTATACGTTCCAGAAAGCCAAAACTTCTGGCCCCTGTGCTGAACAAAGGCAATCGTTCTTCGGATTACTAAAAACTTTTCGTCCCACCGCATTCTTACAACCTCTTCCAAAAAATTCAAAGTCCAGATGGTGGGGGGGGCAGGGGGGAGAAGGGACGCGGTGGGGTGCAGTTCGATTATTTAGCCCCTCAATTATTAACCGCTTCGATATGAGAAAAGGAGGGTTTAGGGCAACTTGGAGAAGAGTGAAAAACACTAAAGAATCATCTCTTTTCCGAGTCACAAAGTCCCATGAACTTTGTGACTCAGAGACACTTTTCGTGAAAATTACCTTTCGGCGGGACACCGTCTCAGGGCAGCTTTTTCAAGGCTTCGCTTGACATGATTTCCTTCCCTTCATCAGTCACTTTGGATCCAGCTGAATATCTCTCTCGGGTGAGAGCGGATGTGGACTGGCCTCCCACAGAAGAAGAGTAGGTGGCTTTGGTGGGGGTTGGGGTGCGGGCTGGCTTCCTGGTCTCGAGTTTTGCAGGAGTTTCCCAGCCCCAACGAGGATCTCCGCCGAAAAAAAAAAAAACAAAACTTTTCACTCGTGACACCGCCCGGAATTGCAGTGCGAAACTCACTTCCTGCCTTGGCGAGAAGCAGGATCCAGCTCCGTCCAGGGGAACCCGGAAAACCAGCTCCGCGCGCACCGGAGAGGGGGAGGGGAGGGGACGGCCGCCGGGAGCCTCGGGTTCCGGGCAACCGGCGCGCCCGGCACACCGGACGGCAGCAGCACCCGGCCGGCGGGGGCGAGGACGCTGCCCGGGCGCTCGGCGAGCCTCGGCCGCGCTAGGCCGCCACCGCTTCCTCTCCGTTGCCCCCAGAGCCGGGCGGCAGGGTTATTGTCTCGATAGCGCTTGCCGCGCCCTTCGTCCGCGACGCCGCTGCCGCCGCCACCCGGAGCCGGAGCCGAGGAGTCGGGCAGGCTCAATAGCGGCCCCCTCCCCGGGCCGTCCGTCGGGCCGTCCGTCCTTCCGTCCGTCCCTCCCCGCTTTCCCTACTCGCCCTCGAACCCTCTTCTCCTCCCTCTCCCGTTTTCCCGCCACCGTCCCTCCGCTGCCCTGCTTGTTCTCCTTCGCCAGCGGCGGTGGCTCCCCGAGACGCGCAGGGGGCGGGAGCAGGAGGCAGCTCCGTCTCCTCACGAGCTTGCGGGGCCGCGGCAGGGGCCGAGACTGCGTCCCGCGCCGCCGCGCCACATTCACTCGAGCGAGAGACGGCGAGGGGAGGGAGGACGGAGGGAGCGGAGAGAAAGGAGGAGGAATGGGGCAGGGGCGGAGGGGAGTTACTGCCTCACAGGCCGCGGCGGCAACAGCGCCACCGCCCCGGCCGCGACGGGTGAAGAGGCTGCGCGCCGCGACTCTGCGGCGGGGGCGGGGGCGGGGCGGCCTCCCGCCGGCTTCGCCCCAACCGCCAACAGCCGGGCAGGAGGCCTGCGCGGGCCAGTCAGCGCGCGGGGGCGGTGCGGGCCGACGTCGGCGGCTGGGGGCAGCGGGCCGGGGGCCGGGGGAGGGGCAGCCGGCGGCCGTGGGTTCGCGTGCAAGGCGCGCCGTGAGGCCCACTCTGGCCCAGGCCCCTCGAGGCCTGCCCGCTGCTCCCTGCCCGCTCCCCGACCCCGCACTCCCGGACTCCCGAGCCCCCCAGGGTGGGGAACGCTGGCAACGCCGACCCTGCTGTCTGCTCGCGGCCCAGCGCCCAGCCAGAGAGATAGAGAGCCCACAGGCCTCCGCCGCGCCGGCCGATGGAGTTTCTTTGTACGACAGTAATCGGTGCACAGGGGTTGTTGGAGTCCAGCCCTGATTTGAAGGCAGCAGGTATCTCTTGCAGCTGCAGCACTCCAACTTCCTCTAATGGCACGGTCAGGTCGCAGGAAACCACAGCGGCAGCGCGGTGCAGCTTCCCACGCCCGCCCTTCGAGCTTGTTCCCCAGCGGCGCAGCTCAGCCTCCTCCAAGTCTCAGCCTCATACCGGCGGGGAGACAAAGCTGGCGCTGGGAGTGGGAAAAGGGCCCGCGAAATGGCCTCAAGATCGTGCCTTTGTTAGAAGAAACATGGGTACGCTCCGATGCGACGCAGGCTTCCAACCCCAGCGGTTCGGTGGTGGTGCAGTCGTTGAATTGCGCTGGCCCTAATAATTCAGCCTGGCAGGGTTCGCGTTTATTGCGGAGAGAGACTCTTAAGCATTCTGTCAACACATATGGCAAATAGAAAGCCTCAACCATAACATTGCACAGTTTTTGCAGTTCTTGCTTTAAATATGTTCACAGAAAAGACGGCCTTGTTTTACCCAGAGAAGGAGCGTAATGCGGAGCGAACCATTCGTCACCCCCATTCTCTGCTGCACTTAACTGTGTACAGTGATGATAATTAGCCTCTGGGTCCCTGAAGTCCCTGGTTCAGTTCTTCCGTCTGTATTCTAGAGATAATTATTTATTACCAAGTTTGAATAAAGAGCTATATCCCCTACAGACCTTTTTTTTTTTTTTTTTTTTGGCTTGCCAATGGAAAGAGTTCATAAATTCCACCAAGTAATCATTTACCAAAATGAGTTGTACATTAGTTGCAAACACTTGAAATAACGCCGAAGATATTCAAGTCATTTTATTCAGGTTGGGAGCATTTTTAACTACTTGAAGAACTGCTGGAATTAATACAGATGTTAGGTTATTTAGCATACAGCAGAAGTTGAAGATTTACAGGTAGTACTGAAGTGTTCAGATATATTCAGTGCTGAATTAGAGGTAAGAGTATTCGCTGGAAGCTAGGAAATGGCAGCAGCTATGCCAGTGTTACCAAGCTGGATATCTATGTGAAAATGAATCTTAACCATTGCATAAAAAGCTAAAGTTAGCATATTGTACAAGCTATTTGTAATCATCGCTGGGAAGATTTCTTGCTCCGTTTTCAAAAACCGTTTTGCGCCTGATCAGAACTCAGTGGCATAGCTCTGAACTGAAAGGGTCACTCTCCTAAAGCATCCCAGGATGGAATATCTCCCATACTAGTGGAAAACCAGCTAGATTCTGGGATTCCAGTGTTGCTTCTAATCTCAGGTTGATTCGAGACCCCTTTAAATGTGATGCCATAGATTCGAGTAAACCTAACCCTCCTCTCTAAACTTAACTGATCAAGCCACTGCTTTAGGCTAAGACTTGCCCTGGTCCTAGCCTTTTTAAAATTTATACTCACACTCAGGACCAATCTGACAGACTACCATCTAGGCTAGAAAAGTACCTATAATCAAAAACCCTCCAACTCACCTGAAATTCTGCCATTAGAGTTTTATCCCTTTAAGTAGTTTTTTTCTCTAGCACAAAACCATAATCCTGGGAAAAGTAATATTTTAATCCTTATTAGTCATTTATACCTAATTCATCAGATTGTTTCCCCAAAGCAGCTTTTGTTGGAAGGGAAAAATAGAGATAACTAGAGATAACATATGCTGAGGCTGAGTTGATAGGAGACGGAAATATAGTCTCATTCCTTGGAGCGTTATATAGAGAGTAGAGGATTACAGGCAATAAAAGGACCCTTTTGATGGCTAAATAAGTCCTGCTTACTCATACTGTAAGAATGAGCCACCTAATACACTGGCCTTAAGAGGATGGAATCTGGCCGGTTGCAGTGGCTCGCACCTGTAATCCCAGCACTTTGGAGGCTGAGGCGGGAGGATTGCTTGAGCCTAGGGGTTCAAGATCAGCCTGGACAACATGGTGAGACCTTGTCTCTACAAAACCAAGAAAGGAGGATGGAATCCAGGATACACTTGTCAATACAGTTGACCCTTGAATAATATGGAATTTAGGGGCACCAACCAACTATGTGAGCATATAACATTTGACTCTCCCAAAACTGAACAACTACTAATAAGCCTACTACTGACCAGAAGCCTGATAACATAAAACAGTTGATTAACACATTGCTTGTATCTTATATGTATTATGTACTGTCTTCCTACAGTAAGTAGAGAAATAAATGTTATTAAGAAAATCATAAGGAAGAGAAACTACATTCACAGTAATGTACTATGTCCATACCATAAGTTTACATTGTCTGTTTACAAGATGAATTGTCTGTCTGAAATACCAGGCAACCTCAGCTGCAGGCCTCAGTCTATGGTACATATCAAGCAGTTCAACTTTTTCTTGTAATGTCATGACTTTGCTTCATGGGAACACTTCCAGCATCACCAGTGGTGCTTCGTATGGATGCCATAGTGTTATTAAAGTTTTGCAGTATTGCACTAAACATGATGGAAAATACGTGAGAACCATGAGAGAGAACTTTTTACTGCAATACGCAATTTACTGGAGAGATGAACTGCTCACTCAGAGATGATTAGCATTACACAGCTTAAAGCGAATACTGGCAACACTTAAGCTCGCTGCAATTGCACCAAGCAGTGGCTATGAAATTATTACAGTAGTACAGTTTGCATGACAGTTAATTTTATGCAGTTATGATTTAATACTGTAGCTTTACATTTGTTTACATTTCTCCCCACTACAAATAGCACCATGTTTGGTCTGTAAGTGTGTGCCTACATTTTGATAAATTTTAACTTTTTATGATAGGTTTGTTTATATTTTATGGTAGTAAATGATAAAAATAGACTAGTGTCTACACATATTTTATGCATTCATGACATATATAAAAATTTTCAGTATTTCTAGGCTACACAGTTTGCAAGTTTTTCAAATTGTTGCAAATCTTCAAAAAAAAGTCCAATATATTTATTGAAAAAAAATTGCATTGACCAATGCAGTCAACCCTGCGTGGTCAAAGGTCAACTGTAGTTACCTATTTTGTCAAATATTTCCTTAATAATCTGTTTAAAAAGTATTTTCTCTGGAATTCTGCATCTGTGTGCATACAGAAGGGTGAAATGGCAGGTATATGATCAGAGTGTTCAGCAATCACAAACAACAATTCATCTTTGTTATTAATCACTGAGTATTTAATTTTGTTTCATATAAGCAGCACACACAGAGCCAAATCTTCCATTTATTCTACAAGGTACTCTCATTCTATGCTTTACAGATTAGTTTCCTTTGAAAATCCTCCCGCAGGACGTTACACTAAGATGGACTTAACTTTTCAGTTATGATTAAAGAAGAACTAAAACCCCACCTTAAACAAGGCTGCCTGTGAGTCTGCAACAATTAACTGAATTCCAAGACCACCTTAGAGAGTAAGTTAACTAATGTTTATTGATAGTATAGCTTCAAGTTCCCTGTTGTGATTCTCTGAATGATTCTCTGTGAAAGGCAGAAAATCTTTTCTTTGGGATTCCCCTTCCCAATGGCTGGGCTCAGGAAAGGAATTACTGTCTGCTAGAGATAAGCTATTTCAACTGAAGGAAAGCTTAGGGCCTTAAGCATTCCAAGGAAAGTACACAGCATCCATCGGGGGGAAAAACTGCTCTAAGGGAGAGCTCATCCACTTTTAAAAAGGATACCCCTGTCACTTCCCCATACCAGCCAAGCACCTGCACAGGAGCATTGAGGAGACAAAAATAGAGGGCAAGGACAAGTTTGGGATGATAATTCTTCTTTTCTCCTTTACCAGACCCCTAGTAAAGAACTGGTTACCTAAAACCAGTTTTTAGTAGAGTAGTGTTTGGGAAAAGTGAATCTTCAGGCTAGAATAGGGTTAGATTTGAATGAAGTCTAGAAACATTGGTTCAATTAGATCAAAATGCACTATAACATGTATTTTTAATAGGGATTTGACTTCCCCCTTTTTACTTCCATCTTAGACTCTTGATAGAGAGGCCAGGAGGTTAGGGTGGCAAGTATGCAGGAAAGAAGTTCTTTGGCTCAAAAGAGGCTGTACATGCAAGAACCAATATTATGGATTCTGTAATACTTTGAGAATGGAATCACCTCTCCCATAACATGTTTCGACATTTCAAGCATATTTTTTAAAATATTTTATGCATCGCATGGAAAGTCTGCCTCTATTTGTGAAAAGCTTTTGGAAAACTGATTTTTTTTCCTCTTGTATATGCTTAATAATCTTTTTTTCTATGCTATATATTTTGTAAACTATCAAAGCTGAATTTCTTTCAGATGTCTTATGAAGTTTTTAAATATGGGGAGAGAAATAAATAATGCATTATGATTATTTGTGTGGCTTCTGAAACAAGACTGCTTGAATTAGAAACTTGGCTACTTGAGTGACCTTGAGCAAGTTCCTGAACACCTATAAACATATACTTGAGCATCCTCTTCTCTAGAAAGGAGATTATAATACTGCCTTACAGATTATTAGGAAAACTAAATGGGACAATGCTCATAAAGTATTTAACGCAGTATCACAGTGCTTGGCAGACTCAAAAGTATTAGCTATTACTAGTAGTGCACTCTTTTTTTAGAGACAAGGGTCTCACTATGTTGCTCCAAGCTGAACTACAGTGGCTCTTCACAGGCACAGTCATAGCACACTGTGGCCTAGAACCCCTGGGCTCCAGCGATTGTGCCACCTCAGCTTCCTGAGTTACTGGGACTAGTGTACTACTGGACCAATCGTAGTAAAGGCACCAATAATATGTACTATGCTTCCACTATTTCCATTATTTCTAAGGTGACCATATAGTCTATCATCCAAAGTAGGATACTTTGAGAGTGAACAAAGACATTATTAATAATTACACAGGGGTGGGGCTCAGTGACTCATGCCTGTAATCCCAGCTCTTTTGGAGGCCAAGGTGAGCAGACCGCTTGAATCCAGGAGTTCAAGACCAGCCTGGGCAACATAGTGAAACCACATATCTTCAAAAAAATGCAAAAATTAGCTGGGTATAGGGTGGGTGCCTGTAGTCCCAACTACTTGGGAGGCTGAGGTGGGAGGATCACTTGAGCCCAGAAGACAGAGGTTGCAATGAGCTGAGATCGTGCCACTGCACTCCAGCCTGGGTGATAGAGTGAGATCCTATCTCAAAATAATAATAACAATAAATAATAATTACACAGGGACAGCAAATGTAAAACTAAGACTGTCCTGGATCAACTGAGGCAAATGATCAAACTAATAATTTTCAACTTTGTGCCTTCTTCTGATCCACTTCTCCTCTCCAGTCCTCCCTAGTATGAATCATAATCTATTTCTATCATATTACAATATGCATACCTCTTTCCAAATCAGAGCAGTATTAAATCAACAAAAGAAGTTTATTTAGACTTCTACTTAGACTTCTGTTAGACTGCTTATTGCCCTTCAATGCATGTTTTCACTTAATACTATCTTTCTTTAGGTAATGAAATTGCTCTTTTCCTCACTTATTCCCACACTTAATAAATTTACATTTTTCTATAATATTTTATTTTAGAAAACTGTTTAGCATAAAAAATGCCATGAAAATAGCCAATAAATTGGAATTAAACATAATTCGAGGTGTAGTAAGATGCTTAAATGCCCTGTTCAAAAATGCCAACTATGTTACATAGAAACTTTATTTACTAGTTAAGTATCACATCATTCCTATTTTAAAGTCAGAGTAGGCCAGGCACGGTGGCTCACGCCTGTAATCTCAGCTCTTTGGGAGGCCGAGGCGGGTGGATCACAATCAGGACATCGAGACCATCCTGGCTAACACGGTGAAACCCCGTCTCTACTAAAAATACAAAAAAATTAGCCGGGCGTGGTAGCGGGCACCTGTAGTCTCAGCTACTCGGGAGGCTGAGGCAGAGAATGGGGTGAACCTGGGAGGAGGAGCTTGCAGTGAGCTGAGATCGCGCCACTGCACTCCAGCCTGGGCGACAGAGGGAGACTCCGTCTCAAAAAAATTAAAAAATAAAAAATAAAGTCAGAGTAAATTCTCTCTGTATTGTCAAAAACTACTGTATCATAAGCAGACTACTGGACAAATCTCACCTACGTCTGATTTAATCAGTATTGGAAAATGATGTTTTTCCATTGAGTTTTCTAAAATAATTCTGAATATACTTTGGCACACATACTTTATTCCCTTGGGATGAAATTTATTTTCTGGGAAGTGACTATAAATGCTGTCAATTTCCTTCAAAAATGCTGATCTAAATTATAACATATTTTTAAATATTTCCTCTCCCTTCTGTTTTTCTCTAGCTTCAGATCTATTATTTTAGTTTTCTTAGCATTTTTCCCAGGCTGGAGTGTAGTGCCATGATCGTAGCTCACTGTAGTCTCAAACTCCTGGGCTCAAGTGATTCTACCACCTCAGCCTCCCAAAGTGCTGGGATTACAGATGTGAGCCACCATGCCTGGCTCCAGTTTCCTTAGTTTTTAATTACTTTCAATTCTCTTGTTCTTTTAGTTTTACTCTAAGATGAATGGTTCTCTAAGATGGATGGTTTTCCAATTCTAACTTATTTTCAATTCTTTTGTTCTCCTAGTTTTTCTCTAAGATGGATGTTTCTTTCTACTTCTTGAAATTCCCTCTGAGGCTTTTTGTTTTCTTATACAAAACTATATGTAGTATATCTTTCATATCTCCTGGTATGTAGCATACCAAGCTATTAATAGAAATACTTTTTATTCTTGATATTTTATTTAATTTACCTATATCTGACCACTGGGCAACAAGAGTGAAACTCCGTCTCAAAAAAAGAAAGAGAGAGAGAGATAGAAAGAAAGAAAGAGAGAAGGAAAGAAAAAAGAAAGGAAAGAAAGAGAAAGAAAGAAAGGAAGGAAGGAAAGAAAGAAAGAGAGAAAGAAAGAAGGAAGGAAAGAAAGAAAAAGGTATGGGCACTGACATTAGCATTTACTAGCTGGTGACTTTGGATAAATCATTTAATCTCTTGTGTAATGCTTCATGATTTATAAAATAGAATAAGTCCTATCTAATCTTTCTTTTTCTTTTTTTTTTTTTTTTTTTTGAGACGGAGTCTTGCTCTGTCACCCAGGCTGGAGTGCAGTGGCGCGATCTCGGCTCACTGCAACCTCCGCCTCCCGGGTTCATGCCATTCTCCTGCCTCAGCCTCCTGAGCAGCTGGGACTACAGGCGCCCACCACCACGCCCAGCTAATTTTTTGTATTTTTAGTAGAGACGGGGTTTCACTGTGTTAGCCAGGATGGTCTCGATCTCCTGACCTCGTGATCCACCCGCCTAGGCCTCCCAAAGTCCTGGGATTACAGGCGTGAGCCACCGCACCTGGCCTAATCTTTCTCATAGGATTATTGTGGGCACCAAACAAGATGATGAACATGAAAGCACACTATCAACACTACACAAATAAAAGCTATCCTTTTTTTTTGTATCAAGAGGACTGCAATTCATTATCATCAATAAAATATAATAAGCCATATTAAATATCTATTGACTTAGTTGCTCCGTAATATACATATTTTAGATTACATATTAAATGCAATATCTATTCTCTATAAAGCCTATGCTGTAACCCATAAGAGAAAACAAGCATAAACTCACCAAATCTTATATAAAAATTTATTATTAATCCAGATGCCAAAAATTCAGAAATTTAGATAATTCTGACACTAGCTAGATTTTACACTATGAAAATGTCACTAGGCAAATAAGAAGTGTTCGTTTCAGGGAGAATAATTGGCCTACTTAAAGAAAATAAGCTTTTAAAACTCTAGAATCTGAGAATGTTCAGTAGTGGAAGAATAAGCAGGAAGAAACCTCAGAGGTCATCCTGTTTCTGCTTCAACTGCATTTTATAGCTGAGCGAACACAGGTTTGAAGACTTGCCCAAAGTCACTCTACTGGTTAGTGGCAAAACCATAATTAGAACTCAGTTCCCTCTCACCTCAGTATATGTTCAACCATGCCACATTGCTACCACATAGCAATCCAAACACGGAACAACCCAGCAGCCACCAAAGAAAAGTTTGACAGAACTATGTTGAAAACTCCTGTTGGCAAAAGACACCAAACAAAGTTAAAACATTAGAAAAAATATAAGAAACAATTTAATATCCATATATACAAAGAGCTCTTATAGGTCTGGGAGGAAATAACAATCCAGTTGAACTATTTACAAAATCCAACTGGACAATCCAATTAAACCATTTACAAAAGACATTTTAAAAGTTTACAAAAATACATATATAAAGAGCCAATCAATATTTGAAAACATGTAGGGGCTTTAAAAACCTAGGTGAGGAATAACCCCATTTGAAATGAAATGATAATGAAACTCTAGCCAGCTTTGGCTGTTATTATTGTATTTGGGGCAGTGATTGTTTTCCAGTTCTCTCAAGCAAAGAGAACTCCACTGGACTATAATTAAAGGGTGCTCCCATGACCTGAACAGAAAGGGAAGTGAACTAATCTGATGATCGTGGGTTGGAATTAAACCAGTTTAAACATGGTCCCTGAAACTAGACAAGAGTCTTTCTGGTGCCACTCTCCATGAATGTCAGTAGGGAAGTTCATGGAACTTTTTGAGGAAGCATGGAATATTTGAGGAAGCACCATCTCAAAAGGGTCAGACCTGGGCATATCCTAGTGAACCCCTCCTTGATCATATTCCTCTAGACAGACCACCAGGCTTCTGGGTATGTATTTGCCATAGTTTTCCCAAATTCCAATAATTACATACTTTGCCCAATTCCAATAATTATATACTTTGGAAACCATGGATTTTAAAATAAGGGCTGAACAGTGTGAGATGGCAGCAAATTGTTCTGGCAAATCAAAAGTGCTGTTTGTGTAATGGATTTAAGGCCCTGAAGGGAATTAACTCTCAAATTCTCCTAGGTTAAATGGATTAAAGTTCTATTTGGACTAAAGAATCCTATGGAAGGATCTAAGGAGGCCAGTGCAGGAACAGCTGCAGGAGTCAGGGAGAGAGAGGAAGAAAGTCTTTCTCTTTCTGCCTCTATTTATAATATGGACTTTATCCGCTCTTCACACTTCCTTGAATTTACTTCCTGCCAGCTATTATAAAGACAAGTAATAGGGAAAAAATACGGGCTCAGGTAGAAGAAGGGAAAAAACTAGGCTCAACATAAATTTTATTTATTTTTTTTAGATGGAGTCCCACTCTGTCGCCCAGGCTGGACTGTAGTGGCACAGTCTCAGCTCACTGCAACCTCCAACTCCCGGGTTACAGCAATTCTCTTGACTCAGCCTCCCAAGCAGCTGGGATTACAGGTGCCCGCCCCACCACACCCAGCTAATTTTTTTTGTATTTTTAGTAGAGACAGGGTTTCGCCATGTTGGCCAGGCTGGTCTTGAACTCCTGACCTCAGGTGATCTGCCAGCCTCAGCTTCCCAACGTGCTGAGATTACAGGTGTGAGCCACCACACCCAGCAACATAAATTTTTAAAAGACTAAAACAGGCTGGGCACGGTGGCTCAGGCCTGTAATCCCACCACTCTGGGAGGCCAAGATGGGTGGATCACTGAAGGGCAGGAGTTCAAGACCAGCGTGATCAACATGGTGAAAGCCTGTCACTAGTTCAAATACAAAAATTAGCTGGCATGTTAGCCTAGCATGGTGGCAGGCACCTGTAATCTCAGCTGCTTAGGAGGCTGAAGCAGGAGAATCACTTGAACCTGGGAGGCAGAGACTGCAGTGAGCAGAGATCGTGCCATTGTACTCCAGCCTGGGCAACAGAACAAAACTCCATCTCAAAAAATAAATAAATAAAAAATAAAGGACTAAAACAGACCTAAAACTAGGAATTGAAATAACATCTTTTTAAAAGATTAAAATGTTTGTAGAAAACGAGATGAGAGATGTGAGAGTTAAAATTGTGAAAAAGAGCAAGTAGAGGAAAAAAAAAGATTTAGGGTTAAACTTTCATAAAAGCCAGAACATGAAATGGATTTCAGTATAATGTATACATAAGAAAATTTTTCGATAAATATTTAAAGATGAATGGCATTAACATTAAAAGACGTATTGATTTAAAACTTGTAAATCTATAATATAAAAAATAATAAAACAGTAACAAGTTCTGAATTAGTTAAAAAGAAAGAGAACTGCTAGAAGTCATTCAGTTCCTAAGTGAGTCTGATTTCCCCTGGAAAGAGGATCCTGCAGCACCAGGAGCCTCCGGGGTAGAGAATTAATGAAACAGAAGGCCACTCTGAAACTGCTCTGAGACCCTGAAGCTCATGGCTCACAAAGTGTCCTTCTCAGCTAGCTGTGCAAGCAAGCATCTGACGCCTGAAAGCCCAAGCTTCTACAGCTGATCCAAGCAACACAGCTCAGCCTCTGTAAACTTCTCCCAAGCCTTCCTCCATTCCCTCCTCCTCTTCAATACATTCCTATCAGAATAATAAATTAGGATGCTGGTTAATAGATAACCTGCCTGTACAAGACTATGTAGCTCGGAAGTTGGAGAGCTGGAATCTGAACCCAGCAACCTGAAAGACCAGAGCATAAATGCCAACCATAAACTATATGTAAACCTGTAACTACTTTTAATGCCTGCAACAGTAGATTTCCCACACCATGTATAAGCCAACATTTTCACTTCTAATCATTGGGTTTTGTTTTGTTTTGTTTTAAATCCACAATCTTCTGTCAAATAAAAACAAAAAGTTTTAATTTCAACTTGAAATACTTCCTGTTTTTTCATCTTCCTCTTCTTCTGCTCCTTTCAAACAAAAGCTGATCCCTTTCTTTTATTTTTTCCTCTCCATAAGGGCAATATGTATGTGTTATAGAAAATAAAGGATTTACAAAGTATACAAAGGAGGACAAATAATTCCACTGAATACCAACAGCTAAAAATAAGACCCTGATTATGTTGTTATTCAAGTGCCTGAGTATAACTATATAGACTAGGTGATTTCAAGGCCCTTGCTCCAGAACATAATACTTTTAGGTAGCAGCAATATGTGATTATGCTAGATCCATAACTAGAGTCACATCTTTTTTTGTGAGATCGAGTGAAAAATGAGCCACTCTAGTTTGGTTCTTCAGTAGCTTACCTTGTGGTAAAAACATGTGTTTTTTTCTTAACTTTATTTATAATCATACCGTCTTATT
The DNA here is from genome assembly GCF_000001405.40 of Homo sapiens. Taxonomy (NCBI): domain Eukaryota; kingdom Metazoa; phylum Chordata; class Mammalia; order Primates; family Hominidae; genus Homo; species Homo sapiens. Next base: position 65,914,146 of record NC_000005.10, on the reverse strand, counting down.
TTACCAAAAAACAATTGTATTGGGATCTTGCTGGTAACCATTCCTTATACGTGTGTAATGGAATATAACAAAAACAGAGTGAACATGGCTCACTCAGTGATGATTTTCAATACCGATATACTAAGTGGTCTCTAAGATCTTGGTATTCTTCCCTTTTCCTTTAATGTAAATAGGACTCATTGATGGTTCTCAGGCACTAGTGGAGAAGATAGTTTAAAAATAATTCCCAACAGAAGTTTCCATTCACAGATTCTACCTTTTACTTTCTCACGCTACCTCATTTAAAGTCTTTTGTGTTTAAAAGTATGTAATAGCCCTAAAAGAAGGTATTATGTGTTTCATCTGTTGCTCCAGAAGAAGTGAAAAACCAGACTATTAACCTGCTGTGTAATCCCTGCACGGACCACAACGCCTTTCAGTGGGAAGCCAGGCTAAGCCAAGAGCAGGGAGGATTGCAGTTTAAACATTGCAGGGTCAAGTTCAACATTTGTTCCATTCACAGAACTCCCACTGACATCAATGGGAGTTTTGTGCAGAGTAGAACTTCTTCCTCAGTTAAATTATTTCTGTAGTGCCTTCTATTTTTCCAGAACATATTCCACAAAGAATGTAATAAAGTATATGTAGTACTTCTCTTTTTTTCAGGCCTATTATTAATTTTAATAAAATTCCATCAACAAAAAAAACATTTTTCTTATAGGACATGATTTAGAAGGTCATTTTGCAGAGAATGTGAAGAGACTTTCATATAATTCTAGAGTCATCTGTTTGCAATTTTTGAGATTTTTTGGTATGTGTGATGTAAAAAGCACAGTTGAATTCAGTCAACAGCCTTTGAACCTCTGAAACTTTGTGCCCTATGATACATCATAATTGACTGATTGGGTACACAGAGTTCTTGAGCTTCTTAGATCAAGATACGTGGAGCTAGATATCAATTCCACAAGTATTCTGAGGTAAATAAAAGTCGCTAAATAGGAAAAGTAAAAGCACTGAAATTTATGTAATTGTTGGCAATCTACATTAGTGAAGAGTTGGAACACTATGTTGTAATTTTATTGGGTAATATAGTAGCATCAATTACAATTGAGTATTTTAATAAATAAATACTCATAATTTATAATTACTCATTGTTTATGTGACTTGTAATTTTAAGGGAACTTCTACTTTAGTATAATATTAGATTTTCTTTCTTTGCATAGCTATAGGTATTATCTAACATTTCTGTCAGTTTGGGAAATTACACACTAATTTACATTACAAAATGAATTACTGTATCTAACACCATAACTTAAGGTCATTTTTGACATTTCAGACTTAACAGAAAATCTAAGGTTTCTTATAAGCCAAAGGAATACTCCAGATTCAAAAATCTGGTATATGTTTTGCTTAATATTCAGAAATATTTTTAAACAGATTGGATTCTAACCATCATTAGTATTCTTTAAAAAGCTTTGGCATGATACATTGATACTTCACATAAGGGAGATGCTCCTTTTTTTCTGTTGCTCAGGAGAGTTTTTCAGAAGGCAATCTGTGGAAGAAGAAAGCTGATAGAAAGTAAAAATAGAGGCTGAGGAAGGAGGATCGCTTGAGGGCAGGAGTTCAACACCAGCATAGTCAACATAGCGAGATCCTATCTCTACAAAAAAATTTTTTAAAATTAGCCAGGTATGGCAGCATGCACCTGTAGTCCCAGTTACTCTGGAGCCTAAGGTGGGAGGATTGCTTTAGCCCAGGAGTTCAAGGTTCCAGTAAGCCATGATCACACCACTGCACTCCCATTTGAGTGACAGAGTGAGATCCTGTCTCGGAAAAATAAAAAAAGAGAGAGAAATGGCACTTTTCTGGCCTACCCACTCTTTGTTATCACTAAACATCAGCCAACTGCAACATTTTATACTGAATTTTAGTTTTCTAGAGGTCCATTCTTCTTTCAAACTGTAACTCCGTCAAGTCTTTCAGAGAATCATGAGATCACACAAACTACTACTTATTAATAGTGTGCTCAATCAGTAAAATCTTCTGAGGAATTCAAACAAGTGTCAGCTATCATCGATATTTACAGAGTGTCTATTATGGACCCAGTACTAGGCTGGGCGTTTCACATGTGATAAGTCATAAAGTAATTTAAAAGACACCAAGTTATGATGTTTTGCATAAATCTATAAGGTATATGCAATTCTAAGAGGAATTGGTTGTTCCATGGGCCTGGGAATCAGCAAAGTCCCTACTTGTGAGTAACCGTGATATGTAGACTGTCCATTCTTTTGTGGCCTTTTGAGTTGGGTACTGTTGTGAGGTTTTTAAGGATGCTATGGCTGGCAGTTTAAAAATATGTCCACAAATTCTTTGACATTACTGTCACCGAGAGGTGCAATCTATGAACCCTCTCCTTGAAAATGGGCTGTTTTTTAATTCTGTTTCAACCAATAGAGTACAGAGGAAATAATATGGTGTGACTTCCCAGGTGAGGGCATAAAAGGCAATGCAGCCTCCACCTTGTTCACTGGAATACTTGCTCTCGAAGACATCAGCTGCTAAGTGAGCATTCTGACTGCCCTGAAGGTGCCATGTATGGGAAAGGCCAAACTAGCCCACATGGAAAGACCACTTGGAGAGGCCCTGTGATTACATACAGGAAATGAGAGACAAAGAGAGAGAGCTCCCTGGCCAGCCCCCAGCTGCCCCACCCTCCCTTCCCCCTAACTGTTCAGCTCCAGCCATAATATATATATTATATAGTTTGGCCATATAAATTACATAAATGTTTTATATGTAAAATAAAATTGTATTTATTTACTTATTTAGAAACAGGGTCTCCCTCTGTTGCCGAGGCTGCAGTGCAGTGATGTGATCATGGCTTACTTCTGTCTCCACCATCTTATAATATATCTCTGACTATATATATATATGTTATATATATATAACTATATAATAAGATAGATAATAATAAGATAATAAACTCATTTCATTCCTTCTTCCGTTATCCTGTTCCCTCCCTTTAGGGAGTCATTTCTATTAGTTTTGTTTTATGTTATATTTTTTAAAGATTTTTCATTCATTTATGTTCATTTTGAGACACCACGAGGGATGACAATTAGGCTTTACGCCAAATTGCTACAGTAATTTTTAGGATCATGACAGTTGTAGATTGAGGAAGAATTAGTCTTCTGATGAAGTGGTCTTCATGAAAACAGGTCATTTTGGTTTTTATCCCCTCACTGCTTCCTCATCAAAGTCTTTTTAAAACGGAGAAGTAGTTCTCTGCCTCTCTTCCTCATGGTTATTTACCTACCACATCTACTAAAATGTGCTTATCTAGTTAAAAGATTTTTTAAATGGTTAGAAAGTAGAATTCATAATAGGATTTCATTTTACATATATAGATGTTTGCAAGAGGAAAACTGGTGACAGCTAGATCACAAAAATTTTTTTCCAGGACATTGGAATAATTTATTCAAGTCAGTATTTCATATCAATTTAGGTTTGTGAGGTTGGCAAGCTTTCATTGAGTTGGCTAAGGCTTAATACATTTGGTACGATATCTCTGGTTTCAGCTCCACACCTCCAATCTCATTCTTTTTTTTTTCCACAAGACTTTATTTATTTATTTTTATTTCCATAGGTTTTGGGGGAACAGGTGGTGTTTGGTTACATGAATAAGTTTTTTAGTAGTGATTTCTGATATTTTCTTGCACCCATCACCCGAGCAGTATACACTGTCCCCTATTTGTAGTCTTTTATCCCTCTCCCTCCTCTCACCCTTTCCCCCGAGTCCTCAGTGTCCATTGTATCATTCTTATACCTTTGCATTCTCATAGCTTAGCTCCAACATATCACAAAATATTGAAGCTACTTATTTATGGAGAGTGAAATTTAAAGTGATTTCATTTTCATTCGTTTTTATCTCTATTTTCTCATTTTCTATATGATAATATACTCAAATAATGCTAAAAAGGTAGTTTTCTTTCCCTTACATAAAAAGATAAAATATTCATTTTAAAATAACCACTCAAAAGTGGAATTGCTGTTTCATGGGTGTAGTTTCTGTTCGGGATGATGAAAAAGTTCTAGAAATGCATAGTGATTGATTGTTTCACAACCTTGTCAATGTACTTAATGCCATTGAATTGTACAATTTATAATGGTTAAAATAATAATGTGTATTATGCATATTATACCACAATTTAAAAACTACATAAAGAAGTTAAAAGTATTACTACGGATGGGCTGGGCGCAGTGGCTCACACCTATAATCCCAGCACTTTGGGTGGCCAAGGCGGGCGGATCACTAGGTCGGGAGATCGAGACCATCCTGGCTAAAACGGTGAAACCCCGTCTCTACTAAAAATACAAAAAATTAGCCTGGCGCAGTGGCAGGCGCCTGTAGTCCCAGCTACTTGGGAGGCTGAGACAGGAGAATGGCGTAAACCCGGGAGGCGGAGCTTGCAGTGAGCTGAGATCGGCCACTGAACTCCAGACTGGGCAACATAGTGAAACTTAGCCTCAAAAAAAGAAAAAAAAATGTGTATATATATATATATGTGTGTGTGTGTGTGTGTGTGTGTGTGTGTGTATTTTTACTACAGATGATCCCTAGAATTAAATGAAACTTCTTATGGACCATGATCTTGCCATGCTTCACTTATGTTCTTTAGACCAGCATCCAAAACACATTATTACTTGCTTGGTATGTAGGAGTAAAAAATATAAATTAATATTTATTGAGGGGCTGAGTTTTTCTTTTTTCTTTTTTTTCCCACAAGCCTACAAAGTTGATACTTTTCTTTTCTTTTTTCTTTTTATTTCTTTTCGTTTGAGACAGGTTCTCACTCTTGTCTCCCAGCCTGGAGTGCAGTGGTATGATCTCTGCCCACTGCAACCTCCACCTCCTGAGTTCAAGCGATTCTCCTGCCTCAGCCTCCCAAGTAGCTAAGACTACAGGCAGCCCCACCAGGCCCGGCTAATTTTTGTATTTTTTCTGGAGATGGGATTTCGCCATGTTGCCCAGGCTGTTCTCGTACTCTTGGGCTCAAGTGACCCTCCTGCCTTGGCGTCCCAAAGTGCTGGGATTACAAGCGTGTGCTACCATCCCTGGCCTCATTTTTTTTTATATATATATGCATTTTTTTCACATAGAGGGGCTGAGTTTTTAAACATAAAATGTGTGTACATTTTACACACAATAAGTCATTTAATAGTCCCCAAAGTCTATGAGATAAATACCATTATTATCTCCATTTTGAATATGAAGAAACTGAGGCTAAGAAAGTTTAAGGCCACTCAGCTAGTTAAGTGTCAAAACAGGGTCTGATTCAAGGTCTGTTTGACATATCACTGCTCTTCACCTCCTTGTTAGAGCAATTTGACTACATCAGCTCTATACAGTGTTGCCATATAGAAACTTGTTACACAGCATCTCCATGGTTATGAAAAATTCTTTCCTAACTTTCCAGCTATGAGTTTACTTAAAGAGTCTGCCATGTTTATTTTTAAACTTTTCTGTTTCCACTATATTTTAAAAACTGATTAGGCCAGGCACAGTAGCTCACGCCTGTAATCCCTGCACTTTGGGAGCCCGAGGTGGGCAGATCACAAGGTCAAGAGATTGAGACCATCCCAGCCAACATGGTGAAACCCTGTCTCTACTAAAAATATGAAAATTAGCTGGATGTGGTGGTGCACACCTGTAATCCCAGCTACTCAGGAGGCTGAGGCAGGAGAATCACTTGAACCCAGGAGGTGGAGTTTGCAGTAAGCCGGGATCGTGCCACTGCACTCCAGCCTGGCGACAGAGTGAGACTCCGTTAAAAACAAAACAAAACAAAACAAAACCCCAAAAAAAAAACCTGATTAACAGAGTTTTCATGGAAATCATTCACATGATTATTATTCTTATTAACTTTATCATCATGCTAAACATGATCATTATGGTACATTTACTTTGGTTAGAGACAAAGTCAACAAGAAGATGCAATTTAAGATGCATTTTGAACACATTTTTCTGAAGCAAGGTTAGTAGCTTTCTGGAAATGATGTAGAAAAGAATCACCCAATTATCTTTCTAAATCCATCAATTCAGAGTCTACAGGGTCCAAAGAGAGGACCAAGGTTTGGTCCTGAGTTTAAAAAACAGAGTCAGCTCACACATTCTTTTTCCAATTTGGAAGCTGAAGTTTTATCCTTTGCTAGTATACTGGAAGGGCAGCACATTAGTTCTAAGACCCACCCCTTACTTCTTCCTCATACTCCAAAGTTCTTAGGAGTGAGTGCTGGTTAAGGGTTGGTAGAATTTATACGCACTAGGATCTTCTGGCATGGCTTAGAGTTCCTGCAAGGACCCTAGAATGAATTCACTCCCTTAGATGCTATTATGAGTTTCAATTTTGAACCAGACCTCTGACCCACTCTTCGACGAGCAATTAATAGGAACAAGTTTCTTTGAGACCCTTGGACTGACCCTTTGGATACTGAAGGCTCAAGTTTGGGATGCAGTAAGCTACCTAGGATTTGAAGTTCAGATGAGCAATGAAATGAAACAGTGTACTGGAAGCCTGCTAATAACTTTGCACTGCATTGACTTAATTTCCCCAAATAAAATATAATAATGAATTCATTTAAAATAAGGAAGCTATTTTGAGAGCTGTCAACACAAATGGAAATTTGGGAGCTGTGCAAACTCACTACTGAAAGAAATATGAAAAACAATTAAAATTATCAATATTACCCATGCTTTTAGTACGAGGATGAAAAAGTAAAGTTCATGCCAAGAATTTGTTCAGTCATGCAGAACTGAAGTCTGAGCATGCAAGTGACTCAATCAGAATCAAAGGAGGATAATGAAATAGGCCTTTGAGACATATAAAGAACATATAAAAATTGGATAAAGACGCAGAAACAAACAAACAAACAAACAAACCACCTCCCACATTCTTGACCCTCATAGAGTCCAAAATATTTGACACTGAGAATATCTTCCACTCTCCTTGTTAAGCCCCTATAAGAAGTTCTTTAAATGAATTTCAACTGCCCATAAATGTGCCCCAGCCATTGTACAAATGATCAGCATTAAACTTTCTCATTTGGAGTCAGGCATGGTGGCTCATACCTGTAATCTCATCACTTTGGGAGGCTGAGGCAGGAAGATTGCTTGAGTCCAAGAGTTCGAGGCTATAGTGAGCTATGATGGTGCCACTGCACTCCAGCCTGAATGAGACCCTGTCTCCTAAAAAAAAAAAAAAAAAAAAAACCCATTTGAAAAGAAGGCATTTTTACCACCCTAATTCAAAGGTTACAAACCTAAATAACCATGGAAAGGCATGCACAGGAAATAATAAATGTATATTCAATGTCCATTACCCTTGTTCATGAGGGAAGCTTTGAAATAGAGAATCCAAAACAAATGTTAACCTCCAAATCACTCATACTTCCACTTGAAGTGTATTTGTTAATTGTAAATTGTTTCCCTATTTTATCTTTACTTAGGTGAGGGCTTCAAAACTTCAGCACTATTGACATTTTAGACTGGACAAGTCTTTGCTGTAGGGGCTGTTTTGTGCATTGTAGGATGTTACTAGTGTCCCTGGTTTCTACCAATAGATGCCAAAAGCACCTCATATTTGTGGCAACCAAACATGTTTACAGACATTGCCAAATGTCCCCTTTGGAGCCAAAATCTCTCCCAGTTGGAAACCACTGATTTACACTGCTATAAAGATTAGTTCACCTTTTCTGCTGGGCACACACCAGCTGGACAATAGGGAAAGTGATCTAGGAGAGAACAAGATGAAGCTGGCCCAGGACAAAGAAAATGTATTGCAGATAACCTGCAGTGTGGATAATCAACAAGTAATTCATGGGAATTAAATATATGGTTGGGAGCATCTTATTAGAGTCAATTGGTAGACAGTGAATGATTGAGGTTGATATGAATACCAGACGTAGTTATAATCACCTTTCGGCTACCCGACTCTGGCTGCTGAAGATCAAATCAAGTATTCCTTTTATAGAACTGCATGACTTGATACACATTGTGCATTTGAGAGCTTGCTTGTTTTTCAGTCATTGACAGCTGGTCTAGAAGAAAGGCTGCCAGACACTTGGGTCATACAACCAATCTCAAAATGCATATTGGGCCTGAGAAGATACAGAGGTGATGACTAAGTATTTTAAGAAGGAAGAAGTAATCACTTCTAACTTAAATGTAATTTGATGGTGTTTCTGCCACATTTAGGCAAAATGTGTTTTAGCCTCCTTTATGTATTTGTATATATTTTATGGACAAAACTTTTATTTTTATGAGAAAGTCTTAAGTTATGACAACAGGATGGTTCATGAATTGGTACTCTGAAGACCACTAGTGCAAAATACAGGCTAAATCTCATGCCCCCTTCCAGTCACTACCTCCCCCTTCCCCACTAGACCAACTTCTAACAGTATAAACTTTCGCCTGTTTTTGTACTTTATGTAAGTGGAATGCTATGTGTATTATCATGTCTGTCTTCTTTCACTTGACATTGTTTTGTGAGATTCACCCAGGTTGTTGTAATTTGTTCTTTTTCATTGCTAGCTGTTATTCCAATGAGTTCATATACCACAATTAATTTCTCTACTGTTGGGTTGTTTTCAGTTTTAGATATTAAAAACAGTTATTTTCTGAAAAAAAAATAGGCTAAAAGGTGCATTCATTAGGAAAACATGTATGTTGACTGTATTTTGTGTGTGTGTGTGTTATTCTATTAATCATACTGACTGGGTCCCGAGCTCTTTTGTTTTCCCAGTGTGAGACATTTAACAAAAAAGGTATACGGATGTGCCCACGGACTGGAAAATAGTTTACTCAGTTGTAATTAATTAATTTTTTTTTTTTTGAGACGGGGTCTCGCTCTGTCACCCAGGCTGGAGTGCAATGGCATGATCTCGGCTCACTGCAACCTCCGCCTCCCGGGTTCAAGCAATTCTCCCGCCTCAGCCTCCTGAGTAGCTGGGATTACAGGCATGCGCTATCACGCCTGGCTAATTTTTGTATTTTTAGTAGAGACGGGGTTTCACCATGTTGGTCAGGCTGGTCTCGAACTCCTGACCTTGCGATCCACCCACCTCGGCCTCTCAAAGTGCTGGGATTACAGGCGTGAGCCACCGCGCCTGGCCTAATTAATTAATTAATTAATTAATTTTATTTTGAGACAGAGTCTTACTCCGTCACCCAGGCTGGAGTGCAGTGGCATGATCTCGGCCTACTACAACCTCTGCCTCTTGGGTTCAAGCGATTCTCCTGGCTCAGCCTCCCTCATTCTCCTGAATAGCTGGTATTACAGGTGTGTGCCACCATGCCCGTCTAATTTTTGTATTTTTAAGTAGAGACAGGGTTCCACCACGTTGGCCAGGCTGGTCTCAACTCCTGACCTCAAGCGATCCACCCGCCTCAGCCGCCCAAAGTGCTGGGGTTACAGGCATGAGCCACCATGCCTGGCCTACTCAGTTGTATTTATATCAAGTTCAACAATCATACTCTCTGCATTCTTTTTTTTTTTTTTTTTTTTTGAGGCAGAGTTTCATTCTTGTTGCCCAGGCTAGAGTGCAGTGGCGCGATCTTGGCTCACTGCAACCTCTGTCTCCCGGGTTCAAGCGATTCTCATGCCTCAGCCTCCTGAGTAGCTGGGATTACAGGCGCCTGCCAACACGCCCAGCTAATTTTTGTATTTTTAGTAGAGACAAGGTTTCACCATGTTGGCCAGGCTGGTCTTGAACTTCTGACCTCAGGTGATCCGCCTGCCTCAGCCTCCCAAAGTGCTGGGATTACAGACATGAGCCACCATGCCTGGCCTCTACATTTTTATTAATAGATTTCTATCTACTTACCCACTTAGAGAAAAAGCTAGAATTAAGAGATGTGTCCAGGGGTTGATCCTTGAATTCTGTTTGTAAAACAATTGTATTAGTGAACTTAATGAAGACCCCAGAGAAGGCATTTACTGCATATCTAACACAGTGCCTGGCTCTTAGAAGACATGTATTTGTTGAATGAATGAGTAAATGAGTTGATAGATGGAAAAATGACTGTTGGGGCAAAATCAATATGATTAATTTTGTTAAATGTTATTTAAGCAAATAATGTTAAAAGGAATTTGCCCAAACGCAGACAGCCAAAAGATGAATGAGCTGAGTTACAGTCTCAGACTAACTCCAAAGCACTTAACCTCTAAACTAGGTGGAATACTCAGAAAAGAAATGCTAATGGGTAAATGTAAGTTCCTGCTCTGAAGAGGCAAAAATAAGTTGCACAAGTACATAATTGTGTATTGTTAATGGCCACTGCTCATGTAAAAGAGACCTCATGGCTTTGGTTGACCACAATGTCAGCTGAGCCCACAGTGTGATACACCATTAAAAAAGCGAATTCTGTCTGAAGCTGCATTAATCAACATATTAAAGCAGTAAAAGTCCTGTTCAACCCAGCTCAGAACCTTTTACTTTTATCTCCTTGACCAATGTCTGGGACAGGATGTTGTAAAAATATTCAGTTCCTTGTCTTTGTGTCCTTGTGTTTTACTATCACCAGAAATATACAGGCTTCACTTCATACGGAAAAGTAACCAAGAACAGATTAAGACTTTCCCTTTTTATTTATTTGTTTTTTTTTGAGATAGAGTCTCACTCTGCTGCCTAGGCTGGAGTGCAGTGGCACAATCTCAGCTCACGGCAACCTCCACCTCCTGGGTTCAAGAGATTGTCATGCCTCACCCCTGAGTAACTGGGATTACAGATGTGCACCACCATGCCTGGCTAATGTTTATATTTTTAGTAGAGACGGGGTTTTGCCATGTTGGCCAGGCTGGTCTCAAACTCCTGGCCTCACATGATCTGCCCACCTCGGCCTCCCAAAGTTCTGGGATTACATGTGTGGCCCACCGCGCCCGGCCAAGACTTTCCAATTATAATCATTCTTGATTACCAATTCTTTGTTTCAGGTCCGATTCTTGCCCCCGTTCCCCTTATTAGGCATGTTGGATTGTCCCTTACTTCTGGCCTATCCTTACTTGGTGTGTTAGTCAGGGTTCTCCAGCAAGACTGAAGAAATAGGATGGATAGATAGATAGATAGATAGATAGATGATAGATAGATAGATAGATAGATAAATAGACAGATAGACAGATGATAGGGAATTTACTAGGGTAACGGCTCACACGGTTACAGAGGCCGAGAAATCCCATAAGCCATCTGCAAACTGGAGACTGTGGGATGCTGCTAGAATGGCTCAGTCCTAGTCTGACAAGCCTCAGAACCAGGGAAGCCAAGCTCCAAGAACCTGGAGGGCTGGGGTGAAGAGGTGCTTGTGTAAGTTTTGGAGTCCAAAGGCTGGGAAACCTGGAGTTCTGATGTCCAAGGGCAAGAGAGGAAAAGTGTATCCCAGCTCTCATGGATAGATGAACACATTCGCCTTTTCTCTGTTTCTGTGCTCTTAGGGGCCCCAGCTGATTCGGTTGGTACCCACCCACACTGAGGGCAGATATTCCTCACCTCCTCTACTCAGACTCACATGCTAATCTTCTCTGGAAACACCCTCACAGACACACCCAAAAATGATGCTTTACCAAGTTTCCAGGTATTCCTGAATTCAGTCAAATTGACACCTAAAATTAACTATCACGCTTGGGAAGCGGCCACCAACTGTCATTGCTTTGGGCTCAAGAGACCCAAGCCAGCAATGTCCACTCCCACAGCCACCGCAAAAATTCTGGTCTGGATCAAACTTGGGCCCCAGTAATTTAGCAAGAGATTTGGCAAGTCTTAGTTTACTCTATGATGGAACATTTTATTTGGTTATGGGAATCTTATTGAGACACACATTGATAAGCTAAGGGCAGCCAAGATGATGAAATACCTAGAAATTGTACCATATATACGCATTTGATCTTGGCCAAAAGACTGAGAAAGATTATGTTACACAAGGAAAAGCTGGTGAAACTGGAGGAGTTTAACCTGGCAAAAAAAAGCAATGATGTGTAGTTGGTACAACTGTATTCTGTACATGAACAGCTGTTCTGCAGGAGAGGTAATAGTCTTAATCTCATTTTATAGGTAGGAAATGCAAATGAGTGAAAGCTTTAGGGGGCATTTTGGGTCTGGTGGGAGGGAGAACCTAGCCATAAAAAGGTATCCGTATTAGTCATGTTGCAACTCAATTCAAACCAGTTTACACACTGAAGAGAATGTATTGTCTTTTGAAACAGAAACATTCAAAGGGGTGATTGGCTTCAGATTTGAGGGAAAAAAGGGATAATATACAGCAAGGATAAGGAATTCATAACATTCCCGAGTTATCCCAAATTATATCCAAAGGTTGGAGAGTTTTAGGGTCAATCTCTTAGAAGAGGTTGGTTTTTAAAATACTTTGAGGAATAAAATGGACACGATTTTCAGGAAAACAATAAAGAATTGTTCTACACTATACAGCTGGGATTGAGAAAAGAGAATAACAGGCATAGTAAGAGGTTCTGTTTAACTAGACTAGAACGAGAAATGTGCAGAACAATGAATCAGAAATTTGAGATAATGGCAGAACCATTGATGAGTGAGTCTCATTCAGGCTCTTATGGTATTTACAAAACACATTAGGTCATGTACTCCTGTAAGTTCTTAAATGTTTACTTAAATTTAAAATGAGATCTGCTTACCTGGAAAAGAATTATTACATTATTTAGAAAAATGAATTGACATGGTTTTAGAATATCGCATATCTTTGGATAATTTACCATGTATGACAATAGTTATAAACTTGACATTTGTAAAGAAAGTATCAAAGTAGGATATAAAGTATCAAGATACTATGCTTTAACATATGATTCTATATTCATGATATATCTTTGGAAGAAGACACAAGAAATTCGTAATTGCCTCTAGGAGGGAGATCTAAAAGGCAGGAGTTGGGATGTAATAGGGTTAGGATCTATGTTCCCACCCCAATTTCATATTCAGTTGTAATTCCCAGTGTTGGAGGTGGGGCCTGGTTGGGGGGTGATTTGATCATGGGGGCAGTTTTCTCATGAATAGTTTAGCACCATCCACTTGGTGCTGTTCCTGTGATAGTGAGTTCTCAAAAGATCTGGTTGTTTAAAAGTATGTAGCACCTCCCCATTCTGTCTTCCTTCTGCTCCAGCCATGTAACGTGCCTTGTACCTCCTTTGCCTTCTGCCATGATTGGAAACTTCCTGCGGCCTCTCCAGAAGCAGAGGCCACAATGCTTCCTGTACAGCCTGCAGAACTGTGAGCCAATTAAACCTCTTTTCTTTATAAATTACCCAGGCTCAGGTATTTCTTTATAGCAGTGCAAGAACCAACTTATACAGAGTATGAGGGAGAATTTTCATTTCAAACCTCTTGGTACTGTTTGGGATTTTATATCATATGTATTTCTTATTCAGCATTAGCTAAATAATTAATAAAAATACTAATCTTGTATTCCTGTTTGGGTCAATATCAAAGTATGAAAGACTCTGTGCCTTTTTCCATTGATCTGACTGTTGGTTTTAATTCCTCTCGTTTTCTACATAATTTGGATCTTTTTTTAACGTTGTTGACCAAAATAGCTAATTGATCTACTATGTTGTTTGAAGACAAGATTTTAAGCCCGATGTATCTTCTTTTCCTTGCTATTGGTGATTGTGGCACCTTGATAGGAAAATTCCTGAGGCACAAATGGTGAGAAGTAATTTAATTGATAACCTCTCAAATGTGTTCAATTTTCTCCATTCCCGCTGCTGCTAATTTGACCTGGGACATTATATGCTCTCTCCTGGCTACCTTCACAGCCTCCTTAATGACTTCTCTCTCTTTAGTCCTATTTCCCTTTAATTCTTTCTCCACACTGTGGCCAGCAATCTAATCATGTCTCTCCCACTCAAAACCTTTGGATGGCTCTTCATTGTCCTCAGGGAGAAGCCTAGATTCCTTCATACGCTCGCAAGTCCTTTCAGGATGTGGCTCCAGCCTCCTCATCTTCTCTTGCCACCCTCACCTTCTGTGTTCCAGCTTTTCCATTCTTGGAATTCACCATGCCCTCTCTTGCTCCCGGAATAGTCTGCTACCCCATCTTTGCCTGGCTAACTCCTATTCATCCTTGAATTCACTTAGATATCATATCCCCTGGAAATCCCTTCAGTCTTCAAAACCTGAGTTTTAAAAAGGCTCTTCTGTGCTTTCAAAGCACCCTGTGCTTCCTTTCATTGTCTGTTACTTCTCTGTACTACACTTTACTTCCCTGATTCCTACACAAGACTCTTAGCTCCATGAAGACAGGGACCTTATCTATGTGCTCAGTTATATCACCAGAACTTAGCACAGGCCCTGGAATGTGTAAGCACTTAAATCAATTAGAGATACACTCTGGAAAAAGAACTATGCTTTCTTTTGTGGTGAAAAATAGGATTGTCATATTGGGTAATGGTGAAACCATGGAAAAGAAGAATCTTATCAGCTAATTTATTAAGTTGTGTTAATATAGTTTTGTTCATGAATATTGTTCTTTACTGAATGCCTGGAAGGAAGGCATTAGAATGTTTCCTTTGGGTTGAGAGTATATTTATGTCTAGGACACACATTAAAAGGGCTGACTCTGATGTTAGACTATTTTGTAGCATATAAGTATACCTGGACATCTGATGTTATCAGATGAGGCCTTTAACTTTTCTTGAAAGTCACCTTTTACTCGCCACCACTCTTTCTCTTTCTTATAGTTCCTACCTCTGCATAAAATACTTCTAAATAACCTCTTTCCAGCTTATAATATTTTATCCTAATATAAACACATTGCTTTACCTCTGAATAAAATGACACGAATTTTAATATTTAGAAAATTATACATTGTAGTTCCACAATTCTAAGATGCCATTTTTTTTGCCTTTTCAGGGAAAAAACAAATATGAAATTAAATGTATCAGTGCAGCGGCTCACACCTGTCATCTCAGCACTTTGGGAGGCTGAGGCTGGCAGATCATATGAGATCAGGAGTTTGAGACCAGCCTGGCCAGCATGGCAAAGCCCCGTCTCTACTAAAAATACAAAAATTAGCCGGGTGTGGTGGCGCATGCCTGTAATCCCAGCTACTTGGGAGGCTGAGGCAGGAGAATCAGGGGGGCAGAGGTTGCAGTGAGCTGAGACGGGACCACTGCACTCCAGCCTGGGTGACAGAGTGAGACTCTGTCTCAAAAAAAAAAAAAGAAAAGGAAATTAAATGTGTCAAGACCCCAAATTAGTTGAAGAAGAAGAAGAAGAAGAAGAAGAAGAAGAAGAAGAAGAAGAAGAAGAAGAAGAAGAGGAGGAGGGGAAGAGAAGAGAAGAGAAGAGAAAAGAAGAGAAGCCAACAATTTTAAGGCTCAGTGCAATTTCCAATACGTTATAATATGAAAGAATGTGTGTCTTAAATACACACATACGCACACACTTATATTTGGAGAAAAAATGTCAGGAAATACAGCAAAATATTAAGGTTGGTGTGATGTGGGATTATGATTAATTTTTCCTTTATTCTTCATATTTTCTGCAATGTTTCTACAAGGAGAGGATCTGTATTTTGGCATCATCAAGAAAAATTAATAAACTTTAAAAGTAGATATGACATATTTAACATGTATTTTGTTTCTATTCCATATTCTTGAGGTCCCTCAGTTCTCAGTTTATGAAATGAATTGACACACTCTTGGCTTAACTTTGGGCTACATGCCCTATTCATTTGATGCAAGTATTAATGGCTTCACTTCTTTTTTTTTTTTTTTTTTTTTTTTTTTTCACAGAAATGCTGTTCTTCCTTCTGGATGCAATTCCATAGAAAGCTTTTGCAGTCCTCATCTTATTATTCCTTGTGTGGCTGCCAATTTCGGTCTTCATTGACACTTGCATGCTTTAGGACATTCAGAAAATGAGTTAGGGCCTCTGACATTCCAATAAATACGGGACATTACAGAAATCAGTTTCCAAGAGTTGCAGATAATATTAGATTTTGTGACTATTGGATTAAATTAGTTAATGATAGATAAAGTGCATACCAGGTGTTCTGTAAAGACTCTTTCCTTCTCATCCTCATGATCCCTGAGAAAAGAATAAAGCAGCTCAAGAACCATTTTTTTCTTTTTTTCCTTTCTTCTGCTTGCAGCTTTTCTTTTTTCTTTTGTTTTCTTCTCTTCTGTTTGCTTCTCTTTTCTTTTCTTCTCTTCTTATATCTCGAGATGGAGTCTTGCTCTGTTGCCCAGGCTGGAATGCAGTCGTGCAATCTCACTGCAACCTTCTCCTCCTAGGTTCAAGTGATCCTCCCACCTCAGCCTCCCATGTAGCTGGGACCACAAGTGCCCACCACTATGCCTGGCTAATTTTTGTATTTTTTGTAGAAACAGGGTTTCACCACATTGCCCAGGCTGGTCTTGAACTCCTAGGCTCAAGCAATCCACCTGGCTTGGCCTCCCAAAGTGCTGGGATTACAGGCGTGAGCCACCACATTTGGCTGCCTGTAGCTTTTCTTTTTCTTTTTCTTTTTCTTTTTTTTTTTTTTTTGAGACAGAGTTTCACTCTGTTGCCCAGGCTGGAGTGCAGTGGCACCATCTCAGCTCACCGCAACCTCTGCCCTCCTGATTCTTCTGCCTCAGCCTCCTGAGTAGCTGGGATTACAGGCATGTGCCACCACGCCCAGCTGACTTTTGTATTTTTAGTAGAGACGGGGTTTTACATGTTGGCCAGGGTGGTCTCGAACTCCTGATCTCAGGTGATCCACCTGCCTCAGCCTCCCAAAGTGCTGGGATTTCAGGCATGAATCACCGCACCCAGCCTGCCTATAGCATTTCCTACCCAAACAAAAAGTTTAGCTCTTTTGTAGATCCCCTTCCTTTGTAAAAATTTAAAGGAGTGTAGCTTGGAAAATGGCACTTCCTATGCTGTAAAGCTAATTTCAATTCTTGACAGCCTGAAAGCTGCTACACTGGTTCACAGGGACAGGACAGAGGCAATGGAGAAATAACCAGTACAATCAGCAATTATGCATCTCAAAGCACTTTTTAGAAAGCTCTTTAGGTAGAAGAATCATGGGAAAAAACATGAGCTCCCTCAAGTAGTGGTGTAGCCCCACACCACCCTGCCAAAAATGTTCTTAGCTACCCATACCTTGTTCATTCAAACTTTTGAGCGATCTTGGGCACTCTGAATTCTGATAGCAATAATGATACATGGCTTCAGTGCTGTCCTTTGTCTTTTTGATGGCATATTTCTAGTCTACTTTTGCTGTTCTTATTGAAGAAATCAATTCCTTTTTTTAAAAAATGAATTGATTGTTTTTTCCAACATGTCCCATGTCAGTTGTATCCACTCCCACAGCTCCAGTTATCATTTCTATGCCAGTGGCTCCCAGTTTTACATCTTTTGCCCAAACCCCTGTCCTGAACCTTAGATGAACAACTGTAAGCTAAATATCTCAATCTGGATGTACAGAAGCATCTCATGTGCTATGTATTCGAAACTTATTTTCCCCCCATATTCTCCTCTTAATTTCCTACCTAGAGGAAGGCCTCGCTGTCTACCTGCTTTCCCAAGCCAACAACCTGTCATCTTTGGACCCATCCCCATTCATCATCCCCTCCATCCAAATGCCAAGTCTTATTGATTATACTTCCTAAATATATTTCAAATCCTCTCTCCCCATCACCACTGCTACTAATAGTCCAGGCCACTATCATTTCTTGCCTCAATTACTGCAAAAGTCTTCTTAATCACCTCCTTGACTTCAGTCTTTGTCCTCGGAGATCCAAGCTACAGATTGCAGCTGAAGTGATTATTCTAAATCACCAACATAATCATGTCACTCTGCTACTACCAAATTTTCAGGATTAAGTCCAAATTTCTCAACATGGCTTTATAAGACTTTCATGATTTGGTCCCTACTTGTTTTAACCCTTTTCTTTCCCGCTTCCCCAAACCTTACTGTAGCCACAGTGAGCTGCTTTCTGTGTGTTCTAGTGTTTCACAGTCTTTGCATATACTAGACACCACTTGGAACACTCTGGCTTCTCTGCATCACCTGATACTGGTTATCAACCACACTCAGTTTCAGATCTCAGTGTAAATGCTGCATGCCTTGGAAAGCTTCTCGGCATGAGTCCCGCCCTTGGCTAAGTAAGGCACCCCCTCTACACTCCCATGGCACCCCATACTCACTCTTGTCAGAGTATATTGCACACTGTTTTCTAATTTTTTATTTACCTGTATGTCTCCCCTTACTAGATTGTTAACTCCCTAAGGACATAAAATGTCTCATTTACTTTTTTTTTTTTTTTTTGAGACGGAGTCTCGCTCTGTCACCCAGGCTGGAGTGCAGTGGCGCGATCTCGGCTCACTGCAAGCTCCGCCTCCCGGGTTCACGCCATTCTCCTGCCTCAGCCTCCCGAGTAGCTGGGACTACAGGCGCCCGCCACTACGCCCGGCTAACTTTTTGTATTTTTAGTAGAGGCGGGGTTTCACCTTGGTCTCGATCTCCTGACCTCGTGATCCGCCCGCCTTGGCCTCCCAAAGTGCTGGGATTACAGGCGTGAGCCACCGCGCCCGGCCTCATTTACTTTTAACTCTCATGTAAAGTGACCCTGTAAAGGTCTTGTAATGATCCTAGTAAAGTCTTGGAATCAGTAAGCTCTCAATGACCATTGGCTGAACTAATGAATGAAGTTGTAGAAGTGATAGGTTCCCTGGCTGCTAGAACACTTACTAATGAAGCTCAAGTTACTCTAATTGTTTGGATTAACAAGTAAATCTTCAGGTCTAGGCCAGATTGGTGGAAATCAGGACTCCTACTTTTGATGGAGAGCCTGGCCTGGACAGTAGGCTCCACAGCCAGCTGTTTCCTTACCAGTGTGAGGCATGCAAATTGTAAAAAGCCCTTAATCCTTAATAATAATAATAATAATTATTATTATTATTAGTTGAAGTCTAGCTCTGTCACCCAGGCTGGAGTGCAGCAGCACAATCTTGGCTCACTGCAACCTCTGCCTCCCGGGTTCAGCGATTCTCGTGCCTCAGCCTTCCCGAGTAGCTGGGACTACAGACATGCGTCACCGCACCTGGATAATTTTTTTACTTTTAGTAGAGACGAGGTTTCACCATTTTGGCCAGAGTGGTCTCAAACTCCTGACCTTAGGTAATCCCCCTGCCTTGGCCTCCCAAAGTGCTGGGATTACCGGCGTGAGGCATTGCGCCCGACCCCTAATCCCTAATTCTAATAGAAGGAACTTCATCTTCCAAGATGAGTTATATATTAGGCAAAGTGAATTTTCTGCTCTTTTCTTCCTTTAAGCATTCACCTAGGGATTAGATGTTTTCAACCTTAGATCCCAGAAGAAGAGATAGGCACAAGAAGATGGAGATTAGTACTGGAGAGTAAAGCAGGGACAGAGCTTTTGAATGAATGGGTTGAATAGTTGGAATACTTTTATGGGAATATACAGAAACAAAGGTGAACAAGAGACAATGCCTCTGGCTGTGTAGAAGGGAAGCATCAGACAACAAGCAAGCAAACAAATCAACAAGATAAAATCAGAAGGTAATAAATACTATGATGTCAAAACAAAGTTATGTGATAGAGGGTGGGGGTGGGGAAGTAGCTGCTTATCATAGGGGGTCAAGAAAGGCCTCTTTGAAGATTTGAGCTGAGATCTGAATGGGGAAAAGGAGACAGGCATGTAAAGAAATGTTAAAAAAAAAAAAAAAAAAAGGCGGGCCTGGTAGCTCACACCTGTAATCTCAGCATTTTGGGAGGCTAGGCAGGCGGATCACTTAAGACCAGCCTGGACAACATGATGAAACCCCATCTCTACAATCAATACAAAAACATTAGCAAGGTATGGTGGGGCGTGCCTGTAGTCTCAGCCACCTGGGGGCCTAAGGCAGGACTCTCTTGAGCCCTAGATGTCGAGGCTGTAGTGAGCTGTGATCGCACTACTGCATTCCAGCCCGGTGACAGAGCAAGACCCTGTCTCCAAAAATGAATAAATAAATAAATAAGAAAGAGAGAAAGAATAATCCCATTGGAAGGGAAGAATAGCAAGTGCAAAGAAAAAATTTACAAGTTTGAAGAACAGCAAAAAGAGTGGTGCGAACAAGGGGAGCATAGTTGCACGTTATGGAGAAAGGGAGGGGTGCTTACATGTTTACACTCTGGGGAGTTGGGGCTTAACAATCAGTCCACTGGGAAGCCTCTGGAGGGTTCTGAGCAAGTGACTGACTTTATCTAAATATCCTTGAATTTACAGACTGAGCAGGTAGAGGGTAAAGTGGGGAAAAGAGAACTTTTTTTTAACCTTTCCTCCTTAAACTAAAACTGCGTATTTCTGCTTTCCAGCATTTCTGTACTCAGAATGAATTGCTGACCTGTTAAAACACATTGATTATACATTTTATTTCCTAATAAATTGTAGTTCTTCCTAAATTGAAGAACTTGGAAATATCACTGCCATTCGTGATTCTAGGTAAAGAACGAACACTTCTTGCACATTGTAATTTTTTTAGTGTCCCTACCCAATGGGAGATTAGAAAGTAATTTTGTTTAAGAACTAAAATTAAAGCAGTCACTAATTTTAACCTATTCTGCTCCCATGTGGTTATCGCAATTAAAATCAGAACTTCTAACAGTCACGTCCAACCAGAAGTCAGTTTTAAACCTTCATTCTAGACCTTTAAGTGAATAGCTGAAATCTTGCAAATCTTCTCTGTTTAATTGCAATTTACACAGCCTTTCTAGTGAAACTGTGAGGTTTAAAGGTGAATTGAATCTGAGTGTAATTAAAAAGTTATTTGGACAGCGTTCCTTGCTGGACATATTATCTACATAGTGTTTGTTAATGATTATAAAGCTGGGTTTATTATCTATAATTTAAAAACTTTATGTGGTTCTCTGTCAAAATAAAAATGTAATATACTGTAGTACTGAAAAAATATTGTTTTTCCTGAGGAGGTCAAAGCACTTCACTGATGTTTTCTCTTTGGTCCTCACCATTTCCCCAAGGTAAGTAGATGGAAAGTGTTATGCACATTTAATAGTTGGGGAACAAGGCCAAGAGAAATGAATGAACATGCCCAAGGACATATAATACGTCAGTGGCAGGGAAGGGATGAATCTCAGGTCTTCTCATTCTCAGAGATCTGGCATTTTATAATGTTGGGCAGGTACCAAACCAGTTCTTGTTTGGCTTGGTACATTTGAGTCCTCATGTATACAATTGCAATGAACTAATAAGACATCTGTTCAAGGTCATATCTCTGTTTGCTATTTACACTGGTGATGATTCTTAACTATTATTTTTAAATGAAGGCATTTGAGGGGTTTAAACAGTGCAGCGAGATTAAAACATTTCATCTAATGTATTGCATGTGGTTGCCTGTCTAGGAACTTCTACTGTCAATAGAAACTTTATTATTTTGCTAAAGATTAGACTTATTACCTGCTGTTTAAGAAATTAGAAACATAGGCTGGGAACGGTGGCTCATGCCTGTAATCCCAGCACTTTGACATGCTGAGGTGGGAGGATGCTTGAGGCCAGGAGTTCAAGATCAGTGTGGCAACATGGTGAGACTGTTTCTACAAAAAAAAAAAAAAACTGTTTTAATTAGTCAGTTGTGGTGGTATGCACCTGTGGTCCAGCTACTTGAGAGGCTGAGGCAGGAGGATAGCTTGAGCCCAGGAGGCCAAGGCTGCAGTGAGCCATAGTCATGCCACTATACTCCACCCTGGGTGACAGACCAAGACCCTGTCTCAAAAAAGAAAACCCAGGAATTAGAAACAGGCTGGGCACAGTGGCTCATACCTGTAATCCCAGCACTTTGGGAGGCCAAATTTTACCAAACACATTTCATGTGGAGGCAGGAGGATTGCTTGAGGCCAGGAATTCGAGACCAGCCTGGGCAACATAGCAAGACCCCATATCTACAGAAAATACAAAATTTAGCCAGGCATGATGGCATTCTCCTACAGTTCCAGCTACTTGGGAGGCTGAGGTGAGAGGATCACTTAAGCTCAGGAGGTGGAGGTTGCAGTGAGCTGTGATTACACCACTGCACTCCAGCCTGAGTGACGGGGTGAGACTCTGTCTCAAAAAAAAAAAAGGGAAAAAAATACACACAGAGACACACACACACATACACTTCATTGTATCATTTTCCTATTGAATGCTTTTTCTTCATAATAGGATATTTGAAATCTGTAGGCTCCTGTAAAAAGTTATAGTTGTTTAAGCTTTGGTTCTTGGGTTGCAGATTGCTTAATGTCCTATCATATTAGTATATGATCTTGCTTTTTTGCCTTCTCTTCTCCCTCCTATGCCTGATTCTTTATTGTAAACAATTCCAAACACATGCAGGCATACCAAGAATATTACAATAAACCTCTATGTACCTACCATCCTGATGGTAATTACATGCAATTATAATTATATAATTATGAAGATTTTACCAAACACATTTCATTTGTCCCTTTTTTTTGCATTTGCCAAACTTTAAAAAAAAATCCCAGACATCAGGTAATCTCATCTTGTATACTTGACCTACATATGAGTCTCTAAAAATAAGAACTTTTAACCCATCGTCATAATGCCATTATCCCCCACCCCAAAATTTAACAATGTCTTTGTATCATCTAAAATCCACTCCTGGCTGGATACAGTGGCTCATGCTTGTAATCCCAGCACTTTGGGAGGCTGAGGCAGGAGGATTGCTTGAGGCCAGGAGTTCAAGACCAGCCTGGGCAACATGACAAGACCCCATCTCTACAAAAAGAAAAAAAAATTCGTTTTAATTTGCCAGGCATTGGCATACCTATAATCCTAGCTAGTAAGAGACTGAGGCAGGAGGATTCCTTGAGCCCAGGTGTTGGAGATTATAGTGAACTATGATCACATCACTGTGCTCCAGCCTGGGTGGCAGAGTGAGACCCTTTCTCTAAAAAGTAAAATGAAATAAAATCCATTCCTTAATAAAATTCCTCAGATTGTTTTTAGAAAAACAGTACTTTCATAGTTGGGGCATTCAAATAGGAAACCAAACGTGACATTTGGCTGCCATGTCACTGTGGCACTCTGGCACAGCTCTCTCCCTTTTTCGTCTCATACCCTGCTGTTGACTAGTTGTAGAAACCAGGTAAGTTGCCCTGAAGAACGTCCCAGATTTTGAAATTATCTGTTTGCTTCTTCATGGTATCACTTGTCTCTTTATTTCTCATATTTTCTATGAATGGAAGTTAGCCCTAGAGACTTGATTAGGTTCAAGTTAAACCCTTTTTTTATTGTTGTTGCAAGAACGCTTCATAGGAGGTGCTTGTGAGCTTCCTGTTACCTCATATGAAGAGGCCCAGAGTGTCTGGTTGTTCCACTCTTAGTGATGCTAACATTGATCAGAGGGTTAGTGTGGTGACAGCTTGATCCCTCTATTGTAATGTTTCCCACCAGCCTTTCAACTAAGGGTATCAATCATTCATTATCTTTGCTTGAATCACTTATTTCAGAGGTCTCAAATCATTATTTTCTAATCTTATTATTCCTTCTGCATTTATTAGCCGAAATGCTTCTGTGAAGAGAAACTTTCCTTATCAACTAAGCTTAGTTGGTTAAAGAGAGAATAAATGCCTAATTCTTTCTTTTTATTTGACAAGTTGATATCCTAGTTACATCCATGGTGTCAAATGAAGAAGGTTTCAATCAACTGCATTCATGATTCTTCTTGAGACTCAAATTCCTGCTGACTTCTTACTTCTATTAACAGTACGTAATGACAGAATTTAACACAGGTGGAGTATTTGCTACACATTGGTTTTTGAGGAAAGCAAAAGATCTCTTCTCTCTTGTATCAGGTACCTCCTCATCTGAACTGAATCTCTTCTTCTGTTTCCTTTAGCTTTACCCCCTAGTGGGTATGAACAAGATATAGAGCCAAAGAGATGGAAAAAGAGAATAAAAAGCCATGTGGTTCATTGTCTGAAGGCAAGCATTGTGGGAGAAAAAAAAATTAAACACTTATTTCAAAGGAACCAAAAAATACTTCTACATTATCTCCAGCCTTGAAGACAAGGAACAAACTACAAAAAGTTCTTTATATCTTTGTTCATGACATATAACACAGCTTTTTTCAGACTTTTACCTTAATAATTCTATAATTAATTGGTGAGGGTAGCAAAAATGGGGATGAGCTAATGACCAGGACTTCTTGCCAAATCTTTCATGTTTCACATCAGAACAAGATCACTAAGAAGAAATATTCTTATAAACCCAAATGCCAAGGCGGCTTATGCTTTTGGAAACCCTATGAGCTCACAGGGTTTGTAGGATCCTAACATTAACAGGGAGCATAGTCCTGTTAATGCAGTTAGCACAGGCCTAATTGGTTGGATAACTTCTTTCTAATAACAACCCTTTATTTAACAACAACATATTTTTATTGTAGTTGTCAGAAATAATTTCATTCTTTACTCATGCACAAAATGAGTTTGGGATATTAGCTTTCAGCAATAAAATGTATAGCAACATTTTAATATTTCTTAATGTTATAGAGAATACAAGCATCATTACTGTGAAATGAGAGTGGTTTTCCAAAGTCCTCTTTCCTTTGCGGAAAGTAAAAAAGGTAAAGTTAATTCACAATTTTAAAAAAATTGGCATGGGATCTTGCTATGTTGCCCAGGCTGGTCTCAAACTTCTGGGCTCAAGTGATCCTCCCACTTTGGCCTCCCAAAGTGCTTGGATTACAGGCATGAGCCACCATGGCTGAACTATAATATTTTTTGAATGGTCCAAAAATTCATGTGGAAAATAATAGCTCACAATAAGAAGGCTTTGCCTCCCATTCACTTTCCTGTAATGGATACTGATCCCTCAAGGTGTAAATTTTTCTCTGGCCTGCCAAGTTAGGCATTCTAAAAATCAAGTTTTATAATACAGCCTGAGATTCTGCAAAGACAAGCAATAATAGGGATAGAGGTCTTAGAATATTTGAAGACAAGATTAAAGTAAGAAATTACCGACTTTTTATAGAAAACAAGCTTAAATGGTGTCTTTTTCTAAAAATAAATGAAAATAATCTTAACACTCAATTCTGCTACCAAATTAGTGGTAGTCTTTGTGGGGAAAACTCATCCAAAGGTTAGATTGGGAAACTCAGAATAACAAGTGCCCAGAGACTAAGGTGAAATAATTGGTTTTGGGTTTCTTGACAGTATTTCTCATTAAGTAGCAGATGTATTTGTGTATGGATATATGAAAGTGGGCATAAAGTGTGAAGATCTTTGTATCACACATTAACACCCACCAGAGACAATCAACCATGAAAGAGACACTAAAAAGCCAAATAAACAAAAATGACTTGGCTAGCTGATGTCAATCAGACTATGTTATTGGCCACCCACTGCTGGCATGATGGCCGCATGAGTAGAGCCTTGCGGAAAGATGAAGGCTGTGCATCAGCCCAGTTGCATGGGCTACCACTTACCAAATCTGACCTAACTGGTGCCGTTGCCAGATGTCCAACATGGCAGTAACAGAAACCAATGTTGAGCCACCACTGCAACACCATCCCCAAGAGACCAGACAGCTACTTGATGAGAAGTTGAATAGAGTGGGCCCCTTCCACTCAATTTTTTTGGACAGTAATAGATAAACGTTTTGGTTATATGTTAGCTTTTCCTGCTTACAGAGCCTCTGCCAGCACTATCTTCCAAGAGCTTATGCAGTATTTGATCCACCAACTGAATTCCACATAATATCCATCTGACCAGAAGACCAATTTTTTGTTTGTTTGTTTGTTTGTTTGTATGTTTTTTGTTTTTTTGAGATGGAGTCTCACTCTGTCCCCCAGGCTGGAGTGCAGTGGTGTGATCTCGGCTCACTGCAACCTCCGCCTCCCAGGTTCAAGCAATTCTCCTGCCTCAGCCACCCGGGTAGCTGAGATTACAAGTGGCACCACCATGCCCGGCTAATTTTTTTGGATTTTTAGTAAATACATGGTTTCACCATGTTGGTCAGGCTGGTCTTGAGCTCCTGACTTCGTGATCCGCCCGCCTTGGCCTCCCAAAGTGCTGTGATTACAGGCGTGAGCCACCGCCCCCAGCCCAGAACACATCCCCTTTTTACAGCAAAGGAGATGTGACAGTGGGCCCATGACCTTGGAATTTCCCTGGTCTTCATCACATACCGAACCAACCAGAAGCTACTAGCCAGATAGAGAATTGGAATGGTTTGCTGAAAACGTGCTTAAGCACCAGCTCAAAGCCAATAATTTGTGAGGATGGGGCATTATCCTCCAGGGTGCAGTGTCCCAGTGGGAAGAATCATGAGACTGAGAACCAAGGGGCAGAAGAAGGAATGATCCTACTTATTATCATTCCCAATGACCCATCTAGGGACTTTGTGCTGCCCATCTGCATTGCATTAGTTTCTGCAGGGTTAGAGATTCTGATCCCCACAGGAAGAACACTGCCTTCAGGAAACACAATAAGAGTCCTGTTGAACCATAAGCAGGTTGTCCTTGAGCACTTCGAGCTCCTTGCATTGAGGGACCAGCAGACAAGAAGAGGAGTCACTCTCTAGGCAAAGATAATTGACTGATTATCAGAAAGAGACAGGGCTGCTAGTACACAATAGGACATGGACGACTATGTTGTGGAACTCAGGTAATCTACTTGGGCATCCTTGTTACCTCCTTGCCAAATGGTGATGGAAATAGACAAAGGAAGTGTCCCTTGCCTGAGAAGGACATGGAGACCATGGGCTCATTCCCCTTAGGAATGATAGTCTGGGTCATGCCACCAGGTAAGCCACCAAAACCAGTAGAGATGTTAGCTGAGGGCCCAGGGATTTTAGAATGGTTAAGAGAAGAGATAAAGTGAGTACCAGTTGCAGTCTCAAGACCAGTCACAGCAGCAGGTGTAGTTTGTTCCACCAACCTTCCCCTTCTAAGGAAGACAGCCCCATTCATACATGAAGCAATGAATCCAAGTAGCACATGGGGTAGTCTATGCTGAACATGGAGATGATCTGCCCAGATCCCCCTGTGAGGAAAGATTTGCTGTCTCAGCTGCTGGGAATGCAATTGACAGACAGCCTTCAACTGTCAGTTCTTGTAGAAATTGGCTCAGCTGCAGAAATCCCCCCTACCAAGGTTACATCCCTCTGGAGGTAGTCCTTATCCAATGACTGGAGTGAGAGTACAAATGTCTGGCTACTTTGGCTCACTGTGGGATAACCCTGAGGAGCCATTTCAGCTCCAGAGCTCCCCTTAGAATTGGCTGAGGCTGCCAGGCTGGCATCACAGCTTGGCTTCTCCCTCTGCCTGATTCTTCCTTCTCTTCTTTCCTAATAAATATCCCAAACACTAAGCTGTGTTTCGGAGTCTGCCTCCCAGGGCACCCAAACTGCAAGTAGAGAATCCTGTTTCCCGGAGTTTCCCTCATCTGCTAATTTCTTTTGTTAGTGACGTCCACGTGAGGTCTATAGGTTGCCTTGTGCAGAGCTGGCACCTCACCTGTCTGAGCCACCACAACCCTGCATTTATTCCTTTCATTACAGCACTCACCACATCACGTTGAATTGTCATCTATGTTACTGTGTTAGTCTTTTCCTCTGAATGATTCGTCTCATTCAGGAAACCAGGGACCCTTTCCTCACCAACTTTTGTGTTCCCAGCACCTAGTGCATATTCAGTGCTTAAACGGTGTTGTTGAATAGTGATGAGTGATGGGAGAAGGCTTAGCCTTAAACAGGCTTTTTGTTTGACTTCTGGAAGTTCTAAGCCTTTATATAAAAAAGTGAAGATCTTTATTAGACTATTTGCTAAATTTGGCTCTGCATCAAAAACAGTCATACTGATCACATCAGAATTTATTTTCCCTTTGTGTTTGAGTATGAATCAAATGATAAGTGGCTACCAGCAGCAAAGGATTTTCCAAGCAAGGGTGAAGGGTGAATATCCTGGAAGTCAGTGCCTTCCTGGTGACATAGCAGTTGTCATTTACTAAGAAGCTGCTGTGCTCCAGGCATAATGCTCAGCCCATGAGTCAGAGAGAGAGAGAGAGAGAGAGAGACAGAGAGAGAGAGAGAGAGAGAGAGAGACAGAGAGAGACAGAGAGAGGGAGAGAGAAGACCATCCTACCCTAGGCAGGCTAATCTAATGTGGAAGACAGGTAAGTAAATAACTTGCAACCGGGCGCGGTGGCTCACGCCTGTAATCCCAGCACTTTGGGAGGCCGAGGCGGGCGGATCACGAGGTCAGGAGATCAAAACCATCCTGGCTAACATGGTGAAACCCCGTCTCTACTAAAAATGCAAAAAATTAGCCGGGTGCCTGTAGTCCCAGATACTCGGGAGGCTGAGCCAGGAGAAAGGCATGAACCCGGGAGGCGGAGCTTGCAGCGAGCCGAGATAGTGCCACTGCAGCCGGCATGGGCGAAAGAGCAAGACTCCGTCTCAAAAAATAAAAAATAAAATAAAGTAAAAATAACTTGCATGTAGATAAACCATGTTCTTCCTCAAACACCTGTGACAGCATCAGTACCAGGATGAGAGTGAAATGTGAAGCAGCAAGGATTCTTTGAAGTGAGATAATAAAAGCCAACAATAACCTGACTTTCAGGGGACACACACACACACACACACACACACACACACACATTATATAGGCCAACTGCATTGGCCAGTTTACCTCTGAGTTCCCCTTCCTCAGCAGTGTAGGAAGGAGCAACCTTGCGTTTCCTCCAGTGGTAAGGGTGCCACGAATGTAGTGGCACAGAACATAGTCCCAGGCCAAGGTGCTGGATACATGGGTGGAACTTCATTTCCTGAAATTTGGGAGTGGAGTGGGCAAGTCTGGAACCCTAAAGGAAAGGAGGAATTACAGGGGTAAGATTAGGTACTAACAAGACTTGGCCACATCAACGCAACACACCACATGGGAGGCCTGGGTTCAGTCCCCGGCCCATTAAAAAAAAAAAAAAAAAGGCCGGGCATGGTAGCTCATGCCTGTAATTTTAGCATTTTGGGAAGCTGAGGCCAGTGGATCACTTGAGGCCAGGAGTTCAAGACCAGCCTGGCCAACAGGGCAAAACTCCGTCTCTGCTAAAAATACAAAAATTAGCTGGGTGTGGTGGTGTGCACCTGTAATCCCAGCTACTCAGGAGGCTGAGGCATGAGAATAGCTTGAACCCAAGAAGGCAGAGGCTGCAGTGAGCTGAGATTGTGACACTGCACTCCAGCCTGGGTGACAAAGCAAGACTCTATCTCAAAAAAAAGAAAGAAGGAAGGAAGGAAAGGAAAGGAAAGGAAAGGAGAGGAGAGGAGAGGAGAGGAGAGGAGAGGAGAGGAGAGGAGAGGAGAGGAGAGGAGAGGAGAGGAGAGGAAAGGAAAGGAAGAAAGAAAGGCAGGAAAGGAAAGGAAAGGAAGAAAGACTTGGCCACAAAAGCAAAGTCAGAGTCCTTTCCTGCCTGGAAGGACTAGAAGCAGCAATGATTTTGCTGAACACCATGGAGCTAATGGCCCTGGATCTGTGACTCTTCTGGTCTAAGAACAAGCTCTGTGGTGGGATTAAACTACAAGTAAGGATTGTTGTGTGACTGTGTGACCCTGTTTTATAAAAGGAGCCAGAGCAATCCATTAGAACTACCACCTGAGGCCATATAAACCAAGGGAAACCAGCTCTCATCAAGGAAGTAGCCCGAAACCTTAAACTAGTTTTTGTTGTATTTTTTTTAAAGTTTTTAAATTGAAACATAATAATTGTACAGATTTGTGGGGTATGTGTGGTATTTTGATACATACATACAATGTGTAATGATCTAATCAAGGTAGTTAGTATATTCATCACCTCAAACATTTATCATTTCTTTGTGTTGGGAACATTTCAAATATTCTCTTCTAGCTATTTTGGAATATACAATATACTGTTGTTAACTATAGTCATTCTACTGTGCTATCAAACACTAGAACTTAACTCCTCTTATCTAACTATATTTTTGTAACCATTAACTAACTTGTCTTCAGCTCCTACCACCTGCCCCACCGTTTCCAGTCTCTAGTAACCATCATTCTACTCTCTACCTCCATGAGATCAACTTCTTACTTCCACATGTAAGTGAGGACAATTTTGTCTTTCTGTGCCTGGCTTACTTCACTTAACATAATGATCTCCAGTTCCATTCAGGTACATTTGCATTGCATTTTAATCTAATGTTCCACAAAGAGGTAGAGGCACTCAAAACAAATCTAATATTGAATCTTCTCAGGATATGAGAACTTGTCTATTACCGGCATGACTTTCAACTTTGGGATAAATATAACATGTCACTGGCATAGTGACACATAACGGAATGGCAGGGTGGAGTCTCTCATGGCAATCAGTAGATTCATGAATATAAGAATGGCTTGTCTAAGATCAGACATAGATGCTATTGTAATCAGAAGAAGAGAGTGGCTCTCCATGCAGTCATTTAAGGATAACATTAACCGTTTTATCATGCAAAGACAACAATGCAGTCATAAACAACAGCTGCATCTGAGAATACATTGTAGTCATCAGAGACCAGCACCAAACTGGGCAATCAAATAGAAGTCCAGTAATTAAGTTTGGAGATCTTTCCAAGCTAGCTACTGGTCCTATTCGCCAATGCCATTTATTAGAAGTATTTTGTTTTTCAATCAGGACTAAAGCATGTGTTGATCAAACTGAAAATGCTACTCCCAGGGACAGGAACTACGCTGGATTCACCTTCCAGAAAGACCTCTTCTAGTATGCTCCTCCTCTGCTTGAAACGGTTCATGGTTATTCTCTCTGATGTAGCAAATGTGCATCATTTTAATTGGCTTTCAAGGCAATCCATTATCTGGCCTCATTCTATATAGTAAAAATTCTTTCTGACTACTTGCATGAATCCTACTCTGGCCACTCTAGAAAGCTTTTGCTGGTGCTATTCCACGTACCTATATCACCGTCTCAGATTCCTTCCCACATTTTCAAACCCCAGAGCCCATTCTAGACTCCCCATTTACAGATACGCAACTGTCCTTGATCCAATCAACCTTCAGTGAGCTCATGCTCAGTCCCTCAGTACTTAGCTTCCTCAGACAAGTTTCTCATTTTATAGGAATGCTCTTCTCTTTTTTTTGTTCCTGTTTGAAGTTTTTAGTCTTTTCTAGTACCTTTGAAGCCCCAATATCTCTCCATCCTGATAACATCCTCATCCCTCCACTCAAGAACTGCCACTATGAATTTGGTGTGAGAGTGTCTCTAGATTGTATACCCAAGAGTGGAAATTTACATTGTAAGCTATATGCATCTTCAGCTTTTTTTTTTTTTAAGAGATGGGGTCTTGCTACATTGCCCAAGCTGGACTCAACTCCTGGGTTCAAGTGGTCCTCCCACCTCAGCTCCTTGGTGCATGCCACCTTGCCTGGCTTACATTTTAAACTTTACCAGGTAATTCCAAACTATTTTATAATGTGCTCGTATCAATTTATATTCCTACCAGCGGGAGATGTGTTGAAAGGAGCACTCCCCCAGGGAAGTAGACTCTGAGACAGAGATTAGCATACAGAAGGTTTATTAGGGAGTGCTCTTGGGATCAACAGTTGTGAAGGGGCAGGGAGTGAAGCAGGACTGGGCTGTGAGAAAGTTGGACTGTGATGCAATCTCAAGGAAAGCCTCAGCTCACCCCACAGAGAGCTCTGAAGCTGAGATAGCCCTTTAGAGTTGTCCCTATTTAGGATGAGGAGGAGGCTAGGTCTCATGTGACCAGTCATTGGATGCAGGCTGCCCCCAGGGAGGGTGCATACCTTGAGCAAGACAATTCTCTTCAGCTGATTCCATAATGTATAGTTTTGTTTCTAGACTTTCCAGTCTGTTCCACTGGTCTATTTGTTTATCCTTCTACCAATAACACACTATCATATATACCTTTGTTGTAGCCATAGATCAATTTTGTGAGAATTGGTATTTATAAAATCTTGAATCTACCTATCCATGAAGATGGTTTATCTCTCCAGATATTGAAGCCTCCTTTAATGTCATTCAATAAAGTATAATAATCTTCATACAAGTCTTGCACATGTTTTATTAGATTTATTCCCAGGTACTTTACACTTCGTGTTGCTATTATAACTGGTATTTTCCAACAGCTTGTTGCCAATTTTAGAAATACAATGGATTTTTATTTTTATCTGACAATCTTACTAAATTCTCACATTAATTCTAATATTTTTCTAATAAATTATTTTCAGTTTGCCAATAATCATAGTATCTATTTCATGTTAACAAATGGACAACAACATGCTTGTATAATAATTCACTACAATACAAAGATGTCTAAAAACAAAACTATTTTCCTCCTCCCCTGTCACATTCCAGGTTCCATGTCTTCCCATTTACTTCATGTTTACTATTATAACAGCCTTCCACACTTTTCTCCTTGTTCACTTAGTATATATATAAATATGCAAAGTGTTGGTTTGTTGCTTTACCAGAACAAGACTATACTAAACATATGATTCTGCAACCTGCTTTTTACACTTGCTTATTATCATGACGTTCTCTAACTCTATCTTTTATTCTATTATCTTTATATGTTTTACATAAATGAACTCATATCATACACGCTGGTTAGTTTTATTGGTTGGTCAGTTTGAGTGCCTCACTCTTAAAAAAGAAACAAACAAACAAAAACCAAAAAAGGCCAGGCACGGTGGCTCACACTTGTAATCCCAGTACTTTGCAAGGCTGAGGTGGGAGGATATCTTGAGGCTAGGAGTTCAAGACCAGCCTGATCAACACAGTGAGACCCTATCTCTACTTAAAAAAAACAACAACAACTGGATAACCAGGAGATTAAAGATGAAGGCTTTGACCCTCCTTCAAAAGATTGCTGAGTTACTTACATTTATCAGTTTAAATAAAATAGGTAAGGTATATATTATCTTTTCTTAATGATTCACATTTTGACATTTTTGACTACAAAGCAAGGTGTTGACCCCAATGAAGACACAGTTAAAGTTAGACACACAGTGCTGAGGGACCAAGTCTGTTAACCTATAAAGTAGTATATGGACACACAAACTAAAAAAGAAGAAGCTATGCTCAGCAAAATATTTGTTAGGCCTCCAAAGATAAAATAACAATCTGACTTTCTTTATCCTAGAGTAATGTACTGTATCAGGTGACTCCAGTTGTTTCAATGGCACTGTGCCAGGACACACAGATCATGTCTGTCCGGTGGGATTAAGTGAGAACAGAAACTGTTCCAATCAGCCTGCCAATAACGTTACTGAGATTTTAAAACTGTAATCTAGTGGTGATTTTAAGCTAGAAAAACATGAGGAACTAAGCATATCGAGACTTGGTCATTCTTGCTATGATTGTTGGAGTACAGCACTCTATTTCTATGGCTGCATATAAAGTCCCATATGTGAAAACTCTAGAACACATGGAGTCTTCTACTGAAGTATGGTGTGTTATCTGCCAAAAATATATTAAATAAACCAAACTCATCTGGTGTTTTCTGTAAATACTTCACTATACTTGTCCAGCATCTTGTAAGTGTCAACTGTGTTTATGAAAATAGAATTCTGAAAATGACTTATCCTATATTCTGTGATTTCACCAAAGAAAGAGCATATTTTTTATTTGTATATTTTAGGGCAGCAATGTTTTAGTATTATAATCTCCTGTTGGTACAGGCATACCTTGGAGATATTGCAGGTTCAGTTTCAGACCACTGCAATAAAGCAAATATCACAAAAAAAGTAAGTCACATGCATTTTTTTGTTTCCCAGCCCATATAAAAGTTGTGTTTACACCATAATCTTTTTTTTTACTTTTTTTATTTTTTTATTTTTTGAGATGAAGTCTCTTTCTGTTGCCCGGGCTGGAGTACAGTGTTGCAGTCTCAGCTCACTGCAATCTCCACCTCCCGGGCTCAAGTGATTCTCCCGCCTCAGCCTCCCGAGTAGCTGGGATTACAGGTGCCTGCCACCAAGCCTGGCTAATTTTTGTGTTTTTAGTAGAGATGGGGTTTCACCATGTTAGCCAGGCTGGTCTCGAACTCCTGACCTCAAGTAATCTGCCCACCTCGGCCTTCTGAAGTGCTGGAATTACAGGCGTGAGCCACCACACCCAGCCTACACTGTAATCTATTAAGTGTTCAATAGCATTATGTCTAAAATAACTGTACATAACTAAAAAATACGTTCTTGCTTAAAAATGACAACAATCATCTGTGCCTTCAGTGAGTCATAATCTTTGTACTGGTAGAGTGTCATGACTCACTGTGGATGGCTGCTGACTGATCAGAGTGATTGGTGGTTGCTAAATACTGGGATGGCTGTGAAAAATTCTTGAAATAAGACAACAGTGAAGTCCACTGCATTGATGGATTCTTTCTTTCACAAAAGATTTCTCTGTAGAATGCAATATTGTTTGATAGCATTTTACCCACAGTAGACCTTTTTTTCAAAATTGGAGTCAATCCTTTCAAAGCCTACCACTGCTTTATCAACTAAGTTTATATAATATTCTAAATCCCTTTGTGGTCATTTCCACCATGTTCACAGCATCTTCACCAGGAGTGGATTTTATCTCAAGAAGCCACTTTCAGGCCAGGCGCCATGGCTCATGCCTGTAATCCCAGCACTTTGGGAGGCCGAGGCAGGCCCATCTCTACTAAAAATACAAAAAAAAAAAAAATTAGCCAGGCGTGGTAGCACGCTCCTGTAGTCCCAGCTACTTGGGAGGCTGAGGCAGGAGAATCGCTTGAACCCGGAAGGTGGAGGTTGCAGTGAGCCGAGATTGTACCACTGCACTCCAGCCTGGGTGACAGAGCAAGACTCTGCCTCAAAAAAAAAAAGCCACTTTCTTTGCTTATCCGTAAGAAGCAACTCCTCATCTCTTCAGATTTTATCATAAGATTGCTGCAATTCAGTCACATCTTCAGGCTCCACTTCTAATTCTAGTTCTCACCATGAGAACTAGAATTACCTGACTTGGTGGGTCATGCCTGTAATCCCAGCACTTTGGGAGGCCAAGGTGGGCGGATCACCTGAGGTCAGGAGTTTGAGACCAGCCTGGCCAGCATGGGGAAACCCTTTCTCTACTAAAAATACAAAAATTAGCCTGACGTGGTGGCATGTGCCTGTAATCTCAGCTACTCGGGAGGCTGAGGCAGGAGAATTGCTTGAACCCAGGGGGTGGAGGTTACAGTGAGCCGAGATAATGCCACTGCACTCCAGCCTGGGTGACAGAGTGAGACTTTGTCTCAAAAAAAATAAAAAAATAAAAATAATAATTCTAGTCATCTTGCTATTTCCACCATATCTGCAATTATTTCTTCCACTAAAGTCTTGAACCCCTCAAAATCATCCATGAGGGTTGGAATCAGCTTTTTCCAAACTCCTGTTAATGTTGATATTTTGATCTTCTCCCATGAATCATGCATGTTCTTAGTGGCATTTGGAATGGTGAATCTTTTCCAGGAGATTTTCAATGTACTTTGCCCAGATCCATCAGAGGAATTACTATCTTTGGCAACTATATCCTTATGAAATGTATTTCTTATATAATAAGACTCGAAAGTTGAAATTACTCCTTGATCCACAGGCTGCAGAATGGCTGTTGTGTTAGCAGGCACGAAAACAACATTAATCCCCTTGAACATCTCCATCAGAGCTCTTGGGTGTCCAGTGCCTTGTGAAGGAGCAGTAATATTTCGAAAAAAGTCTTTTTTTTTTCTTTTGTAGCAGTAGGTCTCAACAATGGGCTTAAACTATTCAGTAAACCATGCTTGAAACAAATGTGCTGTCATCCAGGCTTTGTTGTTCCATTTACACAGCATAGAGCAGATTTACCATAATCCTTAAGGGCCCTAGAATTTTCAGAATGGTAAATGAGCATTGGCTTCAACTTCAAGTCACTAGCTACATTAGCCCATAACAGGAGAGTCAGCCTGTCATGTGAAACTTTGAATCCAGGCATTGATCTCTCTAGCTATGAAAGTTTTGGATGGTATCTTCTTCCAATGGAAGGTTGTTTCATCTACATGGAAAACCTGTCATTTAGTGTAGCCACCTTCATCAATGAGTTTAGTTAGGTCTTCTGGATAACTTGTTGTACTTCTATATTAGCATTTGCTGCTTCACCTTGCACTTTTATGGAGACAGTTTCTTTCCTTAAACCTCATGAACGAAACTCTGCTGGCTTCCAACTTTTCTTCTACAGCTTTCTCACCTCTCTCAGCTTTCATAGTAAGAGAGTTAGGGTCTTGCTCTGGATTAGGCTTTGGCTTAAGGGAATGTTGTGACTGGTTTCATCTTCTATCTCCATATCAACTACTAAAACTTTCTCCATATCAACTACTTTGCTTTCTTATTATTTGTGTATTCACTGGAGTAGTACTTTTAATATCCTTCAACAGCTTCTCCTTTGCATTCACAACTTGGCTAACTGTATGGTACAAGAGGCCTAGCTTTAGGCCTAATGCAGCTTTTGACATGCCTTCCTCATGAAGCTTAATCACTTCTAGCTTTTGATATAAAGTGAGACACACACAACTTTTCCTTTCACCTGAAAGGTGAACACTTAAAGACCATTGTAGGGTTGGTTATTAGTGACCTTATTTCCATACTGTTGTGTTTCAGTGAATAGGAGGCCTAAGGAAAGGTGAGAGATGAAGGAAAGCCAGTTGGTAAAGCAGTAAGAACACACACAGCATTTAGTGATTAAGTTCACCATCTTATATGGGTGCAGTTCGTGGCATACAAAAACAATTACAATAGTAACATTAAAGATCACTGATCACACAATCCTAGTGCTTTAGGAGGCCAAGGTGTGATGATTGCTTGAGGGCAGGAGTTCAACACCAGTGTGGCAACACAGCAAGGCTTCATCGCTACAAAAAAAAAAGAAGAAGAGGAGGAGGAGAAGGAGGAAGAGGAAGAGGAGGAAGAAGAAGGAGGAGGAGGAGGAAGAGGAGGAGGAGGAGATGACGACGATGGCTGGGTGTGGTGGTTGATCCTGTGGTCCATCTCAGCACTTTGCAAGGCTGGGGCAGGAGGATCATTTGAGCCCAGGAGTTCAAGACCAGCCTGGGCAACATAGGAAGACCCTATCTCAACAAAAAATTTAAAAATAGCCAGGCAAGGTGATGGACCTGTGGTCCTAGCTACCTGGGATAGTGAGGTGGGAGGATCACTTGATCCCAGAATATCGAGGCTGCAGTGAGCTGTGATTGTGCCACTGCATTCCAGTCTGGGTGACAGTGAGAGCCTACCTCTATTTTTTAAAAAAATCACTTATCACAGATCATCATTACAGATACAACAATAATAAAAAAGTTTGAAATGTTGTGAGAATTACCAAACTATGACAGAGACAGGAAGTGAGCACATGCCATTGGAAAAATGGTGCCAATAGTCTTGTTTGAAGCCAGGTTGCCACATTCAACTTGTAAAAAATGCAATATCTTCAAAGTGTAATTAAGTGATGCATAATAAAATGAGGTATGCCTGTATTTTATTCTTGGCACCATGAAGTTATAATATTGTCCAAACTAAGTGATTTGTTATTTTTTAAAGTTAGTAGTGGCTAGGTGCAGTGGCTCATGCCTGTAATCCCAGCACTTTGGGAGGCCAAGGCAGATCACTTGAGGTCAGGAGTTCGAGACTAGCCTGGCCAACATGGTGAAACCCCATCTCTACTAAAAATACAAAAATTAGCCAGGCATGGTGTTGCATGCCTGCAGTCCCAGTTATTTGGGAGGCTGAGGCAGGGGAATTGCTTGAACCCAGGAGGTAGAGGCTGCAGTGAGTCTGCAGTGAACTGAGATAGCACCAGTTGTACTCCAGCCTGTGCAACAGAAGGAGACTCCATCTCAAAAAATAAAATAAAATAAAATAAAATAAAATAAAATGAAGTTAGTCATATATAGATTTAATAATCTTTGTTACCATCAGCAACAAATATTAGTATGTATCACATAGAAGGTTCTACTGCACAGAGTTTGAAGAAGGATACTCGAGTACCTAGCATGCAGTTTCTGGTATCCAGAGATTAAGTGTCTATAGAGATAAGATGTCAATGGTTTAAAAAAGATAATGGTAATACTAGCTTTTTTGAACTATGAATTACCATATTCTGGTATTGTCCTAAGTGTTTTTCATAATTATCTCATTAAATCCTCACAATAACCTAATGTGATAGGTAGTATGTCCCCATTTCCTAAATGAGAAAACTAAACAGGACCTTGATCTTCACTGTGAGGATTCATTCCTCTGTTTGATATACTCATTTCTTAAGTATCAGATATTATATAATACAGTAATTCAAGGGAGGGAGAGCTCTACTTGATAGCACTGAATCTGAGCCTTCATAGCTTGGTTGGATTTTAGTGAACGGGGAGGAAGAGTGAGAGCATTTCAGGCAAAGGAAAAGATACTCCCAGAGATCAAATATGAAGGCAAATTTGGTGGGAACAGTTGGGCTCAAGTTAGTATAAATAGGAGAGATGAAAGTGAAATTCAATTCTATCAACAAACTTGTCTAAATGACTGGCAAAAGGTAGTTGAGGGACAAATTGTTGAGTGCTTTAAATATAAAGCTAAGAAGTTTAGACTTTATTCTATAGAAAGTGGTGGGTAAAAAATAATTTAACATGTTTGCATTGTGTAAATTATAATCGTAACACATGTACATTTAAAAAATTCAAACAATACACAAGTGTAGAAAGAATGAGGCAAAGCTTTCCCCTCCTATCTTGGTATAATTTTATTCCTCAGATGCAGTCAGTTAATAGTTTGGGTACAATTTTCCAACTTTTTTTTTTTTTTTGAGACAGGAGTCTCACTCTGTCACCCAAGCTAGAGTGGAAGTGGCTCATTGCAGGCTCTCTGCAGCCTCTGCCTCCAGGCTCAAGCAATCCTCCCACCTCAGCCTCCTGAGTAGCTGTAACCACAGGTGTGCACCCACACCAGGCTAATTTTTTGTATTTTTGGTAGATATGGGGTTTCACCATGTTGGCCAGGCTGGTCTCGAACTCCTGAGCTCAAGTGATCTTCCTGCCTTGGCCTCCCAAACTGCTGGAATTACAAGCATGAGCCACCACACCTAGCCCCAGCCTTTTAAAATTTATAAAAATATAGATCTTTTTTTAAAAACATATGTGGAATTATACTAGACATGCTTTTTGGCAATCTGTATTTTTCTTTAATTCAGTAATGGGTTGTGAACACTTTTGCATATCAATATATACTATTAAGGCTTTTGAACAAGCCTCCAGTATTTCAAAAGCTTGGATGCACTGAAATGAAAACATATCTAGAAAATATATATTACTAATAACATAACCAATGTTGTTATCAATATCTTTGTATGAATACCTTTGCACACTTGCCAATTATTTCTTTAGACTAAATTCTTAAAAGTAGAATTGCTGGATATATATGTATTAAAATTTGAGATATGCTTTCAATTTGCTCTCTGGAAAATTTGCATCAATTTATGCTCTTAAAGAAGGTATTCAAACGCTTTCTGCTCTGTACTTTCACCAATA
The DNA here is from genome assembly GCF_000001405.40 of Homo sapiens. NCBI lineage: Eukaryota > Metazoa > Chordata > Mammalia > Primates > Hominidae > Homo > Homo sapiens. The sequence continues at coordinate 65,874,560 of NC_000005.10, read as the reverse complement.
TCAGATCTTATTAACCAAGAAGTTTTTTGAGCAAGGATGTAACATGATCACAGCTTTGGTACATCAGGTAGCTGGCCTATTCCAGATCATTGTTTTTAATGCATGATTCATTGTCTATTTAAAGTCTTAAAGCCAACAACTGGGCAATCGGACACTAAGGAAATGAAGATTTCTAATATATTAGGAAGAGTGACTAAACACAGAATAAATCTCACCTGGCAGAAAACCAAGTTTATTGCTTTAAGTCAGTGGTTCTCAAACCTTGGCGCACATTGAAAATAAATAAATAAATAAATAAATAATAAAGATAAAAAACAAACAGAAAAGCCTTGGCGCACATTGAAATTGTCTAGGGAGCTTTAAAAACTATCAATGCCTGGGTCTCACCCCCAAAATTCTCATTTAATTGGTCTGTGGTGTGGCCTGAATATTGAGATTTTTTTAAAGCCCCTTAGATGATTCTAATATGAGCCACAATTGAGAATTTCTGCTTTAGATGTTAATTTTAAAATTTCGTGAACTTCATGCTCACCTGTCTCATAAAGATGCCTGATGTAGTTTCTTTTTCCTAAGGTCTTAAAAAAAGAATGAGAATTGAAAGTGTGTATGGGTTCCACAATTGTTGGGGGAGATTTCACTAGATTCAAACCAGGTACTGTATAGTCCTAGTCTGAAGGAATATATATTTCTTTATTTGGCAAAGACCCTGGATTGTTTTCCAGGATTTTAGTTCATTTCTAGTTCATTTCTATACTGTGAGCCCAAAGACTAAGAAACACAAATATTCACAGGCTTGAGTCAGATGTTATGTTAGGCCTCAGGTGAATTAAATAAAGTCCTGATAAATCTGCAGAAAACAAACAAAATAAACAAACATGTTTCTTGGAACATTCGCTGGAAGATGAAATGTACAAGTTAGAACAGTTCTGGCCTGGCTGATATACAGAGAAGGCAGGATTTACACAAGGCAAAATTAGTAGAATAATGAATTACCTAGTCCAATGGAGAACTGTTCTTCACGTATTTTGACTGCATGAGATCTAGTTTCTCCCACCTTGTTACTGTATAATCCTCAAACATATTCATTGTGATTAATGACATTGGAAGGAAAATCCCATCATGTTTTGAGGGATGAATTTCCCCTACTCTGCTGATTGGGAAAATGAGTCACTCATTTCCCACAGACCTTAGAATATTTTGGTACTCCATGTCAACCTATCATTGCCAAACAGCAGCTGACACTTTAAAGTGAACTTCTGACCTTCAGAGATGAAAATTATTCTCTTACCATTGGTATTTGGAGTTTCACATTTGCCTGGGTTGGTAACCAAGGCTGTGAGGGCTGCCATTTTCTAAGTATGATGAGAAGCGGGTTGCTGATCATTGGCAACAGAGCATCAGGCCTGGGGTTCATTTTCTGATACTTCACTGGAAACAGGATGGCTCTACTCAATTGTGTGCTGGTGAACAGGCTCTCAGGGCAGGTTGGGTGGGTGGATGGGTGGGGGATACATGGAGAAAGGAAACGGGGAAATGGAGGACCTGACTGGCAGCATTTGCCATTTTCTGAGGTATAAATACCCCCATCATGTCTGATTTCAAGCTACCAAGGTTTAACATTGCCTCATATAACTCTCATAAAAATTATCTCTCTCTCTCTCTATAGACAGACAGATAGATAGATGATAGATAGATGATGATAGATAGATAGATAGATAGATAGATAGATAGATAGATAGATAGATAGATATAGATAGATGATAGATAGATGATAGATAGATAGATAGATAGATAGATAGATAGATGATAGATAGATAGATAGATAGATCACAGTGATATATATATATCCCTGTAACTTCAAATTCCTGGGCTCAAGACATCCTTCCACCTCAGCCTCCAGAGTAGCTAGGACTACAGGCACATGCCATCACACCAGGCTAATTTAAAAAAAATTATGTATATATATATACATATACATAGAGAGAGAGAGAGAGAGGCAGAGTCTTACTATATTGCCCAGGCTGGTATTGTCTTCCTGGCCTCAAGCAATCCTCCTGCCTCAGCCTTCAAAAATGTTGGGATTAAAAAATTTTAAATGTTTAATAATCAATTATCCACAGCATGTAGGAGTTGGCTCCATCACACTGCTGGGTTTGCCTCATTAAGAATCAACAATCTTGGTTTTCTGGTGGGCAATTATAAATTGACAGCCAAGATATAGTATAATTATATAAAAGTTGAGGTCATTTTGTGGCTCAAAATTAAACCTAAACAAGCAGCAGAGCTCTTCTTACCCCTAGACCACAAGTTTCTTAGTACCTACTTTCAAAGACTCTAAGGGTCTAATAATGGAAAAACTCAGCTATTAGTGCTTCAAAGAGGTTTGTTTATAAAAATCTATAGTCTAAAATTAAGCAAAATAATTATTTTGGATGAGGACTTACAAGGTTTGGATGTGTCCCCACCCAAATCTCATCTTGAATTGTAGCTCTCATAATTCCTATATGTTGTGAGAGGGGCCTGGTGGAAGATAATTGAATCATGGTGGTGTTTTCCCCCATATTGTTCTCGTGGTAGTGAGTAAGTCTCACGAGATTTGAATCTGATGATTTTATAAGGGGGTTTCCCCTTTTGCCTGGCTCTCATTCTCTCTTGTCTGCTGCCATGTAAGATGTGCCTTTCGCCTTCTGCCATGATTGTGAGGCCTCCCCAGCCACGTGGAACAGTGAGTCCACTAAACCTCTTTTTCTTTATAAATTACCCAGTTTTCGGTATGTCTTTATCAGCAGCATGAAAATGGACTAATACAAGGACCATGGAATAGATTGAAATATAAAAGATGTTTATTTAACCTGATAGCCAAATCAACTTCTCCCCAGGAATGGTTGCCTACTTGATGGTGCTCTTCTTTTCCCATAAAGTTCAGATACTCTTTTAGGAGTGAGCAGCTATTTCAGGTCTTATTTGAAGCAAATATGAGTTGTAATCTTTTTAGAAGAAAGGGCTTCTGTTTTCTCTGCAATGTTTTATGTCCATCAAGTGTATGGCTCCTAGAGGAGAAGGGAACACTGGCTAGCCTGGCTCCTACTTCAAAAAGGAACAAGATCCACCTCTCCCTAGAAAATTAAACACATATTTCAAGGAGTAGTCATTTTTATTTACCACTGTTCCCTTAAAAATGTCAGAAATGTGTGAGTAAAATGTGTTAGTAAATTACTATTTGAGCCGGATGAGGTGGCTCATGACTAATCCCAGCACTTCGGGAGGCAGAGGTGGGTGGATCACCTGAGGTCAGGAGTTCGAAACCAGCCTGACAGACATGGAAATCCTCGTCTCTATTGAAAATACGAAAATTAGGCTGGGTGTGGTGGCTCATGTCTATAATCCCAGCATTTTGGGAGGCTGAGGCGGGCAGATCACCAGGTCAGGAGATCGAGACCATCCTGGCCAACATGGTGAAAACCCTTCTCTACTAAAATACAAAAAAAATTAGCTGGGTGGGGTGGCTAGCGACCTTAGTCCCTGCTACTCAGGAGGCTGAGGCAGGAGAATCGCTTGAACCCGGGAGGCAGAGGTTGCAGTAAGCCGGGATCGCACCACTGCACTCCAGCCTGGCAACAGAGCAAGACTCCATCTCAAAACAAAAACAAAAACAAAAATTAGCTGGAAGTGGTGGCACATGCCTGCAGTCCCAGCTACTTGGGAGGCTGAAGCACGAGGATTGCTTGAACCCATGGGGCGGAGGTTGCAGTGAGCCAAGATTGCTCCACTGCACTCCAGCCTGGGTGACAGAGTGAGACTCTGTCTCATAAAAAAAAAAAATTACTATTTGAATAATCACCTCTATGGGCTTCCCTACCACGATGTCATTAAAAAAAACTGCTTATTATACAAAAATAATAATAACTTGCATTTTTATAGTAGAAAGGTTAAGAGTAATCTGGAGTTTGAATAGATGTTTATTTGCACATTTAATATGAAATGTGACTTTAAGCAAGTTACGTAACATCTCTAAGACTTAGGATCCTCATTTGTAAAATAAACATAAAAATAGCAACTACTTAATGGAGCTGTTGTGAGAATTAAATGAGACAATATAAATATAGCAGTTAGCATAGGCTTGGCATTTAGTTGGTACATGACAAGTCAAGAAATTATTGTTAGATTGTTACTTTTTTTTTTTTTCTGAGACGGAGTTTCACTCTTGTTGCCCAGGCTGGAGTGCAATGACCCAACCTTGGCTCACCACAACCTCCACCTCCCAGGTTCAAGCAATTCTCCTGCCTCAGCCTCCTGAGTAGCTGAGATTAGAGGCATGCACCACCACACCCGGCTAATTTTGCATGTTTAGTAGAGATGGGGTTTCTCCATGTTGGTCAGGCTGGTCTCAAACTCCCGACCTCAGGTGATCTGCCTGCCTCGGCCTCCCAAAGTGCTGGGATTACAGGCATGAGCCACCGCTCCCTGCCAGATTGTTATTCTTTTGACCCTTTACAAGGTTCTTTAATCAACTCAACCTCACATAATATTTTATTATTATGACGAAAAGTACACAAGATAAGTATTATTATAGCCCTTTTAAAGATAAGGAAATTTTCAACCTCACATAATATTTTATTATTATGATGGGAAGTACACAAGATAAGTATTATAATAGCCCTTTAAAAGATAAGGTAAGGAAGGCCTAGAAACATTAAGAATGTGCCCAAGATGGAATAGCTGCTTGATGACAGAGCTGGGACATGCATTTCATTATGTTTTATATAAAATTAACCATAACACTAATTTGCTGATTCAAAATAGGGTTAAACTATTAAACAGCAGTGAAACTGGTATTCTAATCAGAAGGTTTTTTTAAATTCATGAGTAAGGTAAATGTTGCTAGACACTGATTTTGGAAATTCTATTATTCCTTAAAAACAGCCACAAATTTCTTCTATTAGCAGCAGCAGAAATTATTTTTAAATATTAAACACTTTATATGCTTATATATGTGTGTTTTAAACATATGTTAAACATTTAATTACATTAATTAATTTCGAGACAGGGTTTTGTTCTTTCTCCCAGGCTGGAGTGCAGTGGCCAGATCTAGACTCACTGCAACCTCTGCCTCCCAGGCTCAAGCGATACTCCCATTTCAGCCACCCAAGTAGCTGGGACCACAGGCGCGCCACCATACCTGGCTAATTTTGTGTTTTTATTAGAGATGGGATTTCTCCATGTTGGTCATGCTGGTCTCGAACTCCTGACCTCAGGTGATCTGCCCGCCTCAGCCTCCCAAAGTGCTGGGATTACAGGCGTGAAGCCACTGTGCTGGCCTGTTAAACACTTTGTATCCCTTTCGATCATCAGAATCACCCTCTGAGGTAGGCATTATATTCTTTTTATGGATGGTAAAACAGTAATAGCTAATATTTATGGCCATTTTGTTTGCATCAAACATTGTGCCACGTATTTTACATGCATTATCTCGTTTTAATCAGTTCAACAACCTTCTGAGATAGAGAGCCACTATTATTATCCCAGTTTGCTAATGGAGAGAATATATATGCAAATTTGCTATTAGAATTGAAGAACAGGAAACTTTTTATTATACATTGTTTTATTCTGCTTAATTATGTAATTTAAAGGTCCTGTGAGGATTATTTTGTCAGAGCCAGTCCCATTAAAAATAATCGTTCAAGTAGAGATTGGGGAAAAAAGAGTTGTCAGGGCAAAATTATGCTTAAAGTATGTTTGCACATTCCTTTTTTTTTTTTTTTTTTCGACAGGGTCTTACTCTGTCACCCAGGCTGGAGTGCAGTAGTGCAATCAAGGCTCACTGCAACCTCTGTCCCCCAGGCTCAAGTGATCCTCCCACCTCGGCCTCCCAAGTAGCTGGGACCACAGGCATGTGCCACCATGCCTGGCTAATTCTTGTCCTTTTTGCAAAGACCAGTGTGATGGTTAATACTGTTAACTTCATTGGATTGAAAGATACAGAGTATTGATCCTGGATTTGTCTGTGAGGGTGTTGCCAGAAGAGATTAACATTTGAGTCAGTGGGCTGGGAAAGGCAGACCCACCCTTAATCTGGCGGGCACAACCTAATCAGCTGCCAGTGAATATAAAGCAGGTAGAAAAATGTGAAAAAGAGATGGGCCTAGCCTCCGAGCCTTTATCTTTCTGCCATGCTGATCCTGCCCTCAAACATTGTACTCCAAGTTTTTCAGTTTTAGGACTTGGACTGGCTCTCCTTGCTCCTCAGCTTGCAGACAGCCTATTGTGGGACCTTGTGATCATGTAAGTTAATACTTAATAAACTCTCATATATATGATATATATATGTGTATATATATGATATATATGTATGTATATATGATATATGTGTATATATGATATATATATATAATATTTTATATATCCTATTAGTTCTGTCCCTCTAAGAGAACCCTAATACAACCGGGTTTCTCCATGTTGCCCAGGCTGGTCTTGAATGCCTGAGCTCAAGTGATCCGCTTGCCTCGGGCTTCCAAAGTGCTGGGATTACTGGCGTGAGCCATGGCTCCGGCCTGTTTGCACATTCCTTTGATCTCACACACTCTCCCAGCTTGTAGAATAAGACGACATGCCGCGAAAAACTTGAATTTGGGGGAGTCATTGTATTAGCCAGGTACTGTCCAGTTTGAGTAAAAATAAATTCGGTTTGGCAACTGCACAGTAAATAATAAACTATTCTTAACACTTAGTAACACATCATCGGTTTTCCAAAGATAAAAACGGTGTTGGGGTCAAAGAAGTATGTTGTTTCAGGGCATATGTTGCTATTAATAAAACATTCTCTCTGCAGGAAGTATACACAGACAGCTCACAAAAACAGGAAAGTCACTCAGGAACCTGGTTTAAAACTCCTGGTCTGAACTCATGAAATTGCCCTGAAGTCATAGAGAGTAGATACCACAAATTAGAAGTCAAATGAAGAGCATAGTTTTTTTCATACTTCAACTGGTACAATTCTGTACTTTCAATCCTGTGAAGGCAGATCTAGAGAGACTTATTAATAGAACTTTTTACACCAATCCCTTCATTTTGGGGATAAAGATACGGAGAACAAAGTTAGATAACATCTAGTGTTTTTGCCTGCTCAAATCCATTTCCCCTTCTGGTAACAACCCATCCCATGGAATTCTGGGGGCTGGACTCTTTCCCGACTCAAGGTCTTTTTAGTGTAGAGAGGGGTGATCTCACCTCCAGCTTCAGGGGTGGGCATGTATCAGGCACGGACAAACAGGGTCACATTAACGCACTCACTGACAGGTATGCGGGAGATCTGAATTGATTTAGTACAGAAGGAAAACTAAACCCAAGACCACACAGTTAATGCCAAAGCTAGGACTATAGCCTGAGTCTCCCACCTCTAAGACCAGTGATCTTTTCATGCTACCATGCCACAAAACATACATAAGTTAAAAAAAAGTTCTTACTAATTTAAAAGGTAGCTGTATTTCAGTGCTAATATACCAGACTGTCTCAGGTCTGCACGACTTCCTGTTTGTATGTTAGGTACCTGGAACATAAGCCCACATTTCCTTCTATGTCCTTAAAGAGAGTAATGATTTATAGCAGGGTAAAGAGGGTACAATGATCATTTACTTTATATTCAATGTTCCTCTAAGGCCACTTATAAAAATTATCTTATGCCACCAGGATACCACTATTCATTTTAGACAATTAATGATTACACTGTGACTTATAACCATTTGAAAAGGAGGCTGGGAAAAAATGGGAGCGAGTATAGTATTACATAATGCTTAGAGTGGTCCTATGGGAGTGACTGGATTATAGGTAATTTCCCCCTCATTCCTTTATTTTCCTGGTATGGGGGTAATATAATATTTCAAAAGTAAATAAGCTGATACTTTTGTAGCAATCTGATTATTCAAAGGCCAATTAACTATGCTTCAAATTATTCAACCCCTTTGCTACTCTCTCACAACTCCCTCCTGTTTCTGTTTTGGCTGTTCATTGCCTCCTTAATTCTATCTAGGAGAAAAAGTTGTGAGACTCAAACCAGACAATATTCTGCCTATTTCAGGGCTTAATTTTCATAAGAGTACCTGTGAGAAGGTGTGGCTGGATCAGGGCCAGTGACCAGGGCGCCCAGGAAGACTGTGAACACCCAGGAAAGCCGTGAGCAATAAAGAGGGACAGTTTAAGAATTATCCATATCGATTTTTAATTAACCATAGTAACATGCCCTTTTATGACCTCAGGAAAGTGGGAGTTGGCAGTACTGTACTTAAAATTATATTTGGTTGTCACACCAGACCTCAAACACAAAATGTCTAAACTGAATCCTGTATCTTTCCCTTCCTGAAACAGTTACGCACTCCATCCCCATCTCTATGCATGACTTCCATCATCCACTCAGCCAGAAATGTGGAACTTATCCCCAACTCTTCCTCACTGGCTATACTTAAAAATCATCAAGTCCCTCTTCTGTCTTCTTCCCCATTCTCATGGTTGCTACCTCATCGATTGCTATCTGGACTAATGCAATTAATAGTTTCTCAGCCACCAGCCTCCTCCTTCCTACAGTCCTTCACAATGATCTTTCAGATAAATGGCAAATCCATTTTGAGAGTGAAGGAGAGAAAGGACTCAAGGATCACTCCAAGGTTTCTAAACAAAGCAGCTGAGTGACTAATGATGCCATTATCTGTGATACGGAACAATGGAAAAAGAGGTCCTAGAAGAAGACAACAAACTCAGTTTTGGACACGTTGAGCTTGAAGTGCATGTAGTGTACACGTCTATCCTATAATAAAACTTACCAAATGATAAAGTAATGATCATTTGGTTTGGGAGTGTCTTTCTGTTCTTAGATTGTAAGTGTTTTAAAGGTACAAATCAATCTTTATTATATATTCAGCACTTTTCGCAGTGCCTGGCACAATAAATGTTTGTTAAGTTGCAATCCTTTCTAAATTAATATATGTGGGAGCTTAAATTGCTATGTATTATATGAGTTTCAGGCTAGAGGTGGTGGCTCATGCCTGTAATCCCAGCACTTTGGGAGGCTGAGCTGGGAGGATTGCTTGAGCCCAGAAGTTCAAGACCAGCCTGGGCAACATAGCAAGACTCCATCTCTAAAAAAAAAAAAAAAAAAAAAGTTAGCCCCGTGTGGTGGTGTGCACCTGTAGTCCCAGCTACTCAGGAGGCTGAGGTGGGAGTGAGGTGGGAGGATCTCTTGAGCCTGGGAGGTCTAGGCTGCAGTGAACCATGATTGTGCCACTGGACTCCAGCCTAGGCAATAGAGTGAGACCTTGTCTCAAAATTAAAATAAAATAATTTTCATTTAAAAAAGTGTAACTCATATCACAGACCGAGGGCTAATTCCCTTAATATATAAATAATTATTATAAAATAAGAAAAAATAATCGAAGAAAAATACACAAACAATATAAACAGCTTACAGGTCAGGAAATAAAAATAAATCTTTACATATGGAAAGACCTTCCTTATATTAAGGGAGATTTAAGATTTAAGGGTACAATGAGATACCATTTTCCACCTAAGACTAGCAAGAATTAAAATGTCTACAAACTCATTGTGTTGGTGAAAGTGGGGGAAAACAGGCTTTCTTATATAATTAAGGCAAAATTTTAAATGCCCAAAGCTGTTTTCATCCTACAGATATATTCTTAGATGTGCAAGTTAGCATACTATGCAGTCATTTAGTGCAGGGGTCCCAACCTCTGGGCCATGGACTGGTACGGGTCCATGGCCTGTTAGGAACCAGGCTGCACAGCAGGAAGTGAGTAGCAGGTGAGCCAGCATTACGGCCTGAGCTCCGAATTCTGTCAGATGAGAGGCAGTAATAAATTCTCATAGGAGCACGGACCCGTTTGTGAACTGCACATGTGAGGAATCTAGGTTGTGTGTTCCTTATGAGAATCTAATGCCTGATGATCTGAGGTGGAACAGTTTCATCCCAAAACCATCTCCCCAGCCCCTGACCTCTGTGGAAAAACTGTCTTCCACAAAACCAGTGCCTTGTGCCAAAAAGTTTGAGGGCCGCTGCTTTAATGGAATGAAGCAGTTCAACGTTACTAATATAGACTAATCCCAAAGATAAATTGTTTAGTGAAAGAAGTAAGGTGTAAAGGAGTTTGGATTGTGTAGTAGCTTTGGTGTAAAACACAAGACTATACATACATATACTTCTATATACAAAGTATGTTTCCGTAAGAAACTGGTAATATGGTTTCCTCTGGAGAAGAGAACTGTAGAACTGAGATGTAGATAAGAGAGAGACTTTTCACTGTACACTCTTTTGTGCCTGCTGAATTTTGTGCCATGCAAATATGTTAAGAATTTTACCAAAAGTAGAAGTATGTCTACTCTACGACCCAGCAATTCCACCCCTTGGTATATACCCAAGAGAAATGAGTGCATATGTCCACCAACAGACATGTACAAGAATGTTTGTAATAACTTTTCTCATCATACTAAAAAATCGAAAAACCCCTAAATGTCCATCAACAGGAGAATAGATATATAAATTGAAGTATATTTATTTAATGGAATACCATACAGTAATAAAAAAGAAAAAAATGATGACGCAACTGAACAGGAAAATAATGTTGAGTTACAGAAGCCAAAACAAAAGAGTAAATACTGGGTGGTTCTGTTTATTTCAAGTTTAAAAATAGGCAAAACTTATAAATGGTGATAGAAGTCAGAATAGTGGTAACTATTCTGGCAAGAGTAGGCTAGGAGTATGGGGCAAGAGGATATTGACTGGGAAGAGATAAGAGAAATTGTGGGGTTGCTGGGAGTGTTCTGTGTCTTGAGCTGGTGGTGGTTAAATGGGAATATACCTATGTTAAAAAAAAAAACTGAGTTGTACACTAAAGCTCACTAAATACACTAAATGTATTTTACTGTATGTTATACTTCAATAAAGACATTTTTAAGGCATGAAAAATACACCTTACCAATTTGAAAAAAGTAGATAAAATACTATTAAACAATTTACCTAAATATCAAGTGACTTCTCCCTTTACATTGATAAAAGTCAATGTGGCTGTGTGTGGTGACTCACACCTGTAATCCCAGCATTTTAGGAGGCTGAGGCAGGTGCATCACCTGAGGTCAGGAGTTTGAGACCAGCGTGGTCAACATGGTGAAACCCTGTCTCTATTAAAACTACAAAAAATTAACCTGGCATGGTGGCAGGCACCTGTAATCCCAGCTACTTGGGAGGCTGAGGCAGGAGAATCGCTTGAACCCGGCAGGCAGAGGTTGCAGTGAGCAGAGATCACACCATTGCACTCCAGCCTGGGCGACAAGAGCAAACCTCCATCTCAAAAAAAAAAAAAAAAAAAAAAAAAAGTCAATGCAACTTTCATACTAAGAACCAATAAAAAAAAATAGGGAAACTGCTAGGGATTTCTTTAAACTAAAGAGAGAGAAAAGTAAAGCAACTATTGATTGTAACAATAAAATTCTGATTAAACCAATTATAAAAAACAAAATGAAAGAATTATCTATTATGACCTTAAGTTCTCAAAGACTGTAACATAATGCTTCGGCCCATCAGGGGCTAAAAAAATTCTTTCGTAAATTTGTTAAACAACTTTTAGAAATGTAAGCGTATAGGAGAAAGCTTTGACTGACATTTTTTCAGGGGATGCCATAGTAACCGAGAGAGAGTTCAGTTTGTTGAAAAGTGGTAGTTAGACTTGGAAGGGACAAGGGCAATGTGGAGTAATAGGGTTTATCTGGTCCACAGAGAGGTAGAACAGTGGTGATCTTTGTAGAGAAAAGGTCAGAAGAACCAGGTAGTCAGGAAGAAGAGAGAGAGAGGCAAGAAAGAGACAAGGCTCTAGGCACCCAGAATGTTTAAAAGTGAACAAAAAAAAAGGTATGTGATACTATAAAACAAATTGCTTTAGGATACATCAGGAAAGCTCAAGAATGAGAGGAGGGAGGGGGACAGTTACCCAAAGTGAAAGCAACAAGTCCTGCTTTTTAGACTTTTTCAGTTCAGGAAGGTGCCAAAGGCAAGTATTCAGGTCAGCCCTCTGCACTGAAGGATTTCAACTTCTAGTTTATTAGGGTTTTTTCCCCCTAATAAGTTACTTCTCTGATTAAAAAGTAATAGAAGCTTATTGTAGAAAATTTGGAAAATGCAGAAGAATATTAAGGAGAAATAAAAAAATCACTCAGAGATGAACACTGTAACATTTTGGTATAGTACAATTTATTTTTCCTTCCTTCCTTCCTTCTTTTTTTTTTTTTTTTTTTCAGAGTCTTGCTTTGTCACCCAGGCTGGAGTGCAGTGGCGTGATCTCAGCTCACTGCGATCTCAACCTCTTGGGCTCAAGTGATCCTCCCATCTCAACCTCCTGAGTAGCTGGGACCACAGGTATGCACCACCATGCCTGGCTAATTTTTGTGGTTTTGGTAGAGATGGGGTTTTGTCATGTTGCCCAGGCTGGTATAGGGCAATTTCCAGCAAACAGAGAGCAGCAAAATGTCAAGTCAGTGAAAGGCTCCCTTGCCTTGGGAACACAAATGTTGTTTATTCTTGGAGATTCATCATTTTATTTTATTGGTGCATTTTTTACTAGAAGATTCATGACGGCAGAAAATTTTGTCTGTGTTGTTCATTGCTATATCCCCAGTGACTAGCACATAAGTGGCATTCCAGGAATATTTGTTAAATTACCTTTTTTTTTTTTTTCACATTTACTTAGGAAGATTAGCTGCTATTTCTTATTTTTTCCCTTCCATAATTAAAACATTTTAAATCATTTTCATGATCCATTTCATGACTTTTCTAATTTACCAGATCAATCTAGTCATTAAGTAGATCTATCTGTTGAAGTTGGGAAAATGTCAAATGTAAACTAAAGCTTTGTGGTTTATATGAGTGTCCCCATTTTATTTCTTCTATGAGGCCTTTTCATGCACTATCCCTGAAAACTCGCAAAAACGATTCCTTCCATTCTTTATGTTAATCTATTGTTCATATAATTTATCAAAAAGAACTCGAGGCCTGGTGTGGTGGCTCATGCCTGTAATCTCAGTGCTTTGGGAGGCCGAGGCAGGAGGATCGTTTGAGGCCAGGTGTTCCTAAACCAACATATTCAGATCCTTATCTCTACCAGACCAAAAACAAAACAAAACAAAACTTAGCTGGGCATGGTGGCATGCACCTGTAGTCCTAGCTACTGAGGGAGGAGGATCTCTTGAGCCCAAGAGTTTGAGGCTGCAGTGAGCTATGATTATACCACTGCACTCTAGCTTGGGGACAGCATGAGATCCCATTTCTATTAAAAATAATAATAATAACTTGAAAATCAATTTAACATCTAGGGCATTACAGCTTATTTTTTAAAGGAAAAACAGGATTTTTTTAAAAAATTTATGTTGGGATACTATATTTTTTCCCTCCAAAGCAGGGGTGAGACCTCTTGGCTCACTGCAGCCTCCATCTCCTGGGATCAAGCAATCATCCCACCTCAGCCTCCTGAGTAGCTGGGACTATAGACACACGCCACCACACCCAGCTAATTTTTAAACTTTTTGTAGAGACAGGCTCTCCCTATGTTGCCTGGGCTGGTCTCAAACTCCTGGGCTCAAGGGATTCACCTGCTTTGGCCTCCCAAAGTTTTGGGATTACAGGCATGAGCCACTGCATCCAGCCAGGACTTACCTTTGAATAGTGAAACATGATCAAGGAGATTCCATGATGTTTAGAAGTCTATGAAGGAAGAAAGAATATTAAATATCTTGCAGTAAAATTTTTCAAGGAGGGCAGATGAAATTACTCAAGCTTGAAATAGAGCCACAACTCTGCAGTCAACAGTCTCACTGTTGGAACTAAAATAAGACCCTTGAAATCCTCCAGAATCAGAGGTAGCCAGGATCCTTCAAACACCCCAAGCCAACAAGGCCTCAGTGCCCACAACATAGTTATTTGTGGGGTGGGGGATAACAAAAGAATCACACAGTTAAGCAAAGAGGGGTTTTATTTGTTCACATAACTGGGAAGTCTGGAGGTAGACCTAAGCTAGGCATGGCTGGGTTCATATCAGGGTTCTCTCCCAGCATCTACATGATCAAATCTCAGGAGAGACTGATCGGTACTGCTTGGAGCATCTACATATTTGCTGGAGCAATAATACTAATCAGAGAATAAGTGATTTGAATTGGCAAGGCCTGGGCCACATGTCCATCCGTATGAGTAGAAAGTGGGATCAGCCTCACTCAAAATAAGTGAGGTGGATTTTCCATGAGAAAGAGGGGTTCTGTCAACACCTGGAGTAGGAAAGGGTATTAGTGACAACGTCAAGCCCTGTGCCCCTGGAAAACAGCAAGGATCAGGAAACCATCTCCCTCCAACTTTTTTGTTTTGTTTTGTTTTGTTTTGAGACAAGGTCTTGCTCTGTTGCCCAGGCTGGAGTGCAGTGGTGAGATCTTGGCTCACTGCAACCTCCGTCTCCTGGGTTCAAGTGATTCTCCTCCCCCAGTCTCCCAAGTAGCTAGGACTACAGGTGCACACCATCACGCCGGTTAATTTCTGTATTTTTAGTAAAGACGGGGTTTTGCCATGTTGGCCATCTGGTTTCAAACTCATGACCTCAAATGATCTGCCTGCCTCTGCCTCCCAAAGTGCTGGGATTACAGGCATGAGCCACTGCGCCCAGCCTCCCTCCAACCTTTGTGTTCCAGGAAATGACTTACAGCAAATAATTGCCCTTCCCCATACGACTTAGAGACTTGGAGTGACCCCCTTGTCTAACTATGACAAAGCCATATAGAGATCCTCTAATTTCCCATTCTTTGACTCATAAATGATTAGCTGACCTGTTTGTTTCCACAGGCCAATCTGGACAAAATGCCTGCTAACTGGGCTAAACTTTAGTCAGGCCTCTGTCATTCTTCCAAGTCCCTGAACTTGGCCCACCCTTAAACATTAGAGCTAGGAACAAGCCCTCCTTAATGGCCCCTACTGAGACTAGCGTACCCAGCAGGGGGAACTGTTCCCTGACGCACCGCAGGATAACCTGCTCATCCTGGTAGACCTCACCTGCTTCCTTCCAGCCTGCTTTCCTCCTCCCTGTAAAAGAAAAGCCCTTTTCTGCCTGGTCTTGGAGATGCTTGCAGATCTTACAGTTGACCATCAGAGCATTCTCTCTATTATAATAGTCCTCTTCCTCTTACTGCAATAACCCTTTTGAGTAAAGTCTCACTTTACCTCTGTCCAGATTTGCTATTTGACCCTGGCCAGAGAAAACAATAGATGTCTACCACAACACACTATTATCCAGTTGGATGGGGCTTGAGGGGATGAAAATTAGTTACACCCTCCCTCTAGCTCTCAGTTTTGAGTCAGTGGAGACATAGAAGCAGGGAATCTGGGAGCTCAAAATGTCAGTCTTAAAAAGGAAGGAAGTTCTGACACCATGCTACAACATGGATGAGCCTTGAAGACATCATGCTAAGTGAAATGAGCCAGTCACAAAAAGGACAAACACTGCATGGTTCCACTCCTATGAGGTATCTAGAGTAGTGAAAATCATAGACACAGAAAGTAGAATGGTGGTTGCCAACGGCTGGAAGGAGGGGAAAATGATGAATTGTTGATTAATGGATATAGAGTTTCAGCTTTGCAAGAGGAAAAAGTTCTGGAGACTGGTAGAGATTGGTTAATGCAAATATAATTAATACTACTGAATTGTACACTTAAAAATGGTAAGATGATAAATTTTATGTCATCTATTTTTTTAAACCACAATAAAAATTATTTTTTAAAAAACATTAGTTCACAGCTAATAAAGCTGGTTGGAGAATGTGGCATAGTCTGTGGCCAAATGGGCTTACTGATACTCACTTCCCTGAATTAAAATAAACCTCTTCTAACTTCAGTCCTTTTTGCAGGGCAGGGCTTACTCTAGGAAACTTATTGCAAGGTAAGTCAAGTCCTTAAGGTCTGGCCACTCAGAGAGAAAGAGGGGCTGAGTCACACATTTAGCAATTCTTTCCCTCAATCTTGCCAAAGAAGGTGCTTTTTCCCGAGGAGAGAGTGAGACAAGGGAAGAAGCCCAAGCATCCCAAGCTGTCACTCGTGGGGAGCAGACAGAGAGCTGAGGGGATAAGCATTCACCCCTAACCAGTGTGTTGAAAGAAAAGCTGGGTACCTGTAATCCCAGCACTTTGAGAGGCTCAGGCAGGTGGATTGCTCGAGCCTAGGAGTTTGAGACCAGCCTGGCCAACATGGTGAAACCCTGTCTCTACTGAAAATACAAAAATTAGCCAGGCATGGTGGTGCGTGCCTCTAATCCCAGCTACTTGGGAGGCTGAGGCACCAGAATTGCTTGAACCCGGGAAGCAGAAGTTGCAGTGAGCCAAGATTGTGCGACTGCACTGCAGCTTGGGCGACTGAGCAAGATTCTGTCTCAAAAAAAAAAAAAAGAAAAAAAAAAGAGGAAGGAAGAAAGAAATAAGGAAGGAAGGAAGGAAGGAAGGAAGGAAGGCAGGCAGACAGGCAGGCACATTAGGGCAAGGCTCTCATGCCTGTGATCCCAGTGCTTTGGGATGCCAAGGCAGGAGGGCTTGAGACCAGGAATCTCAGACCAGCCTGGGCAACATGGAGAGAACTCATCTCTACCAAAGCAACAAAACAAAATTAGCCGGGTGTGGTGCTGAGAGCCTATAGTCCTAGCTACTAGGGAGGCTGAGGCAGAAGGATGGCTTGAGCCCAGGAGGTCAAGGCTACAGTGAGCTATGATAGTGCCACTGCACTCTGGCCAGGTGGGTGAAAGAGCAAGCCCTGTCTCTAAATAAATAAATAAAAAGAAAGACGATATTAGAATATAAATTTGAAAATTTATAAAGATGATAAAATTTATCATCTTACCATTTTTAAGTGTACAATTCAGTAGTATGAATTATATTTGCATTAACCAATTGTATTCACAGTATCACTAGGATAACAGGATGTAAAGTGATCTTTCTTTTTTCTAAATTAAACAAATATTATTGTTATGCCTTTTAAAACATAATTCTGCTAACATCAGAAGTACCACATTTATAATAATTTGATACACACAATTTATTAAGTGGCTAAAAGGGAAAAAACAAAGAGAATTATTAATGTACAGTTCACATTTTATAATTATGCTAATTATTTTCTGGCTTTTTCTCATGTAAGGTTCATTAATATCATCAGTGAAGCTGAACAGTTTCAGAATGCTTTTAATTGACATTAATGCCAAAACAAAAGGATAATTTTCCATCGTAAACATTTATCTGATCAACATGTTTTCATTTGAAAAAGAAATACATTCCCCTCAAGCACAAAAACTTTAAGATCAGATACAAGTAGATTAGATATATTTGACTGGATGCACATTTTTAAAAATATATATAATTTAACTCACTATAGTGCTAAGGACCTTCCTAGAGATATTGGATGTGCTTCCAACATCTCTATGGAGAAGGTAGTGTAGATTTCATTTTGCTAGTTTATCAGATGAGAGTAAAAGAAGCGTATTGTGCTAAATTATGTGCTTCAGACCATACAACTAAGGAGTGAAATAGCTGCATGTAAAACTCCATTCTCTTTTCTCTGTGCTTTTCAAAGAGTGTGTGTTTAATTATAAGCTTTTCTGCTGGGCACGAAGGCTCACACCTGTAATTCCAGCCCTTTGGGAGGCTGAGGCAGGAGCATCAGCTGAGGTCAGGGGTTTGAGATCAGCCTGGCCAACATGGTAAAGTCCTGTCACTACTAAAAATACAAAAATTAGTTGAGTGTGGTGGCGTACCCCTGTAATCCCAGCTGCTTGGGAGGCTGAGACAGGAGGATGGCTTCAACCCAGGAGACAAAGGTTGCAGTGAGCCGAGATTGCACCATTGCACTCCGGCCTGGGCAACAGAGTGAGACTCTGTCTCGAGGAAAAAAAAGAGCTTTTCTCTCTCATTTAATGTAATGAAAGGTTATCTATGAAGGTTGCAGTTATTCACAATCAGATTTTAAAGAGAAAAATTATTCATATTGTGTGTAAATTATACTTCAATTAAAAAACTTTTTCAATATAAAACAAAGTCAGAGAAAACTTTTCTCTGTGGGAACTTCAGGCAAATGAATGAGTACATTCAGAGTAGGCTGCAGTATGACACTTTGGATAGCACAGGGCAAAAATATTATACTTTGCATCTTTAAAAAAGAGGTCACATAGATACTGCTATGTCAAAATTGTATATCCTCTATCAGCCCAAAGCACATTTGGCTTGAATAATTTCCACATCCTCAGAGACATTCATTCTCTAAGGAATCAATCCATTTAGGAAATTATGTCCTAGAACTTGTACTAAAAAATGAAGGGGGCTTATCTATCACACTTGTTTTGAGAGGAAAATGGTGTGCTTTAGATAAAACATTACAGTGACCAAAATACCTCCCATCTGTCAACTTTATATTCCTCTCATTCACTTTCACATCATGCACTTGGTAGGACTCATAGGAGAAAAGCAGACAAGAACCTATTTTTACTGCTGTTGAAAGCATGCCAGTTTGGCAAGGGTGTGGAGCAGTGGGCACTCTCATGCACAGTAGGAGTATAAATTGGTTCAGCCTTTCTGGAAGGTAATTTGGCAATATACAGGATGTCAACATTTTAAATAAGCATATCCTTTGGCCCAGAAATTTAATTTCTGGGAATTCATCCCACTGAACAAATTGGACAAACATGCAAAGATATACATAAAAGGCCTTCATGAAGCATTGTTTACAATAATGATAAATTAGAAATCACCTACATCTCTATCACTAGGGGACTGATTAAATACATTATGGTAGATCTGTTCAGTGGAGTATTTTGCAGTGCATTAAAACGACCACGTGGCCGGGCGTGGTGGCTCGTGCCTGTAATCCCAGCACTTTGAGAGGCTGAGGTGGGCAGATCACCTGAGGTCAGGAGTTCAAGACCAGCCTGACCAACATGGAGAAACCCCATCTCTACTAAAAATACAAAATTAGCCGGCCATGGTGGCGCATGCCTGTAATCCCAGCTACTCAGGAGGCTGAGGCAGGATAATTGCTTGAACCCGGGAGGCAGAGGTTGCAGTGAGCCAAGGTCACGCCATTGTACTCTAGCCTGCGCAACAAGAGCAAAACTCCGTCTCAAAAAAACCAAACAAACCAAAACAAAACCATCATGTACACTTGTGTTTATTGCTAAGAAAAGGTTACAAAACAGCATCTGGATTGTGAAAAGTTTTCTACATGCATAGGAAGAAGCCTGGAAGGATGCATAACATAACATGATTATCTCCGGGTTTCAGGGTTTCAAATGATTTTTACTTCTTTATTCCTTTTATGTTTGTTGAAACTGTCCCATCAGCATGTATCACTAGTTTAATCATAAAATATACGTCATAGTAGTCAGCTTGGGCTGCCATAACAAAATACCACAGATTGGGTGGCTTAAGCAACAAAAATTTATTTCTCCCATTCCTGGAGGCTGAAAAGTCCAAGATCAAGATATCAGCTGGTTTTGTTCTTGGTGAGGGCCTTCTTCCTGGCTTGCAGATGGCCTGTTTTTCACTGTGTCCTCACATGGTAGAGACAGAGAGTGAGAAAGACAGAGAGAGAGAGACAGACAGACAGACAGACAGACAGACCAAGAGCCTTGTACCTCTGCCTGTTCTGCTTTTTTTTTTTTTAGGGTTTTTTTTTTGTTTTTTTTTTTTTGAGACAGGGTCTCACTCTGTTGCCCAGGCTGGAGTACAGTGGTGCAATCATAGCTCACTGCAACCTCCAACTCCTGGGTTCAAATGAGCCTCCAGCTTCAGCCTCCTGAGTAGCTGCCACTACAGGCACACACTACCACACCTGGCTAAGTTTTATTTTTTATAGAGACAGGATCTCACTTTGTGGCTCAGGCTGGTCTTGAACTCCTGGCCTCAAGTGATCCTCTCACCTCAGCCTCTCAAAGTGTGGGATTACAGATGTGAGCTGCTGTACCCAGGCTCTGCCTCTTTTTTTTTTTTAGACAGGGTCTTGCTCTGTTGCCCAGGCTGGAGTGCAGTGGCGTGATCTCGGCTCACTGCAACCTCCATCTCCCAGTTCAAGCAATTCTCCTGCCTCAGGCTCCCGAGTAGCTGGAACTACAGGTGCCCACCACCACGCCCAGCTAGTTTTTGCATTTTTTTAATAGAGATGGAGGTTCACCATGTTGGCCAGGCTGGTCTCAAACTCCTGACCTCAAGTGATCTCCCCACCTTGGCCTCCCAAAGTGCTGGGATTACAGGCATGAGCCACTGCGCCCGGCTGCTCTGTCTCTTCTTATAAGGGCATCAGTTCTATAGGATTAGGGTCTAACCCTTATGATGTCATTTAACCTTTATCACCTTCTCATAGGCTCTATGTCTAAATATAGTCACATTGAACGTTAAGGCTTGAACATATGAATTTTGTTGATGACATGTCTTCTGGCTTAAAAAACAATTAAGACATGTATGTTAGGCCCTTCTTGCATTGCAATAGAGAAATAGAGCATGGCGGATCTCGGCTGTAATTGTAGGACTTTACGGGGCCAGGATTGCTTGAGGCCAGGCATTTGAGAACAGCCTGGGCAACATAGCAAAAACCCATCTCTACAAAAAGTTTAAAAATTATCTGGGCGTGGTGGCTCACACCTCATAGCTCACACCTACCCAGATAGTCTCAGCTACTTGGGAAGGTGAAGCAAGAGGATTGCTTGAGCCTAGGAAATCAAGTCTGCAGTGAGCTATGAGCAAGCCATTGCACGCCAGCCTGGGTGGCAGAGTGAGATCTTGTCTCGAAAGAAAGAAAAGGAAAGAAAAGAAAAGAAAGAGAAAGAGAAAGAAGAGAGAAAAAGAGAAAGAAAGAAAGACAGAGAAGAAAGAGAGAGAAGGAAGGAAGGAAGGAAAAGAAAGAAAGAGAAAGACCTGAGACTGTATAATTTATAGAGAAAATATATTTAATTGGCTCATAATTCTGCAGGCTGCACAGGAAGCATATCAGCATCTGCTTCTTGGGAGGTCTTAGGAAGCTTCCAATCATGGTGGAAGGCAAAGGGCGAGCAGGCACATGACATGGCGGGAACAAGAGTAAGCACAAGAGTAGGGGCCATGCCACACACTTTTAAACAACCAGATCTCAGACCAAGAGATCATTTATTACCAAAGAGGATGGCCCAAGCCATTCATGAGAGATCTGCCCCCATGATCCAAACACCTCCCACCAGACCCCACCTCCAACATTGGGGGTTATCATTCAGCATGAAATTTGGTGGGAATATACATTCAAACTATATCAACATGTCAACTTGAACAATTGTTTTTAGGAGAAAATATTTGCAAATCATTTATCTGATAAGAGATTAGCATCTAGAATATAGAAAGAACTCCTATAACTCAACCACACCAAAGAAACCAAGCAATCCAATTAAAAAATTGATGATTTAGGGTCACTTTCAAGGTGGCCAAATAGGAACAACTCCGGTCTACAGGTCCCAGCGAGATTGGCGCAGAAGACGGGTGATTTCTGCATTTCCAGCTGAGGTACCTGGTTCATCTCATTGGGACTGGTTGGACAGTGGGTGCAGCCCACAGAGGGTGAGCCGAAGCAGGGCAGGGCATCACCTCACCCGGGAAGTTCAAGGGGTCAGGGGATTTCCCTTTCCTAGCTAAGGGAAACCATGAGTGACTGTACCTGGAGGAATGGTACACTCCAGCCCAAATACTGTGCTTTTCCCATGGTCTTTGCAACTGGCAGTCCAGGAGATTCCCTCCTGTGCCTGGCTTGGCGGGTCCTATGCCCACAGAGCCTTGCTCGCTGCTAGTGCAGCAGTCTGAGATCGACCTGGGATGCTGGAGCTTGGTAGGGATGGGGAGATCCGCCATTGCTGAGGCTTGAGTAGGTGGTTCTATGCTCACAGTATAAACAAAGTGGCAGGGAAGCTTGAACTGGGTGGAGCCCACCACAGTTCAGCAAGGCCCACTGCCTCTCTAGATTCCACCTCTGGGGGCAGGGCATATCTGAACAAAAGGCAGCAGACAGCTTCTGCAGACTTAAACAACCCTGCCTGACAATTCTGAAGAGAGCAGTGGTTCTCCCAGCATGACATTCGAGCTCCAATAACAGACAGACTGCCTTGTCAAGTGGGTCCCTGACCCCTGTATAGCATGACTGGGAGACACCTCCCAGTAGGGTCTGACAGACACCTGATACAGGCAGGGGCCCCTCTGGGATGAAGCTTCCAGAGGAAGGATCAGGCAGCAATATTTGCTGTTCTGCAGCCTCTGCTGGTGATACCGAGACAAACAGGGTCTGTAATGGACCTCGAGCAAACTCCAACAGACCTGCACCCGGGGGGCCTGTCTGTTAGAAGGAACACTAACAAACAGAAAGGAATAGCATCAACATTAACAAAAAGGACATCCACACCAAAACCCCATCCGTAGGTCACCAACATCAAAGACCAAAGGTAGATAAAACCACAAAGATGGGGAGAAACCAGAGTAGAAAGGCTGAAAATTCCAAAAACCAGAATGCCTCTTCTCCTTCAAAGGAACACAACTTTCCAGCAAGCAAACGAAACTGGACAGAGAATGACTTTGATGAGTTGACAGAAGTAGGCTTCAGAAGGTCGGTAATAACAAACTTCTCCGAGCTAAAGGAGTATGTTCTAACCCATCGCAAGGAAGCTAAAAACTTTGAAAAAAAGTTAGATGAATGGCTAACTAGAATCACCAGTGTAGAGAAGAGCTTAAATGACCTGATGGAGCTGAAAACCACAGTACGAGAACTTCATGAAGCATGCACAAGCTTCAATAGCCGAATTGATCAAGCGGAAGAAAGAATATGAGTGATTGAAGATCAAATTAATGAAAAAAAGCAGGAAGACAAAATTAGAGAAAAAAGAGTGAAAAGAAATGAACAAAGCCTCCAAAAAATATGGGACTATGTGAAAAGACCAAATGTACATTTGATTGGTGTACCTGAAAGTGACGGGGAGAATGGAAGCAAGTTAGAAAACACTCTTCTTGGATATTATCCAAGAGAACTTCCCCAACCTAGCAAGGCAGGCCAACATTCAAATTCAGGAAATACAGAGAACACCACAAGGATACTCCTTGAGAAGAGCAACCCCAAGACACATAATTCTCAGATTCACCAAGGTCGAAATGAAAGAAAAAATGTTAAGGGCAGCCAGAGAGACAGGTCGGGTTACCCACAAAGGGAAGCCCATCAGACTAATAGTGGATCTCTCGGCAGAAAACGTACAAGCCAGAAAAGAGTGGCGGCCAATATTCAACATTCTGAAAGAAAAGAATTTTCAACCCAGAATTTCATATCCAGCCAAACAAAACTTCATAAGTGAAGGAGAAATAAAATCCTTTACAGACAAGCAAATGCTGAGAGATTTTGTCACCACCAGGCCTGCCTTACAACGGTTCCTGAAGGAAGCACTAAACATGGAAAGGAACAACCAGTACCAGCCACGGCAAAAACATGCCAAATTGTAAAGACTATCAATGCTATGAAGAAACTGCATCAATTAACGGGCAAAATAACCAGCTAGCATCATAATGACAGCATCAAATTCACACATAACAATATCAATCTTAAATTTAAATGAGCTAAATGCCCCAATTAAAAGATACAGACGGGCAAATTGGATAAAGAGTCAAGACCCATCAGTGTGCTGTATTCAGGAGACCCATCTCACATGCAAAGACATACATAGGCTCAAAATAAAGGGATGGAGGAAGATCTACTAAGCAAATGGAAAACAAAAACAAAAAACCCAGGAGTTGCAATCCTGGTCTCTGATAAACCAGACTTTAAACCAACAAAGATCAAAAGAGACAAAGAAGGCCATTACATAACGGTAAATGGATCAATGCAACAAGAAGAGCTAACTATCCTAAATATATATGCACCCAATACAGGAGCACCCAGATTCATAAAGCAAGTTCTTAAAGACCTACAAAGAGACTTAGACTCCCACACAATAATAATGGGAGACTTTAACACCCCACTGTCAATATTAGACAAACAAATGAGACAGAAAATTAACAAGGATATCCAGGACTTGAACTCAGCTCTGGACCAAGTGGACCTAATAGATATTTACAGAACTCTCCACCCCAAATCAACAGAATATACATTCTTCTCAGCACCACATCACACTTATTCTAAAATTGGCCACATAATTGGAAGTAAAACACTCCTCAGCAACTGTAAAAGAACAGAAATCACAACAAACTGTCTCTCAGACCACAGTGCAATCAAATTAGAACTCAGGATTAAGAAACTTACTCAAAACTGCACAACTACATGGAAATCAAACAACTAGTTCATGAATGACTACTGGGTAAATAATGAAATGAAGGCAGAAACAAAGATGTTCTTTGACACCAATGAGAACAAAGACACAATATACCAGAATCTCTGGGAGACATTTAAAGCAGTGTGTAGAGGGAAATTTATAGCACTAAATGCCCACAAGAGAAAGCAGGAAAGATCTAAAATCGACACCCTAACATCACAATGAAAAGAACTAGAGAAGCAAGAGCAAACAAATTCAAAAGCTAGCAGAAGGCAAGAAATAACTAAGATAAGGAGCAGAACTGAAGGAGATAGAGACAAAAAAAAAAAGAAAAACCCTTCAAAAAATCAATGAATCCAGGAGCTGGTTTTTTGAAAAGATCAACAAAATTGATAGACCACTAGCAAGACTAATAAAGAAGAAAAGAGAGAAGAATCAAATAGACACAGTAAAAAATGATAAAGGGGATATCACCACTGATCCCACAGAAATACAAACTACCATCAGAGAATACCATAAACACCTCTATGCAAATAAACTAGAAAATCTAGAAGAAATGGATAAATTCCTGGACACATACACCCTCCCAAGACTGAACCAGGAAGAAGTTGAATCTCTGAATAGACCAATAACAGGTTCTGAAATTGAGGCAATAATTAGTAGCCTACCAACCAAAAAAAAAAGTCCAGGACCAGATGGATTCACAGCCACATTCTACCAGAGGTACAAAGAGGAGCTGGTACCATTCCTTCTGAAACTATTCCAATCAATAGAAAAAGAGGGAATCCTCCCTAACTCATTTTATGAGGCCAGCATCATCCTGATACCAAAGCCTGGCAGAGACACAACAACAAAAAAGAGAATTTTAGACCAATATCCCTGATGAACATTGATACGAAAATCCTCAGTGAAATACTGGCAAACCAAATCCAGCAGCACATCAAAAAGCTTATCCACCACGATCAAGTTGGCTTCATCCCTGGGATGCAAGGCTGGTTCAACACATGCAAATCAATAAATGTAATCTATCACATAAACAGAACCAATGACAAAAACCACATGATTATCTCAATAGATGCAGAAAAGGTCTTTGACAAAATTCAACAGCCTTTAATGCTAAAAACTCTCAATAAACTAGGTATTGATGGAATGTATCTCAAAATAATAAGAGCTATTTATGACAGATCCACAGCCAATATCATACTGAATGGGCAAAAACTGGAAGCATTCCCTTTGAAAACCAGCACAAGACAAGGATGCTCTCTCTCACCACTCCTATTCAACATAGTATTGGAAGTTCTGGCCAGGGTAATCAGGCAAGAGAAAGAAATAAAGGGTATTCGATTAGGAAAAGAGGAAGTAAAATTGTCTCTATTTGCATATGACATGATTGTATATTTAGAAAACCCCATCGTCTCAGCCCAAAATCTCCTTAAGCTGATAAGCAACTTCAGCAAAGTCTCAGGATACAAAATCAATGTGCAAAAATCACAAGCATTCCTATACACCAATAAGAGACAAACAGAGAGCCAAATCATGAGTGAATTCCCATTCACAATTACTACAAAGAGAATAAAATACTTAGGAATCCAACTTACAAGGGATGCAAAGGATCTCTTCAGGGAGAACTACAAACCACTTCTCAATGAAATAAAAGAGGACACAAACAAATGGAAGACTATCCCATGCTCATGGATAGGAAGAATCAATATTGTGAAAATGGCCATACTGCCCAAAGTAATTTATAGATTCAATGCCATCCCCATCAAGCTACCACTGACTTTCTTCACAGAATTGGAAAAAGCTACTTTAAATTTTATATGGAACCAAAAAAGAGCCCAAGTAGCCAAGATGATCCTAAGCAAAAAGAACAAAGCTGGAGGCATCACGCTACCTGACTTCAAACTATACTATAAGGCTACAGTAACCAAAACAGCATGGTACTGGCATCAAAACAGATATATAGACCAGTGGAACAGAACAGAGGCCTCAGAAATAACACCACACATCTACAACCATCTGATCTTTGACAAACCTGACAAAAACAAGCAACGGGGAAAGGATTCCCTATTTAATAAATGGTGTTGGGAAAACTGGCTGGCCATATGCAGAAAGCTGAAACTGGATCCCTTCCTTACACCTTATACAAAAATTAACTCAAGATGGATTAAAGACTTAAATATAAGACCTAAAACCATAAAAACTCTAGAAGAAAACCTAGGCAATACCATTCAGGACATAGGCATGGTCAAGGACTTAATGACTAAAACACCAAAAGCAATGGCAACAAAAGCCAAAATTGACAAATGGGATCTAATTAAACTAAAGAGCTTCTGCACAGCAAAAGAAACTACCATCAGAGTGAACAGCAACCTACAGAATGGGAGAAAATTTTTGCAATCTCTCCGTCTGACAAAGGGCTAATATCCAGAATCTACAATGAACTTAAACAAATTTACCAGAAAAAAACAAACCCATCAAAAAGTGGGCAAAGGATATGAACAGACACTTCTCAAAAGAAGACATTTATGCAGCCAACAGACACATGAAAAAATGGTCATCATCACTGGTCATCAGAGAAATGCAAATCAAAACCACAATGAGATACCGTCTCACACCAGTTAGAATGGCGATCATTAAAAAGTCAGGAAACCACAGATGTTGGAGAGGATGTGGAGAAATAGGAACACTTTTACACTGTTGGTGGGAGTGTAAATTAATTCAACCATTGTGGAAGACAGTGTGGTGATTCCTCAAGGATCCAGAACTAGAAATACCATTTGACCCAGGGATCCCATTACTGGGTATATACCCAAAGGATTATAAATCATGCTACTATAAAGACACATGCACACATATGTTTATTGCGGCACTATTCACAATAGCAAAGACTTGGAACCAACCCCAAATGTCCATCAATAATAGGCGCAATAAAGAAAATGTGGCACATATACACCATGGAATACTATGCAGCTACAAAAAAGGATGAGTTTATATCCTTTGCAGGGACGTGGATGAAGCTGGAAACCATCATTCTCAGCAAAATATCACAAGGACAGAAAACCAAATACTGCATGTTCTCACTCATAAGTGGGAATTGAACAATGAGAACACATGGACATAGGGAGGGGAACATCACACACTGGGACTTTTGTGGGGCGGGGGCCTGGGGGAGGGATAGCGTTAGGAGAAATACCTAATGTAAATGATGAGTTGATGGGTGCAGCAAACCAACATGGCACATGTATACCTATGTAAGAAACTTGCACGTGGTGCACATGTGCCCTAGAACTTAAAACATAATAATAATAAAAATTGATGATTTGAATAGTCATTTCTTCAAATAAGATATATAAATGGCCAAGAAGCACATGAAAAAGATGCTCAATGTCACTAATCATTAGGGAAATAAAAATTATACCCATGATGGAAGAAGTATACTTCATATGCACTAGGATGGCTACTATTAAAAAAACAACAACAACAACCAGAAAACAACAAGAGCTGGCAAGGATGTGAGGAAATTGGAACTATTGTGCATTGCTGGAGGGATAGTAAAATGGTACATCTGCTATAAAAAACAATATGGTGGTTCCTTAAAATATTAAACAGAGAATTTGCATATGTGATGGTTAATTTTATGTGACAACTTGACTGGGCCACCATGTGCCCAAATATTCGATAAAACATTATTCTGGGTGTGTCTGTGAAGGTGTTTCAGGATGAGATTAACATTTGAATCAGTAGACTCAGTAAAGTAGATTGCTCACCCCAATGTGAGTAGGCCTCATCCAACCCATTGAAGGCCCTGAATGGAACAAAAGGCTGAGTAGGGAAGGATTCACTGTATCTGATCTGATCTTTGACCTGGGACGTCAGTTTCCCCCTGCCTTTGGACTTGAACTTAAACTAGAACTTACACCATTGCCTCTTCTGGTTCTCAGGCCTTTGGACTCAGTGTGGAAATATATTATCAGTTCTCTTGATACTACAGCTTGCAAACTGCTGATCTTGGGACTTCCACTCCTGGGTAGTCCATTCTTCCATCCAAAAGAATGAAAACAAGGTCTTAGAGATTTACACACCAATGTTTGTAGCTGCATTGTTCACAGTAGTCAAAAGCTAGAAACAATTCAAATGTCCACTGATGGATGGATAAAGAAAATATGGCGGCCAGGAGTGGTGGCTCATGCCCGTAATCCCAACATTTTAGGAGGCCGAGGCAGGAGGATCACCTGAGATCAGGAGTTCGACACCAGCCTGATCAACATGGAGAAACTGTGTCTCTACTAAAAACACAAAATTAGCCAGGTGTGGTGGCACATGCCTGTAATCCCAGCTACTCGGGAGGCTGAGGCTGGAGAACTGCTTGAACCCAGAAGCGGGAGGTTGTGGTGAGCCAAGATTGCACCACTGCACTCCAGCCTGGGCAACAGGAATGAAACTCTGTCTCAAAAAAAAAAAAAAAGAAAGAAAATATAGTGTGTGTGTGTGTGTGTGTGTGTGTGTGTGTGTGTGTGTAATATTATTCAGCCTTAAAAAGGGAAGGGAATTCTTAACATAACATAGATGAATCTCGAGGCTAAGTAAATTAAGCTAGACACAAAGAACAAATGCTGTATGATTCCACTTATATAACATATCTAGGGTAGTCAAATTCATAGAGACAGAAAGTAGAATTGTGGTTGCCACAGGCTGGGTGGGAGGGCAAAATGAGTTGTTGTGTAATGGGTACAAGTTTCAGTTTTGCAAGAAGAGTTCTGGAGATAGATAGTGGTGATGATTGCACAACAATGTGAATATGTTTAATGTCACAGAACTGTATATTTAAAAGTGCTTTAAGTGGCAAATTTTATGTTATGCTATTATCTTATCTCAATTTAAAAAACAACTGTTAGGCTGGGCATAGTGGCTGTAATCCCAGCACTTTGGGAGGCCAAGGAAGGAGGATTACTTGAATCCGGGAGTTCAAGACCAGCCTGGGCAACATGGCAAAACCCTGTCTCTAAAAAATACAAAAATTAGCCAGTTAGCTCGGTGTGGTGGCATGTTCCTGTAGTCCCAGCTACTCGGGAGGCAGGGAGGATCACTTGAGCCCAGGAGGTGGAGATTGCAGTGAGATGAAATTGCGCCATTGCAATCCAGCCTGGGTGAGAGAGTGAGACACTGTTTCAATAAAAATAAAAATAAAATAAAAAACAATTGTTCTCTACATAGAGGTATGTATTCGTTTATTTATTTATTTATTTATTTATTTATTTATTTATTTATTTTTTAAGAGACAATCTATCACCCAGGCTGAAGTGCAGTGGGAGGATCATAGCTCCCCATGCCCGGCTAATTTTTTTTTTTTTTTTTAGAGACAGGGTCTTGCTATCTTGCCCAGGCTGGTCTCAAACTCCTGGGCTCAAGCAATCCTCTCACTTCAGCCTCCCAAAACACTGGGATTGTCAGAGGCATTTGAACCAGAGCAACTCCATCTTGGAAAGGGGCTGGGTAAAATGAGGCTGAGACCTATTGGGCTGCATTTTCAGACAGTTAAGGCATTCTAAGCCACAGGATGAGATAGGAGATTGGCACAAAATACAGGTCATAAAGACCTTGCTGATAAAACAAGTTGCAGTAAAGAAGCTGGCCAAAACCCACCAAAACCAAGATGGCGATGAGAGTGGCCTCTGGTTGTCCTCACTGCTACACTCCTGCCAGCAGCATGACAGTTTGCAAATGCCATGGCAACGTCAGGAAGATACCTATGTGGTCTAAAAGGGGAGGCATGAATAATCCACCCCTTGTTTAGCATATCATCAAAAAATAACCATAAAAATGGGCAACCAGCAGCCCTTAGGGCTGCTCTGTCTATGGAGTAGCCATTCTTTATTCCTTTACTTTCCTAATAAACTTGCTTTCATTTTAGTCTGTGGACTGGCCCCTAATTCTTTCTTGTGTAAGATCCAAGAACCCTCTCTTGGGGTCTGGATAAGAACCCCTTTCCAATAACAGGACTACAGGCATGAGCCACCATGCCTGGCCTTATATCTATTATGACTAAGGAAGATCTAACTTGTCAGAAAACTATCTAAAGCCTTTAAAAAACAGAAAACTTAGATTCATCTCAATTCATATTCTCTTGCCCATGGTCTGGCCTACATTGGGAGGTATTAGTGGCATCAATCCAAATTTACAGGAATTAACTTCTATCCTCTCAGTTCCCTTCAATCCAATTAGGTTTATTTACATATGACCCTTATTTCTCCAGATTGCGCCAGATCCTTATAGACACGGAGAGATTTATCTTCATCAGGTTCTGGGCTAGAGGGGGGTCACTATTCCTGTGACCCTAGTCTGCACCACTCTCTCAGGCATGCTCAACAACCTCAGCTCATGGTCGCAAAAGGAACACGTCCCCTTCTCTTCAATCTGATGGTAAGTTTCTGTTCTTTTCGGGGACTCTCTCCTCAGAGTTGGAGCAGCTTTCATCTCTCCTAATGGGAGAACTTTATTCTCAGTCCCAAAATCCCTTTTGCTGATGCAGTGACGAGGTGAAACTAAGGTGGACCAATGGTGCTTGAGTGGGGCTGGGGTGAGCACGAAGTGATACTGACAAGAGTGCCGGGTCACAACAGACCTGGGCAGGATGGGCTTCTGCCCGGGCTCCATAAGACCCAGGCATCTCAGCAGCTGCCTGATTCTCTGTCTGACTCTGACAGCATCCAGAACTTAGAAGTCTACCCTGTAGCATCGTCCCTTCCACCACCATTAGAAAAATAAAACAACAGCAAACACTGTTCCAGTTCCTTTTCACTATTCAAAGCCCAATTCTGCTTAGTTCAACTTACTTTCAACTGGGCATGGTGGCTCACGCCTGTAATCCTACCACTTTGAGAGGCCAAGATAGGAGGATTGCCGCAGCTCAAGAGTTCAGCATCAGTCTGGGAAGCATGAGATGCTGTCTGTACAAAATTTAGAAGACAAAAAAAAAAAAACTGGGTGTTGTGGTGTTGTGGCCCATGCCTGTGGTCCCAACTACTTGGGAGGCTGAGGTGGGAGGATCACTTGAGACTGGGAGATGGAGGCTGCAGTGAGCCAGTTATACCACTGCACTCCAGCCTGTGCCACAGAGCAAGACCTGTTTCCAAAAAAAAAAAAAAAATCTTCTGGAAAGAGAAAGTGAGTGAGTTCTTCCTGCCATTATATGCAGTGGGCCTTCACGTTGTACTGGCCATATTTTTACCGATTAGCCCACTGCCACTGCCTATGGAGCTTAGGAGAACCTCATGCAAACAGGACTTCTGATTGCCTGCCCTTATCTCCTCCTTCCTTGGGTGAATGGACATCTCAACAGTACTTTGATTCTCAAGGCTCATGGGACTTCAGTGGCAAAAGGGACCTTGGAAAAAAAGTCCAGTTCCTTCCAGTTTTGGATGAAGTTCAAGGATGTTAAATGATGTGGCCAAGAATACAACCATTGTCTGTAGAAATCTCCACCATTAAGTCTAGGAATAATGAGGATGTCTCCCTTTTTGTAGTTGGCTTTCAATCACTGCTTTACATGCTTTCATCAGGGGAGAAGTGAGGAGATAAAAGGAATCCCTGATTGGTCATTCTTGGTAGTTGTTCACAACTTGGATCTAAGTTTTTGTGGTGAAGGAAGTTGAATTCATGACTAAAATGAATAATTTTTTTAAGACTCTATATCTGCTCCACAGTCTCCCATTCTCATGGATATTTAAGAGTAGACAGGGCCGGGCGCGGTGGCTCACGCCTGTAATCCCAGCACTTTGGGAGGCCGAGGCGGGCGGATCACGAGATCAGGAGATCGAGACCATCCTGGCCGGGCGTGGCGGCGGGCGCCTGTAGTCCCAGCTACTCGGGAGGCTGAGGCGGGAGAATAGCGTGAACTCGGAAGGTGGAGCTTGCAGTGAGCCGAGTTCGCGCCACTGCACTCCAGCCTGGGGAACTGAGCGAGACTCCGTCTCAAAAAAAAAAAAAAAAAAAGAGTAGACAGAATTTAGCATATACTGCAATTGCCTGCAGAGACAGAATCATTACGAACTATAGATAACATAGCAACACAGCTAGGTGAAAGTGAATTTGATTTCTGAAACTTCAGTCACAAAGTTGGGAATGTACCACACAAACACATGCCGAATATTTTCAAGCTCAGCTTTGGAAAACTAGGTTCTACTCGTTTTTGGAAAAGGCTGTATGTTCCATGGCTGGGTTACTCATGGTTAGCTGGAATAGATCGTTCTAGCCATCCTTCATGGCTTGTGCAATGATTAGGAAGCAGGATGCTCTGTTGGTGGCTGCATGGAATTGGTGAGATGGGGATGGCTTAAGAGCTGCCCATCAAGGTTGGACAGTAAGATGGACCTGGCTCCCAAGGACGACTCCAGAAGCCTAAGCAGCTGGGACAGGCAGAGCCACGCTTGAAGCGTCTAAAGGACACACATTTCAATTCCAGAAATGGTAACCACTGGGTTTCCATTAAATTAGGCTGGGCACAGTAGTAGGAAAGTCAGATGGTACTTATCACTCAGGACTCAGGCTAAAGGGTGAAATATGAGGCAAGTGTTGGAGAGATAGGGCCAGGGTTAAGTCTGGGATAAGTTGGGTGTAGAGATCAATACAAAGCCCACTCCATCAGAGGCAGGGAGAGGGAAGAGATGGTAACATATCTATCATCCAGGGCTCTAGGGTTTGTCCCTGCAGACACTCTATCCAGTTAACAATGTGAATACTTGGGGACTAATTAGCCCCAGGGGTTATCATCAGGACACTAATAGTTGGAAGAAATCATGTTTGTTCAGCACTCCTGGGTGCTTTTTGTGTCACACACAGAAACATACACACACACACACACACACACACACAGAGAGAGAGAGAGGAAAGAGCTTTATTGTGAGGAATTGGTTTCTGTGATTATGGGGGCAAGGTAGGCAAGTCTGATATGTGCAGGGCAGGCCATCAGGAACGGCAGGCTAGAAACTCTCAGGCAGAGGCGGACACTTTGGTCCATAGACACAATTTCTTTTTTCCTTAGGGAAACCTGAATTCTACTCTTAAAGACTTTCAACGAACTGGATTTATCCTACCCAGATTATCCAGGATAATCCCCTTTCCTTAAAGTTAGCTGGCTGTAGATATTTATCACATCTGCAAAATACCTTCACAACACCATCTTTGGTTGTGACACAGTGTTTGGTTGAATGGCTAGGTACGATATAGCCTAGACAAGTTGACAAATAGAACTCTCAATCACATTGTCATTGAGTATCAGTTAAGTATATGATTTTAGATTTGGAATCCAAGCTTCTGAGAGGTAATGACTCTTGTCCTAGGAAACACACTGTGTTTATTTGCCTTGTACTTCGAAAATTGGAGAAAGACATAGCCAAAAATGTATTGCCTGTCCCAGAGATGTATAAATCTGAGAATAATCTGAAAATAGTGAGACTGAGTCCTATGGTGAAGAACTCAGTGGGGCCAGTTATGGAAACGAGGGACGGCAGAGCTTAGGGTAGGCAGCATAACCTCATACAAAGAAGACAAGCTTGGGAATCAGACACACCTGAGTTTGAATTATAACTTTGCCACTTTGCAAATGCTGAGACCTTAGACAAATTGCTGAAGTGTTAAAAAAAATCTCAGCCTCAGGTGTTTCTTTATAGCAATGGCAAGAATGGCCTAAGACAGCGGGTATTGATTCCTTAGTACAGATGAGGCTGTGTGACTTTCTTCTTGTTTCATTTGTTTGTGTATAGCTCAAATACAGATTCATTCATCACTTAACAAATATTTATGGAGCATGACTATACTAGGTGCTGGAGAATATAAATTGACATAAAATATACGACTGCTGCAAATTCGCAGAAACAGGAAGTAGAATGATGGTTACTAGGGCCTGGAAGGAGGAGGAAAAGGGGATTGTTTGGTCAGTATACAGTTTCAGTTTTGCGAGATGAAAAAGTTCTATTAATCTGCTGAGTAACTATGTGAATACCCTTAGCACTATTGAACTACATACTAAAAAATGATTAAGATGGTAAATTTTGTTATGAGTTTTTACCACAATTAGAAACTTCTAAAAAGAGGCTGGGTGTTGTGGCTTATGCCTATAATCCCAGCATTTTGGGAGGCCAAGGCAGGAGGATCTTTTAAGCCTAGGAGTTCGAGACCAGCCTGGGCAGGGACTCTCTCTCAATCTCTCTCTCTCCTTTTTTTTTTTGAGATGAAGTCTCACTCTGTCCCCAGACTGGAGTGCAATGGCATGATCTCGGCTCACTGCAACCGCTGCCTCCCAGGTTCAAGGGATTCTCTGGCCTCAGCTCCTGAGTAGCTGGGATTAAAGGGGCCTGCCACTACATCTGGCTAATTTTTGTATTTTTTTATTTTTAGTAGAGACAGGGTTTCACCATGTTGGCCAGGCTGGTCTCGAACTCCTGATCTCAGGTGATCTGCCAGCCTCGGCCTCCCAAACTGCTGGGATTACAGGCATGAGCCACCATGCCTGGCCCTTTTTTACTTTTATTTTAGGTTCAAGGGTATATGTGTAGGTTTGTTATATCGGTAAACTGAGTGTCATGGGGTTTGTCATCTGGGTAATATGCGTAGTATTGATAGGTATTTTTTCTGATCCTCTCCCTCCTGCCAGCCTCCATCCTCAAGTAGGCCCCAGTGTGTGTTGTTCCCCTCCTAGTATCCATATATTCTCATTGTCTAGCTCCCAGTTGTAAGTGAGAACATGCAGTATTTGGTTTTCTGTTCTTGTGTTGCTTCACTTAGGATAATGTCCTCCAGCTCCATCCATGTTGCTGCAAAGGACATGATTGTGCCCTTTTTATGGCTGCATAGTATTTCATGGTGTATATGTACCACATTTTCTTTATCCAGTTTACTGTTGATGGGCATTTAGGTTGATTCCATGGGAGAACCTGTCTGTACAAAATAAGAAAAAATTAGCCAGGTATGGTGGTGTATGCATATAATCCCAGCTACTCAGGAGGCTGTGAGGATCACTTGAGCCCAGGAGTTTGAGATTGTAGTGAGCCACGATCACACCATTGCATTTTAGCCTGGGGATGGAGTGAGACCCTGTCTCAAAAAAAAAAAAATTTTTTTTTTATAAAAGAAAAAAGGCAGCTGTTAGGGAGAATAATAAATAAACAAGAGAAATTGGGTAGAAGTAAGTAATTATGATGTAAAAAATCATAGCGATGTGTTATGTGACTAAAGGGCTACTTTAAATTTTAAAAAAATTAAGAGCATTTAAAAAGACAGTATGACCTTATTTAAGTAAATATGTATTTAAGTATCTGCTGCCTAACTAGACCCTACCCACTTACAAGCAATATCCCAAACAATATGAAAAATCTGGCTTCTTTCATACCCTAGGATGTGGAATCAACTATAATTTAAAAAATAATGCCAGTTTTTCCTTTTGTCCAACTAAAAATAGACATGTATATAGTACATATGGAAATAACTTATGTATGCATAAGTATGTATATATATACACACACATATACACTATAAGTGCATATATATACTTGTGTGTATATGTGTGTATACATATGTGTACCTGCCTTAGTAAACACAAAGGCCTGGTTGCTTATCCAGCCTACAAGTAACAAGATGGAATTTGAGGTGACTTTCATTTCATCTTCATACTTTTCTGTATTTGAATTTTTTAAATAATAAAAATGTGTCTACAGCCATAATACCTTCAGCACGCCCAATCTTGTCTAAATAATAAAAATGTGACATTTTTCCTTAAGCAATAAAGCTATTTTAAAAATTTAAAAATGCAATAGAACAAGAATACAGTTCTGCAGTACCAGTCGATTAATGTGAAGTTCTTAGAACATCCCTGGAACATAGTGTTAGGTCGAACTGTTATTATTCTGCTGGTAACTATGTTTCAGGTCCTGCTGTGAGTACCTCACATGTACTGTCTCCCTTAATTTTTATGAAAACCCTCCTTACAAATGTAGATACTGACACAGAGGATATGCTAAAGATCAGTTTTTAGGTAAGAAGACCCTATTTTGTGGACATTTTTTAACCCTTTAACATAATGGCTATTCAAAAGGCCTTAGGGCCTTTATATAAAAACTAATTGCTGAAAATATCCTCAACAGATACTATAAATATATAACTGCTTTATATGATGTAAAATGATGATATGTAAGTGCTCATAAGGTCACTGGAAGTATCAATTTAAAATAAATGAGTTAAATACATTCTAAGACATACAATTTATATAGTGAATTAAAATTTGTATCTGGCAGGCACAATGGCTCATGCCTGTAATCCCAGCACTTTGTAAGGCCGAGGCAGGAGGATTGCTTGAGCTCAGGAGTTCGAGGCTCCTGAGTAACAGGTCAGCTGTTACTATGTCACTGTACTCCAGCCTGGGCAACAGGCCGGGCGCGGTGGATCACCTGAGGTCCGGAGTTTGAGACCAGCCTGGCCAACATGGTGAAACCCCCGTCTCTACTAAAAACACAAAAATTAGCCGCGCATGGTGGCAGGTGCCTGTAATCCCAGTTACACAGGACGCTGAGGCAGGAGAATCGCTTGAACCCGGGAGGCGGAGGTTGCAGTGAGCTGAGATCGTGCCATCACACTCCAGCATGGGAGACAAGAGCGAGGCTTCGTCTCAAAAAAATAAAAATAAAAAAAAAAAAAACAGAGCAACATCCTGTCCTAAAAAAATAAAAATGAAAAAGAAAGAAACAAAATTGGTATCTAAGACCTAAGACTTAGTAGCAAAATTATTACTAATAGTAACAGCTTGCCCTTGAATAGCAATTTACAGTTTACAAAGCACATTCACATGCACTGAATCATTTTGCTTTCCAAAACCACTGAAGGAACTAGCAAGGCAGAAATTAATATACCTGCTGACAACTGCAGAAGCTGAATCATGTATGTATGTATCAGTTAGAATGTCTTTGGCCACAGCTAACAAAAATCTATCTTAACTGGTTTAAATAATGCAGAAAGATATTGGCTCACTTGTGTGAACCTTCAGAGGTGAGAGGTGGTCTTCAGGGCTGACATACCTAGCTGCGCTGACTCTGTTTCTCTAGTTCTGGGCCTCAAATCTGCACACAATAATGCCAGAGGAAGAGATTGTTTCTTTCTGTAGCTTTTTCTTGAAAACTAGGAAACTTTCCTTTAAAGTCCTTAGCAAACTTCTCCTCACCTATCACTGCCCTTGATTAATTCACATACCTATTCCTGAATCAATTATTGGCAAGAGGCATGAAATTATCCTTAGATGACTTGGGATACTTAATGAAAATAAAGGCTCTTGGCCAGGCGTGGTGCCTCACGCCTGTAATACCAGCATTTTGGGAGGCTGAGGTGAGTGGATCACTTGAGGTCAGGAGTTTGAGATCAGCCTGGCCAACATGGTGAAACCCTGTCTCTACCAAAAAATACAAAAATTAGCCGGGCATGGTGGTGCCCACCTGTAGTCCCAGCTGCTCGGGAGGCTGAGGCTTGAACCCGGGAGGCAGAGGTTGTAGTGAGCCGAGATCATGCCACTGCACTCCAGCCTGGGTAACAGAGCGAGATTCTGTCTCAAAAAAAAAGAAAAAAGAGAAAAAAAGAAAATTAAGGCTCTGTTAGGAAGGAGGAAAAAGGGAATGATAATGAATGCTGATTGAGCACTACAACCCGGGAAGGAGCAGTCAGGAGTCTAACCCAACTCTTGAGGCTAAGCCCAGGGATCTCCCTCTGCTCAAAGCACTAATGCCCAGAGCAAGAAAAGGTGTTTCAGAATAATCAAAATGGCAGGAGGCAGGCCACCTAACTTCTATGCTTCTTGTGTGATGACTTCAATTATTTTAGATTTTCAGTAGATTAGGATGCTCATTTTTGGGTTTTATGGGGGACATCCAAGGGGTAGTCTTTAGAAACAACTGTATGTGGGAATCCCATATGCCTGGGTTTTGCATGATAGAAGTCAGATGGATTTCTGGTTTAAAAAAATGTGCTTTGAAAGACACGTTCTGATAAATCACTCAGAAGCATTTTTAAAAATGGTAAAAAGATCAAACAATAAAAAACAAAAGCTTAAAGAAATCTTTAACATACTGACATATTTGGGGTTTTTTGTTTTTTTTTTTTTTTTGGATGGAGTCTTGCTTTGTTGCCCAGACTGGAGTGTGGTGGTGCAATTTAGACTCACTGCAACCTCCACCTCCTAGGTTCCAGCTATTCTCGTGCTGGAGTAGCTGGGATTACAGGCACCCGCTACCACACATGGCTAAGTTTTGGACTTTTAGTAGAGATGGGGTTTCACCATGTTGGCCAGTCTGGTCTAGAACTCCTGACCTCAAGTGATCTGCCTGCCTTGGCCTCCCAAAACTGCTGGGATTACAGGCATGAGCCACCGCACCTGGCCTTGCATTGGGTTTTTAAATAAAAACATTTATTGTAGTTGTAGTTTCAGCTCCTTGTATATCTCTTCTGAATCCTATTCTCCTTTCTCCCTCATCAGAGGAAGCCTTGAATTTATTATCCATTTTCATGTGGATGTTTTTATACTAGTATGTATAGCTCCACCAAAGATACATCATTATTTTGAATATATATATTACATATATATTTTTAACTTAAATAAAGGGCAATCTGAACGAACCCTTCTGCAATGGCATTGTAACACTGCTCTTGAGTTGTATCTACATTGATACATGGAGCTTTAGTTCCCTTATCCTAATTACAATACAGCCCATTGTTCAAATAAACATTATCCACTCTTCTGCTGATAGATGCTTTGGTGGTTTTCAATGCTTTGCCATTGTAAACAAAGCTACTGTGAACATTGTAGTAGATATCTCATGGTGTCCATGTAGAAGTTTGTTTGGCGGTCCATATCTTGGAGTGGAACTACTGGGTGTGCTCATCTTCAGCCTTAGTAGCTAGATTGCTGCCAGTTGCATGAGTGTGAAGCAGAATCACATTGCTGGTTTCAGAAGTATTATAATTTCTTTTATCTCTTTTTATTTCCTTTTCCTATGCATTTG
This sequence comes from Homo sapiens, assembly GCF_000001405.40. Lineage (NCBI taxonomy): Eukaryota > Metazoa > Chordata > Mammalia > Primates > Hominidae > Homo > Homo sapiens. The sequence continues at coordinate 65,835,166 of NC_000005.10, read as the reverse complement.
AAACTCTCTAGTCTGTTGAGCTTATCCCATTTTAGTGTATTGAAAAAATTTTTTTCTTTTATCATAGAAAATCATAGTGGCTATAATGAATCTCTTCATCTTGATATGTTAGCCTGTTTTTTAAAGTTTATTATGTATTGGACATAGAGAAATGACAAGATAAAAGGAAATAAATACACATATACAGATACTGGTCATTTTCTCTCCAAATTGTTATTTCAGACAAGATAATTTTTTTCTTGGTAATTTCTTGCTGATTTGAGAGTACATAATAGAATTTATGCGTTTTGTATGGGGAATGGAAAGCATCCCCTTTTCTTCTCATTGTAGAAACCCCAGGATCATAACATTTAAGAACAGCATTGATAACCAATTAGTTTAATTAGTATTTGGCAACCCTGTTTGGTAGAATCCTTGGACTTGCACCTGGAGTGCAGAGATGGCACTACTGAATGATGCCACTTTTGCATCTTAAAGTGTTACTCTATTTTTATATAATGTCTACCTGTGAGATTCAGCTGCACTTGGATATGCTTACAGCAAGCTCCCTGAAGAATTTCTCTGTGTTTGGGGAGAGAAGCTACATCAGTAAATCAAAATTTGCACCCTGTTGACCTAGGAAATACAAAGACAACACAATAAACAAACATGAGATCATATTGCCATTTTGGTTGAGGACTAAGGGAACATTTAATCCCAAGCAGAGTGAGAGAGCGGCAGGAGGAAATAAAATGCATACTGACTGAGCTTGTATTGTTTTCTCCTCCAGTTTGCTTTGTAAAATCCAGATGGGAAAGGAATAAGCATTTATTTCTTTTGCTTTCCCCACTGTTATTTTTTAAGTGTCTTAGCATCAAAAGAAACACTTAGCTTGAAAGTATATTTTCTTTGCTTAAAGAACGTGGTGTGAGAATGTGTATAAGAGGATGGAGGAAGAGGGTGAGATTTGTGGAAACAAATATTCAAGATAAAAATGATAAAAATCACGATAAAAATGATTATTTCCAAGATTTAAGACAGAAACAATTCACTGGGGAGAGTTATTTATATTGTTATGGTTTCTAGAGGGTTGAGCCAAACAATTTGTCCTTCTGTGGTTTTTGTTTTGTTTTGTCTTTTTGTTTTTGAGACAGGGTCTCACTCTCTCGCTAAGCCTGGACAGCAGTGGTGCCATCATCGCTCACTGCAGCCTCTATCTCCCAGGCTCAAGTGGCTGGGACTACAGGCATGCACCACCATGCCCAGCTAATTTTTGTGTATTACGCAGAGACAGGGGTTTCACCATGTTGCCCAGGCTGGTCTCAAACTCCTGAGCTCAAGTGATCAGCCCATCTCAGCCTACAAAAGTGCTGGGATTACAGGCGTGAGTCGCCAAGCCCTGCCTGTCCTTTTGATTATTGATTAGACTGTTTAGAAATGTTAGAAACTGTTGTCAAGTCTGCCAAACAGCTCCTATTACTTCTTCCTTTAGGAACCCAAGATAACAGCCAGATTTTTCTGACAGGCACAATAAAGGTCAACTTTGGTAATATTCCATTAAAACATGACTACAAAAGTTTTTATACATAAGAGGTAATAAAGTAGTTTTAAGGAGTTTTGTTTGAACTGATACCTTTTATTTTATTTTGTTTTTTTTTTTTTTTTGAGACAGGGTCTTACTGTCATGGCCCAGGCTGGAGTGCAGTGCTACAATCTTGCCTTATTATAGCCTTGACCTCCCAAGCCCAGGTGATCCTCCCACCTCAGCCTCCCAAGTAGCTGGGACTACAGGCACGTGCCACCACACTTGGCTAATTCTCGTATTTTTAGTAGAGCCAAGGTTTCACCATATTGCCTAGGCTGGTCTCGAACTCCTGGGCAGAAGTGATCCACCTGCCTCAGCCTCCCAAAGAGCTAGGATTACAGGTGTGAGCTGCCGCACCTGGCCATGAACTCATACCTTTTATTATTCATGGTTAACAAGTCCTGAAAATCCTTTGGAGGAGGTTAGACAGTCTCTTACAGTACCTTTGAAAAGTAAAACTTCTAGTCACCTTGAATTACAAAACAATTGTTTGCTAATCAAGGAGAGCCCTGAAACTGGACACCTTCTTCTCTTGAATATTAGCACCCCTCTTAGATTCCAGCAATTGCCCTTGTTCAAGCCAGCACTTGCCAGCAATCAAGTTCTTGGCTCTCTGTCCTAACACTTCCCTCTTGGTGTTCACCTTCTGATAGGCACATCTGTACTTCAGCCACCACACCAATCTGTCATTGCCATTTCAAATATCATAAAACCTCAATGTTCCTTAAGTGGCTCTTCTGTCTCACCCTCTTCTGGCTACCAGAACTGCATCTGCCACCAGATCAGTAACTTTAACCCAGGAAAGAGTCACTGGGTTCAGGGTGAGAGAAGTGTATCCTGGGCACATGATCCACTTTCTAACGTAATGACTTCATTTCTATTATCCCAGAGGAATGCAGCAGGCGTTCTGACATTTTGTCTACTGGCACAAGAGAAAACAGTGTGTTGCTCTACTAGTGCTCCAGCTGAATTCTGATAGGGTATTAAGAAACTTACTAGGTAGACAGAGGAATTAATCAGGTTTTTGTATGCCTTAACACAAATACTCACCACCCTTATAAGACAAGTTGACTTTAACTGGCTTTTCCCCCACCTCCCCATTAACTTGAACTTCAGAAGATAAAAGTCAACCAGATAGTAGTTTGGCTTTCCTGGAACAAGTTCATAATTATACTTAAAATTTGGTCAATGAGTTTTCAAAGATGCCAAATCTTCCATAGAGCTCTTCTGGATTCTGCAGACATTCATTCATTCATTCATTCATTCATTCATTCATTTTTTGAGACAAGACTTCACTCTGTCACCCAGGCTGGAGTGCAGTGGTGCAATCACAGCTCACTGCAGTCTGGACTTCCCAGGCTCAAAGTATCCTCCCACCTTAGCCTCCTGAGTAGCTGGAACCACAGGTGTGTGCCACCACAGCAGGCTAATTTAAAAAAAAATTTTGCAGAGAAGGGGCCTCACTATGTTGCCCAGGCTGTTCTTGAACTCCTGGGCTCAAGCCATCCCCTCACCTCAGCCTCCCAAAGTGCTGGGATTACAGACCTGAGCCACCATGCGCGGCCCCACCTTTTTTTTTTTTTTTTTTTAAGAGACAATGTCTCACTCTGTCACCCAGGCTGGAGTGCAGTGGCACAGTCATAGCTCATTACAGCCTCTGATTCCTGGGATCAAGCGATCCCCCTGCCTCAAGCCTTCTGAAGAGCTAGGACTATAGGAATGCACCACCGTGCCTAGCTTGCACAGACATTTAAAAAAGGCATTTACTCTTCCTGCAATATTTATGTTAGAAAAAAATTAAAAGGCATTTACTTGTAGAAGTGGTTATATATAGTCTACTCTTACCCTAATCCTTCCAAACCTCTCATTTAGCTGGCAGGCACTGGGACACTGACTGTAATTTAAAACTAGGGTGTTTCACAGAAAAGCCTCCAATCCCCCACTCCCAAATTAAAAAGCACCTAGATTTGTTGTCCATGGCCTCACTAACTATGTTTTTTGCCTCAGACTTCTGTTGTGTTCCTGCTGGGATTTGGAGAGATTTGCCCAGAATCTTTCATTTATTTAATTGGACTTTGGGGAGAAAGGAAGGGTGGGCAGGAGAGAAAGAAATGCTTCACATGGCTGGGTAGACCACAGGATGTAGCTTATCTACTGAAAAATTAGTGACATGAAAATAATGAAACAGGAGGATGGAGCTCTGTGAATTTACGGTTTCTTAAGCTATTATTTCCCTGCCCTCACCTAAGGTGGAATTAGGAATGGAAATGCAATGTTAGGACACCTTCCCAAATGACTTCAGAAAAACTTCCCTATCAGGACCCCCCAGTGGAGGAAATATACTGGGGTCTATAACGGCTTGATAGATGAAGTGTGAGAAATTTTTCTCCTGCCACCTGATCTCAGTTGGAAATTCACTGGCTATCTCGCTGACTGAACAAAACAGAGGATAATAGCCTCTGGCTGAAGATTTTATAATTGAAGCTGAGACAGAGTGGGCCATGTGCATGTTGAGAACAGTGATTGCATTGTGAATTACAACAGAAGTCCCACTTGTCAGTCACACAAATGTTGAAGACCATAGAAAGGCATCTGATTTGGAACAGGGAGGACAAAATGTATCTTTTGGTTTTCCCCACTTTGCCCTGAATACAAAGGGACTGATGACTGCTTTGTTCTGGAATAAAGTCTTACATTCCTTTTAAGACCTATCCATCCAATCATTAAAAGAGAAAGAAAATTCCTGTCTGGAATCACTCCTACCACTTTCTCTCATCAAATGTATTATCTCATCAAAAATTTAAATAATTACATGAATAAGTAAAAGACAAGAAAATAAAATATATAGGTCTGATAGACTAAAACAAGGATTTCTGAGAAGCAGATGATTATTTAAAGAAACAGAAGGGAATGGAGTGTAAGTTTAAAGTCCAGCCCCAGTCTTTGTCTGAACCTTGGAGCCCTGAGGCTTCTTTAGTCTTCCATTGATCTGTTTAGTCAGTTTCTATCCCTACATAAAGAAGTCACAAATAGGCAGTAAGAGGTTGAAATGCTAGGGTGCTTTTTTTGGCTCTTACTGGTGGTAATGGAAATTATTAACACTGATGGGGCCGCGCACAGTGGCTCACACCAGTAATCCCAGCACTTTGGGAGGCTGAGGTGGGAGAATCTCTTGAGCCCAATAATTCCAGACCAGCCCGGGCAACATGGGAAGATCTCATCTCAAAAAAAAAGTTGCTGGGAACAGGAAGTAAGAAATCTTGACTAATCTGGACCATCTCTAAACAACTCAGTGATTATTTTAACAACCTGTTTTCTAGACTTATAGGATGTACCAATGCCTCTTGGCTATCTAATACATATCAGCTTAAAAGGGGTCCCACATCATTCTTCTAATGGCTGTCAATTTATAACCACTTGCACAAAAGTGGCAAAGTGAACATTTTCATCTCTTTTTTATAAGCCCTTTAACTACCAGATCTAAGAAACTCCTGGATATACCAGATATAGAACACCATTTGGTCCCACTCCTGAAATGCTGAAAAGAGAAAAGCAATTATTTTGTTAAAAATAGAAGCCTGCGGTGGCAGGTGGCGTGGTAACTATGTAAAATTTTGTGGCACCACAGTCAAATTGTATAGTGGAGTCAACCAGGGTTGAGGGGAAAACACAGAAAAGTTTTGGATACATGCCTTTCTATTATAATTTATCCCAATAAATTATGAACTCATTTGCCTTCTCCACTCCACTGTGAGCAGCTCCAGTTCTGGGGTGTCTTTTTGTATCCTCATTGCCAAGCACAGCGCCTGACACATAATGGGCACGTTAGAGTCTTTGAAATGAATTCAAAAAACAAATGTTTGAAAGCACATTTTTAAAGACAGTAGTTCTTAATTTCTTCTGATTAAAGCTAAGGACTCTATCCCTAGAAAAATGCAGGTATCCATGCACACGAACATATCTAATATAATTTCAGGGCAATCATGGGACATCTGCTTGCTCTGCCCTTTTCATAGACCCCCCAAGAAAACCAGATGAACAAATTCCGAGGTTTCAATACATAATCATAGGGAGAAGCTGAGAAGCTTTAGAAACGTTCTCCATTGCCAATTTTTTTCTTTTCTTTTTTTTTTTTTTTACAAAAAACATGTTTCTTTCATTTACCTCATGCAGAAACTCTCAGTACACTAAGAAAGGACTCTCATGTAGAAATCTGCCCCCCGCAGGTGTAGAAATAACTTATCCACATAGTTTTAGGTTTAGTTACAAATTAGGTATTTTGCAGTTACCATAGAAAAAGGCATCTTTATAACAAAAGATAATTTTAAAGAAGGTATATTTATTTAACAAACATGTATGAACTATTCATTAACAATCCAGGACTGTGGAGGACAGGGGACAGAAACAAGCCTCGAAGAGATCACAATATGGTGGAGTGCATGCATGGCACACCTGGCTATCTGAATCAGACGTTTGCCTCTGTGTGTGTGATGAAGACAGTAGTGAGTGGAATGGACAGAGAGTAACTGTAAATTCTGTAGGGAGGAAAACGAACGTTTACTCATTCTCTAACAGTCTTTTGCTTTACTATGGTCATATACAACAGTTAATCTCCCATCCTCAGTTCCCAGATACCCACCAGAAAACCGGTAATTAACCTCTGGATAAACTTTCACTGATTACAGATGAGGAGCGAGGCAACCTTAAGCCATAAACAATATTCCTACAGTATGGGGGAGCCGCAATCATCTGAATGCCAGTTTTCAGAGCCAGCCTGTGAACGTTTCATCTGAGGGATGTTTTCCCGATGATCATCTTATCATTATCGCATCTTAAAAGCTGGAGAAGCCCTAAAAGCCGGTTTGGCACAAATGTCAACTCAAGGGAGGAATGCCCTCTGTAACACTCCTGGCAGCTACAGGCTTTCCACAGCAGCGGAATGTATTTTTAACCAACAAAAAGTATTAGAAACAGCTTCCTCGTACTGAACTAAATCCTCCTCATATTTTCCAACCGTTTCTCTAATGGAATTTAATTGTTTCCATTTGGTTTCTGAAGCAATACAGAATTAGCCTATTCTCTCTCCCATTTCCTTCAAGAATTTGAAAACAATTATCATCTGTATTTCTGAATTATCTCCAGACTGAACTTCCCTAATTCTTTTTTATTTTTCTTTTGAGAAGTATTTTCAAAGTTATCACCATCTTGTTACTGCTCCTGCAAACACTGTACTACTTGGCCAAAGTCTGCTTAAAATGTGATATCTAGAAAGGAACACAATATTCCAACAGTAATTGATCTTACACTGGAGTCCGGGGGGATTATTCTTTTGATCTAGGCACATACTTCCATCAACACATTCTTAAAAAGCCTTAGTTCTCGCCTCCCGTCCCCCTCCCCCGGTGTGCTGTACCATGAGCTGATATTGGAATTTGGCCAAATAAAACTGCCAACTCTTTTTTCCTGAATACTACTATCAAGTCAGGCTTCCCCTTCTTTTACCTGGGTAATGGAATGTGTCTAATTTCATTTTGAGCTTGTCTCCACATTGAAATATTTTTAAACATTATTATTTTTTTACTTTTGAGACAAGAGTTTCACTCTGTTGCCCAGGCTGGAATGAAGCGGCACAATGTCGGCTCACTGCAACCTCCACCTCCGGGGTTCAAATGATTCTTCTGCCTCAGCCTCCTGAGTAGCTGGGAGTACAGGCATGTGCCACAACACCTGGCTAATTTTTGTATTCTTTAGTAGAGACGGGTTTCGCCATGTTGGCCAAGCTGGTCTTGAACTCCTGAACTCAGGTGATCCACCCATCTTGGCATCCCAAAGTGCTGAGATTACAGGCGTGACCCACCTTGCCCGGCCAAAATAATTTTAGATGTTAATAACATCATCATACTTAATAATTCCAGCCCTATTATCTGTACATTTGATACCTTTTTATGGGACTTTTTTTTCATTTTTAGCCAAATGACTTGAAATTACTCCCAGTTTAACGTTAATCATCATGCAACTATCTCAGACTGTTTCAATAGCTAGTAATCCACCTGGATAACTATTATCCAGTCACATTCTCCATCTTAGCCACAAAGATATCAACAGCAATGCGTGTCTTGCTGGACGCAATGAACAAACTATTTCTAGCCAGTTTCTCTCATGACAAATGCTAGAGACATTTTATCATAGGAGTACAATTGAGGTGAGCCTCTGGGGTCTATGAAATATGCAGCTAGTACAGGTTCCAGCTCATGTGAGCAGAATAAGGGAGTCTATTTCCTGTTCACCCCTTCCCCTTGTACGTACATCGTGGACTAGATGTGTTGAACCTGTATTTTCTCAGGAAAGGGAACTACAAGGTGAATTCAACCAAATCAAAACTCAGGAATCACGGTGTGGTGTGGGGGTGTGTGCATCGCTGTGTACATTACCTCAATTTTTCAAATTTTGTTTTGTTACAGACGTACAGCATTATTGTGTTTGTTAAAAAAGGCTATTTTGGTCTAATATTTACATCTTATAACCTTTACCTTTTGCCTTGATACAGCTGATACTAGATAATCACTTAGGTGGATCTGTTTCCAGTGGGAAATTTCTCTATTAAAGGTGACTCAAAAAATAAACTTTTTGGACGTTGACTGTTTTTCGAAGAACTGAGGGTATGTATGTCTTTCCTTTTCCTTTTTTTTTTATTTTATTTTAAGACAGGGTCTCTGTCACCCAGGCTGGAGTGCAGTGGCGTGATTATGGCTCATGGCAGCCTTGACCTTCTTGGGCTCAAGCAATCCTCCCACCTCAGCCTCCCAAGTAGCTGGGACTACAGGCATGTGCCACCATCCCTAGCTAATTTTTTTAGTTTTTGTAGAGACAGGGTCTCACTGTGTTGCTCAGGCTGGTCTCAAACTCTTGAGCACAAAGGATCCTCCTGCCTCAACCTTCCAAAGTGTTAGGATTACAGGTGTGAGCCACCACATTCATTTCTTTGTTGCTTTTATTCTCACCACACATTTATAAGAGAAGGCATGTTCAATTTCAGTGGGCTATCCAATTTCAGATGGGAGACATCTAACTGTAATGTGTTGATTTGAGGGAAGAAGCTGTGGTCACTGCATCTATTCAAATAAAATGGATTTTCTCTTTTAACATTCTTTGGGGGCTCAGTTAACTATGTTTAAACCCTATTTGAGGAATCAGTATTCGTTATGGACTGAATGTTTGTGCCCCATCCCCTACATTGAAGCCGTAACAGCCAATGTGATGGGGTTAGGGGGTGGGGCCTTTGTTGGGGGTGACTGGGTTTAGATAAAGTCATGAGGAAGGAACTCTCATGATGGGATTCCTGCTCTCGTAAAAAGAGACACTCTAGGGCTTGCTCCCTGCCACTGCTGCCTGCAGAAGTTTCTAAACCCTTTATGTTCCACATCTGCCTCCTGTCTCTTCCCATGGCTCTCTACAGAGCTATTTGTAACATGTCTACCTGACACTTTTGGGGATGTGGTCAGTAAAAGAGGAAGAGGGGCCTCACCACGAACCAAATTTACCAGCATGTGGATTGTGGGACTTCCCAGCTTCCAGAACTGTAAGAAATGTCTGCTTTTGAAGCCACCCAGTCTGATATTTTGTTATAGAAGCCTGAAGTATGATGGTATTTTAATGTAAATTTTAATGTAAATTTTAATCCACCTGTGTATGATAGAAAATGAATAAATGGTAAACACACACTGGCCTAGTGGGGAGGCAGAATCTCCACAGACCTATAATTCATACATAAAAGCTAAAGGTAAAATGGTAAAGTAGAAAATTGAGTCACTGCCTGCTACTTAAGGCATTTACAAGTACAATGATCATATCAGTAATTTTTCTTTGAAGAGCTATTTCCTCAATTTTGGTATCTCCCACAATGCAATTTTTCATCCGAAGAGCTACAGATATCCACCTCTCACCTTATTAGCTTTAGAAAGGCAAGACCTTGGCATAAGTAGCTCAGGTGATAACTCAAGGCAATTTTTAGTTGTTTATCTAGGTAACATGCAACATTTATACTAGAGGGGGACAAAGTCTACATCAGGTGGCAAAACGTCAAGACATTTCTCTTCTCTGCAGCATCGTAAAACTAAACCTTTAGGATCATGCCTACTATCCATTTGCATAAGATGTTGAAGATTTTATCCTTCACAACATAACAATGCCTAAAAAAAAAACAAAAAACCCGAAAGAGGCCTAAATCCCCTGGATCAATTACCAGGAGAGACCTTATTATATGTGGCTCAGTCCATAAATCTAAAGTGTACATTTGTCCAATTACAATTTACATAGTTATCCACCATTTCAAGCATGTCAGTGATATTCTCTGCTCTGATCTGGAAAAAAAGAACAACTAGACGGATGACCACACTAAAAAAAAAAAAGTTAAGTCCTTTCTTTTGAATTATGCTAGAGAATTTTTAAAAAGTCCTTTCTTTTAAATTATGCTAGATAATTCTTTGAGTATTAATTTTTTTTGAGACTGAATCTCACTCTGTCGTCCAGGCTGGAGTGCAATGGCATGATCTCAGCTCACTGCAACCTCCACCTCCCGGGTTCAAGCTATTCTCCTGCCTCAGCCTCCTAAGTAGCTGGGACTACAGGAACCCAACATCATGCCCAGCTTTTTGTATTTTTGTAGAGACAGGGTTTCACCATGTTGACCATGCTGGTCTTGAACTCTGACCTCAGGTGATCCTCCTGCCTTGGCCTCCCAAAGTGCTGGGATTACAGGCATGAGCCACTGCGCCCGGGCTGAGTTTTAATTTTGTGACTGCTCTTTGGTAGATTTTAAATATTAGAGGTAGGCCCTAAATAGAAAGAACACCATGGTGCTTTTGCTCTCATGCATTTCGGTTTTAACGTTAAAGTATGAAAGAAATATGAGTTCATTTTCATGGATAATAATATAACTTTATTGTGTGCAGCCTTTCCACACCAATTTAGTTTTTCTATGAAATAAGATTTCAAGTGGTAAAGTTACTGTTAAGGAGACACACTGGAAAAAGCTGAAGAGTTTTTTTGTCTGAAACTGAAAAACAGAAAAGTCTAGGGGGAAAGATGTGAGAAAACTACTATAGGCTACAAAGACCACAAAAACAGTTTTGGGGATTAGAAGGGGGTGACATTGAGTGAGTGTGTGGGAAGAGAAGGGCTGGGCAAATTATCTCAGAAGAGGGGGTAGTAGGATTTCAGGTGGATGTTTAAGGTATTTGCTTGGCAGATATAATCTAGGAATCTCCTAGCTCTTGCATTTCCTGCTATCTGTAACTTTATTATGTAGTATAATAATTTTTTATTTAGCACAAAGTTCATTTGGACTAGAGAATCGGAAGGTGCTAATTTTGTCCCCGGCTAGCAAAGTCATACCTGAGGTATGCGCTGGAAAACAACTGGAAGACCTAGGCAGGGGAATTCAAAGTTGTTTTTTTTTTAAATTTTATTATCCTGTCTTGGTTTCCTTATTGAATAGATTTCCACAGGAAAAATACTGTGAGTTTACTGATCTGCTGCAGAATTGGAATTTAGACTCACAATAAAGAGAGTTAAAGATAGATCCAAAGGTTCACTTAAAATAAAAATCACCAGACAGAACAGGCTACTGAAGAGTCTCTTCCCCGTGGTTAAGTTTCATCATACACATAAGGCTTTGGAGCAGCTGTCCTCAAATGCTTCTATCCAAAACCCACTCCTCTTCTGGAGTTTCTGAACCCTTTATGTTCCACATCCACCTCCTCTCTCTTCCCATGGCTCTCTACAGAGCCATTTGTGACATGTCTACCTGACACTTTTGGGGACGTGGTAAGTAAAAGAGGCAAAGTCCCTAACACTTATTAGAAACGTGAGAAGAGAAAAATGTGCTTGGACTTGCTTTAGTATTCTAATTGGCACACATGCCAAAAGACTAACGATCTTGTATGCTGAGGTGGAAATGAGCCTCTAATAAAAGCTACGAAATCCTCTAATACAAGATACAAAAACTTATACATTACACCAGTCTAGCTGAAACATAATTTTTTGATACTCTTTGACTGAACTTTAGACAGAAAAGACAAAACTGAAATGGAGGAACGTAATTTAAGTGTGGCAGAAAGTTGGGAATCATGCGGCCTGATATACAAAGATAAATGCATCACTGAGGCATATTCCCCTGGCCTTGAGGTATGCAGGCAAAGGAGAGGTCACACCTTCCTGGGAGACAAAGGATCAAAGTTGACACAGAGCTCCAAGAAAATATTTACCAGAAGAATGTGATGATTCATTTATCAGTCCAGAAATCCCAAGTACAAAACTTCAAGATACAAGAAGGATCAAATTATATCATATATATGATTCAATTTAAAAATTCTTAGCCCTCTTATATCATATTATCTAGATTATAATAGTAAAAAATCAAGTTACATTCATATGAAACTTTCATAAAAAGAAATCAAATCCAGTTTTATGAAATTTTATAGTACAATTACTTTCTAGTGGGTCTTTTCTTAGGTCACAGTATTTATAATTCCATTTACATCTTTATAATTTTTAAAATTAGAAAACAAAAGGATGTCAATAGAAATCTAAATTTTCACTTGCAAAACTCCCTTCAGTTTCCAGGCCAGTAACACATGGTGATGTCGACTTGTCCTCCAGACATGGACGGCTACCAAAGATCCCCAGTTCACGGAGCATGCAGGCCTCTACTCATTAGGAACGCTTTTTGGTTTGGCTCACGTTTCAAGAAATTGTGGAGCATGTCCATGCCGTCCAGAGATCCCCCAGGTTTCAGGATTAGGTTTCTGTATTTCATTCCAACCTAATAAAATAAAACATCATACCTAATAATTCATGGTTCTAGCAATTTTCCAAATCTCTAGATGCAAAAGAGGAGAGGGTAGGGGTGAAGGAAAAAGGACTTTAGCCTTACTCTGTCTAGATGTTTTCTCTTGCTCACAAACAGCTCTGTAGTATTTATTTATTTTGGTAGCTAAGAGATTTGGAGCTTAAAACTTCAGGTCTTCTACACTGTCCTTTATTATGGTCTTGTCTCCTTAGATTCTAAGCAGTGAGCTGACAACATGAACAAACAAACAAAATATAGCCAAATGGAATATACAACAGGTTCCTATTTGCTATGCTATCTCTCGTGATTTCAAAAGGCTTAGAAAGCAAGTGTTCACGAAGGCTACAAATAGCCTTCTGGGTACTCAGAAACAGTAGCATGGCTACTGTCAAATGGTTTCTGCTGCTTTTATGATGGGCTCATTCAAAACAACAACAACAGAACCCTCTTCCTTATGGATGAGAGAAGAAGGGCTGTACGTGCCCCGCAGGGGAGGGCAAGACATTTTTGTGGGTCCGATGCTGGGAATGAGGACCTTTGGAAAGTTTTCTTTGGGGATGGAGGTCTGGAATTTTAAAACGTCACAGTTCCTCTACTTTTATTTACACAAACACAGGTGCAGATAGAGTGAAAGAAAATAGTTGTTATTCAGTATCAGCATTGTTCAATATTTTCACTTCCCTTTCACTGTCCTTTTAAGGAAACAAGGCAAGACAATTCAGAAGCATAATTCCAAATATACAGATAATAAACAATTCACAGAGTAACACTTAAATTTATATCCATTATATCACTTGATCAAAAGGACTTAGTACAAGAAGAGCTAGAGAATTTCCAGCTCTGTCGTATAACAACATTTTGATTGGTACAACCATCAGAGGTAAATTTAGTCAAACTTTTAAGGAAAATAAAACATGGATGAAATCTACCAAGTCAGACACAAAATGATTTATGTCCTAGGGCCATAAGAACACAAACTTTTGGGGTTACCTTTTGGCTATAAATAGAAATCATTTGCAGCTTATTAATCATCTATAGGCCAACATGTAACTTCACAGTCTGGACTCTAATCAGGAGTAAATAACTAGTCAAAGTTACCTTCTCAGAAACTCTAGGGCTGCACTGTCCAACAGAAACATAATATGAAGCACATATGTAACTTTAAACTTTCTACTAACCACATTTTTTTAAAGTTAAAGAAACAAATAGGTAAAATTAATTTTACTATTTTAAACCACTATATCTACAATAGTATCATTTCAACACGTGTCAATATACACATTATGGAGACTTTTGTTGCTGTTGTTCTAAGTGCTCAAAATCCAACGTGTTTTTTATACTTATGGTACATCTCAATTCAGTTCTTCAGTTGTACTTAGCCTCATTTCAAGCGCTCAACAGCTACACGTGGCTACCATACTGGACAGGTCTAGGGCCCAGAGCATAAAATAGTCTTTAGGAAGGTTTGCTACACAGTGTTCTAGTATGATATTAAAAAGGTACACAGCAGTCTTGTTGCCTTATTTACAAGTTTTCAATCAATTTTCTTAAGAGAAGGCACTCAGTCACTGATACCGAACTTCCCAAACCTGACGACGAGGGCTTGAAGCTAGATTCAATTAGCTCCCTTCCCTTTCCGCCCCCCATTCCTGCCCCTGCCGCTGCCTCTGCCTTTCCTTTTCTTTCTCTCTTTTCTTTTTTTTTTTTTTTTGAGACAGAGTCTCATTCTGTCGCCCAGGGTGGAGTGCAGTGGCACAGTTTAGGCTTACTGCAACCTCTGCCTCCCAGGGGTCAAGTGATTCTTATGCCTCAGCCTCCAAGTAAGTGAGATTACAGGAGCACACCACCACACCTGGCTCATTTTTTGTGTTTTTAGTAAAGATGGGGTTTTGCGATGTTGGCCAGGCTGGTCTCTAACTCTTGGCCTCAAGTGATCTGCCTGCCTCGGCCTCCCAAAGTGCTGGGATTACAGGTGTGAGCTACTGTGCCCAGCCTTCAATTAGCTTTCGGGAAAACAAACAAACAAACAAAAAAAAACATGTCATTTCTTGCCTGTTCTGCAGCAATTCATGACTACTACAGCAGCAATCTAGAATCTAAAATGTGAGTGATGGCTGTGCTTGTCATGGATTTTAATTAAGCTAAGAAGGAGCATATCATGGCTCTTGAGCCCAACCACAATTTACCTCCCTTCCCTTCCTTTCTTTGGTCAAAATGCCAAAATTTGACTAGTGTTAAATTAGTGGGAGGAGCATGGAAAGACTGTGCTCTCTGGGTAGAGCAGTACAGGAAGAACGCAGACAATGTGAGTTAAATTTTTCTGCAGAATTACAAAAATATTTTAAACATTTTATTATGAAAAACTTAAAATACATACTAATAGTAGAGACAACAGTATAATGAGCTCTCACAAACCTATCATCCAGTCTCAATCATCAATATTTCGTCTGCAGAAATTCTTCAGCCTCAAGATGTATGTATCATGTATCTTTTATTTATTAAAAAGACATACGCATTTGACAAGTATAGAAACATTAAGGAAAATTGAAATGAAAGTTTTAAAAAATCACTCCAAATGTGAACATCTGATAAAAGTATTTTCATTTTGTGCAGAGAACTGTAATTTTAGGTAGTAAAGAAAAGGAAGCATTTGAGGAGCTCCATGGTGTTATAAAGAGACAGCTCATGAATGGTAAAATCATTTCAGAGCAGGGCACTGTTTAGTCTCACAATATGTGGCTCAGTACAGCTCAAATCTTCCTCTGCCTATGGCTCCAAACAAGTTGATTCAATTTCCTGAATTACAGAGCAATGGTCTTTTAATAGTTTCATTTCCTTTGCAATGAAGTTTTGAGAAGAGTTTAAGAGTCATTTTGGTAACAGGATCTTGCTTTTCTTAGGGAAAAAAAAATAGTTAAGTGAATTTTTGTGTTTCGGGGGGTACCAGGCTCTTTTGTGTGAGAGAACGTGGTCTGGGAGACATATGCCACAGGTGGAGGGAGTCTTTGCCCTAAGTTGTTCTATTAATACTTTGTTTATAAAGAAACTAACTGTGAGGAAATCAAGAAAAGAAGCTCTAAGACAACTGCTAAAATTTTTCATATTAGAAACATCCTTCAGGAAGATCTGCATACAGTAAAAACTAGAGCTTTCCTATGGAGGAAAACCAGTGTCATCCACCTCTGTGGCTTTTTTAATCCTAGAAGATTAGCATGTATCTTTTGGCAGCTATGCAAGTCTTCTCTAACAGTGACAATTTCTGAAGCAAGATCAGGAACTCTAGACTCAGGCCCGGGTTTGAATCTTGGCTCAATCCTTAGCTATGTGACCTGGGGCCTTGATTTCCTCATCTGTCAAATGGGAATATGCCTACCTCACTCAGTTTCTGGGCAGTTGGAGGAGGTGATTTCAGTATTCTGTTTGCTCTCTAGCATAATATCTGGCATAGAGTGGTAATCAACAAACCTCTCCTCCTCCCATCTCCTTTCCTCCTCCCCTCTCCTCTCTTTCCTTTCACACTGCCCCAGCTCAGTTACTTATATACAGTTCAGGGAAACAAATGCATTCCTGGTGTAGCACTTCCTCAAAATTAGTTCTATCTCCTAATAAAGCTAAAGAAAGGCATAAGGAACTTCATTTTCTCTATTAGTAAGAAATAGAATACATAATTCAGTAGAAATATTAAGTGGGAGAGATAAGGCACTTAGGCACTCATTTTGCTCAATAATATGCACCCTTTCAGGTAATATTTTAATAGCAATAATAATTACCTAAATGAAGGATGTCCATCATCTATCAGCAATGAGAATATATAAATGGGAAACAGATTGGGTCTCCTGCTATCTTGGGCATCTCTGCAGCAGCACATGCAGGCTCTCACTAACTTTCCACCCCTCCTCCATCCTTCCCAGCATGGATGACTCTGGGGAGGGCAGCCAGAGCTGTCTCCTTCCTACACTGAGCGGCAGTCATCAGGGCAGAGAGCGACCAGCCAAGGACGGGGGATGACGATCAGGCACCTGACAAGCTCACCAGCCTGCTCTAAAGCTGGACTTTGAAACCTCTCCTTCCATAGTCCATAACTCCCTCCCAAGAGCACACCCTTTGTTTTCTGTGAGGGTGGGGAGATCTTGAATGGACAAAAATTAAAAATAGAATTGCTTTGACAACAACAAAGGAGGGAGAGAAAAAAACTGGTGCTGACTGAGAGATGGAGACAAGAATAGTAGTAGGAATTGTTGCCTGATTAGAAGAGGTCTTCTGGAAACCTTACTGATTTGTGAGGATAGAAGGGTAAACCTTTATTTCTGGGGAGGGAGGAGATCCAAAGGAAAAAACACACTGGGTAGGAGTATGTATGGGGGGGTAGAGAAGTGGAAGCGGATGGAGAAAACCGTCAGGTCCAAAGAGGCACAAATATGTAAAACATTAATTAAATTAAATAGTTGTGAAGCAGAGAAGGGAACCCAACGCTGAATAAAATAGTTCCTTTTACACGAGTCTTATGATCTATCAGGGAAGATAAAGAAATAGACAACTAACCAGGCAGATTATTGGGGTACTAAGAGCAAACAAAGAAGGGCTGTAAGAGCCCAAAGGAAGATGAACTGCTTCCAGCTGGTTGGGATTCAAGATTTAGAAGGCCTGGCCTTGTAAATATTCAAGAAGTAGGTTGGAAATCAATTCGAATTCCTTCCTTTGTCCCTCAAGTCAGGCGAAACCTGAGGCTACTAGAAAAGGTTCAGTTATAAGAAAAATCAGCTGTTGGGTGGTACATCAGGAGAGCTGAGACAGAGAAGAGAATTAAAGCCATTTGTAAAAACCTTCTGGAGAGGAAATTTCATATTCTCTTTTAGCAACACATTACAGGAAGAATTGGGCCTAAGATTCTGTTTCAAGCACTGGGATCCTTAGCTTTATATTATAGATTCTCTATCAAGTGATTCTTTGTCATGTTTAACCAAGACTCTTCATGTTTTTGTGGCTATTATTTTATGTAAGATGTAGCTCCTTCCTTATGGCATTACAGACTGAAATATAGTTACACTTAACTCTCTTGAATTTCTCAGTATTTCTTTCAGAAGTGATACTTGTTCATATTTCTTCTCCTCTGATGGAAGAAACAAAGCTTAGCAATTTCTTCAAATGCAAAAGAGGAGGAAGATAATAGTAGCTTAACAATATAATTGCCTTTGAATTCACAATGTCTATTACCTCTTAGAAAATTTTCCCACAATGAAGTTGCCTTATAAAAAGAAATGGCCTTGGTTAAAATGCCCCCATTATTTCAACCTATGATTAGCTGCTGGATTCTGAATTCACATTTGGTGACCTTAAAGACCTTTGAGAGCTTCCTGGAAAAGCATTAATCCCAAGCAGTTCCATTCCATAATTATTTAGCAGAACAGTTAGAAAAGTGAAAAGTATGTCTGACAATGAGACAACTTCATGTTCACTGAGAAAAAAGTACTTTAGGTAATATATAACAAAGTAATTAAACAGTTACGATGTGATGTCTATTTACTATGAAGAACAATATTTAAAAAACTACAGATAAAACCAGAGGTAGCAAAGTTTTAGGCTATTATAGGTAAGCAGTCAGTTATTATACTTTGATAGAGGCCCTCAAAACAGAATGAAAACTATACCCTAAAATATTCTACTGCTACTTTCTATAGTTCTGCTTGCCAAGATCTGAAATGGTCCCCAGAGCAGACCCTGGGGTTTGTAGGATGGCAGGAGGTTACAGAGAGAAGGAAGGCCTGGACACAGTCTTCTCTATTGCATAACCAATAACATCAACAACATGTGGTTTCTTAGCTCCCAGCCTCTCTAGTGCCTGGGGACTAACAATAGAAGGCACTGACGCTTTGAAGGGCCATCCCGCTACCTTCTCAAAATGACCCACACACACATTAGGGAGGGTGAGACAACAAAGTCTGCAGGATATATTTTGATTTGTCTGCTTCCCATGACTTCAGATCAAATGAAGTATTCCTTTATATCATAAAAATTCATATTTTTATCCTGTCTATGTATCTGAAGCCACCACTCACTGACATGTGA
The DNA here is from genome assembly GCF_000001405.40 of Homo sapiens. Lineage (NCBI taxonomy): Eukaryota > Metazoa > Chordata > Mammalia > Primates > Hominidae > Homo > Homo sapiens. The sequence goes on along the minus strand of NC_000005.10, from coordinate 65,816,687 downwards.
AACTAAAGCAAATGCACCGAGTTTGGAACAACTCAAGATAATGCCATCTTTCTCAGTGTTGGCTAATAACACTCTGTGGTTGTGGCACAAAATAAGTAATGTATGGTGTACTGGTCTGAAGAAGTATTTTTCTGTTTCTTTTTTTTTTTTTTAACTTTTACGTTCGGGGTACGAGTACAGGTTTGTTACATAGGTAAACTTGTGTCACATGGGTTTGCCATACAGATTATTTCATTATCCAGGTATTAAAGCTAGTACCGATTAGTTACTTTTCCTGATCCTCTCCTTCCTCCCATCTTTCACCTTCTCCAAAAGGCCCCAGTGTGTGCTGTTCTCCTCTACGTGTCCATGTGTTCGCATCATTTAGCTCCCACTTTTAAGTGAGAACATGTGGTATTTGGTTTTTGATTCCTGTGTTAGTTTGCTAAAGGTAATGGCCTCCAGCTCCATCCATGTCCCTACAAAGGACATGATCTTGTTCTTTTTATTTTTTTTTTGAGATGAGTTTCACTCTTGTTGCCCAGGCTGGAGTGCAATGGTGCAATCTTGGCTCACTGCAACCTCTGCCTTCTGGGTTCAGATCTTGTTCTTTTTCTTGGCTGCACTGTATTCCGTGGTATACATTGTTTTTGTGGGGGGAGTTCTTCTTCCTCTTTTCTTTTTAAAATAAATGTTCGCTCTAAAGTAACACTCACATTAGAAAATACAAGTACCCAGTTACCAAAAATTAATGCTTTGGGACAACAAAAGAATTTCTTTTTCTCTTCATCACACATAGCTATAATAATGATCTAAGTTTTTTGGAGACTAGGATTGTTGTCCCAAAGCATTAATTTTTAATAACTGGGTACCTGTATTTTGTAAGGCAAGTGTTATTTTAGAGCAAATATTTGTGGGTTTTTTTTTGAAGAACATCCCCCGCCGCCACCAACAAAAAACCCCAAATAGTATATTGTAGGAGGGAACAAAATGTTTGTTTAAAAATCATCTTTTAGTATCTGCAAAGGGTGTGAGGGTGAGGGGCCAAGGGATTCTTCTTGGCTTTTGGAGCCAGGTCCATTATTGCTGTGACAGCAGAGGATCAGGAAGTGCCATGATACTCAGAGCATTTGAAAGGAAAGGAAAAAGTGTAAAGGAAGGAATTAACACCAGCCTTATGGCATAAGACATCTAATAATAACAGCACTGCTGAATCCAGAATTTTAGTAACACTGAAAATTGTTTTCAACATCACAAGTTTTAACTCCAAGTTGTTGGGATGATGCTTTCTCTAAGTTCAACCCAGCACCTTTGTCTAAATAAGAGTAGTATGGCTGCCTGCCAAACTGTGAAGCCTGAGAATAAGAGGAAGTATAGAGAAGACAATGCAGGAATTGCTTCTATTACACTTGCAAGTTCCTTGGAACCACAGGGATCAGTAATTTGGCTGCTACCTTGACAGCTGGAAGAGAAAAGGTAATGATAGAGGGTTCTGGGTATATGGTCACATAAGGGCAAGCACAGAGGAGGTGATGGCGAAGCTTGGCTGGGAGAGGCAGTGTACACTTATGCCAGGAAGCCTCACCAATGATTGCCAGTAAGACGTCATAATTGTACCTTTACCTAGTTAGACTTTTTTCTCTTTGAAACATTGTTTCTGGCTTCTAAAATAATCTATGTACTATGTAAAAATAAGGAAAAGCTCTAGGAAAAATACAGAAAAAATTAATAATCACTCATAAACTTATCCCCAAAGATAATCATTGACATTTTGATGTACTTTTTTTTAAAACACACTTTAAAATCAACATTCGTATTGTATGGTATAAAATATTTTATAATATGATGTTTTTTCACTTGGTAATAGTTACATTAAATATTGCAGACATAGTAAAAGCTTATTGAAGCCCTTCTTCCATGCTCAAGACCACTTTTTTTTGTCTTTTTTCTTTAAAAACTAGTCTATTTTCCATTTTTTATTTTTATCTTTGGATTTTTAATTTCTATTTGTTTTGGGGACAGTTCTCCAAAAGAGAAGAGAAAAGGTAATGAGAGAAGGTACTGGGTATGTGGTCACATAGTGGCAGCACTGAGGAGGTGACGGGGAAGGCTTGGTCCACTCCTCCAAGTCCACTCATATGTTCAAAGGATGTAAAGATCACTTTTGGTTTTGGATAATTTCAAAGACTTCTTGAACATGCAGTTATGTGAGTGAGACCTTCAATTAAGACTGCTGGAATTTTTGAGATGCACAGATGAAGGAGGCATATATTTTAGGTGAACGAAATAGAACGAATAAATTTGTGAAGGTGGAGAGACCTAAGGGAACACATAAACTTGTCTAACACACAGGGAGTACTGGGAAGTAAAGAAGGGTTTGATTGCCCAGCTGAGGGCTGTGAACAGACAGAGGAATAACAAGCAGCAGGAGGTAAAGAAGAAGGACGAGGGCCTTTGGAGTTGGTAACTGGGTCATCAGTGGTAACTACGGAGGAAGGGTAACTTTCCATTTCTGTTGGTTGGGGCAAAAGCAAGGAAAGAGAGGTTTGCAAAGACTTCTTATACCAAGAAATTAGGCTGTGAAAAGAACAGAGTAGTAGCACTGATTGGGGTTATCAGAGTCAGTAGCAAGTTTTTTTTCCAAGACAGCAAACCAGGAACTCTTACCAGGAACTCCTGGAGCTAGAGACATCTCCTCTGAGACAGGAGAAAATAAGACAAGTATTGAAGTACACAGAAAGAAAGATGAAGGTACTCATTCTCAATGATTTTTTTTTTTTTGAGATAATCTCACTCTGTCATTCAGGCTGGAGTGTAGTAGCATGATCTCGGCTCACTGCAGCTTCCACCTCTCCTAGGCTCAAGCAACTCTCCCATCTCAGCTTCCAGAGTAGCTGGGGCTATAGGCTTCTACCACCACACCTGGCTAATTCTGTTTATTTTTTGTAGAGATGAGGTCTTGCTATATCAAATAGGTTGGTTTCAAATTCCTGGACTTGAGCGATCCTCCCACCTCAGCCTCCCAAAGTTCTGGGATTACAGGTGTGAGCCACTGCAGCCAGCTTCAATGATCTTAATTTTCTTAATAAAGAGGAGAGATCATCTGCTGACAGATGAGAGAGGTGGTGGGAACTTGGAGGGAAATCAATAAGGGGAATGGAGTTGGACCACAGAGAACACTGGGGTCCAGTTCAGGCTACATGCATGACTTTGCAGTTGGGCATGTCAGTGGAGTCATACAATCTTCCCCAGAACACTTTGAATCCTAAGGGCACTATCTCTATGGTGGAGGCATTAAGGGATGGGTCCTGGTTGAAGGTCATGCAGGAATAGGTATGTCTGTGAGAACAATAGTCAGCAGTTGACCTTTGTAAATGGGTTGGCCAGGTAATGGAAAAAGAATTACAAGGACTTAACAGATTGGGTGGGGTGGGATGGGAGATGAAATGCTTCAAAATAATGAAGTATGGGTACCTTGGAGGTGTTATTTCAGGAGGAAGATGGGGAGGGAATGGTGATCTAAATCACATCAATGTATTTCAATACATATGTATAAGGTACTATGCAATCTAGAAAAAACATTTGGAGAAAAAAATCTATTGGTTGAAATCAGTACAGAGAGCCTGATTTTGATAATTTGTTCTTCTAATTTCTGAATCGAAGAATTTAAAAACATACATTGGAAAATGCATCAGCCTTGGAAATAATCTGATGGATGAGACTTCAATGAGAATGGAGATTGGGGGCTGTAAATCAGGAAGGTTTGTCTGGCAGCTACCTGGCAGTCAATTCACTGCATACAGAAAGTAATGGCTCAGGTTAACGAAGCAACTTTGTGACAAAGGTCACAAACTATGTAGTGGGTGGGGCATGCCAGCCACAGAAAAAGGGCGTCTCCCACAGAAAGTGCACAAAGTGTGTAGAGAATATCAAAACACAGGGAAACCATTTACATCAGGAAGGAGTTTACCTTTCTTTCCCAACCTCCTATAAAACTAAAATGTTGTATGGTACATGTCAAAACTAGCAGCTACAGATTCTCAAATCCATAAACAAAGCTTTGAATTTTTAATTATGTAATATATCAGAATGTTAATAAGCAAGAAAATATACTAGTTTTTTTTAAACTATAGAATTAATCACTTGTATACTGCAACTTAATGATGTATGATGATTTGAAAGATGCAGGGCCTCAGAGGTAAAAGCTGTTACCAAGCCTCTTACAGTAAAATCTAGATGTGACCAATATTTTACACTAGGAGTTAAAGGGGAGGGAGCAACTACAAAATTAATAAAAGGAGAAAAATAATACTATACCTCTGGATTCATTATCCCTTCTTTTTTAAAACAGCTGTAAAACATATCCATGGAAAATACTTCACTCCAAAGATATCCATAATATTGGCCATCGTATCCCCCTGCCAAATGTCCAAAGGTAGCTGGCATATTTGTGCCTTTAAAAAAAGATACATTTCAATCAATGTGATAGCAAACGTTAATGATCAGGTTAACAGCTAGCTAAGGTTTCCCTCTGAGGAGGCCAGCTGTGGGAGGAGAGAATGAATGACATGATCTCACCTCTAGTACTCCTTGGGCTGATGTGTCCTCTTGGCCAAGATGTTTATAAACATCTATCAATGGCTCAACCTCAGAGCTGGTTTCGGCCCCAAGCTCTGGAATGCCTAAGGATAGTTTCAGCGGCTTTGTCCACACCCACCAGATAGCTCAGTGTTTTAGAACTGAAATCAGTCCTTTCTTATCTCTTAAACATGTATGTGTTTTGAAAAATAATATTAACCCTACTCTTTGCCACACCTCTTTATATCTAAAATGTCTCAGAATTGCACTTATTTTAGGTTGATAATTACTGAAAAAGAACTTTTTTTTGAGACAGAGTTTCACTCTGTTGCCCAAGCTGGAGTACAGTGGTGAGATCTCGGCTCAATGCAACCTCAGCATCCCAGGTTCAAGGGATTCTCCTGCCTCAGCCTCCTGAGTAGCTCGGATTACAGGTGCATGCCACCACGCCGGCTAATTTTCATATTTTTTAGTAGATACAGGGTTTCACCACTTTGGTCAGGCTGGTCTCAAACTTCTGACCTCAAGTGATCTATCTGCCTGCCTCGGTCTCCCAAAGTGTTGGGATTACAGGCGTGAGTCACCGTGCCTTGCCTGAAAAAGAACTTTTCACCAATTCAATCTACCTGTAGGGCTACTTTATATAGGATTTTGTCAAAAATCCTGAGCTCAAGTGATCTTCCCGCCTCAGCCTCCCAAAATGCTGGATTACAGGCGTGAGCCACCATGCCAGGCCTAAAAATGTCCCTTCTTGATAGCATAACAGGATGGCTATAGTCAATAATAATTTAATTGTACATTTAAAAATGTAATTGCGACACAAAGGCTTGTGACACAAAGGTGCACTATGGCTTACTATGTGGGGAGCCTAGAATGACTCAACGGACCATTCTTATCTTTATTCTCTCTATAAATGTGGCTGACTCATTTTAATAACAATTTCCTTGGTGAAAAAAAATCCACCTTACCAACTACATATAAAAGCACAACTATATATTGGCTTAAAACATACACATACAAATATAAACACGCCCATGCATGAGTCCCATAAATCTCAGATTACAAACTGCTAGTCAAATGCTTTAACTGATCTCAGAATCAGAAACAAGGTGAAGTTCATGCTTCTCCCCCCAAATACCCTTTATTTTTTTTGAGACAGGGTCTCACTGTGTCACCCAGGCTGGAGTGCAGTGGTGCAATCATGGCTCGCTGCAGGCTTAACCTCCCCAGGCTCAGGTGATCCTCTCAACTCAGCCCCCTGGGTAGCTAGGACTGTAGGTATACACCACCACACCTGGCTAATTTTTGTATTTTGGTAGAGACGGGTTTTGCCATGTTGCCTAGGCTGGTCTCGAACTCCCGAGCTCAAGTGATCTTCCTGCCTCAGCCTCCCAAAGTGCTGGGATTACAGGTGTGAGCCACCATGCCAGGCCTGAAAATGCTCCTTCTTGATAGCATAACAGGATGACTATAGTCAATAATAATTTAATTGTACATTTAAAAATAACTAAAAGAGTGCAAGTGGACTGTATGTAACACAAAGGATAAATGCTTGAGGGGATGGAAAAAATAAACAAAATACTATATGTAAAGGAAAAAAAACTTAAAAAGTTCCCCTTCTGCCAATTTCTTCCTGAAAATCACAGGGAAGTCATGATGCATACAGGGAGGGAGGAGCTGAGAGTGTGCTGCCAACACGAATGGCTCTCCCAGCTCTGGGGCGGAGGCCAACTGCTCATGCCTGATTACACTAAAATGCTGCAGATCTGGAGCCACCTTTCCTTCAAGCGCATTTGGACGGGATAACTCATAAGGACATAGTATGCTTATCTGAAAGTCATGGCCTGATTACAGAAATCAGAAACAATTAGGTAATCTGTCTGACAAACTCCATCTCCCCTGCAGTGTTAGGAGAACGCCCTGTGCTTCACAGAGAAATGAACTCAATTCATAGTAGTTACATACCTGGAGTAGCTGCAACTCCTAATATTTCTGAGCAGTATTTGGCATATTCACTTGCAGCATCCAGCGATGTGTTGGTATGAAGAGACTGATCAACTTTGCTCAAAACAATCTGGCGCAGGGTCAGAAGACCTAATAACATAAGAATGTTTGGGCATGTTTTGAAGAAGACAGAACTGTGTGTTTTATTATCACAAGATTGTAGATTCCAAAAACAGATTCCAGTAGTACTCACAAAATGGGAGCAGGACATCTCATTCTACTTAAGATTTAAAAGGAGATGTGGTTTTTTGCCTCAGACAAAATTCCGGGGTTTCCTATTCCAATATATTTAATGTTCTTCACTCCTCATGCTAGCACGGTTGGGATACCACTTAAAATGAAAATAAGTTCTACAGAAGAAGGTGACAGCAATTCTACATTAAGAGATTCTAATTTATTTTCCTTTTTAAAATTAGAAGTCATACCTGTGTTGACCAGCCTAGAAGCAACAAGTTTTTCAAGCAGATCGTCTGCAATAGGGCTTCCATCTTTATAATGTTTTGACAATCTTCGGAGGGAATCGACGTCCCACACCCAATTTTCAAGCATTTGCGATGGCACCTCTACAAAGTCAGTTTCCACATTTGTTCCGCTAAATCGTGCAAAATCAGTCTAGAAAGCAAACACAGAGAATTTTTTTAAAGAACTCAATGAAAGTACATATGCAATGAATAATTATTAAGAGTCACGAAAACTTAAGGCAGAATCAGACTCAACTGTTCCTCTGAATGAGGGGTTAGAATAACCTCATAGTCAAGTGAAAATAAAACACAGCAGCTGAACAGTGTGAAAAACAACCCCCAAATACTCTATATTACAGTAGTAATTTCATTCCTTTGAATTGTAGACAAAGTTGGAACAATCATCAGAAAACCAGAACTGAAAAATACAATCAGTCTAAGCTAAAAACAAGCCTTAAGCTTTGAAAGCAGAAGTATTTTTAAAGAATTTTCCATTAAAAATGAAGAGATCCATTAAACAAGCAATTTCTCCCTAGCTCCTCCTTCCAATTGCTTACTTTTGTTTACTCAATCCATGCCTTTCTGGGGCACTCATCACTCTATTGCTTAGGTCTCAATCCATGCCTTTCTGGGGCACTCATCACTCTATTGCTTAGGTCTTAACTACTTAGGTCTTAACCAAAATTAATTAAAGAGTTAAATCACAACATTATAGACTTTGAGTGTGCGATGCTTTGCATTTTAAACTTTAAATGAGTGGTTCTAAGATTACCATGTTGTAGAAAGTCAGATTTCTACCTCTCAGATTGGGTAGACAATGTTACCTTAAAATAAGAAGCTGCTTTAGTAGGAGTTAGGTTTGTAAATTAATTGGCAAGTGGAGTGAGTTATATGCTATAGGAAAAGAGAAACAACGGATGTATTCAAAAGTTGGAGCACTCCTGGTAAAAACAAACGACCTATTCTGAAGGCCTGAGCTAAGAGTTAAAAAAACAAAAGAGGTTTAAAAAGAGTTTAATGAAACCAAGTTTAGTAAATTCTTGAGTCAGACGTCAGAAAAGCTCTCAAGTAGAAAAACAGAGATTCACTAAAACAGGCTAGTGTTTTTTTAACCTTCACACAGTCCTTCAAACACTTGTAAAACTGCCATTGGCAGAGAAGACAGCATTTATCCTACTGGGTCATCTGCAGAATGGGGCTCCTCATTCCGTTGTCTTTCACTGAACCTCTGTCCTGTTTTTCTCCTCTGATGCATTACATTCCATCCTTCTCTCCCTGACTTCATCATCCCTGGGGCTCCACACGGAGGGGAAAGGGAAGAGGGATGTAACCACCAGAGAAGGCAGCAGATGGGGTGCCGAATCAGCAGCAAATACCCACTCTGCTTTTTGGCCCAGGGCAGAGGCACAGATGTCAACGCCATCTCACATTCTGCCTTCCTCTCTTTATGCAAAAAAATGTTTTGCTTGATTTCTCATTATAATTGTGCCGATTCTAGATATGAAGAGATGCAAATATTAAAGGGGCAAGGATAACTAAATTCACTAGTTGTGGAATTAAGCCACCTCTATTGAGGACATCCCAATAAAAAAAATCTTGCAGGGAAAGAGGTAAGGGTCCCCAGAAATTGAATATTTTATCTCATTATGGTATATGATAGTGTAAGATTACATCTTATATCATAAATAAAACAATCTTATACAATAATAATAGCTAACATCTGTTGAGACTTTCCTATGTTAGGCATTACAGGCATACCTTACAGATATTGTGGGTTTAGTTCCAGACCACTGCAATGAAGTGAATATCACAATAAAGTAAGCCACACAAACTTTTTGATTTCCCAGTGCAGATGAAAGTCTATAAATTTACATTATACTCTAGTCTATTAACTGTTCAAAAGAATTGTCTAAAAAACAATGTACATGGCTGGTGCGGTGACTCACGCCTGTAATCCCAGCACTCTGGGAGGCGGAGGTGGGTGGATCACCTGAGGTCAGGAGTTCGAGCCAGCCTGGCCAACATGATGAAACTCTGTCTCTACTAAAAATACAAAAATTAGCCAGGCATGGTGGCGGGCACCTGTAATCCCAGCTACTCAGGAGGCTGAGGCAGGAGAATTGCTTGAACTTGGGAGGTGGAGGTTGCAGTGAGCCAAGATAGCACCAGTGCATTCCAGCCTGGGCAACAGAGTGAGACTCTGTCTCAAAAAAAGAAAAAAAAAAAATCAAAACCAAAAACACCCACAAAGACAATGTATACACCTTATATGTTAAAAAATGCTAATGATCATCTGAGCCTTTGGCAAGCTATAATCTTTTTTGCTGGTGGAGGGTCTTGCCTCCATCAATGTTGATGGCTGCTGACTGATCATGGTGGTAGTTATAATCAGGGTGCTAACTGATCAGGGTGTAATTATGGAAGGTTGGCATGGCTGTGGCAATTTCCTTCTTCCTTTTTTTCTTTTCTTTCTTTCTTTTTTTTTTTTTGAGACAGGGTCTTGCTCTGTTGCCCAGGTTGGAGTGCAGTGGTATGATCTCAGCTCACTGTAACCTCTGCCTCCCGGGTTCAAGCGATCCTCCCGCCTTACCTTCCCTAGTAGCTGGGACTACAGGTGGGCACCATCATGCCCGGCTACTTTTTGTATTTTTAGTAGAGATGGGGTTTCACCATGTTGGCCAGGCTGGTCTCAAACTCCTGACCGCAGGTGATCCACCCACCTCGGCCTCCCAGAGTGCTGGGATTACAGGTGGGAGCCAACGCAGCCAGCCGCTATTTCTTAAAATAAGACAAAGATGCAGTTTGCCATATCAATGGACTGAATCTTCCTTTCATGAAAGATTTCTTGGTAGCATGCGATGCTGTTAGATAGCATTTCACCCACAACAGAATGTCTTTCAAAATTGGAGTCAATTATCTCAATACCTGCCACTGCTCTACCAACTAAGTTTATGTAATATTCTAAAATCCTTCGTGGTCAGTCATTTCAACGATATTCATAGCATCTTCACCAGGAGTAGATTGCATATAAAGAAGTCACTTCTGTTGCTCATCCTTAAGAAGCAACTCCTCATCTCTTTAAGTTTTATCATGAGATTGCAGCAATTCAGTCACATCTTCAGGCTCCACTTCTAATTTTAGTTGTCCTGCTGTTTCTACCATATCTGCAGCTCCTTCCTCCACTGAGGTCTTGAACCCCTTCCTCAAAGTCATCTATGAGGGTTGAAATCAATTTCTTACAAATTTCTGTTAATGTTGATATTTTGATCTCTTCCCATGAATCATGCATGTTCTTAATGGCATTTGGAATGGTGAATCCTTTCCAGAAGGTTGTCAATGTACTTTGCCAAGATCCCTCAGAGAAATTACTATATATGGCAGCTGTAGTCTTATGAAATGTATTTCTCATAATAATAAGACTTGAAAGTTGAAATTACTCCTCGATCCATGGACAGCAGAATGGCTGTTGTGTTAGCAGGCATGAAAACAACATAATCTTCTGGAACATCTCCATCCAAGCTCTTGTCTGACCAGGTGCTTTGTCAAGGAGTGGTAATATTTTGAAAGGAATCTTTTTTTTTTGAGTAGTAGATCTCAACAGTGGCTTAAAATAGTCAGTAAACCATGCTGTAAACAGATGTGTTGTCATCCAGGCTTTGTTGTTTCATTTATAGGGCACAGGCAGAGTGGATTCAGCATAATTCTTAAGGGCTCTAGAATTTTCAGAATGGTAAATAAGCATTGGCTTCAACTTCAAGTCACCAGCTGCATTAACTCCTAAGAGGAGAGTCAGCCTGTCCCTTGAAGCTTTCAAGCCAGGCATTGACATCTCTCTAGCATTCCTGAAAGTCCTAGACGGCATCTTCTACCAATAGAAGGCTATTTCATCTACATGGAAGATCTGTCATTTAGTGTAGCCACATTCATCAATGATCTTAACTAGATCTTCTGGATAACTTGCCACAGCTTCTAAATCAGCAATTGCTGCTTCACCTTGCACTTTTATGTTATGGAAACAGCTTCTTTCTTTAAAACTCATGAACCAACCTCTGCTACCTTCCAACTTTTCTTCTGCAGCTTCCTCACTTCTCTCAGCTTCATAGAATGGGAGTTAGGGTCTTGCTCTGGATTAGACTTTGTCTTAAGGGAATGTTGTAGCTGGTTTCATCTTCTACCCAGACCACTAAAACTTTCTCCACTCAGCAACAAGTCTATTTTGCTTTCTTATTATTTGTGTGTTCATTGGAGTAGCACTTGTAATAACTTTCAGGAACTTTTTCCTTTGTTTCATAACTTGACTGACTGGCACAAGAGGCCTATCTCATCTTTTGACATGCCTCCCTCGTGAAGTTTGATCATTTCTAGCTTTTGATTTAAAGCAAAAGACTTATGACTCTTCCTTTCACTTGAACACTTACAGATCATTGTAGGGTTATTGACTAATCTAATTTCAACATTGTTGAGTCTCAGATAGGAGGCCAAAAGAGGGGGTGAGAAATGGGAAATGGCCGGTGGAGCAGTCAGTATACATATAACATTCATCAATTAAGTTCACTCTCTTATAAAGAGCATGATTTGTGTTGCCTCAAAACAATTGCAATAGTAATATCAAAGATTGCTGGTCACAATAACAGATATAAAAATAATGGAAAAGTCTGAAATACTGTGAGAATTACAAAAATGTGACATAGAGACATGAAGGGAGCACATTCTGTTGGAAAAATTGCACTGACAGACTTGCCTGGGCAACATGGCAAGACCCTGTCTCTATTTCATAAAAAAGGAAATCACTGATCACAGATCACCATAACAGACACAATAACAATGAAAAAATTGTCCGGGTGTGGTAGCTCACATCTGTAATCCCAGAACTTCAGAAGGCCGAGGTAGGCAGATCATTTGAGGCCAGGAGATCAAGATCAGCTTGGCCCACACGGTGAACCCATGTCTACTAAAAATACAAAAAAAAATTAGCTGGGTGTGGTGGTATGTGCCTGTAATCCCAGCTACTTAGGAGGCTGAGACAGGAGATTGCTTGAACCCAGGAGGTGGAGGTTGCAGTGAGCTGAGACTGCACCACTGGACTCCAACCTGAGCAACAGGGTGTGACTCCATCAAAAACAAAGAAAAAAGTGAAATATTGTGAGAATCCCAAAACGTGAACAGAGACAAGAAGTAAGCACATGCTGTTGGAAAAACAGCACTAACACACTTGTTTAAAGCATGGTTGACATAAACCTTCAATTTGTAAAAAACAAAATATCTGTGAAGTACAATAAGTGAAGGACAATAAAATGAGGTGTGCTCATATCATGGGCTCTTTACATGGATTATCTGATTTAAATCCCAAAATAATTGTATGAAGTAACTATTATCTCCCTTTTTGAGATAAGGAAACTAAAGCATACAGAGATTAATGATGTAACTTCAATTTGAAACCAGGCAGTCTGACTTCATAACCCACAATCTTAACCACAAATGCTAACTGTCTCCGTATCTTAGAGTAAAATGGAAAAAAAAGGTTAAATGATATTACAAAATGACTAAATCCTCTTGGATGGGATCTAAAATACAAAAGTCTTATATCAAACCCTCCTTTATGTGAAGAGTTAAAGTGAGTTTTCAGTGTGCTTCCTTAGAAATTTGACTTCTTCTTTATACTGGAAGATTTTTCAAAGATCAAACATGAAGCTGAAGTGTAAAGACCAGCCTTTGTAACCATCTATCCTGAACTTGCGATTCTGCAATACTACTGATGGCAGTGGTGGCCCATCTCGGCTGCAGTGGGGGAAGCGTGGCTGGGGCTGTGCGCTCCATGGAGCTGGCAGGAGCCAGGAACAGGCAGAAAAGTCCTTCCCCCTTCTAAGTTGGCAGGGCAAGAGCCTCACCCTCCTGGGCATAGCTGCAGCTGCCCAAGCTGTGGCTGCTGACCCAGGTATGCCTGTGCTCTTGGGGGCCAGGAGCAGGCAGGAGCCCTACCCTCCTGGGCACAGCTGCGGTTTCCTAAGCCATAGATGCAGACCTGGGCATCCCTGTACTCTTAGGGGCTGGAAGAAGGCAGGAGCCCCACCCTCCTGGGTGTAGCTACAGCTACCCAGCCATGGCTGCGGACCCAGGCATCTCTGTACTCTCAGGGGCCCCGGAAGCTCCCCCAACCCATTAGCGGCACCTGCTCTGATCTTGGAGCAAAGCTGAGGTCAATCCCAGGCACTGTCACAACCTGGCCAGGTGTCCATATGCTCAGGACAGCACTGACATGCCAGCCCCTTGCTGCCTCAGCCCCTACTGAACTTTGGGCACTGACGAGCATGGGAGGGAAGCTGAGGGGGGAACTGAGCGTGGCTTGGCACTGGCCTGCAGGTGCCCCTCTGCATGAACAGCCTGGGCACCATAAACAGTGGTAGCAGGCAGACAGGTTCCTGGGCAGAAAGGGGTGGGTCCCTGGTGAAGCCCCACCTTCAAGCCAGGGAAGGCCTGAAGCCTGGGGGCCAGGCTGCCAGTCCTGCAGACCAGAGTGGGAACTTATGGTGCTTTTGCCAGGCCCACCCATAAGCCAATCAGCCTGCACGTTCTCCCCTCTGAAGCCCATAAAAACACTGGACTCAGCCAGACTTGAGCTGATGTCAGGACAACCAGCTGCAGAGAGGAGCTACCCACTCCAGGGTCTCCTCTCTGCTGACAGCTGAGCAGACATCGGGACGATCAGCTGTAAAGAGGAGCTACATATCCCAGGGTCTCCTCTATACTGAAAGTTGAAAAGATGGTGGGACAAACCAGCTGCGGAGAGGAACTACCCACCCCAGGGTCTCTTCTCTGCTGAGAGCTGAACCCTCTACAGGATGACCTACCTGTGGAGAGGAGCTATCCACTCCAGGGTCTACTCTCTGCTGATAGCTGAACACTCACATTGGTACACCCTGGTTGTGGAGAGGAGCTACCCATTGTGCGTCTCCTCTAAGCTGTTCTATTGCTCAGTAAAGCTCCTCTTTGCCTTGCTCACCCTCCACTTGTTCGTATACCTCCTTCTTCCTGGGCACGGGACAGGAACTCGGGACCTGCCGAATGGTGGGGCCTAAAGGGCTATAACACAAACAGGGCTGAAACATGCCCCTTGCTCGCCATGCTGTGGGCAACAAGGAGAGAAGAGTTGTGGCCCTTCAGGGAACCCAGACCTAGGAGCTCCCTGAGCTAGGGCTGTGATACCTTCTTTGGGGCTATGTGGTTCCCAGCGTCTCTAAGCTTCTGGGTGCCACTGTGTTCCCCAGTGCCAGCTGTGAAAGCTGCTTGTGGTACGCCTGGTCCGGCTGCAGCCTTGCAGGCAGCCTTGCCTCCAGCGCCTGTGCTGGCACCTGGAGCTGCTTGCACCGCCATAGCCAGCATGCCTGGCTGTGTGCAGTGGCTGGACCCCATGCTTGCTCACTCATGCACCCCTTGCCACTCCACTTGCCCTTGGCAGGCATGGGATCCAGGCCAGTAGTGCGAGCTGAGTGCAGCCTGCCAGGCTGAGTGGGCCCAGTGGGCCCAAGCAAAACCTGGGCAAAGGTACCACTGGTCACAGAGGTTTCTGGCTGGTGATGCGACACCCCAAGGATCCCGTGACACTACTGCACAATTTTCTCAAGGTGATGGTTTTTAAATAGGTACTAACAGCAAATAAAGGCCAAATCACACCATCAGCCACCACCATATGATATACTGACAAAAATACAGACTTTGTATATCCTGCTTGTATGAAGATTTTTCAGTCATTAGTTGCATATGAGGGAGGAAGTCAACCCCAAATGACAACAAAAATGTGTGTATGTGTGTTTGTGTGTGTAGGGGAGGATTCAATATCCAGAAAAAAAATACACAAATGATAATTCATGAGCTAGAGTAAAAACTGAATAAAATAAGAACACAGTTAATGTCATGCAGAGTAGAGAAGAGAGCGCTTATTCTATTCAAAAGCCATTTTGTAGCTGGGGAGACAGCACAGCAAATGAATGAAAGATCAACAATGTCTTCTAAAGAACAAAAGGAAATGTTTGTAAGGAGAAAAAGCTAAAAATAACCCTAGTGCTTACTAATTTCCCGAAAGTTGGTCATGCTGTTTCTCTGTGAGCCCTTTGGGCAACATCATTTAAATATTTTTCAAAAAAGGAGGACAAAGA
This sequence comes from Homo sapiens, assembly GCF_000001405.40. Classification (NCBI taxonomy): domain Eukaryota; kingdom Metazoa; phylum Chordata; class Mammalia; order Primates; family Hominidae; genus Homo; species Homo sapiens. The sequence goes on along the minus strand of NC_000005.10, from coordinate 65,801,512 downwards.
ACCTACAAAATTTGAAAGCTCAATTTGCAGCAAACAACCGAATTCTCAAGAGAAAGGAATGCAGTCAGCCACTGTGTATGTCCACACAGAAACCATGGGTAAGACTCACAATCTAGCAGCCTAATGGATCTTATACAAAACAGCATGGGTGCTGAACCATTACTCACTGTTGACCAGCCAACAAATACCATTCCCCAGTTTTTAAACTATAATCCAAAGAACCCTAAAAAAGTACTTCATATAGTTATCAATGCAAACAATTTGAAGGTGTTGGTAATAGTTGCTTATGGGCCATGATAACTATTGATGCTAATGTATTTCCCAGATAAAGCAGTAAAAAACACACAAAATAATCCAATTAACAAATATTTTTTGTAGCTGACACTTCAAAGAGTTTTAGGGCATTTTTTTTGCTGCAGGAAATATTTAGATAACAAAAGCCTAGAAAACAATGTAAACTTAGATTCCTGTTTGGTTAGAAGTTCTTGAGAGGAAGACAGTTGTCTAAATACACGATTTTGGCCAGGCACAGTGGCTCATGCCTGTAATTCCAGCACTTTGAGACGTAGAAGCAGGAGAATTGATTGAGCTCAGGAGTTCAAGATCAGCCTGGGCAACATTGTGAAACCCCATCTCTACAAAAACTATAAAAAAATTAGCTGGGCATGGTGGTGCATTCCTGTAGTCTCAGCTACTCAGGAGTCTGAGATGGGAGGATCGCTTGAGCCTGGAAGGTGGAGGCTGAGGCTGCAGTGAGCCATGATCATGCCACTGCACTCCAGCCTGGGCAACAGAGTGAGACCCTGCCTCAAAATAAATAAATAAATAAATAAATAAATAAATAAATAAGAGAGTTTTCTTCACTATCCAAGCTAGAGTGCAGTGGCAGAATCTCAGCTCACTGCAAGCTCCGCCTCCTGGGTTCACGCCATTCTCCTGCCTCCCGAGTAGCTGGGGCTACAGGCGCCCGCCACCATGTCCAGCTAATTTTTTGTATTTTTAGTAGAGATGGGGTTTCACCGTGTTAGCCAGGATGGTCTCGATCTCCTGACCTCGTGATCTGCCCGCCTCTGCCTCCCAAAGTGCTGGGATTATAGGCATGAGCCACCATGCCTGGCTGTCTTTACTATCTTTTAAACAAACAATAGGATGTCTAAAATGTACTCTGTTTCAGATTTTTACAACAGATAACTTGATGCTATAGAGATTAACTTTGCAATTCCTACAGTGCAATAAGAACAGGAACAGAATCATATAAATTGAAGCTTCGGAAGTCCTATGAGCTTCTGCTGTATTTAAAGGCCTAAATCTTACATGTGACTGTTCTAATTAAGAGAACAGTTGCTTTTAATGGCTACAACTAAGTGTTATTTCCATGATAGCAAATCCCAACTCAAAGAAAAGGCAGTTGCTGAAATCAATAAGTGTATTGTGCTCATGAAAAAGGACAGGCCTCAGGAGACCTGACATTGGCTGTCTGAGGTGATCCAGTACTGATTTCTTAGCAGTCATTCCACATCCTGGCCTGTCTAATCTATCCCTAAATCCAGGGATGATGGAGAAGTTTATATAACAAGGCAAGGTATTTTTTTTTTAAAGTGACCACTATCTACTAGACTTTGCCATAAACAGATGATTAAAAGGCCATAGTTTTAACTTCACACATACCGAGTGATCACTGGAAATAATAGTAATAAAGATAATGTGTTGACATCCTTCTTTATCTTCACAACTGCCCTATAGTTCAACAGTTCAGTATCACCATCATCCTTTAAAGGACCCAGGAAATAACATAATTTGGAGAAGTTTTGAATACTGCATATTAAGTTCACAGGCTTGCTCCCAAACTAGCTGTACCTTCCTGATCAGGTACATCTTATTTAAACTGCTTCTTTTTAAGATGAAAACAAATAAAGGTACTATTCAAACTCAAATGCTAGAGAGTATGCTTTATTCACCACTGTATTTCCAAAATCCAGCACAGAAAGTAGAGGATGTCCAATAAATATCTGTGAAATGGATGAAGCCCTGGGGAGAATATTTCTGTATGAAGATTCAAACTTAAACAACTCAAAGATATTTTCCCTTGTTATCATTCTTGACCTCAACCTCTCACCTCTCTACTTTTTTTCAATACTTAAAATTCTACTTTTATTATTTTACTTAATATTATGCTTTTAATTTTTTATTTGTTGCACTTCATGTCCTCAAGCTAAATTCTGAACATTCAAGATACTATAACTTTTCTTTCTTTTGAACCCCATCCTACCATAGGTAATATGACATGTCAGACACATAGTCAATAATTCTGTTTCTTAAAATAACTATATAGGCTGGGCATGGTGGCTCACACCTGTAATCCCAGCATTTTGGGAGGCTGACTTGGGCAGATTGCTTGAGCCCAGGAATTCAAGATCAGCCTGGGCAACATGGTGAAACCCTATCTCTACAAAAAATACAAAAATTACCCTGGTGTAGTGGTACATGCCTGTGGTCCCAGCTACTTAGGAAGCTGAGGTGGGAGGATCAACTGAGCCTGGAGAGGTGGAGGCTACAGTGAGCCATGATTGTGCCACTGCACTCCAGCCTGAGTGACAGAGTGAGACCCTGTCTCCAAAAACAAACAAACAAAAAACTAAACATCCCTCTCTTTAAAAAATATTTTGATTTTTAAAAAATAATACATGTAGAAAATGCACTAAGCAAATGAAAGAAATAAGCACATTCCCAAATAAACATTATGCATTAATACATTCATATTTTGGTTTATGACTTCATTTATTTTATTTACACATGTATGTATTGTTTATATATGTATAAGCAAACAAATAAAATAACAAAAAGAAGATCTTGAAAGAAATTACATCTGATGTTAAAGTCACAAACTAAAACAGTGTGCAGGAGTTGGGGCTAGGGAGACAGGGTGACAGCAGAGGCCACAAAGCTGATGATAGGGAGTTCACTGCATTTTAGGACTGAAACCTCAACAGTCAACTCACACAGAGGGAAACCTAGAAATAAATAAATGCATTCATTCCACATTTGCATTCATTCTACATTATTAGAGTGTCATTTAATAAACTTAGGAGAAGGAAGCCCATCCAACACATTTGGAAGACCAAATTCAGACCATGAATAATAGTATTGTCTCCAGTGCATGGAATGGGAGCGCAAATACGCAATAAAGTAGAGCAGTTAGGTCATGACTATTGGACCCTGGGCAGGTCCTTCTATGTCTCAGATTTTTCATTTGGAAAATGGGGACAATAACAGTACCCATCTACTTCAGAGCGTACTGTGAAGATAAAAATGAATGAATGTAAAGCAGTGTGTATATTTCCTGGCACCTGGTACATGTTCAGTAAGTCTCAGCTGCCTATCTTCTTCTGAGCCTGCATATTCTGCCTGACTAGGTATGGTCTTGGCTGGTCTAACCTTGTCTTTCGCTTGTCTTTCGCTTCCTGGGGGTTAATACTGGAGATAAACATACCCACATTGCTCTTCAGCTAATCCTCCATCACTCCCAATACTCCAAGCTGCTCTTTCTGTTACTGTTTCAGGTATCAAATTCTAAGTAGGCAGCAATCATGAAAACAAAACAGAACCAAATACAAACGTGAGGGTTTCCAATCACCTTCCACAGATCTTCACTCAAAACCCACTGAAGGTAAGCATTTGTGAATTCTGTTGAACCTCAAGTGGCAGTAAATTGTCTCAGGGCAGATGGTCTTTTTTACCCCCTTTCTAGTTTTGAGTTGTATATTGATCTCAAAAGAGTTGAATTATACATAAGCATAGTTTCAAGAATACTTCACGTACATATGGCTCCTTATGCTTTTCCAAATGCCTTTTCACATATGCTTGGTTTAATTCTCCCAATCGTCCAGGGAAGTACATAGAATTGCTGTTGTCCCCATTTTCTGAATAAGAAAAATGAGATGGTTCAAAGAGTTTAAATAACTGTCCCCAAGTCATACAGCCAGGTCCACAGATACACAAATGATGTTTGATCCAGTGCTCTTGTCATAACACCAGGGTGCCTTCCTGACTAATACAGGGTACATTTATCTACAGCAGAATCTAATCCAAATATTTAGAGCAGACAAGCTGCTTTATTTATTAGTTTTTAACCAAATTAATGATTTCATGTCACACAATTTGAAGTTCTTCTGCCCATCCCTTTCACGTTTAATTAAGAAGGCTTTAGTGTAATTCTTATGTGTTTCCTTAGAATAACGACATCTTTACAGTTCAAAATTCATCACCGCTCTTAATGTACAACACAACACAGACATCACAATGGAGGCTAAGAGGCATTACTATTCTACAGAAGTTCAAAGGCTAGTGATTACTGACAGCTCAAACCACAATAAAGCCATGCAACAGGAACAGATACTACAGATATCACCTCTTGATTGCTATCTTCAAAATTACCTACCTACCCTGTAAACGTAATACGAGTGAAACTCACGTCCTGAATGAAGAGATAGCAGACATATTGAACTAGTGCATCTACATGTTTGAAAACGGGATGTTCTTGCCAACATGTTTAAATATTACGATGACAAGCTCAAACGAGCCCTTCTAGTCATGAAACCTGCCAACTGCCACAGTGGAGAGCTCAAACACTGAGCTGCCATTTCTTAAAACCAATGTACTGAATACATATGGCAAATTTTTAATTCACTATATGTTTCTTAGGTAAGCTGGAAGTATTAGTGAACATAGAAGTTGTCAATCTCTGTTTTCACTATCATCCATTTTAGGTCAGTACAAAAGGCTTTGAAATTATAAATTTGCAAATATATGGATCGGTGCCTATGAAAAACAAAAGTAGTGATCACTTGTGATGACCTTAAAAGTTCTTAAAATATTACAGGCTATCTGAAAGGATTAATAGACAAGAAGAGATTTTTCAAAGATAATCTCATGAAGATATGACCAAGTAAAGAATTGTACCAACACATTATTCATCAGTATGACACATTTGTGCTCATGGATGAGGTTAGGCAAAACTTTAAGAACTGAATATGTCTACTGTTTCAAGAGAGAAACACTAAGCTGGTGAATGCAATATATATATTAATAGTTCAGTCACGAGTCAGACAGCTCTAAAATGTCAGAGTACCAAGAAAAGATCTTTCTAGTACTAAAGTGACTATCTCAAAAGATCACAATTAATGTAAGAAATAATGGGAACAATGGAATGAGTTGTGGAGAACTGATGGAATACATGGTAAGCATATGATAATAAGTTGATAAGAGGACTGTGCCTGAAAAACGAACATGCATCAAGAGCACTGAAAACCCTATTTGAAGATCACTATTATCTTAATAAATGTGATTAAAAGACCAAAATGCTTCCTTGTGAAATCATCAAATAAGAAGGAAACTGCTATAACTCAGGAGTTCTTAACTTGAGATTCATTATGGTGAGGGCTTCGAGGGGTCTGTGAGCCTTTTGGAATTTCATGCATATTTGTAGGTGTATTTTTCTACAAGAGGTACCCACAGCATAAATCAGATTTTCATAGGGTCCTCAGATCCAAAAATGTGAGCATCCACTATTTTAAAAGCAGGTCATTATTAATCTATGTACAAACATATAACTGGATTTTGGATAATATAAGTAATATACCATAAGTCTAAAATTAAGAAAAATATTTTTGACTTCTAAATTACAAAAAATTTTTTTAAATGTAAACTGGAGTTATCCTAATTAAAGGAAATGTCAACCACAGTGTGGACATTGATAGAAGGTCCACACGATAAATATTTCAGGAATCCTAGTGCTATGATAATAGACTTTATTTATTTATTTATTTTGAGACAGAGTCTCACTCTGTCACCCTGGCTGGAGTGCAGTGGCACGATCTTGGTTCACTGCAGTTTCTGCCTCCTGGGTTCAAGCGATTCTCCTGCCTCAGCCTCCTGAGTAGCTGGGATTACAGGCATGTGCCACTATGCCCGGCTAATTTTTGTATTTTTAGTTGAGATGGGGTTTTGCCATGTTGGCCAGGCTAGTCTCGAACTCCTGCCCTCAGGTGACCCACTTGCCTGGGCCTCGCAAAGTGCTTGGATTACAGGTGTGAGCCACCATGCCTGGCCTATCTTATTTATTTTTTGAGACAGGCTCTGGCCCTATTGCCCAGGCTGGAGTGCAATGGCACACTCTCAGCTCACTGCAACTTCCACCTTCCAGGCTCAAACCATCCTCCCCCTTCAGCCTCCCAAAGTGCTGGGGTTATGGGTGTGAGCTGCCATGCCTAGCCTTGCAAAGCCTAGCCACACTACCGCACCCAGCTAATTTTTTTTATTTTTGGTAGAGATGGGTTTTCACCATGTTGCCCAGCCTGGTCTTGAACCCCTAGGGTCAAAGCAATCCTCCTGCCTCGGCCTCCCAAAGTGCTGGGATTACAGGCATGAACCACCACGCCCAGTCAGTGCTATGAAAATGAATTTTAAAAACACCTAAGAAAGAAAGATTATTCTGAAAGATTTATTTTCCTTGGATTAAAGAGAGATTAAAAATGGCCATATCAGGACATTTCTCTGGACATACTCATATACTATTCCCCTCTGTTTTTTAAAACAAAAGATGGAAGCACCAGGTTAAAGATAAAATGTTGAAAGAACCAGTTTTTAAACAAAGGTGACAGAATTATTTTGGAAATGAATGGGTACATTTTGGGTTATTACAATGATTAGGGCTACTCTGGGATATAGGGATGCTGGATGCACAGGACTGATTCTGCACATGTCAGGACAACAAAAAGACTGTTCCATATCCTGCTCGTCATTCATACCCCCTGCTGGACTATTCACATAAATCAAAAAAACTAGCTGTAACTAAACCGAGAAACTAACCCCACTGTACATATTTTTGCAAAGCATTTTTTTTTTCTTTTGAGACCGGGTCTCACTTTTTCACCCAGGCTGGAGAGCAGTGGCGCGATCACAGCTCACCGCAGCCTCGACCTCCTGGGCTCAGGCAATCCTCCTGCCTCAGCCTTCTGAGTAGCTGGGACTACAGGTGTGTGTCATCATACCTGGCTAATTTTTGTATCTTTTGTAGAGACTGGGTTTCACAATGTTGCTGGTCTTGAACTCCTGAGCTCAGGCGATCTGCCGCCCTTGGCCTCCCAAAGTGCTGGGGTTGTGGGTGTGAGCTGCCATGCCTAGCCTTGCGAAGCATTTTTTACACCATTTTAATTTCTAAGACTACAAGTACTAGGATCTACTGTGTAAGTTGAAGTGAGATTACTTTCTTTTGAAGTTTCCCAGGAGGTGTTCATCATTTTGGAACCTCATGCCACCATTGTCAGCACTGTTCTAGGACCTGAGCTGACAACATAAACCACTTCCATCAGTTTGCACTTGCTGCTGCTCCATTCAGGGTTACTTCCATACAGTGCAAACCTCCAGCATACTTCATTATGTCTTACTGCATAGTCATATCCAAGCATTATCACTTGAAAAATACAAAAATTTCTTCTATTTATATTCAGTGAGGACACCGTATGGATTTAAGAAGATTCTCTGTATAAAGACCATTAAGGAAAACTAGTAAAATCCAAATAAACTGTGGTGTTCAGTCTGGAGTACTGTATCAATGCTGGCTTCTTAGCTATGACAAATGTGCTATTGGAATGGAAGATGTTACAAGTAGGGGTGAGAGGCTGAGGGGTATACAGGCAATCCTTATATCATCTTTGCAAGTTTTCTATGAATCTAAAAGTATCCTAATAAAAATGTTTTTGTTTTTGTTGTTGTTGTTTTTTAAGTCTACCTTTAGAGACATACAGAGATTTCAAATTTGGAAAACTGTACCTTCATTTCTGTTACTATCAGTTTTTTGGGTGGTTTTCTTTTTTTTTTTTTTAAGTCAAGGTCTGCTCTGTCACCCAGGCTGTGGTGCAGTGGCACAATCATGGCTCACTACAACCTCAACCTCCTGAACTCAAGTGATCCTCCCACCTCAGCCTCCCGAGTAGCTGGGACCACAGGCACATACCACCATGCCTGGATAATTTTTGTTTGTTTTACCACGTTGCCCAGGCTGTTCTCAAACTCCTAGACTCAAGCGATCCTTCCACCTTGGCCTCCCAAAGTGCTGGGATTACAGGCATGAGCCACCATGCCCAGCCAAATAACAGTATATTTCAACTATTACGGTGAATTGCTGAACTAGACATTTTCATATGTTAATAATGGTTAAATGTTAGCAAGTTCATATGGTTCATGCTAGAATAGTCTGGGCCTAATTAAATGGACTGTATTACAAAGTTGAGAATAAATGTACTTTTTATTTTCAGAAATAAAAAAATCAGTTTTAATCTACTGCACACATACACCTCCACTCTGGCAAATTCTTTGCATGGTTAGACTATATTATCTATGATTTTAATTTGAAGTTAGTAAAGGCAAATGTTACAAAATTATTATTTAAAAATGAGTAAAGGGTCTAAGAGGATTGAAAAACCACTAAAGTAAACAAAGCATTGATAAGCAGAAGAGACAGATTACAGCACAGTTTTTCTGAGAAATTTATATCAAATTCCTAAAGGATTAAAAGGAAAAAGCAAAGTATTTGTAACCTTTCCTTACAGATAGTCTTATTCTTTTTCCATAGGCTGTTATTCAACAAACATCTTTCACTGGTAGATGAACCTCCAAGTAAAAATATGTTGTGAAAGAGGACAGGATAAGGAAAATTTTGGTTTTGCAGAAGGCCTATAAAATTCTTGAACACATTCAGCTTCTGAAAAAACCTGTTAGGAGCAGAAACCTGACAGCAGTCAAGAAGTTTTCTAAAAAAACTAATTGGCAGGTTTACTGGGGGAAAAAAAAAACTCACCTGTGCACAAATCTGATGCATCACGTGACCAAACTCATGAAAGTAAGTCCTCACCTCGTCGTGTCTCAGGAGAGAGGGACGACCTGCCACTGGCTGTGAGAAGTTCACCACGAGGGCAGCCACTGCCATCATCCGGCTTCCATCAGGCAGAAGGCAGCCAGGCTGGAGACCGAAGCAGGCCGCATGATTGTATTTTCCTTCCCTAGGAGCCAGAAACACGCGTTGGCAACATAGGAAAATTCTCCTCTAGCAACTACACTGGCATGGCCTCTTCCAGTCATTAAGCCATATCTGTTACCAGAGATGCCTTTAAACATTAATTTACCTTTTAGAAAGTAGGTTATTTTGCTAAAATGGAAAAACTAAAGCTAAACAAACAATAACCCCACTAACATTCTGTGTGAGCTCCGAAGTTTCTTTTATTGAAAAATCTCGAGGTAAGAATGAAGAATGCATGTCACACCGACAGCTGAATGTCCAATTTATTTTAATGAGGTTCTACTTTTCTTTTTCAAAGATGGGATTACTAAACACTAAACAATGCTGAAACCCACATTTGAAATAAAAGATACAGTTTGACTCACTAGGCAGCCTTTTCATTAAAATCGGAATAAAAAACTGAATTTCTGACGATAAGGTTTTTCCTTTTATTTGAGGAGGAAAGAATCAGTAATCACAATTAAATAAGCTTCTTTTATAAACTAGACAGGCCTTTTTGAAACAGAATGCTTTTAGTTAGCCTGGGAAAATGCATAAATTATACTATCAATTAGACTATTCTTGTACAGTGTCGTATCTGTGTGGTCTTTCCAAAAGCTATTAGACTTCATTCTCCAAAAGCTATCAGACTTCATTTTGGGAGTACGTGTCCTTTCCCCCTTTTCTTTTGCTCAGAAGACTAATAGTACCTGGTCTTTTTATTTTTTTTTTTTTGAGACAGAGTCTTGCTCTGTCATCCAGGCTGGAGTGCAGTGGCATGATCTCAGCTCACTGCAACCTCTGCCTCCCAGGTTCAAGCAATTCTCCTGCCTCTGCCTCCTGAGTAGCTGGTATTACATATATACAACACCACGCTGGTTAATTTTGTTCTCTTGTTTTGAGACGGAGTCTTGCTCTGTTGCCCAGGCTGGGGTGCGGTGGCAAGATACTGGCTAACTATAATGTCCACCTCCTGGGTTCAAATGATTCTCCTGCCTCAGCCTCTAGAGTAGCTGGGACTACAAGTGCCTGCCACCACACCCAGCTAATTTTTGTATTTTTAGTAGAGATGGGGTTTTCCCACGTTGGCCAAGCTGGTCTCAAACTCCTGACCTCAGGTGATCTGCCCTCCTTGGCCTCCCAAAGTGCTGGGACTATAGGTGTGAGTCACTGTGCACAGCCTAATTTTTGTATTTTTACTAGAGATGGGGTTTCACCATGTTGACCAAGCTGGTCTTGAACTCCTGGCCTCAAGTGATCCACCTGCCTCAGCCTCCCAAAGTGCTGGGATTACAGCCACTGCACCCAGACAGTACCTGGTCTTTTTAAAACCTATTCTGAATACCCTTTTTAAAAGTCAGTTAGACAAATAAAACAAGTTAATCCCTTTTACCTTTATGAAGAGAACATCTTAAGATGACAGGAAGTAAGTATTAACTAGGTCACTACTTTCACAAAGATTACTCTCTGTTACCCACACCAGGGTGCTGGTAGCAATGACCAGATCTCTCAGTACAAAAGAAATTAATTATATCCTGGCAGTGAGACAGCAGAATGAGGTAGCAAGAATTGTTATTTGACGCTGGAAAGAAAATCTGAGGACAGTTATAGGAGACTCCAATATTAAAGGATTACTCCTGAAAGAGTTCTTCGGTTAAAACTATATCCTGATACTTTTTATTTAAAAATAAGACTCATCTATATTTGGCAGGGTTTTACTTTTAGGTCATAATATTAGTGAAAGTAAGTCCATAAAGCAGCAGGTGATGTGATTTGGCTGTGTCTCCACCCAAAGCTTATCTTGAATTGTAGTTCTCATAATCCCCACGTGTCGTGGGAGGGACCCAGTGGGAAGTAATTGATTCATGGGGTAGCCAGTCTCATGATAGTGAGTGAGTTCTCACAAGAGCTGATGGTTTCATAAGGGGCTTTCCCCTGTTGGCTTGGCACTTCCCCTTCCTGCCGCCACGTGAAGAAGGATGTGTTTGTTTCCCCTTCTGCCATGATTGTAAGTTTCCTGAGGTCTCCCCAGCCCTGCAGAACTGTAAGTCAATTAAACTTCTTTCCTTTATAAATTACCCAGTCTCAGTCAGTTCTTTACAGCACTGTGAGAAAGGACTAATACACCAGGATAATCACTTAGGTGCTAAAAGACACTTCTGCCCACCAACTAGATGACACAGTTACTCAACCTACTTTTCAGCACTCAAAGTCAGTGGATTACAAACTTGTGTGTATTACTGAATGAGGGGGATACTATACTCTCCTTTGATCTATTTAAATGATTAGTAATTGTAAGAGGTTGACTTTGCTTTAGAAAGTAGCCTGGGGAGAAAGAGATCCAAATCCTTTTGTATCTGATGAAACACTATGGAATCTATAGTTATTACATGCTATAGACACAATTATAACATTTTTATAATTGTTACCACTGATATCTGGGGAAGATGATTTGCACATATAGTCTTTAATGCATAAAACAATCCTGTAAAAGGATTTCCAGTCCCATATTACAGAGGAAGAAACAGAATCTCAAAGAGGTTATGTCACTCAAGCATTCAAACTCAAATCTGACTGACTGCAAAGGTTTTGCTACTTCTACTAAACTGTGCTGCCTCTCAGCCAGACTGAAGGGAGTGGCCATAGATTATTGGCAGACAGATTATCTAATAAATATTTTGGTGCTCAATTTTATTTATTTATGTTTTTTGAGTTAGAATCTTGCTCTGTCGCCCTGGCTGGAGTATAGTGGCGTGATCTCAGTTCCAGGGTTCAAGCTATTCTCATACCTTGGCCTCCCAAGTAGCTGAGACTACAGATGCCTGTTAAATTTTTGTATTTTTAGTAGAGACAGGGTTTCACCATATTGGCCAGGCTGATCTTGAACTCCCGACCTCAAGTGATCTGCCCACCTCAGCCTTCCAAAATGCTGGGATTACAGGTGTGAGCCACCATGTCTGGGTGGTGGTCAATATTCAATTAAGTAAATGTAGTGCACAAACTAGATGATGATGATAATGACAATGGTAGCAGCTAACTCTGATTAAGCCTTTGCTATGTGCTGAGCAGTCTTCTAAATGCTTTGCATGTATTCAACCAATTTAATCCTTACAGTGACCATACAAAGCAGGTACTACTAATATTCCCAGTTTATAGGACCTATAATATAGGTAAGAAAACTGGGGCACAGAAAAATTAAGTAACCTACCTAGTAAATGATGATGCCAGACATTCTGGCTTCAGACCCACATTTTAAATCTGTATACTAAGAAGCCCATGTGAGAAATATGGAAGAGTAGAGTCTTTTTTTAAATTAATTTTTTTAGAGATAGGGTCTAGCTCTGTCACCTAGGCTAGAATGCAGCAGTGTGATAATAGCTCACTGTAACCTTAAACTCCTGGACTCAAGTGATCCTCCTGCTTCAGCACAGCTAGGACTACAGGTGTGCACACCACACCTGGCTAATTTTTCATTTTTTTTTTTTTGAGACAGGGTCTCACTCTGTCACCCAGGCTGGAGTGCAGTGTTGCAATCTTGGCTCACTGCAGCCTCCACCTCTGAGGCTCAAGTGATCCTCCCACCTCAGCCTCTCAAGTACCTGGGACTATAGGCATGTACCACTACACCTGGCTAATTTTTGTATTTTTTGTAGCAACAGAGTTTTGCCATGTTGCCCAGTCTGGTCTTGAAGTCCTAGACTCAAGCAATCCACCTGCCTCGGCCTCCCAAAGTGCTGGGACTACAGGCATGAGCCACCACACTTGACCTAATTTTTAAATTTTTTGTAGAGACAGGGCCTCACTATGTTGCCCAGGCTGGTCTCGAACTCCTAGCCTCAAGCAATCCTCCCACCTTGGCCTCCCAAAGTGTTGGGATTACAGGCATGAGCCACTGTGCCTGGCCAAGAGTAGAGTCTTAAAGTAGGCATAGCTGAATCCCTAAGGTCCCTTCCAACAACGTGATCCTCAGTACCTTGGATAGAGGTCCAAATAGAACTGTCCCAATACTTCTCCTGTAGCTTTATCCTTCACAGTATAAAGTGTAACACTCTTGTTCCAAACATGAGCATCTGTCATTTGTTCAAATGAAAGTCCCAACAACTCCTGGTAGGTGTTCAGCAAGCCTTCAGTGACCACCTCAATTGGGAAGTATTCCTTGAGGAACTCTTGGTCTATGGAATACTTGAGTTCCTCTGTCTGAGTCATGTAGTAATATAGATCCCAGGCATTGATTTTCCCATCATATTCAAAACCCCTGTCTTTGCATTCCTTTTTCTTCAAATTCAAAATAAACTCTCGTTCTGCTTCACCCAAGGGTTTTAACTTCTGGCTTAAATCATCTGTAAGGAAAAGGAAAAGTTAGTGATCTACTTGCTTTTGGAAGCAAGCATACTCATAAATACCACCTGTGTTTTAGCATGGTGCTTCCTCCTTTGCAGTACTCAATACAGATAAATAAGGCGGAAAGAGGTAAAGGAGGAGGAAAAACGTGAGGGAGGAAAGCAGGCTGTATTATGGAAGCACACTTTGCTCTTCGGGGTTATTGATTTTATGGTCCTAGCCCCTTTTTCTTTTAACACCCCCAGAACTGGGCCATGAGTTCCTCAATTCATCACCAAAGCTCAAGTTTATCTCAGAGAACGCTGACTGAAGAATGTTATTCAGGGAAAAAAGCACTAGTGAAACTAAAGTCATGTACATGATTATTCTTCAATGAAGACAGTCAGACTCCTAAGAAAGCTAGGGAAAACACATCAGATGTGACCTGTGGTCAATGTTATCTAGAAATTCCTATCACTGGGTTTAGTTTCTCATTACCCCATTTCTGTGAAGGTTTATCTGGACACAGCAATTCCAGTTTTTAGCTGGAGAAACTTCTGAGAACCACAAATTATATTGCTGTGGTCAATTTTTCACTTTACTGTATTTGGATAAATGAGTATGGTCTTATGTATTTATTTTTTACATTTTGTTACATACGTTACGATAAAAACATGCCTGGCTCTGCAAAGGACATGGCAGTTCAGAAGGCAACCTCACAATGTGAGAGATGGAGGAGCAGCCCGAGGAATACCGTGAAGAGAAGTGAGGAAACTCATGGAGGATACAAAGATATAGTTTTCCATATATATATCCATGTGCATGTGTGCGTGCATGTGTCTGTGTGTGCGCATGTATGTATACACACACACACACACACACATACATATATATATATATAAAGAGAGAGAGAGAGAGTGAGTGAGTTTTGCTATGTTGCCCAGGCTGGACTCCAACTCTCAGATTCAAGGGATCCTCGCACTTTAGCCTCTCAAGAGGACACTTTGCATAGGAATATGCCAATCTCAAATTAGAAGGAAAACTCCTTTAAATGAATTAAGTTAATCAGGTGGTTACTAAGGAAAATTTTAGTGTATGCAATCACCACTGAAGGAAACATTCTTTACAAACCTGTTAACTCTCTGAGCCATCCTCTTGTATACCATGCATCAGACTGTAGAGTAATTACCTGTTCACACTTCTGTTGTTTCTAGTAAGTGACAAATCCATTGAGAAAAAGACCTTGTCTCTTTTTAAAAAATTATTTTTATTTTTAGAGACAGGATTTTGCTCTGTCACCCAGGCTGGAGCACAGTGGCATGATCATGGCTCACTGCAGCCTTGAACTCCTGGGCTCAAGGGATCCTCCCACCTCAGCCTCCCAAGTAGCTAGAATTACAGGCATGTGCTACCATGCCTGGCTAATTTTTAAATTTTTCTGTAGAGACAGGGTTGGGGTCTCTTTGTTTCCCAAGCTGGTCTTGGACTCTGGGTCTCAAGTAGTCCTCTCACCTCGGCCTCCCGAAGTGCTGGGATTACAGGCATGAACTGCCATGCCCAGCCAAAAGGACCTTGTTTTACTCCTTTCTGTAATCCTACTATTTAGCATACTGCCTAAGGCTGAATAGTTATTTCATAAACGTCTCATGAATGAATGAGTGAATTATACAAAAACAAATATGTACCATTTATGGAGTTTAACATTATAGTTACTAGATAACAGTTTTTATACATATTATTTTATATTAGTTATTAGATACTAGTTTTATGTATATTATTTTATATTAGTTTTGTATATTAACAAGTGGTTTCTGGAATATTAAATGTTTTTTGTTTATGTATGTTTTATTTTTATGTACGTCATATTTGTCAGCTTATTTTATACAAATTCATAAGCAGCCATGCTATGACTACTAAATCCCTAGTGAAGAGAATAAAGCCAGTAACTTTAGTAACTCTCTGTTAGAACCTACATGTCATGTTAGGAATTAGTATAAAAAGCCTAAAGAAGATATAAGATACAGTGAAGCCAGGCCTATACTAGCAATATAAACAATAAGCAGTCCCTACAACCAAGCACACTATCTAACACTTAATAGGTGATCAATATACTTCTCTCAAATGAAGGAAAAGTAGGATGTCCTCAAAGGCATATTATGTTCTGAGGCCTTCTGTCTGGTTGACATGGTATAGCAAAACAGTCATAGAAAAAAAAAAAAGAACTAACCTAGAAAGGCTGTTACGCGGCTTGTGCTCTTTGCAGTGTTCATTTCAAGGACGAAGTCAGCATGTGTGCTATAACCGAGTAGTTTGGCCACCTTGGTTCGCAGTGGGAGTAGCTGCTGCAAAATTATGGTGTTTTCCTAGTAATAAACAACAGCAACAAAATAAAGGCTAATCAATAATTTGATCCAAAGCACTAAAAGGAAGAATTACTGTATGTATTTTTAGGTTTGTAAAATTATCAAATATTTTTAGACCATTTAAATTTCTGGTTCCATTTTGGTGTTATAGGCTTTTTTTTTTTTTTTTGGATTCATGATTTCGTTTTATTTCTGAAACAATTTATGACTTTTTAAACTTCAGAACTATGAGGTCTTAATAAAATTGTAGGTGCTACAAACTTAGAGTGAAAATATATTTTTAAGGAATATAGCGAATCCATATTTACTTCTACTGACAGAACTGCACCAAATATTGGTACTTTCAGTTCCTTTGGACATTTTTATTGTGGTAAAATACACATAACGTAAAATTTATCTTTTTAATTTCATACCCAGTTGTATGGCTACTATTTTTAAAAACATAGAAAATGTGCTGGTGAGGAAATGGAGAAATTGGAACCCTTGCACATTGCTGATGAGAATGTAAAGTAGTTTAGCTGCTGTAGAAAACGGTATGGTGATTCCTAAAAAAATTATACCATATGATCCAGCAATTCTACATCTCAGTAAATAACAAAGATAATTGAAAGCAGAGACTCGAAGAGAGATCTATACACCCATGTCCACAGCAGCATTATTTATAACAGCCAAAAGATGGAAGCAACCCAAGTGTCCATGGACAGATATACAGGTAAACAAAATGTGGTATATATATACAATGGAATATAACTCTGCCTTTACAAGGAAGGAAATTCTGACACATGCTACAACATGGATGACCCTTTAAGGTATGCTAAGTGAAATAAGCCAGATACAAAAAGACAAATATTTTATTATTCCACTTATATGAAGTTCCTAGAGTAGTGAAATTCACAGAGACACAGAATAGAATAGTAATTGCCAGGGCCTGGGGATAGGGGATAATGGGGAGTTAATGCTTAATGGGTAGAGTTTCAGTTAAGGAAGATGAAAAAACTCTGCAGGTGGATACAGGTGATGGCTGCAGAAAAATATAAACATATTCTCAATGTGAATATACTTAATGCCACATGCTATGGTCTGAATGTTCCCCAAAATTCATGTGTTGAAACATAATCCCTTTTGAGGTAGTGTTAAATGGCAGGGCCTTTTGGGAATTGACCAATGAATTAGTGCCTTATAAAAGGGCTACAGCTAAAGAACTTGGGCCTTTTCTGCCCTTCCCCCTTCTGCCATGTGAGGATATAGAAAAAAGGCCCTTTCTAGACACTGAATGCCGATGCCCCTTGATCTTGAATTTCTCAGCCTTCAGAACTGTGAAAAATTTCTATTGTTCATAAATTACTTCGTCTGTGGTATTTTGTTATAGCAGCACAAATGAACTAAGGCACCATAAAATTCTGCTTTTAAAAATGTTTCAGGGATTTTTCCCAAATTAACATTACAAATATCTTTTATATTTTATTTGTATTAAAAATACAAAAATTGATATTATTTTATTATTTTCTTAGCAATGAAATAAAAGTAATTCTCCTAGAGGAAGTAAGTAAATGTTAAAGTAAAAGAAAAAACTGATTCCAATAATCAAATCAGCAAATTATTTATAGACTGGTTTCTAAGGAAAATCACACACTGAGGTCACACTACCTGCATTCAAAATTTGGTTCCACCATTTACTAGTTACCTGATCTTGGGCAAATTCTGGAGCTTTCTGACCCTCAGTTTTCTCATTTGCAAGATGTGGAAAATAAAAATACATACACTGGAGAGTAATCATGAAGATTCAAATGAAAATATATGTAAAGTGCTTAGACAAATGCCTGGCACATAACCAAACACTATATAATTATCTGTTATAATTATTATTATTTTAAAACTAAAATGGAAAACATAGAAGAGAAACATACATAATGTAATTCTCCAAGTTCTAAAATTAAATAGTTTAATTAGATTTTTCTTTCATTTTTTGCAGTTTCTCCAGATCTTCTCTCTAGACTGCCAATTTTCTCCCAATATCTGTTCTCTCATTTTTTCTTTTAGTAATATAACTCTGAATTTTTTTTTTTTTTTTAATTTTCATAGAGGTGAGGTCTTGCCATATTGCTGAGGCTGGTCTTGAACTCCTGGCCTCAAGCAATCCTCTTGCCTTGGCCTCCCAAAGCGTTGGGATTACAAGTGTGAGCCACTGTGCCTGGCTGAACTCTGAATTTTTGCCGGACACTTGGTTACCTAATTACGTTTCCCAGCCTTCCTCAAAGCCAGCTGTGGCCATGTGATACTCAATGGGACAATGGGATGTGAATGAAGTGATGAGTGAAATTTCTGGGTCATGTCTGATAGATCTTTGCCTTGCTGGCTGTGAACTGAAGATGACCTCAATGACCCTGAAAGCCACACCCTGAGGATGGTAGAGCTGTCTTCCACCTCTGGACCACTCACCTCTTGACTTACAGTTATAAGACAAATCTTTTAAAAAAAAATTGTGGTAAAATCTGCCATTTTAGCCATGTAAAATTCAACGGCAATAATACTCATTCTATTGTGCAACCACTACCATCATCTGTTTCTAAAACTTATCCATTACCCCAAACAGAAACTCTGTAACCATTAACTCCTCAGTCTTCCCTCTCCCCATTCCCTGGTAACCTCTAATCTACTTTCTGGAAAGATAAAACTTTTATCTTATTTGAGTTAACTGTGCTTTTGACTTCTGTCAAGTCCCTTAGCCTGGACCCTAACATATGTAGAGATTAATACCAGAAATTGGGTGGTACTAACAATAAAAATGAAAAATGTACAGGAATGGAAGGTAAGGACCCAGACATTGCAGGCTGGGAAGCAGGTTCTCATTATACCATGGGCATTTGTGAAAACTGTTGCTTGCCATAACTCAGACAGCAGGCCATGTACCTACTGAGTCTTAGCCTAGAGGAATTGTTTGGGAAAGCTAATACTGTTGGGAGGTGTTTTTTTGGCATTTGTTGCTTTTTGAAAGATTACATGGGAGAGATAAGCTTGGGTGAGAATTGGCCAGTTTCTAAAGATGGAAGGAAAAGAATTCTGCTCAGGGAGGTTCTGCCTATGGCCTACAATCTTCAGATGGTTGGAAAAGCCAATTGCTCTGTGTTCCTAGTGTTAAGAGAAAAGGCTGTCACTCCGAGTTACTGAACTGCAGACATGAATTTGAGAATGCTGCCTTCCTCCACAAGCTCACTATGTTCAGAGGGCCTGAAAGCAGACTTCATTAAATGGAGGAAGAGTGAGATGGATAAATTCAGAAGACAGTATATAAGATTTGGCAAGTTTAAGAACTATGACCAAAAGTGATATTTGGGTATAGTTATTTTGACATGCATCTGATTAGCAGCAAACAGACAACAAACCTACATTTTTGAGGAGGCTGTATTACCAAAGATATCGTAAGTCTGGCCTACAAAAGTTTGGATTATTTGATCCCTAAAGCAACCCTTGGGATTCTACCTGACATTAGCAGGACCAGCAGTCCCCCAAGATATGGTCATCAAGGATAATGGACAAAAACAATTCCCTGTGGGCAAAACTGGGGGCCATGGAGTAAAATTGATAAAGGAATTCTTATGAGAAAGCAGACCCAAGTTTAGTCCAACAAGCTAACCAAGAAACGTCACCATAGTACAGAATCTTCCCAGTTCCTGAGGAATTTGAAAATTTTAGAAAATTGCTATGAGCTTGCTATGTTTCCCAGTCTTTCTTTTTCCAAATGGGACTTTTCAGTGCGGTTATTCTTTTCCTATGCCATCACTGGGAGTGTTGGGGGAGGGTGTGGGGGTGAGGAGCTGATAACTTGTCTTCCTTTTATAGTTTGCTGGATTATGAGAAGCTACAACCAGGAAGAACTGTATCACCCAGAGATCCTGGTCTTTGAGCTTCAGGCAGTAACTGGGAATTAACAAATGGTGAATGGGTCCTATGTAAGGAAAAAAGGGTCCTCATGGTTACTTGGATAGCTAGAGAGGCAGATCACGGTAGAACTGGCTAGATGACTGAGAATCCCTGTCTACTTCTTCCTTTTTTCTTTTTCATATTAAAGCAGGACTTACCAGTGCTGGATTGTTGATTTAGGAGAGGAGCAACAGAATTCTAATTTATTTAATCCATTCTATTTTTATTAGAACAGCTTATCCTGTGACCACACCAAGCAGGTTGTCAATGAGCAATGAAAAAGCTAAAAGTCTTGTAAGTCTGAGGAATTAGAGATACAGTGCACACACAGGAATATCAGTCTCTGAGCTGACTTTGACACTGGTGAACAAAGTAAACCCTTTTCTTAAAATATTCCATTAAAAACAAAAGAAAGACAAACATTTATAATACCTCTTTGCACCTTGTATTAAAAGCCATTTCCATCCTTCTTCTGGTTTCAGGGATACAACATTTCTTCATGACAGGGAAATAGTGTGGATATTTTAAGGTAATTTTATACTTGTCATCATCTGTCTTTTCTAAACTGTCAATGAAATCATCAGGAAGAGCACCTGCAAAAAATCATTTTCTCATATATCAAATTTTCCACTCATTGCTGGTTTATTTAGTATTGGCATGGTGCCTTTTGGTAGCTCTAGGAATTTTGTGTAGTAATTGAAATTCAAGTAAAATAATGACAATCCTTTAAATATCATTTTGATGTTGCTGGAATTGGGGTGGCTGTTAGAGGCCAGGTGCCTTGGGAGACGGCAATTCAAAATATGAACAGGTTTCAGTAAACTTGTGCAAATGATGTTTCAGTGGAGAACAGGCAAAATTAAGTGAAGAAAGACCCAGGAAAGCTGGGCACAGTGGCTCATGCGTGTAATCCCAGCACTTTGGGAGGCTGAAGTGGGTGGATCATGAGGTCAAGAAATCGAGACCATTCTGGCCAACATGGTGAAACCCCGTCTCTACTAAAAGTACAAAAATTAGCTGGGCGTGGTGGCACATGCCTGTAGTCCCAGCTACTTGGGAGGCTGAGGCAAGAGAATTGCTTGAACCAGGGAGGTGGAGGTTGCAGTGAGGCGAGATTGCGCCATCGCACTCCAGCCTGGCAACAGAGCGAGACTCCGTCTCAAAAAAAGAAAAGAAAAGAAAAGAAAAAAGACCCAGGACTGAGTAAGAAGAGACTAGTTTAAGATACAATGCAGGAAACAATGCAAGTCAAAAAAAAATTTTAAGGCACTGAAGGCTGTTAAACACAACTATAAACTACCAAGAAAAATTATGAAAAAAAAAAAAGATTATTAAGTCCCCTCTGGACTGTCTCTAGAAATTTTATATACCCTCATTAGCCTAAAATCTAATTTTGGTTGGTTTGATTGTCTCTTCTGTAGAAGGGGTGGTGGACTTAGGTACTGGATCATTTTTTAAATAATTATTTGAACTATGATTTAGAAATTTTGTATCTGGAAAGTAAAACAAACTGTGAGGTAACACTATTTGCCTAAATTATATGATTTAATCTAGAAAAATAATAAAACTTACCAAGTTCAGCCTTGGAAAATACAAGGAAGGTATCATCCTCATTGAGGTTTTTGTTAAAATCAATACATAGCTCACTCATTCTTTTCTTCATTGATTTGATTTCCTGAAAGGAAGATAAAAATACAGGGCATTAGCAATAAAAAGAAACTCATTTTTTGCCAGGCACGGTGGCCCACACCTGTAATCCCAGCAATTTGGGAGGCTAAGGTGGGTGGATCATTTGAGGTCAAGAGTCCAAGACCAGCCTGGCTAACATGGTGAAAGCCAGTCTCTACTAAAAATACAAAAATTAGCTGGATGTGGTGGTGTGTGCTTATAATCCCAGCTACTCAGGAGGCTGAGGCAGGAGAATTGTTTGAAAAAAACAACTCATTTTTATCACCATCAATTGAGTAAGTTTCACTTTCATATGAAGATTGACTTCTGTGCCCAAACTCCAGGAAGTACTTCTGTAGAGATGTGCTTGATAAAACAGGTTTCTGCAGTCCACTATGTCATGTCCACGTGTATCTGTGTGTAGCACTTATAGAAAGGCAAGCCTGGTGGTGTCTTGGAAATTAGTTGTGAATTTGAAGAATAAATTTAGGAGGTACAGTAAACACAATATATTGCACATAGTACATACACAATAAATAGTTTCTGAGTGAATGAATAAATCTAGCAGTGCATTACCAATTAGCAAATTTCTAATTGTTTCCAATTCAAAATTTTAATTCAGTAATCAGCATCTGGTTATGAAGTAAACCAAGAGATAAGAGCTGAATAATTCATTCTATTGTTGCTTCGGGGAAAAGGTGATGTTTTAGTTTTATAGAGCTTTTGTAAAAAAAGATGATTTATAGACTCTAAGATTTGCATAAAAAGTATTAGGTGGGAGATCAAATGAAGCAATAAGAAGGAAACCACCAGAAAAAAAAAAAGATACAATTTTATTAATCTGTCCCATTCTTCTAACAATGTTACATAATGAAATTTACTGCTTCTCAAAGTGTGGCCCTGGCTAGGAGCATCAGCATCACCAGGGAAGTTGTTAGAAACGCAAATTCTTGGGACCCCCACACTAAACCTACTGAAGTGCAAACTCTTAAAAGTCGAGTCCTATAATCAGAGTTTTAATAAGCCCTCCGTGTAATTTTGATGCACACTAAATTTGAGACTACTGACCTAACGCACTGTTCAGTGGTGTTTTCCGATACTCTCCCTCAACCCCCTTTCTACCTCTGCCCCACTTTGCAGCGCCCATGTAGTTCACATAGGACCTGATCCTATCTGCAACTCTAGGTGTGTGACTTCTACACCAGTTGGGCCATCCTTCCACCCCCATTGCCCTCAGGACTGTTCAGATAACCCAGGCCTCGTATTCCATTGACTAAAAGGGAATTCAGGATTAACCACAGGATCCACTCTGGGCCATTAAGACATGAGGAGAGGTTTACTGGTGGCTTCTCTATGTCTTTCTGGATGGTGGAGTTTTTAGATTTATAGCCATTTTAGGAATGAAAGGAAGCCACCCTTTAGATAAAACTAACACTGAGGAAGACACAGTAGAGAAATAGAAAAATCAGTTGGCCAATGACTCCACTGTGCATCAGGATCAAACCAACCCATGCAGCTCACCGACCCCTCGACCTTCTAGTTATACAAGCAAATAAATCTCTCGTTTAAACAGGGTTTTGTTAGCTGCAACCAAACATATCTTAACTAATACAGTGTTCATGCTCCAAACAGAATTAAGAATTGACCAGGAAGACAAAGGGTCAGGTAAGTGAGATCAATCACATTTCTCCTCTAACTCAGTGAAGGAAGAGGATACAAGGTGATCAAAGGGCTTTACGTGGGAGAAAGGTACCCATATCTCAGTGGTGCCTGTGGTTATAGCTAACATGCTGACAACACTTGATTTGGATTTCTTCCAAACTTATTTCCAGTCCTGCTGGCTAGAAGAATGACCTGGAAATAAATCATGGAGTATATTTCCTTTCCAAGAAGAAAAAGGTTAATTCTGGAGCCAAGTTTATTTTTGAACCTGGAAGACTTGACTGGCATTAGACAAAAGAAAAAGTTTGAGAGGCATCTTTCAGCAGCTAATCTCTCATCTTTTAAGGGGCATGTGTTAAACATAGGATACTCCATTCCAAGGTGCTGGTTTTAAAACTCTCCATCGGTAAGGATTTTATAATCAGTGCCCCATCTCTGTATGACCAAGGGAGTGAAAAGACAAATCAACTACTAAGACCTGAGAACAGCTCTTAAAGAATGTAAAACAGGGAAGGGAAAATAAGCTCAACACACATGAAATAAATAAAACTTGTACAAGGTTAAAGAACAATTTTAAGTTATCAGTTGTTTGTCTGTCACCATGAGGTTAACAGGAGTTGTAGAATTTAAAACCACTAAATACAAAATACATTGTATTACAGGTTATTCTATTACAACCCATCTGTTTCCCTATTTTCTGTTTTTTGTTGCACAAATTGGGTATCCCTTATCCGAAATGCTTGGGGCTTGAAACGTTTCAGATTTTGGAGTTTTCTGGAGTTTGGAATATTCCCATTATTACCAGTAGAGCACGCCTAACCCACAAAACCTGAAATGCTCCAATGAGCATTTCCTCTGAGCATCATGTTGGCACCCAAAAGTTGCAGACTGTGGAGCATTTTGGATTTCTGGATTAGGGATGTTCAACCAGTATTTTGTTTTATTTATTCATTTTTTTTTTCTGATAAGAAAAGAAAACATAAACTCACATTCTGTACTTGTTCAGGAAGATGGAGCCCATTTCTTTTCCCCATTTTAATTGACTTTTCCAAGTATCGTCTGGCCTCAGGTTTTATCTTCCCCAGATCACAGGTTTCCTGAAATTAAAGAGCATGAAAACCATTTCGGTTGAAACAGTGCACAGGTAAATTATAAACTATGAGGCCACAGCAAATTTATTCATCATCTCCGTTGGGTTATGAAGCACATAGGTGATTACGAGGCAGGCCCTATTGAAGACCTAATTTCTTTTATACTTTAGTGAGCTCCTGCTCATTTAAAACAGAAACATTAAATAAATAAAAAGCTAACTAGAATTTCCTTGCCTTGAATCAAAATCAGCAGTGCCTGTACCACTTGAAAGTGTGATAACAGAGCATTTGCATAATCTAATTCTGAGCATTCTTTATGACTGAGTGGTCTTTTTCACAAAACATATTTCTTACCACAAATCATCTGGATTTAATTTTCTATCATTTGCTAACCTGGTTCCTACTTGAAAGGCAGGAATAGAAATAATGGGTAAATTCTACACAAATGCAGAGTGGGACTCTTTTGCCAATATACCAAACGGGGAGAGCTGGATAAAGCCCGAGCAAAAGCCTTCCAACACTTCAAAAATGCCTTACTGTCATTTGCCAAGAGAGATCAAGGGACTACAGCAAGCCGCATAGGAACAAGTATCTGGGGAAAATGAGTCAGCACTGCACAAAGTGGAGGAAAGCTGGACAGTAAATTTGAATCTATATGCAGCAGCACAAACAACACTCACTCAAAAGAACAGAGGGCCATGGAGGGGAATGGAAAACTCCCCTAGCCACAGCAAGGTAATAAAGACACCAGATGTTTCTCTAAAGCAGGTGGCAGAATACACATGGCACATCTGGATGGCTGGGTAGTTAGTGGTTCCTAAGAAGAAATGGACTCTGGACAGATTCAGCAGGTGTAATGGATTCAGTTTGGTTGAAAGCCAATGAGGGACTTGTTTCTAAAGCCTTATAGGCCTTCTATTGGTTAAAGATTCTCTCCATGACAGACCCAGGCTGTTCAACCCTGAGCATCCCTAATTTCCCAACTAATTAAATCTGTAAAAGGACTGTGTTTAGCTTAGAGACTGCATTTTAGATTGTTGGTGCTAGATCTGTGCTGCAATAATTCTGTAATTGTATATCTTTTGTTGCAGCAGGTAACAGAGTTGTATTTTAACTAAATACTACTTAATACAGCCAACTGTATCTCACTTTGCCTGCTAAAAAATTATTTTATTTTTTTGGAGACAGTCTTGCTCTGTCACCCAGGCTGGAGTGCAGTGGTGCGATTATCAGCTCACTGCAACCTCCGCCTCCCAGGTTCAAGCAATTCTCATGCCTCGGCCTCCCAGGTAGCTAGGATCACAGGCATGTGCCACCACGTCCAGCTAATTTTTGCATTTTTAGTAGAGACGGGGTTTTGCCATGTTGGCCAGGATGGTCTCAAACTCCTGGCCTCAAGTGATCCACCTGCCTCGGCCTCCCAAAGTGCTGGGATTGCAGGTTTGAGTGACCATGCCTGGCCAACAAATAATTTTATGTTACAGTACTAAGGCATTTGTTGTGCATATATTTACTCTGAGGTTATCCTCAGTGGAGGCAGAAAATAGTTAGGCTCCTTTTTCTACAGCAACCTCCCTTTGTATCCCTGGAGAATTTGTGCATGCTGGCATGACTGGAGTTGGAACCCTCCCTAGCTAGTATCAGTGCACAATGGGATGCTAGCAGCAGGTGCCTGCAAAGGGAGGAAACCCACAATGGCCAGGGAGATAACTGGGCTATGGGCTGGTTCCCTCAGGGGTGGCCAGCAGCTCCAATCACAGTGTTCCTGCGGATGTGATTAACTTGGGTTGATCTAGGCTGCCTTTAGTAGCGCCAGGAAGTCTGTCCTGTAGTGTGAAGCACAGCAACAGGAGTCTCTAGACAGTGTGATACTGCAAGCTGTAGAGCTGGGGAGAATCCAGGCTGTAGTTATGTGCAGGGGACTTGGGAGGAATCCCTGGTGAGAAGGGCCTGGCAAGAGCTGGGTAAGTTGTTAAGGACCCAGGCGAGCAGGCTAAGGACCAGAGCAGAAGGCCATCCCAGCAAGGAAAGGAGCCAGCGAGAAGCTAAGGCTACAGGGGGACAGCCGTGTGTGTACCTGGGTTCCTGGGCCACATTTGGCCATGAGCTCAGGACACAGACTCATGACAAAGCCTCAATAGCTGAAGAATGCAGAATTCCTACCCTATGGCTATGCTTAATGAGGATGGGCTCTCATACTAGGTAGACTGCAATCTGCCATATCAGCATGTAGCAGGGCTGCTCTTTCAGAAAGCCTAAAATACATTCAGGATATGAACTCAAAACTCATAGTCTATGTTAAAGTTAAAACTACTTATTCCCAAAATAAATGACACAGGTGCAAACAGGTAGAAGGATATTCTGAGAAAAATCAGCCCGGAATTAGGTCTAATTAAAATATGACTAATTAGGCTGGGAGTAGTGGCTCATGCCTGTAATCCCAGCATTGGGAGGCCGAATTGGACGGATTACTTGAGGTGAGGGGTTCGAGACCAGCATGGCCAACATAGCAAAACCCCGTCTCTACTAAAAATACAAAAATCAGCCGGGTGTGGTGGCATGTGTGTGTAATTCCAGCTACTTGGGAGGCTGAGGCAGAAGAATCACTTGAACCCGGGAAGTGGAAGCTGTAGTCAGCTGAGATCGTGCCACTGCATTCTGGCCCAGGTGACGGAGTAAAACTGTCTCAAAAAAAAAAAAAAATATATATATATATAATTTATATATGTATGACTAATTAACTGTAATGAAATCTTTAACTTACCACAAAAATGACACAACAGAAATCTGACTATTATAACCAGACACTCCTTGCTAGGCAGACACAGGTCTTGGGAAATCCCCAGAGTTCTTTGGTAGGAGTAAGGCACTTCTAAAATGTGCTACTTAAGCACATTCCTATCCCAGAGCTGATCATAGTAATATTCTCTTACAATCTCCAGGCAAGGTCAGAATTACTGCCCAAGGATTTTCTAAGAGGGAATCAGCCAACACTTCTAGACTGTCTTGCTGTAATTGCACCTTCCTTCCTAACAAAAATTTCTCCCCTTGAATCTCAGCCAGGCCATGGGCCTCTTTAGGTGAAGTTTTTCTGCTTATAGAGTAGAAGGCTAAAGTTCTTAGAAGTGATTTTTAAATTTATATGATCTGACAGTATGGAACCTTATTTTAGTCTCTGTGGTGACAAGATTTAATTTTCCGCTAACTTCCTCCTGTAACAAAGAGTTTTAATATGAATGTGTATTCTCTCTCCCTGTCTGCATCTCTCACAAGTATGATTATATACTCATATTACAGACAAGAAAACTGAGGTTAAATGATTTTCCCAAGATCATATAGCTATCTAATGGTTAAAAACAGCAAAAAAAAAAAAAAAACTTTGAATTCTATTTTAATGTTTTTCCCAATGTACCATACTACTGTATTACCATCCTTAATCATTCTTTAAAATTTTATCACAAAAATTGAGTTGATTATTATTATTATTTTTGAGACAGGGTCTCACTCTGTCACCTGGGCTGGAGTACAGTGGTGTGATCATGGCTCATTGCAGCCTTGAACTCCTAGGCTCAATAGATCTTCGCACCTCAGCCTCCCAAGTAGCTGGGATTACAGGCACATGCCACCACATCTGGCTAATTTTTGTATATTTTGTAGAGAAGGGGTTTAATCATGTTGCCCAGGCTGTTCTAAAACTCCTGAGCTCAAGTGATCCACCTGCCTCGGCTTCCCAACCTGCTGGGATTACAGACATGAGCCACTGTGCCTGGCCAAATATTGAGTTTCTTAATTTCCCCCAAACCCTCCCCACCTTCCGTCTCATGACTTTGTCTTTTTCTTCACAAGAACTTTATATTTTCTGTTTCTAAAATCTATAAATAAAAAATTATTCCAGTGGGATTTTCTGTATTATACAAAGGAGAAATTACAATGCCGTTAAAAGAACTATGGAGATTAAGATAGTATATTTCTCTGAATATCATTTAAAAAATGAATTCAGGGCTGGGCACAGTGGCTCACGCCTATAATCCCAACACTGTGGGAAGCTGAGGTGGGTGGATCAATTGAGCTCAGTTCACCAGCCTGGGAAACATGGTGAAACCTCATCTCTACAACAACTAAAAAACACAAAAATTAGCTGGAGATGGTGGTGCAAGCTTGTAGTCTTAGCTACCTGGGAGGCTGAGGTGGGAGGATTGCTTGGGCCCAGGAGGCAGAGGTTGCAGTGAGCCAAGATTGAGCTACTGCACTCCAGCCTGGGCAACAGAGTGAGGACCTGTTGCAGAAAAAAAAAAAAAAAAAAAATAGAATTCAGGGCTGGGTGTGGTGGCTTATGCCTGTAATCCCAGCAGTTTGGGAGGACAAGGCGGGAGGATCACTTGAGCCCAGGTGGTTCAGGCTGCAGTGAGCTGTGACTGTGCCACTGTATTCTGGCCAAGGTGACAGCGTGAGACCCTGCTCATTTAAAAAAAAAAAAAACAAAAAAGAATTAGGAACTTTGAATTTGCTAAGGAATTATAATAGGATAACAGAGTATAGCCGGGTCTGGTGGCGTGTGCCTGTAGTCCCAGCTACTTGGGAGGCTGAGGTGGGAGAATCACTTGAGCCTGGGAGGCAGAGGTTGAAGTCAGCTGAGATCACGTCACTACGGTCCAGCCTGGGTGACAGAGCCAGACCCTGTTTCTAAAAAAAAAAAAATGAAAAACAAACAAACAAACAAAAAACAAAACAAAAACCCCAAAACCAAAAAAACAAAAACCCAAACCAAAAAAATTAAACTAAAATAGAGAAATAACTAATTGTATTATATTTGTAATTTAGTTCTTCTGCTCCCTCTTGCCCCTGCCCCAGTCCATGACATTTACTATAAAGTTGCTATCTTACTACATGGTGAAGAGGACATTCTTAGGTAGTTGTCTGCACTCCTGGGCTAGGGGGATACAGCCAGCACTGCTTGCTGACTACTAATTCAATATGCCATCGCAAGATTCACTGCTTCTGTGTGAGCCACAGCGTAAGGTTGCTGAAGTGAGGCATCACACTGCATGAAGATACATTTTCATTGGGGCTAGTTCAGTTCAACACACATTTACATTTACTGAGCTCCTAATTATTCCTGGCACTAAGGAAACAAAAAGGAATATTCTTGAAGAGCTTTAAGTCACATGAAGGAAAAGAAAGACATATTAATAGATAACATCAATATCACACATCATGTTAAAAAATAGGTAAGTACTTGGAAAAAAGAGGGGCACAAAAGAAGGATGCCTAGCCAATGGGGAAACTAAGCCAAGGTAATTGATGCTTTATATCTGGATCCCTAGGCTTTTAAGACCCCAAAAAAATTGTAAGTTTAGTAGTATTGATTATGACCAATGACTACACTTACATATTTCAAAAATCAAGAAGACATGGAAAATAAAAGGAATGAAATTGTAAATGAATTTGGGATATCTTTTTTTTTTTTTTGTCATTGTTTTAAGGTAGTGGTTCTTTTTAAACTTAATTTTAAAATTTTTATCTCTTCATTTATTTATTTTGAGACTGGGTTATGAGACTGGCTAATTTCTGTATTTTTGGTAGAGACGGGGTTTTGCCATGTTGCCCAGGCTGGTTTGGAACTTCTGGGCTTAGGCCATCCGCTCACCTTGGCCTCCCAAAGTGCTGGGATTTCAGGCATGAGCCACTATACCCGGTCGGTTCTGGTTCTTGTATTTTAATTTGGAGCTGGGTCTCCATGGCTGGTCAAGTAGGAGAGATTACATAATGTTTAAAATCATATACTTAATCTCATGACCTATTCATCTGCACTGTAACATTAAAGCTTTCCTATTTAAATCACTAATTGGCTAAGATGAATTGGCAAGATCAAAGCCTGCCGCTCTAAAAAAAATAAATAAACAATATTACAATAGATCACTGTACTTCTCAAATTTAGCTTGCATAATTCAGCCTCTATTTCATGAAAGAATTCCTCTTGTGCATTTATTCCTTAGCAGGCCACTGGAATAGAATATGCCTGATTGTTTTGACATGAAGACACTGTACATTTTTCTCGCCAAAATGGCTGGAAAGAGCAGGTATGAAATCTTCTTGGATGTTTGTTGGCTTTTTAAAAGCCAACAATTGAGAAGCCCTTGTCAGAATTGGGAAATACTAATACCTGCAGCCATAATTGCTGGCTTCTGACACTTGGCCATTTTTTTAGCTTAAAAGGATGAGGAAGTCCTTGTTTTCACTGCTTTTTCTCTTTTTTTTTCTTAGTGGAATTAAGGATACATTTAATATATGTTAAATTTTTATGTGTAACCTGATATCTGCAAATGGATATAACTATATATATGTAGTGAGGACAAATTAAATCCACCCTTCAACTTATAAAATAGGACATTAATAATACCGTTGCATTTACTTATGCAACAGGTAAC
Source organism: Homo sapiens (assembly GCF_000001405.40). Lineage (NCBI taxonomy): Eukaryota > Metazoa > Chordata > Mammalia > Primates > Hominidae > Homo > Homo sapiens. The sequence continues at coordinate 65,771,004 of NC_000005.10, read as the reverse complement.
CTGTGCAAAAAATAACTACTCTCTTGAATTTTGTGACAAACATTTTTTCCAGTTTTACCACTTATATATTGTATAGTTTTGCTTCTTTTCGAGCTTTATAAAGTATCATATTGTATGCAGTATTCTGCAGTTTCTTTCCTTCACTTTTACTAAGATTCAACTATATTGTTCCATGTTGTTATACTTATTTATTTTAATGCTATAAAATATTCCATTGCATAAATGTGCCACAATTTATAGATCCATTTTCTTGCTGATGGGAATCTGAGTTGCTATGAACACTTGTTCAATATTACCTTGCACAAATGCAAAGGTATCTCTAGGTAAATACTGAGGTGGGAGTGGGAGGATGTGCTAGGTTGTGGAGAATGTAAGCTCCAACTTTCTAATACTAAGTTTTTCTCCAACTTGGTGATGAATCAGTTATACTCTTAGAAGCAGTGCACAAACATTCTTGTTGATCCATATCCACAAAGATAACTTGGCATTGTTGGTTTTCTTAATCTTTGCCAATCTTGTGAGTGAAGAATGGTAACTTATTATGGTCTTCATTTGCATTTCTCTGATTACTAATAAAATTGAACATCTTTTCATACATTTGATTGCTATGTGCGTTTCTGTTGAAATATTTCTACATATCATTTGCCCATTTTTCTACTGGGATGTTTCTTTGTTATTGATTGTAGTAGTTCTTTATATATCCTAGAATGCATCACTGGTTTCATGTTTTGTAAAGTTATTTTCTCAGTATTTGAACTCTTTTCACTTTTCCTTATGAATAGAAGTTATATTAACATAGTCAAGTTTATTAGCCTTATATTTCATAGTTAGCAGTTTCTGCGTCTTAATAAATATATCCCTGCCCAGATATCATAAAGATATCTTCCTGTACAGACATCTAGAAGCTTTAAGCTCTAGTCTTTTATGACTTTAATCCATCAGGAATTGCTTTTCAGTTGGTTGTCAGGAAGACATTCAATTTTATTTTATTTTTCCAAATGGGTAACTTATGTCCCAGCAATTACCGAAGGCCTATTTTCTGGATCTGCCACTAACTGGTTTCTCACTTTAGTTTGATGAACATTTACTGAATGCTTGCTTTTTATCAGGCACTCTGCCAGAGGTGCAAAATAGAATCAAACATGATACCTCCCTCCCTTGAAGGGTTTAACAAACAGTCTACATGGTTTCTGGCAAGCACTTACCCACCAGTGATGTGGCTCTTGGAAAGTTATTGTTTCTGAGCTTCAGTTTCTCCACTTATATTATAAAAAAGCCTATCTCATAAGATTGGAATCAAGGTTATATGAGTCATATTGCTACACAAATGTAAGGCAGTCTTAGTAGTCATACACTGGGAGGGAGAGGACCACAACACACCGGTTAGTCTTATCCTCTACTGTAATTTCTTCCATCCATTTAATCAACAAATTATTTGTTTTGAAGGTTTTAAAAAAATTTTTTGTGGGTATATGGTAGGTGTATACATTTATGGGGCACATGAAATGTTTTGAGACAGGCAAGCAATATGTAATAATCACATTACAGAGAATGGGGTATCCCTTCCCTCAAGCACTTATCTTTTGTGTTACAAACAATCCAGTTATACTTTGTTATTTCCAAATGTACAATTAAGTCATTATTGACTACAGTCACCCTGTTGTGCTATCAAGTAGCAGGTCTTATTCATTCTATTGTTTTTCCTTTTGGTTCCCATTAACCATCCCCACCTCCTCCCCTATTTTGAAGGTTTTGAAACATGACTGCCAATTAAATGATACTCCCCAGACTGAGATGTGGTGTTCCTTGAATCTGGGCAGAATGCGGTGACTTGTCAACCCATATGGTATGGCAGAAGTGATGTCATGTGACTTCCGTGACAGCACATAAGTGCAAAGTAGCTTCTATGTGCCTTGCCGGAACACTCATGTTGGAGCACTGAGTCTCATGAAAGAAGTCCTACCATCCTGATACCACCACACTGTAAGGAAGCCCAAATTAACCCACACAAATGAACCACATGGAGACGCTCTGCGCTATGGACTGAACTGTGCCCTTTCAAGTTCTTTTGTAGAAGCCCTATCCCCAATGTGGCTGTATTTGTAAATAGGCTTTTGGCAGGTAATTAAGGTTAAATGAGGTCAGAAGGGCAGTTCTTAATCTGACAGGATTGTGGCCTTTTAGGAAGAGAAGGAGAGTTCTCCCTGTCTCTCTCCCCTCGCCTTCCTGTACCCCACCTCCCAACCCGTGCCATGTGCACACACTGAGGAAAGGCCAGCAGGGAAGGGAAGGGGCCATTTGCAAGCCAGGAAGAGGGCTCTCACCAGAACCCAACCATGCTGGCACACTGATCTCGGACTTGCAGCCTCTACAACTGTGAAAAAGTTAATTTCTGTCATTTAAAGGATTCAGTCTATGGTATTTTGTTATGGCAGCCCAGTCTAACTAAGACACTGATATTATTTGGCTGTGGCCCAACCAAATCTCATCTTGAATTGTAATCTGAATTTTAATCCCCACGTATTGAGGGAGGGACATGGTAGGAGGTGATTGGATCATGTGGTCAGTTTCCCCCATGCTGTTCTCATGATGGTGAGTGAGTTCTCACAAGATCTGGTTGTTTTATAAGTGTCTAATGCTTCCCCTAAGTTCACTCTCTCTCCTGCCACCATGTAAGATGTACCTTGCTTCCTTCTGCCATGATTGTAAGTTCCTAAGGCCTCCCACCCAGAGGAATTGTGAGTCAATTAAACCTCTTTCTTTATAAATTACCTAGTCTCAGGTATTCTTTATAGCAGTGTGAGAATGGACTGATACAGAGAATTGGTACTAGGATAGTAGGGTACTGCTATAAAGACAAACTGAAAATGTAGAAGCGACTTTGAAACTGGGTCAAGGGCAGAGGTTGGAACAGTTTGGAGGGCTCAGAAGAAGAGAGAAAGATGTGGGAAAGTTTGGAACTTCCTAGATTTACTGAATGGTTGTGACCAAAAATGCTGATAATGATATGGACAATGAAGTCCAGGCTGAGGTGGTCTCAGATGAAGATGAGGAACTTATTGGAAACTGGAGTAAAGGTCACCCATGCTATGCTTTACCAAAGATACTGGGCACTTTGCACCTGCCCTAGAGATCTGTGGAACTTTGAACTTGAGAGAGATGATTTAGGGTATCTGGCAGAAGAAATTTCTAAGCAAAGTATTCAAGAGGTGGCCTGGGTGCTCCTAACAGCATACAGCCATGTGTGTACACAAAGAGATGGTTTGAAATCGGGACTTATGTTTAAAGGAAAGACAGAGCATAAACATTTGAAAAATTTGCAGCCTGACCATGGGGTAGAAAAGAAAAACCCATTTTCTGGGGAGAAGTTCAAGCCAGCTGTAGAAATTTGCATAAGTAACAAGAGCCAAATGTTAGTGCCCAAGACAATGGGGAAAATGTCCCCAGGGCATGTCAGAGGTCTTCACAACAGCCCCTCCCATCACAGGCCTGGAGGCCTAGGAGAAAAAAAATGGTTTTGTGCTCCCCCCTCCTTCCCCTGCTCTCTGCAGCCTCAGGACATAGTGCCCTGCATCCCAGTTGCTCCAGCTCCAGCTGGGCTAAAAGGGGCCAAGGTACAGCTCAGGCCATTGCTTCACAGGACGCAAGCCCCAAGCCTTGGTGGTTTCCACATGGTATTGGGCCTGTAGGTGTGCAGAAGACAAAAACTGAGCTTTGTGAACCTCCTAGATTTCAGAGGATGTATGGAAATGCCTGGATATCCAGGCAGAAGTCTGCTGCGGGGGCAGAGACCTCACAGAGAACCTCTGTTAGGGCAGTGGGGAAGGGAAATGTGGCACAGGAGCCCCCAAACAGAGTCCCCACTAGGGCACTGCCTAGTGGAGTTGTGAGAAGGGGGCTACTGCCCTCCAGACTCCAGAATGGTAGATCCACATGACAGCTTGCACCCTGCACCTGAAAAAGCTGCAGGCAACATCAGCCTGTGAAAGCAGCTACAGGGGTTGTAACCTGAGAACCACAGAGGCAGAGCCACCCAAGGCCATGGGGGCCCACCCCTTGGATCAGTGCGCCCTGGATGTGAGACATGGAGTCAAAGGAGATTTTGGAGTTTTAAGATTTAATGACTGCCTGGCCAGGTTTTGGACTTGCATAGGGCCTGTGGCCCCTTTGTTTTGGCCAATTTCTCCCATTTGGAATGTGAACATTTACCCAACGCCTGTACCCACACTGTGTCTTAGAAGTAACTAACTTGTCTTTGATTTTACAGACTCATAGGCAGAAGAGACTTGCCTTGTCTCAGAGGAAACTTTGGACTTGGACTTTTGAGTTAATGCTGGAATGAATTAAGACTATGGGGGACTGTTGGGGAGGCATGATTGGTTTTGAAATGTGAAAAGGACATGAGATTTGTGAGGGGCTGGGGGTGTGATGAAAGTTTGGCTGTGTCCCTACCCAAATCTCATGTCAAATTGTAATCCAAATTGTAATTTCCGCATGTCAAGGGAGGGAGCTGGTGGGAAGTGAATGGATCATGGGGTGGTTTCCCCCATGCTGTTCTCGTGATGGTGAGTGAGTTCTTACAAGATCTGATTGTTTGATAAGTGTCTGGTGCTTCCCCTGTGCTCTCTCTCCTGACATCATGTAAGACATGCCTTGCTTCCCCTTTACCTTATGCCATGACTGTAAGTTCCTAAGGCCTCCCAGCCATGTGGAACTGTGAGTCAATTAAACCTCTTTCTTTATAAATTACCCAGTCTCAGGTACTCTTTATAGCAGTGTGAAAATGGACAAATACAGACACCTTGAGACTACATGAATAAAGACAGATGCCTGATTAGTTCCTACCTGCTTCAACCCAAGCCACCACTGCCTGAAACCACATGTCAGACCCCAAGTCAGAACTGTCCAACTAATTCCTTTCTGAATTCTTGATCCATAGAAACTGTGAGAGAAAAGAAAATGACGGTTGCTATTTCAGGCCACTAAGGTTTGGGGTAATATGTTATGCATCAATAGATAACTGGAGCCCATATTGCATGAAGAATTATGAAAAGTAATTTCACTTTTCTATGTATTAATTTTAAGTGGAAAATAAAAAGAGCTAAAATAACATTTTATATCCAATTGGGATAATATATTTGATTATTACATATATTATTGGTGTCTTGGGAATATTATTCAGAGCATCCTAATTTTAGTAGAGCAGGCCTGAAATTGCTGACATCATATAAATTTAAGATCCTATTTATCCAGCTTAATGAGGCCTTTATGTGTGGATTTTTTTTTTTTTCTTTCTGAGACATGGTCTCACTCTGTGACTCAGGCTGGAGTACAGTGGCACAACCACTGCTCAGTGCAGTCTCAACCTCCTGGGCACAAGCAATCCTCCCACCTCAGCCTCCCGAGTAGCTGGGACTACAGGCACTTACCACCATGCTCAGCTAATTTTTCTATTTTTAATTAATTAATTTATTTTTTATTTTTTTGAGATGAAGTTTTGCTCTTGTTGCCCAGGCTGGAGCCCAATGGCACAGTCTAGACTCACTGCAACCTCCACCTCCCGGGTTCAAGCAATTCTCATGCCTCAGCCTCCTGAGTAGCTGGGATTACAGGCGCCTGCCACCACACCTGGCTAATTTTTGTATATTTAGTAGAGACAGGGTTTCACCATGTTGACCAGGCTGGTCTTGAACTTCTGACCTCCCGTGATCCACCCGCCTTGGCCTCCCAAAGTGCTGGGATTACAGGCGTGAGCCACCGCACCTGGCCACTATTTTTTATTTTTGTAGAGATGGGTTTTTGCCATATTGCCCAAGCTGGTCTTGAACTCCCGAGCTCAAGTGATCTGCCTGCCTCAGCCTCACAAAGTGCTGGGATTACAGGCGTGAGCCACCATGCCCAGCCATTAATGAAGGCTTTATATGCTATATCATGGCTATCCTATTTAACTTACAGTATCACAGAGAAAATAAATAAAATATTTGGATATCTGATTTTGCCCTTTAGGTACGAATGGGATAAGTTTTACCATTTATTAAAGTGTCCAACTCCAGCAGAGAACTAATACTGGTAATTCTAGGTTTTTAAAAAAATTGCCTAAATAAACATAACCATTTGTCATGGAAGATGTTTAAAGGTAGGTAAATTCACCTAATGACCTTCAATGCAAAAACAAACACAATAGTTATTTTTTATTATCCTGATGTAGAGTTAGCAAATGTTGTAGAAGCCCCTAAAAAATGTTCACACAATAAAAATTATAGAAACCAGAATTACAGAACCAAATCTGAAATTACCTTAAATTGTTAAAATAAAGGCCCGAAATGAACCAGCTCAAATAAAGACACAAATCTGATGAACGCATTGGTGTCTATCAGGTCACTATAGTGTGCCAGTCTACTCTAGAGTCAGCAATTTGTTCCCAAGTTTAGTGGGATCAATCCCAAAACTATAGAAAATTTATTTTATTTTAATTTTTGAGAAGGAGCCTCACTCTGTTGCCCAGGCTGGAGTGCAGTGGCATGATCTCAGCTCACTGCAACCTCTGCCTCCTGGGTTCAAGTGATTCTCCTGCCTCAGCCTCCTGAGTAGCTGGGAATACAGGTGCTTGCCACCATGCCTGGCTAATTTTTGTATTTTTAGTAGAAATGGAGTTTCACCATGTTGGCCAGGCTGGTCTCAAATACACAAAATTTAAAAGTACTCTATGACAAAGAAATGTAAAGTGACAAACCTTTCATATCTTGATAACATTCATAAGAATCACAGAATGTGAAATAAAAACAAAAACATTATTCCAAATAAGAACTTAGAAATCATGATGAAAATAGGATTAATCAAAGGAAACTGGAAATTCTAGGAAAAATTCCAAATTACATAAAAAAAATAGAACAACAAAGAAATGTAATTTGGGGATGAAATAAAATGAGGAGACTATAAAGACCATGATTCAAATCACATCAAATAACTGTGGTCAAAAGGAGCAAGAAGAACAATTTAGCTAATGAAGAATAATCATAAAGTTATTTTCATAACTTACTTTCACCATGAAGTTTATAGACCAAATGTGAATTATTATGAATTATATGATTATCAATTATAGGATGAAAAATGCTTGTCTGATATGAGAAAATAGGATATACATTTTACATGTCTAAATCTTGATGACACATTGTATAATGAGTTACAAATTAAAATGCTATTTAATTTAAAATATTAAATATTCCAACTCTTGTCACGGTCTGCTAAAAAGGAAAAAGTAATTAGGATTCTGCAGAAAGAAACATGCAAAATTAAACAAAAAAAAAGCCTGGAATTTTGAAACTGTTTTTTTTCCCCAAAAAAATTGCTGAAGTGTCATGAAAATAAAAATTGAAAGCTGCTAGGAGGCAAATCAACATTGGTAAAAAGATCAAAAACACCTGGACAGACCCACCTAGAACATTTATTATCCATAATTTCCCCAAGTCTTGAAAAATGTAAGGATGACAGACAGGAATGACTCCGGCATACAGCATCAACAGTATGTCATCAATATTATGGTTCCAAAACCACGAGATATTTACAGATAAACAACTTGATTCCATTTGCTTCTAATTGATTTGGTCTAAGATAACCCTTACATGTAACCATCAAGTTCATAATGTTATTAAAAAGCCTTAACTTTACAGATGTTCACTCTTCTACATTTGGTCTTTAAGTGAATGGAATTAGCAGCTCAACATAACCTCAACGATATAATTAACATTATGTAATACTATATAATGCCCATTATGGTTTTATAATCATTCGAAACAAAAGCTAAGAAAATCCAGTCAGTATGTTTTATTTATGACTGAATGTTCTTTTTTGTTGTAGAGTTTTTCCCTCTTTAAAGGGATTTATAACACCACTTACCTGTAAATGAACAATTCTCTCAAATATATCTCCTCTCATGCTCATCTCAATATCAAAACGAGAAAGTCTTTTGTCTGCTTCTGTACTTGCTGCTCGTACTTCTTTGTCAGAGGATACATGCTGGGGAAAGTCTAGCATGGTCCTTTCCACTGCAGATGGAGAAAAAAACTATCACCACACAACAGGACTTGTCAAATCAGTATTAAGCCAAATACCTCATACCCAGATGAATGATCATGCCAATAAAAGTTTGTTTTATTTTATACTTTCTGTAAAGCCTCCTAAGGCTACCAAGAAAAAGCATCTAATATAGGATTTGGCTGTTCCAGCTGGCATCATTATGAACGGTAAAGATGTGAGCTGAGCACTTATCAAAGTATACTGGGGTACAATTTTTTTTTTTTTTGAGACAGGGTCTTGCTTTGTCGCCCAGGCTGGAGTGCAGTGGTGCAATCACAGCTCACTACAGCCTCAACCTCCCAGGCTCAAGCAATCCTCCTGCCTCAGCACCCCTCTTCCCCAACACCACTGAGTATCTGGGACCACAGGCATGCACCACCACACTCAGCTAATTTTTATATTTTTTTGTAGAGCTGCAGTTTTGCCATATTTCCCAGGCTGGTCTCAAACTCCTGGGCTAAAGTCATCCTCCCACCTCAGCCTCCTAAAGTATTAGGATTACAGGCATGAATCACTGCATCTAGCCTGAGGGTGTAATTTATCAACTGGCAATGCAGGAAGAGAAAGACACAGTTCCTATACTGAGGCTTCTTAGGATCTGGGATGGGAAAAGGGTACATAAAAAGATAAAGACTCCATAGAAAATCTAATCAAAGCAACGGACCCTACCCCAAATGCACACATACATAAAAACATTCAAAATTCCAGATAACTTCAAAGGATCCCCAGAAATCTAAGTGGACACATCCAACAAGTAGCCAGACATTGGAGACAGTCCATTAAATAATAATGATAATTTAGTTTGGTTTAATCTTCACATATTAAAGGTGGTTCCTGGGTTTTTCATCAATTTGTATTTTAACTTTAATTGGGTAAAAATCTCTGATGTCAGTGAAATAACCAATACTATAGAACAAAAATAAGTATGGTTTATAGTGATGGTTGTGTTATGCTGTGAAAATAAGTAAATTTTTATTTGATTAACTTCAGTATTGTGAAGGTATTATAAACAGTAAAATTTCCATATGATATATAGTAGACAGTAGAGCTATCCTTTATACAGCAAGAAATTATACAGTTAAACACTCGTATCAGTCCTCCTAAAACATTGTTACAAATAAAGCTATTAGAAATACCTGCCACAAATATCAGAATAAATCCATAAGGTATATTTTTGAAATATCAAATTATGAAATTATGCTTTTAGGATTTAATAATAATTTTATGTCTGTCGGTTAAGGAAAGAATGGAATAGAAAATTTTGAAATTTAATACAGCACTTATTTAAGTGATACTAGTTAACTATATGGTTGCAATATGTTTACTTTTAAAAATTAGCTATAAAACGGTGGCTCAAGCTCATAATCCCAGCATTCTGGGAGGCTGAGGCAGGTGGATCATCTGAGGTCAGGAGTTTGAGACCAGCCTGGCCAACATGGTGAAATCCTGTCTCTACTAAAAGTACAAAATTAGCTGAGCACGGTGGTGCATGCCTGTAATCCCAGCCACTCAGGAGGCTGAGGCAGGAGAATTGATTGAACCCGGGAGGCGGAGGTTGCAGTGAGCCAAGATTACATGACTGCACTCCAACCTGGGCAACAAGAGTGAAACTCCATCTCAAAAAATAATAATAATAATAAAAAAATAAAATAAATTAGCTATGAAATATATTAAGAAGGAATAAAAATTGCTCATAAACTTATATAAGCAACATCAAATGCAGGAGCCTAAAATTAGAAACATTCTTAAACAAACAAAGGTGCTGAAAGCCATTTCCTTCCTTACTTTGCCACAAAGACCTGGAACCAGATTTATGCTCTCACTGCCAAACCATAGACAATGCTGACGCCCAGTGCCTGACACTAGACAAACAAGGTTTCAACAGCTACTGTGAGAGGCATAATGGACTCAGAGAATATGCCCAGATAAGAGAAAGTTAGTTTTTAAGAAATCTATTCCTAAACTCAAAAATTTTGATAATTAACCCACAAAAATAAATTTATAGAGGAGCAAGAACAAACATCACAAACTTGAAAGTATGCTGAAAAGATCTACTATTGAGAGAAAAACAATTTAAAGTAATTATTTTATAAAGATTTTGTTTGAGCCAGCCATGGTGGCTCACATCTGTAAGCCCAGTGCTTTGGGAGGCCAAGACAGAAGGTTCACTTGAGACAAGGAGTGGGCAACATACATGAGACCAGCCTGGGCAACATAGTGAGATCCCATCTCCACACAAAATGTAAAAATTAGCTGGGCATGGTGGCACATGCCTGCAGTCCCAGCTACTCAGGAAGCTGAGGCAGAAGGATCTCTTGAACCCAAGAGTTCGAGGCTGCAGTGAGCTAGGATTGTGCCATAGCACTCCAGCCTGGGTGACAGAGTGAGACTTTGTCTCAAATGCCTAAGTTATGGGTTGGTATACCATCTTGGCCACAAGTGACTGAAGAAGTGAGCACCTGAACCAAGGACAAACCACATCCAGGATGGTACACGCACATGAAGTTGCCAGCTAGAAAAGCTCTACTGAATAGGGACTAACTCTATCCCTTTGACTTTGACTAATGAAGACAACCAGATCTTTTTATTCACGAGTTTAAATTCAAGACGTGTAATAAGATTGAGAAGCCATTAATGAAAGTGAAGCAGTTGGTAGTAGGAGCAGAAACTGAAACAAATGCTGAGATAAGAGAAAATAGCCAACAAACACTGAGATAAGAGAAAATAGCCAAGTCCTTTTTACAGTGAAACATAGAGTAGAGAACTCTTGGTGATGAAGGGATAGTGGGGGCAAGGAGATGACCAGGTCACTAGGGCTATGCTGGATTCTGATGATCTTTCAAATTCCAAAATGCCCACGAATGTTTACAATATCCAGTTCTGCAGCTATCTTATATTCTTGTATGAAGCCTGGATACACAGCCAAAGTTGTCTGTCATAATTATTCTACAAAGTATGTCCAACCCTTAGAGGTAACCAAAGGGAATCTTCACTCCTTATAACTTGAAGGGTCTAATATGTTATAAAAATAATGTATGTAAGGGCAGAAAATACAGAAAATAGAGAAATACATAAAGAGGAAAGTAAAAATTAGCTATAAACCCATCACCTGATATATTAAACATTCTGATGATTAATCTTATGTGTTAACTTGGAGGGTGTTTTTGATGATATTAACGTTAGAGTGATGAGCCTGAAGTAAAGCAGACTGCCCTCTATAATGTGGTAGCCAAAATCCAAACAGTTTAGGGCCTAAAAGACTCCCTGAACAAGGGAGAATCCTCCTGCAGTCTCCAGACTTCTGCACTACTGGTTCTTCTGGGCCTCTAGGCTACTGGCCTTCGGACTGGAGCTGGAACATCAGCTCTCTTGGGTCTCAAGCCTACCAGCCCCCACTGAGATTCTGGACTTTCCAGACTCCTTAGTCATGTAAGCCAATTCCCTATAATCAATCTATCAATCAATCTCTCTCTCCCCACACATACATATGTTTATATATATATATATACTTACACACACACACACACAGACACACACACACACCCTATAGGTTCAATTTCTCTAGAGAATCCTAACAAAACCATTGATAAAATTTATTTTCTTCCAGTTCTTCTGTGTCCTTTTCCCCATGTCATTAAATACTGCTTGTAATCCATGATTTTAATGGTTATACAGCATTACAGAGGATGGATGTTTCATAATTTATTTATCTAATCTATTAGTTGACATTTGGGAATTGTTTCTAAGCCTATGATATAACAAGAATACCTATTTATACATAAATTGATACATGAATTTTCCATATATATGATTATTTTCTTAGAATAAATGTCTAGGTGTGGAATTAATGAGCAAGGGTATGAATGTCTTAAAAGTTCTGACACATTGTCAAAATGCTCTCCAGAGAGCAGTGTAATCAGAGTGTACATTTTATAGCACCTTTGTCAACATAAACAATTTTAAAATCTTAGATAATTCTAAGCAATTAATTATAATGTAAAAATCAATGCTTGTAAAACTGGAAAACTGAAAGACAGAAAGCATGAAATGATTTAAGATGTCCACAAAGTGAAACACTGATATGCTTCTGCATCTGACCCACCTATATACTTTACTTCTACATCTGCCAGTGCCTGCAGACAGTTCTCGTAAGTTACTTCCTCAATACCGAGCATTCCAACAGCATCGTACACCTGTTTGGTCTGCACAATGAGCTCCTCAGTTCTTGTTTTAATTTGCTCTGGTGAAAGATCCCATCTTAAAACATTTCTGCCAGCCACAGTATAGGAAGACATTGCCTGAAGAGGAGACATCACTTCTCTTCCTAACGTCATTCTGAGTAAAATCCTGGAACCACCAACTCTAAAAAGAATCAGAAAAAGAATAAGAATTAGGGATTTCTGTTGGTCCAAAGTCAACATATGAATGTGCATTATAAAATTAAATATTAAATTAAAAAGAACCTTTTTAAAAAAACAAGCAAATACTCTCAGGTGAACACATATGCACAAAACTAAGTGCCCCTGTATTTCCTATTTTTCTTGCATAATTACATAGTTTTAATGAAATTTGTATAATTCAAACACTGAATTGTTTGTGTAATTAAATCATATAGATAAATAAAGTCAGGTGTTGGAGCTATAATAATTCTCCTTTATAAATTAAATCAGTAATCTTCCCTCCCTCTTTTTTTAAGACAGGGTCTCATTCTGTTGCCCACGCTGGAGTGCAGTGATGTGATCATAGCTCATTGCAGCCTTGACCTCATGGACTCAAGTGTTTCTCCCACCCCAACCTCCCAAGTAGCTGAAACTACAGGGGACATACCACCATGCCGAGCTAATTTTTAAAAATTATTTGTAGAGATGAGGTCTCCCCATATTGCCCAGGCTGGTCTTGAACTCCTGAGCTCAAGCAATCCTCCTGCCTTGGCCTCACAAAGTACTGGGATTACAGGTGTGAGCCACTGCACCCGGCCAGTATCTTTTTTATTTTAATATTTTTCCAATGCTAACTTTCACCTACTATGTACATAGACTCGAAAAAACCTTGCAAGTTTAGCGAGGAAACATTTAAAAACTTCTCTTCTTATACTGAACACCAATTTTTTTTAACCAAAATTTCATGTAAATTAAGAATGACAATTTGAATTTAAGACTTGGAAAATAAACTCTGGGATAGCTATGCCATTATCCTAAAAGAAAAAAAGAAAAAAGAAATTGTTTAGAATAATGATACCAGTCTTTACTCCCTTAAAACATTCAAACTAGTAATACTGATGCCATGTTTCTCTCTCTGTCTATATACATATGCATACATATACATATATATAAGTACATATAATTTTAGGGCTTACAAATAAAAATGTTATATTTAGTAGCTAACATTTATTGTCTGTTCAGGCATGGTTCAAAATACTTCCCATGTAGTAACTCACTCAGTCCTCCAACAACCCTCTAAGTTATATACTGTGGTTAGTCTCATTTTACTGAAGAGAAAACTAAAACACAGAGAAGTTAAGTAACTTGCCTAAAGCCACGCAGCTAGTTGTAGGGTCACAGGTAGGATTAAAAGCTAGGCAGTATGGATCCAGAACCCATACTCTTAACCACTATGCTAAGCTTCATTTCTATTATCTTACAGGATCCCAAAACAACCTTATAAGGTAGGTAGGGCATTACTGTATTCTCTTCTAATAAAGCAATTGAAGCCTCAGAAAGACTAAGTGACTTGTTTAAAGTCATTCACCCAGCTAATATTTATGAGCATGTACTGTATCTAGTTACGTGACAGGCAATGTGGATAAATGGCAAATTGTCTTAGACCCTGACATTCTAATACAGTAGAAAGGACAAATGGATAAATATGCAATTATACTACACTGAGATGAGTGTTATGACAAGTGTAAGCAAAGAGAACTCCAAACGAAGGGAACCCCATTCTGGTCTTGGGGCAGGGGGAATGTGTCAAGAAAGATTTTCTAGAAAGAGCAACTAGCAAACCAACATTTGAACAATGTGTAGGAATTATCCAAAGGTAATGCCATAAGGGGAGAGAAGGCTGAAAAGGTAAGTAAGGTCATTTAGCAAATGAAGAGCCTTGGGAATCATCAGAACATCCAACCTTGGCCAGGCACCGTGGCTCATGCCTATAATCCCAACATTTTGAGAGGGTGAGGCAGGCAGATTGCTTAAGGTCCAGGGTTCGAGACCAGCCTGGGCAAAATAGTGAAACATTGTCTCTACGAAACATTAAAACAACAACGACAACAACAAAAAACTCCCCCAAACATCCAATCTTATTCTGAAGGCAATTCGAGAGCCATAGAAAGGTTTTAATCAGGTGACAGATAACAGATTTGTGTTTTAGAGAAATCACTCAAATTATAATGAGTTGAAAGGTTTGTAAAAGAGATCATTCAAGAGAGAAGTTGTTCTTAGAGCTATTGGGGCTCATGATTAAAGTATATAAAACTAGGAAATAGGAGGAATCGGAATGATTTAAAATATATTCAGGAGTTTGACTCAAAAGGATTTGGTACTGAATGGATGGAGGCGGTGGAGGTGAGAGAGTCAAGAGAGTCAAGGGAAAGGAGGCTTTTTGGGGGAAAAAAGAGAAACTTGATTTTGGACATGCCAAGTTTGAAGTGGCTACAGAACATGTAAGAGGAATTAATATTAAGTGGTAATTTTACTTATAGGAGTACTCAAGGGAGTTTGCAGAGTGAGAAGAGAAAAGCATTGGGGCCCTAACTCTAATATGATCACTGAGGGAGAAGGAATATTAGGCCAATATGGGTTCTAGGACCTTGTGACAAGCAAGCAGTGAAAACAACAGCAAACGTACAGATGTTGAGAAATACTGAAAAGTCTTTGTTGAATACAGCAGCAGAATGCCATTCATGACTCTGGCAAAACCAGTGTCAGGGGAGCAGCAGGGGTACAGGTCAGACTACTATGATGGAGGAATAAGGAAGAGGTGAAGAACTGGAGAGAGTGTGAACCTAGGCAATTCTCTGTGGATCTGGCCGTGGAAATAAGGAGAGCTAACGCAGTGTAGCTAAAAGAGGCTGAGGCACAGAATAGATACATTTTTCACACAGGAGAGACCTAAATACTGACCTCTTCAACTTACTCTCCACAAGAACTCATGTCCACATACTAGTTGATGCTTACAACTCCAGGCTGCCAGGCTATTTTCTAATACATTTTCACATTTCTTCTTCCACCAGTTGAGTTATATGCTAACTAATGGTTAAGCCTGTTGTTCCAAAACCTGTTTATGCCTGTTATGCTTATTTTCATGTAATTTAAATATTTGACTGATTAAATGTATACAACATTTAAAAACTTATTTCTGGGATAGGTAAAAGGTTTCAGAAATACTTTTAAAAAGAGAGTTACAGAAAAATCAACTCCCACAAAAAACTTGTCCTTATGAAAGATTGGGAAAGGAATTGTGACAATTCAGAAGGCTTCTGAATTCATACTACTTATATGTTTCCTTATACGCATGTTCCACTTTCGAGAAGCTGAAACTGGAAATCAAAGATGATGCATTATAGGTGTAGTTTATACAAGAAGGATAGTGAGAAATGCCAATCAAATCATTTACAGTTAGCAAAAGGCCTTGGTTTTAGATCAAAAGTTTTGGGTATAAATATGTTTTAAATTTCCACAAAATATGTAAGAAATTTATCATAGTTATGATTCTACTTGAAACCACTTTTTTTCAATTACATTATTAAGATATTTAGAGAGACTGAGCTCCCTACAGAGATAGGAAGAAATGGAATATAAAACATGAGCAATGTTTTAGACAGAAAAACTACAGTCTTAGTAAAATCAATAAAACAGTAAAATGGGAGTAGTCAGGTTATAGTAAAAATGTGAGATATCTGAATTTAAGACTTCAAGGGTTAAGCAGTTTCTTTGCAAGAGTGTGAAGAAACAAGAGTCTAGTTTGGATAAATTGCCTACATGAACACTGGAGTCAGCAGGTTGATGGTGGATCCCGGGAGTAGAAAGGAAGACTGAACCAGGAACCCGAGTATCTGAAGAAGGAACTCTCAGCTGACTGGGAGAGACAACATGAGCAGGATATAAAATGGGAAAACCAGATGATGAGCCTCAAAGGTGTTTTTACACAATGGTGAAGAAGTGCAGGACATCACAGTGGTTGGAGGGGGCCTCTGGGGGAAAAGAAGATACTGATCTTTCCTCCTTACTTTGTGGTATGGGGTGTGGGAGGAAGAGGGATGCATGGGAAACATTTTTGTCAGGGTTCAGTGGATTTTAGAAAAGGTCAGGAAGAGAAGGGAAGATTCAGGGAATAGTATGAAAAAGTGGAGGAGTTTATTTACCATAGGACAAGGGTTCCAGAAATAACAATGGAGAAGTCAGTGCAGTAGATGGTTAGATATACATGGTTGTCTAGCCATTAACCTCTTCCCCTATCTAATTATATGCACATCTTCCTCTCAACACTCATACACCCCCAACATAGTTCACGTTCTTTGAAGGTAGCTGTCCCTACCCTCAGTACTCTTGCTTGGAATGCTGTGAGAGAAGGGGGTCTCATTCCCACTAAGTGTGAGTACACTTATGTCCTTGATTGCAGCTGGCAGCCATCCTATGAGAATGAGCAGAATCTGATTTACGATAAAACAGACACTTTGAATGGCAGAATAAAGGAAGGAAACCAAATATTTAAAGACACCATAGAGCCCATAGATCAACTAATTGTAAAGCCTGACCATTCCAGTTATGAGTCAGTAAGTCCCCTCTATGATGAAATCAGTTAGAATGGGGTTTTATATTATTTGCCTCATATAGGATCCTACTGATAAAGGAATGAAAACTGATAAAGGAATAAGTATAGGGAGAAACCAACAGTATGGAGGTCAGAGTACAAGAAATGGCAGATGAGTAGAGGGTCTCACATACTTGGTGTTGGTGCAAAATAATAAAGATGTTCAGTTCAGGATTTATACAGTTGGCTGAAAATTTCCAAAATAATTATTTCTGCCAACAGAGGCCACTAAGAAAGAGTCAGTCATGGCCATGACGGGCTGTACTTCAAGGAAGTCCCAGTATAGGTAAAAAGGCTGGCCCTGAGATGACTGAGTTACATGAATATGAAAGAGAAGAACAACGACTAAAACATAGGACATATCCATCTTAACACCCTGTTCTTTTCACCACTCCTCTTAGTATAAACCAATGACTATAGACAAATTTCCATTAGTATCATTAATATTCAGGTTTTTTTTTTTTTTTGGAGATAGAGTCTCACTCTATCCCCTAGGTTGGAGTATAGTGGCACAATCTCAGCTCACTGCAACCTCCGCCTCCCAGGTTAAAGCGATTCTCGTGCCTCAGCCTTCCGAGGAGCTGGGATTACAAGCTTGTGCCACCATGCCTGACTAGTTTTCTGTATTTTTATTAGAGATGGGGTTTCACCATGTTGGCCAGGCTGGTCTCAAACTACTAACCGGAAGTGATCCGCCCACCTTGGCCTTCCAATGTGTTGAGATTACAGGCATGAGCCACCGTGCCCAGCCTATTATTCAGCTTTAAAAGAAAATTACTTCAAGCATTTCACTGATAAGATGACCTTCGTTGGTTTTCATCTATTTCCTAACATTTACTGGAAGGCTGAGTGGTCACAGCATATCTGATTGTTTGTTAAGTCTTATTTTGTTTTTAATTGACACAATAATTGCACATCTTTATAGGATACAGTGCGATGTTTCAATACATGTATACATTGTGTAATTATCAAACCAGGTTAATTAGCATAACTATCACCTCAGACACTTGTCATTTATTTGTAGTGGGAAAGTTAAACTGATAAGGATGTCAATACCTCCACCTCGGCCGGACACATATATGTTTTATAGTTTCCAAGGCAACTAGTGAAAAGCTATTTCTCCCTTAATGTAATACTATTCCCTGAACCTGGAAGGGCTAAAAAGACAGAAACAAAAGCTAGAAATCATGATGTCATGGGTCAACTAAATACATTAAAATTTTTATCTTAATACTTTTTTTCTCACCTTCTGAGATTTTACCTTAATTCTTTTCAGGATTCACAGTTCTTGTTACCAAAGAAAAGGAATGGTGACAGCGGAATGCCTTATACTTCTAACTAAAACATTTTGATCTACTGAGTACTTTCTTTCTGCATTATCTCTGCTTTTCCTCTCCCATCTTCATTTTGCGGAGCATCCCTCCTCTTCCCCTTTGTTACATTTTCAAGCTCACCCAATGCTTTGGATGCTGGTACATTGATCTCGTCTTCCCCTTCCGTGCCTCTGCAGCCCTGGAAAGAACTGCACCTGGGTGGGAAAACCAGTGCACCTGTAGTCATTCCAGCAGCTGCACTTGTATTCTTGAGAACCTGGTGAAGATTTTTCTCTGACTTTTTGCAAGTGAGAGCTACATAAGTCAAAAGCAGACAAACGGCATGAGCCTGTCTTTTCCTACAGCAGTTATTACGTCTAATAATTTGAAAATGAAAAAGTAGATCAAATCTGAGATTCCAGTTGTCTAATTAAACACTAGATTTCTTTTTCCTACTACAAAATTCCAGGCTCTTTATTATTTCTGTCTCAATCATACCTTCTTCATCGTCTCCTCTGTTTTCAAAGCACTTTTCAAAACATGACCTTTGTGAATTTTTTTTTTTTTGAAACAGGGTCTCACTCTCTCAGCCAGGCTACAGTCCAGGTGGCGTGATCATGGCTCACTGTAGCCTCAACCTTCCAGCTCAGGTGATCCTCTTACCTGAACCTTCCAAGTAGCTGGGACTATAGGTGTGCATGACACCTGGCTAATTTTTTGTACTTTTTGTAGAGATGTGGTTTTCCCATGTTGCCCAGGATGGTCTTGAACTCCTAAGCTCAAGTGATCCTTCCACTTCAGCTTCCCAAAGTGTTGGGATGACAAGCATACGCCACTGCACCAGGCCAACACTGTGAAATTTCTAACCAAGAAATAATACAGAATACCATACGGGAATTGACAGGAAGGTGCATTTGCTAGCATTGTAATCTCCTGTGTCCAAAATAATATCATCATCATCATAATAATAGTGTTTAGGCAAAGGAAGAAAGCTGGATAAATTTTGACAGAAATCATCAGGTTACAGAATTTCATTTGGACAAATAAGTATGCCATAGTTATTCTGAGTTAATTATTGCCTTGAGACTTTTGTAAAATATTTTATGGAATGTACTTTCAGAAATGTTGATTTATGGGGTTCATTTTCTTTTGAAGCATAGTTTAAAGTCCTCTACTTCCTCTCATCAAGGCTTTCACCATTCCAGTTCACCTTTCATCTGTGCCATTCATTTTAGACATTTAAATTACTGTCATCACCTATTCAATTAGTTTGTTTTATATTCTAAATGAAACTAGGACTTCTCAAGCACAATGGCCACTGTACATTTCTTTCATCACAAACCCCCACCCCAATGCACTGCACACTGATGAGCAGACAGATGTTCATTATATACTTGAAACAAGATGGGACAAATATGACAAAAACATTAAAGCAACACCATCTTCCCTCATCATCACAAGTAAACATTCATACAGGGAAACACGTTTTATTAGAGCCAGGGCTATAGTGAAACTATATTATGTAAAATTTTACAACTTCTACCTCCTACCAATTTACATTTTTTCCATCCCTTTCCCTGTCACCATGTCACTGTGTTGTACTACATGGTTTGCAGGATATTTCCAGAAATTTGTCCCAATTCTTTGAAACACTTGGCAAATATTCCTAGTATTTGCTTTGCAATTAATGTTTCTCTACAAGCTGCTCTTGAGGTCTGCATTAAATCAATCTCCCCACAAGACCGGAATTCCTGTATAAGTTTAATTATTTCTCTTGTGTGGCTATTACATCAGAAACACTCTAATCCTGATTTCTACCATTTACAAAGTTGTCTTTCTAGCCATTGTTTTGACTAAATCACCCCTCTCCTCACAACTTCTCAGGCCATAGCTCAAGTCCAGGGTCCTTTCATCAGACCATATAGGACTCCTTTATTTCTGATTTCTACAATGCCAAATCCCAGCTACACACCTCACTGAGGTTTACCTGTTTCTCTTTTTCTTTCTCCTTCCTTCTTTTCTTTCTTCTTTCCTTATTTCTCTTTTTTTCTTTATTTTTCTCTCTCTCTCTTTCTCTTTACTTTTTAAAAAGACAAAGTCTCACTCTGTTGCCCAGGCTGGAGTGCAGTGGTACAGTCATAGCTCACTGTAAACTAGACCTCCTGGACTCAAGCAATCCTCCTGCTTCAGCCTCCCAAGTAGCTGGGATTACAGGCATGTGCCAGCACACCCAGCTAATTTAAAAATTTTTAGTAGAGATGGAGTCTTGCTATGTTGCCCATAATGAGCAATTCCTGGGCTCAAGCAATCCACCCGCTTTGGCCTCCCAAAGTGCTGAGATTACAGGCATGGGCCATCGTGCCAGGCCAACTTATCTATTTCCTCAGGTACTCAGTCCATTTCTTTCTTGAAGCCTTCAGCCAAGCAGCACATTATCCACTAGACCTGTGCAGTCCAACACAGCAGGTACATGTGGTTATTTAAATGAATTATGAGTAAATAAAATAAAAAATTCAGTTTCTCAGTTGTACCAGGCACATTTCAAATATTCAATAGCCACTTGTAGTAAGTGGGTACCACACTAGACAGCACAGATAGAGAATGTTTTCGCCACTGCAGAAAGTTCGAACGGACAGCACTGACTGGATGATCCCATTCCTGAGATTCCACATGACAGCACATGTATGCCAAGCAGCCCTGCCTGTGCCCTTCCTTGGGTACCCTTTCTCCTTTCCACTCGCAAACTAGGTTCCTAGGTGTCTTCTCTGGAAGGAAGAAAGGACAGAGAAACAGAGGAAGGGAGAACTCATTTACCGAGTAGCTCATGTGTGCAGGAGTGTTAAAACACTCATCTAATCCTCACAACATGCAGAAATAAGGAGTAAGCACTACTTTCAAGAGCACAGTGTGGCAGAAAAGACTTTCAGTTCTTTCCATAGGGAGCAGGGCCAAGGGTATTGATAATATGATTAGAATATAAAAATGGTTTTTCCACAAGACTGTTTAAATTTCATGTCCTTATTATTTTACAAGTGAGAATTAATCTTATTCACTGACTGAGCTTACTAAGATAGAAGTCACAAAAGTTTACCTAAAGGTTTCTAGTACGAGACCTTCAACACAGCAAATATTTGTGAACTTACTGTTTTCTCTCTGCTCTGTGTCCTTTCACAGCATACATTCTGCCACTGTTCCAAAAGTTCAGCATCACCAGTTGGTGAAGCTCTCCCATCATGCCAGTCTCTTTCTTGGACACTCAACCCCCTACCCTACATCCTCAACCCTGTCACAGGGCACTGGCTTTTCCACTTTGTCTTCACTGTAACCTGGATTCCTGGTGAATGCACTGCCTCTCCCATGAAGTGCACTGACATTCTCTCAGGCTCCTCACACTAGGAGGCCTTGACACAGGGTAAACCTCTCCTTGATCCTCAAAGGGCTGTCCAAATCATTACTGCACTACAATTCTAATCCTCTGAGGCTACTGGCTTCCTGCTACATCCCTTACTAACTCTCTTTGTTGCTGTCATCAACTAAACTCTTTGCCATTTTCTCATATTCACCAAAGAATTAGCTCTACAGTCCCTGTATTAGTCTATTTTCACACTGCTATGAAGAAATACCCAAGACTGGATAATTTATAAGGAAAAAGAGGTATAACGGACTCACAGTTCCACATGGCTGGGAGGCCTCACAATCATAGCAGAAGGAGAAGGAGGAGCAAAGTCACATCTTACATGGCAGCAGGCAAGAGAGCATGTGCAGGGAGCTGCCCTTTATGAAACCATCAGATCTCGTGAGACTTATTCACTATCACGAGAAAAGCACAGGAAAAATCTGCCCCCAGATTCAATGACCTCCCATTGGGTTCCTCCCATGACACATGAGGATTATGGGAGCTATAATTCAAGATGAGATTTGGGTAGGGACACAGCCAAACCATATCAGTCCCTGTCTAAAGTTCCATAATCATCCCAGGGAGACTCTAAGGATGGGTGGACAAGGCTTACCACTCCCTTAACTTCAGTTTCTTTTTTCTCTCTTTTCTTTTTGGGACAGGGTCTCGTTCTGTTGCCCAGGCTGGAGTACAGTGGTGTGATTATAACTCATTGCAGCCTCAACTTCCTGGGCTTAAGCACTTGATCCTCCCATTTCCCTAATAGCTGGGACTATAGGCATGCACCATCATGCCTGGCTAATTTAATTCCTGTAGAGATGGGGTTTCCCTATGTTGCCCAGGCTGGTCTCAAATTCCTGGGCTCAACAATTCTCCCACCTTGGCCTCCCAAAGTGCTGGGATTACAGGCATGAGCCACTGTGCCCAGCCAACATCACTTCCTTAACCTATTTCACTCCAAGAACCTTTGTATTTATTCTTCTTACCACCACTTGGAGATGCTCCTCAGAAATGATAAAGTCAGCTATTCCACTGTAATCACAACCTTCTATGTTTTCAGCTTCCATTTATCTACTCCCATGATTCTTAGTTTTCCATCTCCCTTAGAACTCCAGTCCTTTAATCCCTCTATTTTCTCACTCTAACAGACTTCTCCCACAGCTCAACCCTTCGACCTGGATGACTGCTGTACTTTGTTTTTGTTTTTGAGACAGACTCTTGCTCTGTTGCCCAGGCTGGAGTGCAGTGGCACGATCTTGGCTCACTGAAACCTCTGCCTCCCAGATTCAAGCAATTCTCCTGCCTCAGCCTCCCAAGTAGCTGGGATTACAGGCGTGTGCCACTACGCCCAGCTAATTTTTGTATTTTTAGTAGAGACGGGGTTTCACCATGTTGACCAGGCTGGTCTTGAACTCCTGACCTCAGGTGATCCACCCGTCTTGGCCTCCCAAAGTGCTAGGATTACAGGTGTGAGCCACTGCGCCTGGCTGACTGCTGTACTTTGGCAGGCTCCACTCTGGCCCTCCTGTGTCTGCACTCAGCTCAGATGAGGTAAGGGGATGTGCTCATGCAAAGCTTGCCACTAACATCCTGCAACTGTGCTTTGGGTGACAAGACTCCAGAATCCCTTGCTCAAATGGCTCCCAGAATCTGTGTGGGCCCCTTCCTAGGGTCCATTTTCCTGAGGGTGAACTGCACCATTGGTTTGTACATATCTTGCACTGAGGTGTGGCCATTAAGAGCAGGGAGTGTGGTCAGAGTTTGGACATATAGGTGGGGGCATCCGTACACATGTGAGGCCCCTCATGGTACAGGAGGGGGCCAGGGGTGGGCTTCCAATTGTAGTTTCACCTCAGGTTGCACAACTGTTAGAAGTGAACTTCATCTATCAGGTCAACCATCTCTCACCAAAACCCCAACTTCCAGTCCTTCTGCTATATCAATCTTAAAAACCTCTGCTCAGGACCATTTTAACCAGCTACCTTCTCTATTCTCATAGCAGGCTCTGAACAGAGCTATGGGTTTTGATACTATTATATCATGGCCTCTGATTTGAGTTGGACTCCCAAGCCTTCAGGAAAATCCACCCACAAACATCTGCCTCCCATGACCTATTACTTCAAACTGTGACCAGCCTCCCCGAATTTCTCCTCTCACTGTCAGTAGTTGACCTTGCTGCCTACATTACTAAAGCCATCACACAGAAATTCCCTCCACTTCCCTCCTACGAACATAGCTGCATCTGTATCATCCATTTCTCTTTACTCCTAACTAGTATAAGACAAATCTGACTTGCCTAAAGCCAATTTCTTGCTCTGTGCTTGGGTCCTATCCAATCTCTTCCAGAGACATCACCCATGAAACATCATCTCTCTCAGCAAAATCTTTTTTTTTTTTTTTTTCTGAGACAGAATCTCGCTCAGTCACCCAGGCTGGAGTGCAGTGGCACGATCTCAGCTCACTGCAAGCTCCGCCTCTTGGGTTCACGCCATTCTCCTGCCTCAGCCTCCCGAGTAGCTGGGATTACAGGTGCCCACCACCACGCCCGGCTAATTTTTTGTACTTTTAGTAGAGACGGGGTTTCACTGTGTTAGCCAGGATGGTCTCGATCTCCTGACCTTGTGATCCGCCTGCCTCGGCCTCCCAAAGTGCTGGGATTACAGGCGTGAGCCACCGCGCCCGGCTCAGCAAAATGTTAAATGTCTCATTTGTACTGCCTCTTTATACACACATGTGCTGGAGTATTTACATTTCTCCACCTTAAGTAAAAAAACAAAAACTTCCTTGATCCTGGGTCCCCCACTAGACACCACTATTTCTTCCTTTCCCTTCATCCTCAAGACTTTTCAAAGTGGTCCAGCCAGCCCTACTATCTTTTTGTTCTTATGTCCCAAACACTCTTCACCCTACTTCAATCTGGGTCCTGGTCTCATAAAAAAATGGAAACTGCTCTCACCAAGGTCCCCAGTGATTTCTACTAAATGCAACAGACATTCTTCACTATTTACATCTTGACTTTTTGTGATACATGACAGTGTTTTCCACTCTTTCCTGTTTTTAACTCCCTCTTTTTTGGGAACTTTTCCCTCTTTGGGCTTTTGTGATAATGATTCCTCTTTTCATTTGATGTCTCTGGCTGTTCCCTCATGATTTTTATCATCAGTTGTCTTTTTTTAGGTTTTGTTTTTGTTTTTAGCCCCTTCTCAGGATTCCTTAGAGCTCTTCAGGATTCAGTTCTATGGCCTCTTTTCTTTTCATCTTGCACACCATGCCTGTTCCATTTGTATGGCTACACATGTCACCTATAGCTAAAGACTTCCAGATCTGTACCTCCAGCACAAATCTCCTGAGTTCTAGACCCATATGACCAACTGCCTGTTGGGTAGCTCCACTTGGATGTCAATGGTCACCTTAATACAGTATGTCTAAAATTAAATTGCTCATCTTCCTTGCCCCCAGAACCAAAACTGTCCTCCTTCTTTATTTCTTATCTCAAGGACGATCACCAGTATGTACTCAGTTGTCCAAATCAGAAACCCGGGAGGTTCTGGATGCTTTCTAATCTGTTCTCCAGATTGCCTGCAGAGTAATCATCCTAAAACATAAATCTGATCATGACACTCCCTTTCAATGGCATGGTTCCCCAGTGACTTCAGGATCAAGTTCAAGCTACTACTTCTGAATCTGCCCTAACTACCATGCTGGCTTTCTCAGTGCCATCCTTTTGCTCTCATATCTATGCTCCAGACATAATGAACTACTTTCACATCTCCCTCAAACTGTTAAGCTCTCCTCAGGCCTTTGCAAGACACTACACCAAGAGTTTATATGCATGTTCTTATTTAATCCTCCCAATAAGCCAAGAGGAAGATATTATCAACCCAATTTACTGGCTACAGAGAAGTAGCTTGCTCAAGGTCACATAGCATTTGTGCAGCTGGGATTCAAACCCAAGCCTGACTCCAGAGCCCATATTCTTTTGTATTTTTATTTATAAACTGAAAAGTATCTGAGGGCCCTTATTCTTTATTATCCTATACTGATGCTGCAACTCCCATCCCAGAAAAGGAAATCATCAAATTTCTCACCAATTGCACTTCTCTGATTTTGTACTTTGCTTTTAATGGGGAGAGAATAAGGTGACTTAAAGCATACATGCTTACATCACATGTCTGACTTGTTATCTATACCACTCCCTGAGAGATTGCTGCAGGGGCTGTGGAGAAGTGCCCCACTTTAGCTTTCATCCAGCTCTGAAAAACAGGTCACATAGACTTGGGCAGCTTTTTAGTCACCTGTTCTCAAAGAGTAAAACCACTCAAACATGGAAGACCTGGATGGCTGCCCTCTGCACCCAGGTCTCATTTTTTTCCAGAGCCCTTTAATGAACTGTTCATAGGTAATCAATAAATCACTTGGAAACAGTGTACTCCCAGGAAATGGCAAATTCTTCCTTAAAGTACTCAAACAAATAATCTACATCTTTTATTGATAAGGTTCAGCTGAGGCATTCTTTTCTTTTCTCTTTTTTTTGAAACGAAGTCTTGCTCTCTCACCCAGACTGGAGTGCAATGGCATGATTTTGGCTCACTGTAACCTCCACCTCCCAGGTTCAAGTGATTCTCCCACCTTGGCCCCTTGAGTAGCTGGAATACAAATTTTTGTATTTTTAGTCGAGACAAGGTTTCACCATGTTGGCCAGGCTGGTCTTGAACGCCTGACCTCAGGTGATCCACCCGCCTCGGCCTCCCAAAGTGCTGGGATTACAGGCATGAGCCACTGTGCCCAGCCTCAGCTGAGGTATCCTAAGAAAACACTCTATGCAATAAATGCTGGTTCTTTATTCCCTATTGATAGGATTTATTGACTTGTTACTATCATCTATCATCTGGAATTATGACTATAATTCAGACATCAGCAAAAAAAAAAAAAAAAGGGGAGAGAGAAGCTTATTATAAAAGGACTTCTCAAGAAATAGTTGATTCAGTTATTCCTTCAGCAAATATTTACTGAGGTTACAAAGATGAATAAGACAAAGTTATTACCTTTCAGGAGAGTACAGACTTGTGAGGAAGAAATACGGAAAGAGACATTAGAGTATCAGGTAGCAGGCCGGGTGTGGTGGCTCACGCCTGTAATCCCAGCAATTTGGGAAGCCAAAGAGAAAGGATCACTTGAGCCCAGAAGTTCAAGACCAGCCTAGGCAACGTGGTGAGACCTCATCTATAGTCCCAGCTACTTGGGACGCTCACTTGATCCCAGGAGGTCAGGCTACAGTGAGCCACAATTGTGTCACTGCACTCCAGCCTGGGTAACAGAGTAAGACCCTGTCTCTAAAAATAATAATGAAATAACAGAATATCAGGTAACAAATTCTATATAAATAAGGCAATGGAGAATGAAGAGGACAGTGTGTGTGACTCTGCCTTGGGGAATCTAGGAAAGACTTCAATGAGGATGTAACTTCTAAACTGGCTGAGTCTTTCAAGATAGCTCTATGAGGTAAGGTGGGTACACGGGTTTAATGGGATGTGGAGGGATAAGAGGTAAGGCTAAAATAGGTTAGACCAGATTTGTGTCTTTTTAGTGACTTTCATAAATAAACCAATGAAGGAAACAAAAATGGTTTAATTGGGTTGGAAATTTCTGATGCACAATGTATTAAGATGATGGACAGGTTGGGGCTTAAAGACAGTTCTGAATATTGGTGGCTGCTAAGTCTTGCAAGAAATTCTGGGGCCATTCTTTTCTGTTTTCCATAACTATGAGTTTCTTCTCCATCTCTCATTCTGCACATACAGACATAACCTTAGAACTCAGTTCTCCTCTTTCATACTGTTTGTATATATTTTTTATCATTATTGGCTACAAATAAACAGCTAATGGAATTGATGTAGAGTAACATACTTTTATTTTATTTCAACCAGGATTTGTGGAAAGTTTTCTAAGTATATTCTAGAAAATGTTACACACAGTTACTTCTAACTGAAAGTTCCTTAAATGCAATGCATCAGGATCTATATGTCGGTTAACTATTTGTTCTATATAATCTGTATTAAGAAGTTTAAAAATAAATGATACTTCTTTTGAAGATTGTTTTGGCCTTTTTTATCTGTAAGACAAAAAGCCTATGTTTATAAATTAATCCCCAATGTAGTCCCTGGTGCTTAGTAAATATTTGTTGATGGAATTAAAATCCACGTGAATACTGAGCTTTATTACTACCCAATGCTAGCCATAGCTATACCAGCAAGGCTGACTGATCTGCTTCCCCAAGTCAGGAGAGGAATTGAAGACATTTTTCCTTGTAATTCTACTAGAATGTAAGCTCTTTGGGAATGTGGTCCATGTCTTAGTCATTTTTGTATTTCTTGGCAAATGTGGAAGAATGTGTTCAGCATATAACATATATGTTTTAACTGTTCAATCAATGAGTATAGGAAAGTGATGAAAATCTAAATTAGTCTGTCCTAAAATGACCACTAAGTTCAGTCCCAGACACCAAGTAAATAAAGCAAATAATAAAGCAATCAAAAGAAGATGCTAAAACAACAACAGAGTTGTTGAAGAAAAGTAATTATGTGAGAGACACGTCATAAAGAGACTTTGAGTCATGGATAGATAATCTACAATACATGCCAGTACACTTGAAAAGCAAAGTGCTACAATTCGACTGCTCTTGCCTCCACCTGCTGGTATAGGAAAGTAATTTTTTAGATTGGGCAGAAATTGTTTAGCAACCATAGAAAAATGCTAGGAAAACAGTGGGCTTTCAAAGTTATCTTGCCAAGATAATATATAAACATCCTATAAACAACCATTCACGAAAAATGTACACCATGAACTCAGCTACAAGTATGTTGAGTATAGAGAAGAACTACGCTAAATATGGAGACATTCTGGCCTTTATTTTGAGTAGCCTCTAGCATCTGGTAAAGTCAAAAGCATTATGAGTTTTCCTTCATTGTACAGTCTCTTTTTTGTATTGAAAAAAATTGCATTTGAATTTGAGAACTAGAATGATCATTACAACTTCAATGGTCTAATCTTGGTCTTATGTAGCATAAATATACATTTATTTTGGAAACAGTGCCACATACATCCTTAATGTGTACAACTTCCTCTAGCAGTAAGACTTAAGAACAATGATTATTTTCAACTCTTTTTACAAAATGTTTATGATCCATTTTTTTAAAAAAGGTAACTTTATTTTAGATTTTGTAATGTAATAAGTTTTTGTTTCCAAATTTCATTGTAAATAAATGAAAAGGAACTCTTCAAAATTTTCTTTTTTAAGAGATATGAATAAAAATGTTAAAATGTTAGAAACTACTTAAGGGCATATGAAAAACTGTATGATGCTAGAAATATTTGTAATATTTCTGCCACTGACAAATAGAGCTTTCAGAAAAGGTTCACATTACAAAGTTGAACAAAAATCTCAGGTTCTAAAAAATAAGTAACAAAAGATAATTGGTTAATTTTCTTCTAATTTTGTATATGACACAGCTAACTTAATGATTATAGGTTCTAAATAAATTGATTATACATGAACTTGAAGAGATTTCTTTTCTTAAATCCTATCCCTGGCTTATGTAAAGCCAACTGAGACCACAGAGCATATAAAATCAAGTGCTGCTTCACAAATGAAATAAAGTGTTCCTTGATTCATTACTAATGCGACTATCCACATACATGGAAAACCACAACTCAGATATTCCCCTTTTATTTTTCTCTAGAAACATGAATAAATTGCTTTTGGCACACTTAATTGGTGTTTGGGGCATACTTTTCACAATTGAAGTCCTTAGTAAATTACTCAGGAGAGAGACTCTCCTCTTTCAGTACATTATTTAATACTTAGGCTTGTTAGTGTGTGTCATTTACACATAAATATTTTGTTGTGTGAATGATGATGCCTAGATCCTCTCATCTGAGGCCTGGCTAATAGCTAGTATGCTTCTTGTTAAGACTGGTTCAGTCAAAAATAAGTGTTAATTATTTTTACGTGTGACAATGGTATTATGATTATGTTTTTGAAAAAAAAATTTCACAAAGTGATCTACAGATTGAATGCAATCCCTATCAAAATACCAATGACATTCTTCACAGAAATAGAAAAACAATCTCAAAACTTGTATGAAACCACAAAAGGTTCCAAATAACCAAAGCAATTTTGAGTAAAAAGAATAAAGCTGGAGGTATCATACTACCTCACTTCAAAACTTATTACAAAGGCCAGGCATGGTGGCTCACACCTGTAATCCCAGCACTTTGGAAGGCCAAGGCAGGCTGATCACTTGAGGTCAGGAGTTTGAGACCAACCTGGCCAACTGGTGAAACCCTGTACTAAAAATACAAAATTAGCTGGGTGTGCTGGTGTACACCTGTAATCCCAGTTACTTACTCAGGTGGCTGAAGCAGGAGAATCGCTTGAACCAGGGAGGCAGAGGCTGCAGTGAGCCAAGATCACGCCACTGCACACCAGCCTAGGCAACAGAGCGAGACTCCATCTCAAGAAAAAAAAAAAAAAAAAAGAATTACGTATATATTATATATATATAATATACGTATATATAAAATATATATATATAACAAAGCTATAGTAACCAAACAGCATGGTACTGGCATAAAACAGACACATAGCTGATGGAACAGCCTAGAAAGCCCAGAAATAAATCCACACATTTATGGCCAACCGATTTTGGACGAAGATGCCAGGAACACACGAAAAGACAGTCTCTTCAGGGAACGGTGTTGGGAAAACTGGAGATTCACATGCAGTCGAATGAAATTAGACCCTCATCTCATCCCATATACAAAAATCAACTGAAAATGGATTAAAGACATAAATGTAAGATCCTAAACTGTGAAACTACTAGCAGAAAATGGTTATGGTTTGAATGCTTGTTCCCTTTGAAACTCATTTTGAAACTGAATCCTCAGTTTAACAGTATTAAGAGGTGAAGCTGTTAAGAGATGATTGGGTCATGAGGGCTTTGCCTTCATAAGTGGATTAATCCATTCATGAATTAGTGGGTGAATTAATGGGGAAGAACAGGAGTGGGTTAGTTATCAGAAGAGTAGATCTGTCATAGGAGCCAGTTTTGTTCTCAGTGTGCCTCACTCACCGCGTTATGTCCTCCACCATGTTATGACACACTGAGAAGGCCCTCACCAGATGCAGAAGACCCTCGACCTTGCACTTCCCAGCTTCCAGAACCGTAAATAATAAATTTCTTTTCTTTATAAATTACCTAGCCTCAGGCATTCAATTATGGCAACAGAAAATGAACTAAGACAGAAAATATATGGGAAAAGCTCCATAACACTAGTGTGGGCAATGATTTTTTGGATATGACCCCACAAGCAGAGTCAACAAAAGCAAAAGTGGACAAATGGGATTACATCAAACTAATAAGCACAGCAAAGGAAACAATAAACAGAATGAAGAGACAACCTATAGAATGGGAGGAAATATTTGCAAAATATACATCTCATAAGGGATTAATATCCAAAATATACAAGTAACTCAATAAATTCAATAGCAAGAAAACAACCCCAATAAAAAATGGGCAAAGGACTCAAACAGACATTTCTCAAAAGCAACATATAAATGGCAAACAGGTATATGAAAAAAATGCTCAACATCAACATTAGGGAAATGCAAATTAAAACCACAATGAAACATCATCTCACACCTGTTAAAATAGCTATTATGGAAAAGACCAAAGATAGCAAGTCTTTGGTGGAGAAAAGGGAACCCGCACACACTGTTAGTAGGAATATGAATTCATACAGCCATTATGGAAAACAGTATGGAGGTTTCTCAAAATATTAAACATAGAACTACTATACAATCCAACAATCCCACTACTGGGAATATATCTTTAAAAAATGAAATCAATATGGAAGAGATATCCACACTCTCATGTTTGCTATATATTATTCACAATAGACAAGACATAGAATCAACTTGTGTCCATCAGCTGACAAATGGATATAGAAAATGTGGTATACATACACAATGAAATATTATTCAGCCATAAAAAAGGAAATTCTGTCATTTGTGACAACATGGATGAACCTGGTGGAAAGTGTTAACTGAAATAAGCCAGCAACAGAAAGACACATACTGCATGATCTCACTCATATGTGGAATGTAAAAAAGTTGATCTCATAGAAGTACTATAGAAAGTAGAATTGGCCAGGCATGGTGGCTCATGTCTGTAATCCCAGCACTTTGGGAGGCATAGGTGGTCAGATCATCTGAGGTCAGAAGTTCGAAACCAGCCTGGCGAACATGGTGAAACCCCATCTCTACTAAAAATACAAAATTTAGCCAGGCTAATTTATATATATTTTTTATATATATATTATATATTTATATATATAAATATATATTATAAAATATATATAAATATATAATATATATATTTATATATACATATATATAAACATATATAAAAAATATATATACACACATATATATCATAGGTGGCACGCACCTGTGATCCCAGCTACTCAGGAGGCTGGGGCAGGAGAATCACTTGAACTTGGGAGGCAGAGGTTGCAGTGAGCTGAGATCACATCACTGCACTCCTGCCTGGGCAACAGAGCAAGTCTCTGTCTTAAAAAAGAAAAAATGTAGAAAGGTAGTTACTAGCAGCTGAGGTGACTGCTGGTGAAAGGAGGGAGTTGGAGAGATGCTGGTCAAAGGATACAAAATTTCACTTAGATAGGAAGAATAAGTTCAAAAGATCTATTGTACTACATGATGATTATAGTTAACAATATATTGTATTCTTTTTTCTTTGTTTTATTTTATTTTTTTGGAAACAGGATCTTGCTCTGTCGCCCAGGCTAGAGTGCAGTGGCGCAATCACGGCTCACTGCAACCTTTGCCTCCTGGGCTCAAGCTATCCTCTCACCTCAGCCTCCTGAGACCACTGAAGTGTGCCACTACATCTGGCTTTTTACATTTTTTGTAGAAACGAGGTCTCACTATATTACTCAGGCTAGTCTTGAACTCCTGGGCTCCTGCAATCCTCCTGCCTCATCCTCCTAGGAGTGCTGGGATTATGGCATGAGGCACCACACCTGGCCTTTCCCCCTCCTTTTTATCCTGGAAGTAATATCTTTTCCCTGATCTTCCATATCAATCTCTCCACTCTGTGGTACTTATCACCTTCTGCCTTGTATTCTAATTATTTATTAGTATGTGCCTTATCACTCTTACTAGGTTGTATTGCCTTGGCTTTTTTTTTTTTTTCTTTTGTGAGACAAGGTCTAGCTCTGTCACCCAGGCTGGAGTGCCATGGTGCAATCTTGGCTCACTGCAACCTCCGCCTCCCGAGGTGCAAGCGATCCTCCTACCTCAGCTTCCCAAGTAGCTGGGACTACAGGCACATGCTACCACGCCCTAATTTTTGTAATTTTTGTAGAGATACGGCTTTGCCATGTTGCCCGAGCTGGTCTTGGGCTCCTGAGCTAAAGTGGTCCACCCACCCCAGCCTCCCAAAGTGCCGGGATTACAAGAGTGAACCACTGTGCCCAGTCAACTCTAATTTTTTGATAATACAACTAGGTCTACTTTTTTTCTGTAAATAACTTTGGTATAAAATGACTAAATCTAAATTGGCTTACCTAACATGTAGACATAGGCAACCGGGTTTTTGTATTAAGAAATCTGCACCCAGCTACTTTATATAGGGCTTGAAATATCTACTTTCTACTGAAAGTTATACCTGTAATTGTCAGTATCAAAATGCCAGATCTAGACCTATACTCCCTAGATATCAATAGTGAACACTGAATTTTCAGTTATTATTAGTAATGACATATTTTCATTCATCCATTCAATGAATATATTTATTTTGCATCCCTTATGTAATGACCATGTTAAGTAGTGGAGGTACAGAAATGAAAAACAAAAAAATAGGCTGCTGATTTCAGAAAACTTGTCAACTAGTGGTGAAGAAAAACATTATTAATAATAATGTTTGTACTATGGAAGTATTAATACAGGATTCAGGGGGAAAGAATTTAGTAGGGGTCTGGTAACTTCACCCTCAGAAAGTACAAAGCTAAGATGATGTTACCATTTAGAGATTTATTAGTTTAGAGATTTATTAGTTTACTTTTTGACCCCCTTTAAGTGAGGGGATAAACCCATGAGGGCAGGAGCAGTTTCTGTCTTATCCACAGCTGTATTCTTAGAGTTTAGCTCAGTGGCTTGTACAGATTAAACACAGATTAAATATACATATTTTTTTGGAGACAGTCTCCCTCTGTCGCATAGGCTGGACAGAGTCTCCCTTTGTCGCATAGGCTGGAGTGCAGCAGCATGATCATGGCTCGCTGCAGCTTCGACCTCCCAGGATCAAGCAATCCTCCCACCTTAGCCTTCCGAGTAGCTGGGACCATAGATGAATGCCACTATGCCCAGCTAATTTTTTTTTTAATGTTTTGTAGATACAGGGTGTTCCTATATAGCCCAGGCAGGTGTCAAACTTCCGGGCTTAAGTAATGCTCTTGCCTCAGCCTCCCAAAGTGTTGAGATTACAGGCGTGAGCCACCATGACTAGTCATGTTTTTTGAATACTGGAAAACAAGTGAACAATATCTAAAATGTATAAATACTGTAGAGTGTAAATTCAATATGAAAAAGATAACTCAGGAAAATGGGCAAAAGACATAAACAGGCACAAAATACAAATGGCAAAGAAACACGAAAACATGTTCAAACTCATTAGTAACACAGCAAATATATATAAAAGCCAAGTAATACCATTACAACCATTGGATTGGCAAAAGGCTTGACAACAACAAGAGCTGCTAAGGACAGTGGATCAATGGCTACTCATGAATACTATATGGAGAGAAGGAAGTAAATTAGTATAACCACTTTGGAAAAAGAATTGGGCATTATTTGGTAAAGTTGAGAATGTACATCCTACAACCTAGTAATTGTTCTCTTAAATTCATACTCTTACACATATGTATCAGGAGACATTATAAGAATATTCATAGCAATATTGCTTGTAATATCAAGAAAATGGAAGCCCAAATATTCATTGACAAAATAAAAAGTAAATTTTTGGAATAGTCACACAATGAAATATCTTACAACAGTAAAAATGAACCATATCCATGTGAAACTAGTTTCATTATGCAAAACTAAATCATATGTTGTTTAGGGAAATATACATTTGTTGTAATGTTTATAAAGAAAAGCAAGAGGACAGCAATTACAAAATTCAAGACTGTGGTTATCTCTGGTATGAGGAAAGGGACATGGTTGAAGGGGGCACTCAAGGAACTTCAACGGTACTAGAAATATCATTTTACATATAGATATATTTTTCATACTAGAAATATCATTTTATATATTGACACATTTTTCATCCTTTTAGTCACATGTATATACGTATATGCATTACATTTTTTGTGTATAATATTTCATAACTCTTAAGATAAATGAATAAGTATTAGGCTCTGGAAATGGGAGAGAAAGAAAAGAATGTTCCAAATAAGAGATCAGCTTATGTTAATTTAAGGCCAGGAGATAAGGACATAAACTCTCTGGCTGAAGCATTGAGTTCACTGAGTGAGAGGAGAAGCTGGGAGAGCTACACAGGGGTCAGACTGTATAGGGATTTCTAAACCACAAGAGAGTTTTGATTGTTTAATGACAAGTAAAGAAAAATTGCAAACTGAAGTATGACATGTCACATTTGTAGTTCCTAAAGATCTCTATTTTCATAAGGAAAATATATTAGTGGTAAGCAAAAATTGATGCTGGGACTCATGATGAGGAAGATTTGGATTATGATGGTGATACTGGGAACAAAGAAAGGAGAAAGAATGTGAAGACTATCCAGGACTTGGTGTTGGTGGAAAAGGTAAAGGAAATAGAGAAAAAAGCAAGGAATGGCTCCTAGGCTTTGGACTTGCGTAAATGGTGACACTGAGGCAAAGAACAATGGCAAAAAAGCAAGCCAGGGGAATTCCGTCAATTTAGGAAAAGGTGATATTGAGATTCAACAACATAATAGGTGTTCAATAAGTATTTATTGTATTAGTCCATTCTCATGCTGCTATGAAGAAATGCCCAAGACTGGGTAACTTATAAATGAAACAGGTTTAATTGATTCACAGTTCAGCATGGCTGGGGCGACCTCATGAAACTTAGAATCATGGCAGAAGGGGAAGCAAACACCTCCTTATTCATGTGGTGGCAGGAAGGAGAAGTGCTGAGCAAAGAGGAAAAAGCCCCTTATAAAACCATCAGATCTTGTGAGAACTCAGTATCATGAGAACAGCATGGGGGTAACTGCCTCATGATTCAATTTGGGTGGGGACACAGCCAAACCATATCACTTATAAGATAAAAAAGTGGCTGACTGTGAGACCTCAGGAGCTGTCCAATTGGTAGTTGGAATCTAATATCATTCATCTATTTCTTTTTTAAATAAATAATTTGTGGTTCCCTATTTTGTATCTTGGCAGAGGAGAAAGCTACGAAACCTTAAAAAGAATTCCTATGAGAATAAAAATAATGTATAGATGTATAAATCTCAGTGTTAGAATAGTTAGAT